>NC_000017.11:40060980-40685980 GCF_000001405.40 Homo sapiens | reverse complement strand
ACCCAGGAGGTGGAGGTTGCAGTGAACTGAGATCGCGCCAATGCATCGCAGCCTGGGCAACAGGACAAGACTCTGTCTCAAAGAATAAATAAATAAATAAACAAACTTGAATAGCTATGTGTCACTTTTAAAATCAATTTTTCACTTAGGAGCATTCATGATAAGAATTTATTAAGTGTCCAATGTTTCAGGAGAAGCAAAATAGGAACAAGGATGGCAGCAGCATCTTTATCTTCTGGGAATTACACTTTAGCCATAGGGAAACTTTGATCAAACTAATAATACATAAGGAAGTTGCTGTATTTTTCATTGACTTGGTAGGCCTGAGTCTCAGTCTTAGGTTGTCTCAAAGCTCACCATGTAACCTTAGATAAGTCATTCCTCTAAAAGTATCTATCTCTAAGCCTCATTTTTTTCTGCAAAGCAAGGGAGTTGGTGATTACTAAGGTACTTATCGTCTAGCTCTAAAATCTATGACTCTGCAAATAGAAACTGTTTGAATTAAAAAAAAAATCAAAGTGGCAGAATTAATGTTACAGGGAATTAAAATTAGATCAGATTCACCCTAATTCAAGCAGTTTCCTGAAACTTTTGAAATGCCTAACATCCAAATGTCAGGTTTTAAGGCAGAGTGTCTCAACCTTGGCACTCTAGACATTTTTGGTTGGATAATTCTTGGGGAGCTGTCCTGTGGGTTTATGGAAGTTTATGGCCTCTACCTAGTAGGTACCAATAGTACACCCCCTACCCCTTATTATGTCAGCCAAAAATGTCTCCAAATATTGCCAAATGAGAGTGGAAGGGAGGCACAAAATCACCTGAAAATCACTGCTCTACCTTAAGAAAGCAGGATTTTCCTACACCATAGGGATGCACTAGGTACAGAAGACAGGCATCCTGAGATACTTTCCTTCCAGTTAAATCAAAACCTCGCCCTCTTAAAACACAGCATCTGCATAGAAGATTATCTCTGTTTTACTTGAAAGAGAAGAGGTTAGAAGATGAGACAGTAACATCCATCCAGTGTATATTCCCTTCCTGCAGAGAGAATAGGAAAACTTTCTGATGCTAATCTACCCAAATGACTCTTTATTTCATCTCTTCTCTTAGGCAATCTTCGCTCCACTCTCAGAAAACAGCCCTCAAAGCCAAGCTGATGGAATCAAAGGCCAAGCGCCAGCCTCAGGTAGAGGTTAGTGCCTGGAGACCCAGCTCCTTCAAGGGCATTGCAAGACCAAGGACCAGAGCCAGGCTAAATGCAGCTGCTGAAGGTCAAGGCGTGCCTGGTGAATGAAGCTGGGACCAACCACTGCCTGCTCACAGGGCTGAGCTGGTCTGCAAGAAGCTGTGGGTATGGTAAAGAAGGAGAGTAGTTAGGACTGGGGCACGTATAGGTCTCAATGACTCCTATTTACATTTTTAGCTAACCGCAACAAGGACATACAACCAGGGCTGAACAACCTCCACAGGGTTCATTCAGTAAGGATAATTTTTTTTTAATTTTTTGAGACAGAGTCTCACTCTGTCACCCAGGCTGGAGTGCAGTGGTGCGATCTCCGCTCACTGCAACCTCCACCTCCCGGTTCAAGTGATTCTTGTGCCTCAGCTTCCCAAGTAACTGGGACCAAAGGTGCGCACTACCACACACAGCTAATTTTTTGTATTTTTAGTAGAGGCAGGGTTCCGCCATGTTGGCCAGGCTGGTCTCGAACTCCTGACCTCAAGTGATCCACCCGCCTCGGCCTCCCAAAGTGCTGGGATTACAGGTGTGAGCCACCAGTAAGGACAATTTTCAATGCCCCATTCCAGCTCTAGGAAAGCAATGACCACGGCCTCGATTTATGAACCCAGCCCCTAGTCCATGCATTACCACCGGCTACAAGGTGCACCACAAATGTTTGCCCACCTGAATTGAAATTTAGGCAGAACTGTTGTTCTGCCAGACCGTCTGTGGAAACAAGTGTATTATATCCAACATATTAGATGATAAATAGTCATTTAGGGTGGTGTAATTCAAAAACAGAACGAATAAAACATAGAAAAAGCTAAAATTCAAAGACTTCAACATAGAGCTTTTTAAAAAAAAAAATCTCAGATATTACAATTTTTATGATACCTACAACAATCAAAACCAGAGTATAAGACTATCCTATTTTTCTTTTCAGTCATAAGTTTGAAACTGGATCAAAAAGAGGAAATAAAATCAAGGATAAGTTCTAAATACAAGTTTTCTATTATTCTATTTCATTTTCTTCAGAGGAACAGCGTACTCCAAAGTCTAAAAGTGTTGTTTTTATATGAATCCAATGTTTGTATTACCCAGTTAGAGTCATAAAATCAAGACTCTGGTTGTGGAATACTTTTACTGAGACATTTGTCAAAATAGCATTGTAATTTTTTTTCTTTCAACTTACACCTAAATAAACAGTAATAAATATCTTAGAAGCTATTGCTATATCACATTTAAATGGCTTTCCTTCAACATCGTTCACCTCAAAATCAAAAGGTGGAAATGCATTTTAATCCATATTTTCTTTGAAAGGTCAAAGGAGGTGAAGAAGGAAAGGAGATAGACTGAAGAAAGATGCATAATTGAAGACAAAAAGTTAATTAAACAAGAAGGTTTCAACTTGTAGGTTAGTTTAAGGCAGTGTTTTTCAAGCTGCAGGCTGCGATCCATTTACTTATGTATGTGTGTATGTATGTATGTATGTATGTATTTATTTTTGAGACAAGGTCTCACTCTGTCACCCAGGCTGGAGTGCAGTGGTGCAATCTCTGCTTACTGCAACCTCTGCCTCCGAGGTTCAAGCCATTCTCATGCCTCAGCCTCCCAAGAAGCTGGGATTACAGGTGTACTGGGCCATGATGTAAAATGATGCCTTTGTTCTTGTGGCTTGCAGTGGGAAAAGTTACAGCCTTTACTATAGAGTTTTCTTTATTTTTCCTTTCAGTTTTTACTTGAACTTAATTGTATGAAATGGATTGTGGGCCAAGCGTGGTGGCTCATGCCTGTAATCCCAGCACTTTGGGAGGCCAAGGCAGGTGGATCACCTGAGGTCAGGAGTTCGAGACCAGCCTAGCCAACATAGTGAAACCTCGTCTCTATTAAAAATACAAAAATTAGCTGGGCATGGTGGTGCATGCCTGTAATCCCAGCTACTCGGGAGGCTGAGGCAGGAGAATCACTTGAACTCTGGAGGAGGAGGTTGCAGTGAGCCGAGATCACACCACTGCACTCCAGCCTGAGTGACAGAGTGAGACTCCATTGAAAGAAAGAAAGAAAGAAAGAAAGAAAGAAAGAAAGAAAGAAAGAAAGAAAGAAAGAAAGAAAGAGAAAGGGATTGTGAATCTGTTTGCTATTGTTCTTGATGTCACTTCCTTCTCTATGACTGAGAATTCACTGGCATTCCTAGAAGAATTCAAACCCTTCATCGTTTGTTGAGCTAATTTCACTATGATTTCACCATATGCCACTTTCTTGCCTATATCATTGCAATGCCTCTCTACATAGGACTTGCTGTATTATAACAATGATAACAAAGACAACTACCATTTTTGGAGCACCCACTATGTAAACATAATTCCCACAGCAATTCTGTAGATGGGGCATGATCCCCATTGCATAGATGAGGAAACTGAAGTTCAGCGAGGTTAAATAGCTCACCCATGATCACAAAGCTCATCTGGGACAGAGTAAGCCAGGATCAAACCTTTTGAGGTTCCAAAATTCCAAGTGATAATCTCATTCCCATTTTTCATCCTCTCAACACTTTATGAAGTGAGTACTATTATTATCCCCAGTTTACAGATAAGGACACTATAATTTTCCCAAGTTATACAGTAACTTGGGAAGAGTTAGGATTCAAACCCTGAATCAAGCAGTATGTTCTTTTTCGTGTCTGGCTTCTTTCCCTCAACACGCCGTGTGCGCGATTCGTCTGTGCTACTGATGTGGTTGTAGATCATGTTATGCCTTTAATAAACACCTGTGTTAAGTGTTGGAGATACAAAGATGTGGTCCCTCTCTCGGAGAATTTACAGTCTAGAAGGAAAAATATATGCAAACATGTAGCTAACATAAAGTATTAACTACAATTCTGACTGAATTTTATCAAAGTCACTCCAAATTTGTGAAGCTTTAGAAAAGCAAAGATTAAAATCAATGAGATTTATATGCTTATCTTTCTCACTGTTGAAAGTAGGTAGAAAAGTTAATAAGTACCCAATACGAAAGCTGTCTTACTTTTGATTAAAGAGAAATGCTTTATCAATTTACTTTATTTCCATCAATATGTAATTGACCTAACACTTTCTTTTCGCAGAACCAACGAAATGTTTTGGCACAACACAATTGTTAAAGAACTGATTGATGGCATTGTTGTTTTATCACAAATAAGAGGTGTTCACCAAAGACCAGTTTAAGGAGCACCACACAAGCTAGCCACAAAAACTAAGACAAATAAAGCACCAAGAACCATTTAACCTTGGTCACGTATATTGGATAACTGAAGCAATGTATAGAGTGAAACTTTGCAAAAGCCATGAAGACAAGGGAATGTATTTCAACAATACTCATCTTTTTACACTAGGAAAAATAAAAGCCAGCAGGATATTTAGGGAATGTTTTTGCTCATCTTCAGTAATGTCATGTGAATGCACCCATCTACATTTTGGAATTTTTTAATCTTTGTGGACTTAACAAAAATGAGTACACTTCTAATTCAGAAGGTCTAACCTTGCAGTTTTTAGCTCTGGTCTGAAGCAATCAATTTGGGTCCAGTGCTTGGCTAAGCACTCCAGACTCCAGACAGTAAACAATAAGAGACAAATATTCCCTTCTAGAAGGTACAGCCCATCTGGAGATGTGGGAGATACTCTTGAAATAATTCAATGGCATCAGAATGTCACATAGAACTAAAAGTAGTAAGTAGCACAGATGATAAGTGCCTGGGAACTCACAGATAATAATTCAATATGGGCCAAAGAGGCCAGTAAAAAACTCATGAAGCTGTGAATTAAAGCTCCAATATTATAGCATTTTACACCCACCAGCAAGTGGAAATTAAAAAGACTATACCAAGTATTAACATGAACAGGAAGCAGCTGGGGCTGGGCACAGTGGCTCATGCCTGTAATGCCAACACTTTGGGAGGCCGAGGCAGGAGGCTCACTTGAGGTCAGGAGTTTGAGACCAACCTGGGCAATGTAGTGAGATCTCCTGGAGATCTCCTGGAGACTCTTAAGAGCTTCTTTGAGGAGTACAGACTCATCTTAAGGATCACAGGGAACTCTTGAAATCTTAGGCTTTGTAGTAATCTATCAGGGGTTGCAAAAGAAAATATGCAAGGGTTGCCTAAGAAAATTAATATGCATCTGTATGCCAGATGAATTGGAGTGGTAGGGATGGAAACTAGAGATGAAGTCAGAAGGTTACTTTAGCAATTTAACAATAAATTGAAATTTTTCTGGACTGAAATAATCCCAGGAGAAGTGAAAAATCTGGGAGACAAGATTTGGCTTATTAGACCTTAAAGAGCTAAGACAGTTTAAGCAAAATTTCTAAAATTTCAAGGTGGAATAAAAGTTGGAAAGTTGGCAGGAAGAGCAGAATTAGAAGAAAAGATGATATGGCAAGCTATAGGTATACTGAGTTTGATATAACAAAGGAACACCTAACTAGAAATATACAATAAAAAAAAATCAGGCCAGGTGTGGTGGTTCACGCCTGTAATCCCAGCACTTTGGGAGGCCGAGGTGGGTGGATTACTTGAAGTCAGGAGTTTGAGACCAGCCTGGCCAACATGGCAAAACCCTATCTCTACTGAAAATACAAAAATTAGCCCAGCATGGTGGGGCATGCCTGTAATCTCAGCTACTTGGGACGCTGAGGCAGGAGAATCACTTGAACCTGAGAGGCAGAGGTTACAGTGAGCTGAGATCACACCACTCCCCTCCAGACTGGGTGGCAGAGTGAGACTCCATATCAAAAAAACAAACAAACAAAAAAAAGAACAAATGGGCAATTACACTAAAAAAAAAAAAATATATATATATATATAGCATGAAAAACACGTCTTTATTTTAATGAAAATGTATTATTCATAGCAAAATTTCTATCCACATGACAAACATTTAGAATCAGAGTGCATTTCTAAAATCACTTTACAACTAATAAAACTCTAGAAATTCAGAACTATATATGATATTTTGAGGTGTTAATTATCTCAACCGAAGAACCACAACAGGGAAGTCCTTTCTATAAGTGAGTCACACAAAAAAAATACATACATGACATATTTAGACACAAATTATGCAGTTAAGTGTGTCTTGTAGATACCCTACTCAATTTAAAAACCATGTATTGATCATTTACAACATGCAAGTACAGTAATAAGGTAACATAGCTAAATTATCAGAGGTATCAAAGAAAAAGCACACAGTTGAAAAAGTGGTGAATTCTGGTTGTTGTTTGTTTGTTTCCTCAAGCTCTAAGATTGACACTTAGGATTTCTCAAAGACAACTGAAAATGTTTTCCTAATTCTGAAACAGTACTGACTTCAATGACCATCTCTTTTGAGGTATGAGGCACAGGAGGGAGGGGAACAGGGTTGAAAAACTAACTGTTGAGTACTATGCTCAGTACCTGGGTGATGGGATTACTTGTACCCCAACCCTCAGCATCACACAATATACCCTGGTAATAAACCTGCACATGGACTCCCCTGATTCTAAAATAAAAGTTGGAAAAAAATAAAAAAGGTATGAGTCACTCGTTTTGTGGCTACTTGCAGAAGTTTCAAAGATAATGATTTTCAAAGGTAACAAAGCTTGTGACACTGGTATGTCAGCATATCATCACATTTCATTTCTGAAGTCAGCAGTGAGAGATGGCGCCAAGCCACCAGTGAGAAGAGACGTTTGAAAAAAACAATTAAGAAGGAACTGAAGCTTGATGGATTAGCATAATGAATTTTTCTGAAGGCAACAGTGTGAAAAATATTTGTAAAGGTGTGGCAGAATCTGAAATCACGAATCATCTATTCTCACCCTGACAACAGTTTTCTTTTTCATATAGGCTGGACTAAATTTCGCGAAGTTCATTAATTTTCAAATGTAATTGTTTGCAATTTAAGCCAAAAGACATCTTAAAATCTGTTAAATTTTTTAACGTGGGACAGTGATATAAGAAGCCAAAAAGAAAGAAAAGTCAAACTGGGGGGGCCAAAAAAAATAATTACCAGGAAATAAGAAGTGTTCACAAATTTCAGAACGCTTTGTCTCACCAAAGAGCATAGTATTACAAAACTACAGTCTTCAAGAAAATAGTAACTATGTTAAGTACTGAAGCAGAAAATAAGTTATGCACACTTTTATCTTACTACCAGATTATTTTTCACAGATAGCACAAAACTTATTGATTGCTAACTATCCAAATGTATGGTAATAAACTAATATAGCTTAACTATCAAAGGTATCATATAGAACCATACAGTTGAAAAAAGGATGGATTCTGTCTTAGTCGTTAACACTGAGAATTTATCAAAGAGAACTGGAAATTAATTCTTTCTTTCTTTCTTTCAAAATTGGGTCCTGCTCTGTCACCCAGGCTAGAGTGCAGTGGTGAGACCATAGCTCACTGTAACCTCAAACTCCTGGGAGCTAGGACTATAGGCATGTGCCACCATGCCTGGCTAATTTTTTTTTTTTTTTTTTTTTTTTTGGAGAGACGAGGTCTTGCCGTGTAGCCTAGGCTGGTCTCGAACTCCTGGCCTCAAGCAATCCTCCCACCTCAGCCTCCCAGAGTTCTGGGTTTACAGGTGTGAGCCACTGTGCTTGTCCTGGAAATGTTTTTCCAATTCTCAAACAGTGTTGATATCAGTGACTACCTTTTTCAAGGCATGAGTTGCTAGTCTTATGGCTATTTAAGGAGGTTTCAAAGACAATGATTTTGGGGAATAAAAACTAGTGTTTTCTCCAAGCATTCGGAATTATTTATGGAAATAGAAGTATTATATTCATGTAAAATGATATGGTCTATAGATGTAACTTAGTTGCCTTAAACTGTGTAATTGCTGGTATACCATATTAGTGTCTTTAATCTGAACACAACCTCACATCCAAGAGGAAAAGCTTATCATTCACAACAGTAATTCCTGAGTGAGCTACTCCTCTCTAATTATACAATTAGAAAGTCAAAACAAACTTGAACCTTGCAATGTATATTCCCAGAACTCAAAACATATTTTTAAGAGAATTTTAACAGTAATCAACTCCTTTTCAAGACAAGATACAAAGTCAATAAAAGATTGCCTACTTTAATATTCATTTGTTTGTTTAAAAACATTAAGCACTAAGTCTAAGGGGCTGGTGGGACGACGGAAATGGGGCAAATTTTAAAGAAATGTAAGACACGCACTCTTTGCCCTTAAGGACAATCTGGTTAAGAAGAAAACAATTACCAAGTATATTTAACCCCACTTAAAGGTGTGAGCAAATAAAATTTTGTTAATCCATATATTTTAAATACTGTGCATTTAATAGCCAAGGTCAGGTGCTATCTCTTCTGTGAAGCCAATGGGAAAATATAATTTTAAAAAAAAATTTGTACAGCCACAATTTTGTTTGTAAAATTTCTCTTTGTCAAAAACTCAACTGTACACTTCTGGAACACCAGTTTCTATGCACCCAGTAGGCTCAGAAAGGAGTCCCCGTGGATATACATGTGTGCCGCGGCTGTGCAACATGGCCCCCGGCATGACACAACAGTGAAGCAGCTGGAAGGTGCTCAAATACTCAGACTGGCTGGGAAGTTGAAAGCAAGGGAAGAAGAGAGGGATGGGGAGAGAACAGCAGCTGTCAGGGAGCAGAGCACAGCCTAGAGAAAGCTGGGGTGCTTTGCACTGGCAGCTGAAAACTAAGGAGGCAGTGGGGGCATGAAGTAAGGAGGAGACAGAAAGGGGGACGGGATGTGGAGAGCTTGCTGCTGGAGTAGGCACATTTATCCGGCCAGTTGCAGCAGTGCAGAGGGAATATTTAAGCCTGAAAATAGAGTTCAATCATTCAAGCCGTTGGGTAAAGGCAAATAATTAGCAAAAATAATACAAAAAGATACGTGAACTTTATTTAAAAACTAGAACTACGTGGTCCCTTTGATCATGATCTGCACAGGTGTCCTCAAGCTGTCCACGCAGTCTTTCTAGGGAGGCTACCAGAGTGGGTGAAAATGGAAAACTAAAGCGGGGTCCTGCATTCAAGGCATTTCAAACACGTAAAGTTAAACTAAATGTTTGATTCTGAGGACTAGACTGTTACTATTACAAGAGTTGTGCAGGGCATATATCCAAGACTGGACAGGGACCAGTCCCTGTTGTCAGAGAAACTTCACACTGAGACACAAGCTTGCTCAGGTAGGGTGGGCGTTGAAAGCCAGGAGGAGGGATTTCTGTAAACTCTTGCTTCCTCTGTCATCGGCCACCCCTTAAGTTTTCTATTTCCTGCCTCTTCCACTTTACTAATTCTGTTTCCCAGAAAACACTCCACACCATCCCCCATAAGGGTTCAAAGTCTACCATATAAATGTCTTCCCAAATGTGCTAAAATGTACCCTCCAAAAAACAATTTTTTTTTTACCTATTCTGGATATTTCATATAAGTAGAAGTATATAAGACGTGACCTTTGGGGTCCGGCTTGCATTTAGTGTAATGTTTTCAAGGTTTGTCCACCTTTTAGGATGCATCAGTACTTTACTCCCTATTATGGCTTAATAACATTGCATTGTATGTACGTAGCACATATTTGCTTGTCCATTTACCCATTGATGGAAACTTGGGTTGCTTCCCCCTTTTGGCTATGATGAATAGTGCTGCTATCCACAGAGAGCAAATTGGTGGTTTGAAGGGGCTGGGGGAATGGGAGGATAGGAAATGATTGCTTCATGGGTTGGGTTTTCTTTGGGGGTGATGAAAATAGCTTGAAGCTACACAGAGGTGTTAGTTACACAACATGGTGAGTGTACTAAATGCCAATGAACTGTACATTTTTTAATGGTTAATTTTACGTTGCGTGAATTTCACTTGGATTTTTTAAAATTAATTTCCAGGCAGACCCCCTGCCACCTGTCTAAAACAGGGTCCCATGTGTGGGTTAAACTACAAATGAGAAATGTTACATATCTTAAAATAAATTGCCTATAACATATGTATGCAGCATCCTTCATAGCCAAGGTCAGACGCTACCTCCTCCATGAAATCTGCTATGGAAATACAATTAAAAACAAAATATCCAGTCTGGCCAACATGGTGAAACCCCGTCTCTACTAAAAATACAAAAATTAGGCGTGGTGGCGGGCGCCTGTAGTCCCAGCTACTCGGGAGGCTGAGGCGGGAGAATGGCGTGAACCTGGGAGGCAGAGCTTGCAGTGAGCCGAGATTGCGCCACTGCACTCCAGCCTGGGCGACAGAGCGAGACTCCGTCTCAAAAAAAAAAAGAAAAGAAAAGAAAAGAAAATTAGTCGGGTGTGATGGTGGGCCCCTGTAGTCCCAGCTACTCAGGAGGCTGAGGCAGGAGAATCGCTTGAACCCAAGAGGCGGAGGTTGCAGTGAGCCAAGATCGCACCACTGCACTCCAGCCTGGGAGACAGAGTGAGACTCCGTCTCAAAAAAAATAAAAAATAGTAAAAAAATCTCCTAACCTAGAAATCCTCTCCACCAAGGTAAACGAGAAAGAAAATCATTTTACTATTGAATAAGCGTTAAAACAGAATGTGATGCCCGTCACAAGCAATCCACTAAGAGACTGCAAAGACAGAAAGATAGCTCTTCCTTTATATAGCCAAGCAGACACAGCCCATTACGTGGATGTTCTCAGGATGAACAACAGCTACTCTTCACATAAGAGGACTTCACAGCACCATATGTCACACACGGTTTATCCTAACTTTACCCATAATTTGGGTGACCATCTATGTTAGTTAATAGGCTTTATATACAGGGAAAGTAAACTTCTCACATCTTTATAATAGGAGGTAGCTTTGGAGCAAGGTGCCTGCCGAAATTAGGTCCTGCCCTCCCACAGAACCTGGGACACAGGGGTGTTTATTTCCTTGGATGGTCACGCTCAAAAGGCTTGATTCCCAGTCTTGAGAAAGGCATTCCTTGGTTGTAAAGTTGGCAAAAGATTTATTTTACTTTTTAAAAGATTTACTCACATTTCAAAGAGACAGCGAAAGAATTTACAAGTTTTCTAAAGTAAATGCTCGAAGAAAGGGGAGTACAGGGGTGTCTTTTCCCTTATTTTTAACAGGAAGAATTAAGTCTCTTATTTTTAATTTATGTTTGCCTTTATTTGCCTTCTCTGATCCCCTCAGGAAAAAAAAAAAAAAGGCAATTACTTCCTCTTCAGAGATGCCTTACTTGTGGCACTTCGCAATTCTACCCTGAATTGGAGCAGTGCGGCAGGGTCAGGGTCTGGTTCCTTCTGTGTCCTTCATGGTGCGAGGGACCGTGAGCCAGAGCCAACGTTGAGAGAAAGCCCTTCCTTGAGCTCATTGTTGCAATGGAAATGTTCTGTATCTTGACTGCATTGGTGTGAATACCCTGGTTGTGATATGGTCCTCTAGTTTTACAAGCTGTTGCCATCGGGGAAATTCAGTAAAGGATATGTGGGATTGCTCTGTACTGTTTCTTACAGTAACTGAATCCACAGTTACCTCAAAAGTTTAGCTAAAAATGAAAAAGGCTTTTGAATGACTAAAAACATGTGTTTATAAACCACTGAATAATGGCTATGGAACATCATAAAGTCCAGAATGCTGTACAGTCTGGGCTGAGGAGAAGAAAGCTCACAGCTGCATTCCTGGGAAGATTTGGGCAATGTTAAGGGGTGAGGGTCCAGGGAATACTGTCAGGGTGCTAAAAATTGATATGCAGGGCAGAAAGCCTGTGAGAATGACCTAAGTAGAAATTTTTTTAAACAAAATAAAAATTTTCAAAAAGAGAAAAGACAACAGAGGGAAAATTCAAGAGGCCAGGCGCAGTGGCTCACGCCTGTAATCCCAGCACTTTAGGAGACCAAGGTGGCAGATCACCTGAGGTCAGGAGTTTGAGACCAGCCTGGCCAACATGGCAAAACCCCATCTCTACTAAAAATACAAAAATTACCTGGGCATGGTGGCGGGCACCTGTAGTCCCAACTACTCGGGAGGCTGAGGCAGGAGAATCACTTGAACCCAGGAGACAGAGGTTGCAGTGAACCAAGATCACACCACTGCACTCCATCCAGCCTGGGCGACAGAGCAAGACTCCATCTACGGAAAAAAAAAAAAAAAAGAAAAAAAAAAGCAAGAAAGGATAAATGCAAGTGCAAGGAAATAAATTGTCTAGAATAAACTAAGATGCAGAGAAATGACTAAGACTAGAGTATCAGGACACAGAATAGAAGACAGCAGGGCCAATGTCGTAAGTTATAGAAAGCAGGTTTAGAAAAATCAATATTTCAAAGACAGGAAGAGCTAAGGGAACACCTGTCAAATTGGTGAAGACAATGTACTTAGAACCCAACAAAGACCTCCCTTCTAGAGATTTGAAAGGAGACGTAAATATTGTAGCTCAAGTGAGTAGATGGGAGCACAGTTTCAACCTACAACTATGACTTCAAAGATTGGGACTTAACGCACTCCAGATAAAAAAGGAATGGAGAAAATTCTGAATAGTTTTGGAAGATGCCTATAGTCTGCTAAGCTAGAAAAAAATCATGAATTGTAATACACCAAAATTGTATAAACTGGGTGTTCTAAAATGAGCTCACCCTCTATCTAGTAAAGCTCATTTTGACCATCTGTGTGTATTGGGCCTCAAAAAACAAGGTAAGAAGGAGAAGCACCTGGAAGTATCTGGAAGATGCCAGAGAAAATAGGACCCAATGGCAAAGTCCTTGATTGGCAAAACTGCCCTGCTTTTTGCCCTTGAGTTACAGCAGCAAAGAATGAAGTGAGCATCTGCCAGGACTAAGATTGCATGTATAATGTACTCTGCTTAATCAGTTCATGTGAAATGCATGTTCAGTGTGTATAGAAAGGCATGTAAGCATCTCTCACATACTCTGAAAACATGCTAAAAAATGCTGACAAACATATTCCCACACAAAACTCTTTATCGTCTAATTATAGTCTTAACTTATATATAAAACAAAAGATTAAATGATATCACGTAGAGGCCTGCTCCTATGAGTAGAAAAATCAATAATATAACAAAAAGGATATAAGCCAGTAAAGCCCTGTCATTTATAGCAATTTTTTAAGTTTTAAAAAAAAGCCTTTATTTGCTGACTAATTATGCCTTTATAATCCTATGAAAATGCATGCTTGATTAAGAAGAGGGAGTCACAAAATCCTAAGCTGCTAAAGAAATTATGCTTCATAAATAAAATAATACCCAAGCTCTTTGGGATTATAAAAGATCAATTGGAGTGTTCTGTCTAGCTGAAGAAAACAGATTCATATTTACAACTTCCTGGAAGGAAAAAAACACTTAATATAAACTTACATTGCCATCATTCTATCTTTTATACTTTTTAGAATAAAAACAGATCACAACATTTATGTGCAGGACAGGAAAAACATTAAATGGCTTGAGTTTGACATCCTTGTGTACAAGATTGATTTACAGGGTGAAATGTATGTGCCCAAATGCATTACATAAAAATAATCCATTATTTTCCTTTTTAATATTTTTTCCTCTTCAAAGCAAAACTCAAATTCTTGAGTGTGCCACATTTGTTAAGGACAAACAGGTTAGAAAAGATGTTATTTCTCCCAGAGTTTAATTCCAAACTCCCAGGAAATCACTCCATAAAAATTCACCAAGATGAATGATGGGTGCCTGTCTGATTTGCTTGTGTTTGTAAACACTACAAATTTGGGGACTATAGTGTTTTTGAGCCACTTACCATCCTTCTGGTAATTCATTTCCTTTACCTTCTTCAGGCAAATAAATTAATCTGTGCTCATTGTCTCAGGGGAGGATGAAACAAAAGCAATGTGTTCCTTCAGTCTAGTCTTAGAATGAAGAGGACTCAGGGCCCACACAAAATGTCCTAAAGAAACGTTATTCATTTGGCGCTTGTTTATTGCCTGCCTTCTCTGTGCTAGGCACAGAGCTAGAAAGTGGTGATCCAGCAGTGAGCAGACAGGTCTTGGAGCTTAGGTTCCAGTAGTAAAAGCAGGATTTTCCGTCCCACCCTCAAGAATAGAACTTACCTTGGACTGAAAGGAGAGGGAAGAAAAAAAGGATTGCTGAGGAAGGGCAAAGCGGGGTCCCTGAGAGGGGAGCCCCAGGTCCTGCTTCTGAGTCAGAGCCCCTACAAAGCAGCAAAACGGGAGGTAAGTTGGGGGAACTATTTAGGAGAACTGTGCCTTACTTCCTGGATTGTAACCTCAGGAAAGGGACAAGAGCCAAATAGGTTATGGCTGCACAGTGTGTCCGGGCAGATGGAGCCACAGTCCACCTGATATTTCCATGCCACAGGCACACAGAAGCATCAGAATGACTCTTACGCCCTTAAGCATGGAAAGAAATATGGGAGAGAGCAGCTGGACACTGCTAGGATGAAGCAAATTTAAAATAAGAGGCTTGATTCTCACTGTTGGAAACAAGGGAAGAGATTTTTCTCTCTTCCTAAATTTTCTTTGAGCATTTACTTCATCTTTTATAAAAAATAAATTGTATTGTGTATATTTAAGGTTTACAACACAATGTTATGGGATACATATACATAGTAAAATGGTTACCCTGGTGAAGCAAATTAACATATCTATCATCTCACAGTTACCTTATTGTGTGTGATGAGAGCAGCTAAAGTCTACTTACATTAAAAAAAAAAAAACCCAGTTAGCATACAATTTTATTAGCTCTAGTCCTGGTTAATAGGTTAGATCTCTAGACTTGTTCATCCTACATATCTCCTCCTTTGTATACATTGACTTCCATCTCCCCATTTCCTAACCCATCCCACCCCCACTCCTGGTAACCACTGTTTTATTCTCTGCATATTTGACTTTTTTTTCTTAGATTCCACATATAAATGAGTGCATGTAATATTTATCTTTCTGTGTCTTTCTTACTTCACTTAACATAGTGTCCTCCAGGTCCATTTATGTTGTGACAAATGTCAAGATCTCCTTTTTTAGGGTAGAATAATAGTCTATTGTGCATATATATATATATATACACACACACACACACACACACACACACACTCACCAGTTTATTTATCCATTCATTCATTGACACTTAGGTAGTTTCCATATCTTGGCTATTGCGAATAATGCTACAATGAACATAAAAGTGCAGATATCTTTACAAGGTGGTGTTTGCATCTCCTTTGGGTGGATACCCAGAAGGGGAATTGCTGGGTCATAGGGAAGTTCTTTTTCTTTTCTTTTTTTTTTTTTTTTTTTTTTGAGATGGAGTCTCACTCTGTTGCCCAGGCTGGAGTGCAGTGGCGTGATCTTGGCTCACTGCAACCCTGGCCTCCAGAGTTCAAGTGATTCTCCTGCCTCAGCCTCCCAAGTAGCTGGGACTACAGGTGCCCACCACCACGCCCGGCTAATTTTTGTATTTTTAGTAGAGACGGGGTTTCACCACTTTGGCCCGGCTGGTCTCGAACTCCTGATCTCAAATGATCCACCTGCCTCGGCCTCCCAAAGTGCTGGGATTACAGGCATGAGCCAGCGCACCTGGCCTGGAAGTTCTGTTTTTGACTTCTTTAGAAACCTCCATGCACTTTTTGCTAATGGCTGCACCAATCTCCATTCCCACCAACAGTGTACTGTTTCTTTGCTCCACACCTTTGCCAACATTTGTCACTCTCATCTTTTTGATAACACCAATCCTAACAGGTGTAAGGTGATATCTCATAGCAATTTTGATTTGCATTTCCCTGATGGTTAGTGATGTTAAACACCTCTTCATGGATCTGTTGCCCATTTTTATGTCTTCTTTGGAGAAATATCTGTTTAGATCCTTTGCTCATTTTTTAACTGGTTTATTTGTTTTTCTGCTATTCAGTTGTAAGAGTTCTTTATAAATTTTGGATATTAACCCCTTACTAGATATGCAGTTTGCAAATATCTATTCCCAGCCTGTACATTGCCTTTTCATTGTGTTAATTGCTTCCTCTGCTGTACAGAAGCTTTTTATTTTGATGTAGTCCCACTTATTTATTTTTGCTTTTGTAGCCTGGGCTTTTGGTGTAATATCCAAAACATCATTACCAAGGCCAATGTCAAGGAGCTTTTACCCTCTCTTATCCTCTAGGAGTTTAATGGCTTCAGGTCTTACATTTAGATCTTTTATCCATTTTGAGTGGATTTTCTAATATGGTGTAAGATAAGGGTCCAATTTCATTTTTTTGCATGTGGAAATCCAGTTTTCCCAGTACCATTTATTGAAGAGACTATTTTTTCCCCATTGGGTCCTCTTGAGGCCCTTGCCAAAATGTAGTTAATTAAATTAGGTTTAGATTTATTTCTGGGCTCTATACTCTGTTTAACTGGTCTATGTTTCTGTTTTTATGCCAGTACCATGCTGTTTTGATTGCTATAGCTTCCAAATATAATTTAAAATCAGGGAGCATTTATTTGTAATTATAACTTTTGAAAACTTATATGTACTGTTTCCTCTCTTTGAAATTTATGTAAATCCTTTTGAAGCCTAGATAGGCCTTTCATTAGCTTTATGATCCAGGGATGTATTTCTCAAGTACCTGGGAGCCATCTCTTTGAAATGTAAACATCAAAAGAGATGACACCCCTATATCCCAGTTTCTGTGGGAGGGTAGGAGCCTAACTTCTGTGGGTACCTTACTCAAAGTTGCAAAACTACCACCTGTCATAAAGATATAAAAAGTTTTGTTTTTCCTCTGGAGAAAGCCAAGTAGCTGACACAGATGATCACCCCAAATTACCAGGTGAAGTTAAGATGAACGATGTGTAACTATGGTACTGTCAAGTCCTCTTACTCTAACTTAACTATTGTTTATCTTGAAAATATGTATGTAGGTCGGGCACGGTGGTTCATGCCTGTAATGCCAGTACGTTGGGAGGCCAAGGTGGGTGGATTGCCTGAGGTCAGGACAGCCTGGCCAACATGGTGAAACTCTGTCTCTACTAAAATACAAAAATTAGCTGAGCATTGTGGTGTGCGCCTGTAATCCCAGCTACTCGGGAGGCTGAGGCAGGAGACTTGGTTGAGCCTGGGAGCCAGAGGTTGCAGTGAGCTGAGATCGCGCCATTGCACTCCAGCCTGGGCGACAGAGCTAGACTCCATCTCAAAAAAAAAAACAAAAAGTATGTAATAGGTTGTATCTGCTGCTTGGCTATGTAACAGGTGAGATTTCCTTCCATCTTGCAATTTCCTAGAAGATTACCTGTGATGCACATCACATTCTAGTTTAGTGCTTATTCAGTAATAGAAGTATTTTCTTTCCGTACTACCTTTGTGGAGAGGATTTCTGGGTTGAGGGAAGATTTTTGTTTTTAGTTATATGTCTCCAACCAACGATAATGGGACAGATGGGAAGAATAATGACTGTCTCAGTGAACACAGCTTGGACAGATGACACTAAGGACAATATGCTCCCCGCCCCAGGTCACAACTATATAAGCTCCCCTAAAACTTAGATGCAATGCTTTGGAGAAAAGGCGAGAGACTGAGATGATGAGATTTAACACACATCCTCCATAGAATAGGAACTCAAAATAAAGATTAACATGAAAAAAGAAAAATAAAGCAATAAGGTCTGCCTGAGCCTATGCACCCAGAGTTGTGATAGCTGCAGCATGAACTACTTGCCAATATTTAACTGCAGGAATCTTAACTTCAGATGATTGTACCAACAACTCGTTTCCTCTGGCTGAAGAGAGAGGGATAAATGAGTGGAAGAAAACTTACATTTATCAGAATGGCTCTCAAACTTTGCTACATATTAGACTCCTGGGAAGTTTTCAAAAATTCTGATGCCCAGGCCCCGTCCTGAGCCAATTAAATCAGATTTTCTGGGAGGAGGACACAGTCATCACCATTTTTTAAAGTTCCAGAAGTGATTTCAGTGTGCAGACACACAGACACACGAATGTCCCTGGAGCCAGGGTCCCCAAACACAGTATTTTGGCATTTGTGAGATGTGTTATAACAAGCTTTCTCCTTTTAATAAAGTCAACATTTTTAAATTATTTACTTTTCTAATAACTATAATGGATTTATGACAATCTCCATCATAATCTCAGTCCATGCACCAAGAATTGTAGGGACCCCACAATTTTATATATGCCATAGCCTTTAATGAGGTATTGTTACTGTTTTATTTAAATAAAGGGTAGTATTTTTGTAAAGGAAAGTAATAATATTTTTTCCTTGAAAAATAAAATTTGAGATCTAGAAATAGTTTACTGCATTACTCACATGCCTGTAAAATACCTTTCTAAATCCTATCCCCTCTGTCTGTCTCAATAAATAAATATTTATTATTATGTCTCAAATTATTGACACAGGGTCCCATTCTGTTGCCCAGGCTGGAGTGCAGTGGTGTGATCTGGCTTACTGCAGCCTCAATCTTCCCAGGCTCAAGTGATCCTCCCACCTCAGCCTCCCAAGTAGGTGGGACTACAGGCTTGCACCACTACTCCTGGCTAATTTTTTAATTTTTTTTTTTTGTAGAGTCTGGGTCTCTCTATGTTGCCCAGGCTTGTCTTGAACTCCTGAGCTCAAGCCATCCTCCCGCCTCAGCCTCCCAAAGTGCTGGGATTACAGGGGTGAGCCACTGTGCCCAGCTATTGAGCACTTTAAATGTGGCTGTTCCAAGCTGAGATGCGATGTAAGTATAAAATACACTTGGATTTCAAAGACAGTATCAAGAATAATGTAAAAGATCTCATTAACATTTTATATGGGTTGCTGCATTTTGGATATATCAAGTTAAATAAAATATAGTCGTAAAATTAATTTCACTTCTTTTTGTTTCAATCTTTTGATATGGCTACTAGAAAGTTTGGAAGGACATCTGTGGTTTGCATTTGTGGTTTGTGTTATATTTCCACTGGACAGTGCTGCTTTATTTAGGGTGCATAAGAAATGCTGGCAGACCTATTTAAAATGCAGATTGCCAGGACTGACCCTCCAGGGAATCTAGTTCAGCTCTCTGTGTTTCAGGCGGATATTAGCAGGAGCTACCTAAAGTAGCAGGAAGCATTTAATTCATTGCTCCCTGAATTTAATTTAGGAATTTAATTCATTGCTTTCTTCTCTCTCCTCCACTCCCAAGCCTAATTCTCTTCATATTTCTCAGTCCCAGTTACCAAGAAAGAGAATCAGTTTGGCCTAGATAATCATTAATGACTCTCTTTAGTCAGAGCTTTCTGTCTCAGCCTACTCCAAAGGTCTCTGACCAATCTATAGATAATCAAGTTGTGACTGATGGGGAAGGTGCAGGAGGTAGGGAGGGGTGGGTCAGAAATAACCTGGAACCTCTCCTCTCACCAGGAGCTGTGGGTAGGACAGCTTTGTTTGGAGAGGGCTGTGAGAATGCCCAGCATAGACTGGCCTGGCCAGATGTGAGTTAATTCAGAAATTAAAAGAGCAGGACATGCATGCAAAGGCCCTGTAAGGGCTAGAACCCAGGTCTGATTATCTCCTGAACTGTGCTCCAGATACAATTCAGCCAAAGCCACTCCACAAATAACAATAATGATAGATCCACTCTCACGACATATTTCTGTCACATCTAGCAACCAGCTGGCAAGATTAAACCAGGAATTTAGAAGGGGAGAGAGAGAACGCAGAGGCAGATATGCAGGGGTAATACATGGAACACAAGCAAGTTGTCAAAGAGCCAGTCCCAGTGATGTCATACATCACTGAGCAACCTTGGGCAAGATGCCTCAACCTCTCTGGCCTCAGTCTTTTCATCTTTACAGGTTAGAAAATGTCAGGGATTGCAAGGATTGGATGGAATGATACGCCAAATACACCCTCCGAAGGGCTCAAGTGATTGCAACGATTGGATGGAATGGTACACTGACTACACCCTCCAAAGGACTCAAGGGTTCTTTTGGTGAATACACCAAAAGGTCTATTTCTTCATCCTTGTTAAAACTTTGGAAATGTTAACTCACAACTCTCATAGTCTACCAGCACTTATCTGCAACATTTTGAGAAAACTAAATATAATTTTCTTTTTTTTTTTTTTTTTTTTTTTTGGAGATGGAGTCTCACTCTGTCACCCAGGCTGGAGTGCAGTGGCTCAATCTCGGCTCACTGCAACCTCCACCTCCTGGGTTCAAGCAATTCTCCTGCCTCAGCCTCCCGAGTAGCTGGGATTACAGGCACCCACCACCACGCCCAGCTAATTTTTGTATTTTTAGTAAAGACAGGGTTTCATCATGTTGGCCAGGCTGATCTCGAACTCCCGACCTCAGGTGATCCACCCACCTCAACCTCCTAAAGTGCTGGGATTACAGGCATGAGCCACCATGCCCGGCAATTTTCTTATGTTATGCCCCATTTCCTTTTCACAAAAATGAACTCCCCCTCCCCTCAAAGTGCTCAATTTTTACAGGGAACCAGTACAGGTTTTTGAAATTTTCCTTTCCTTCATGAAGAATCTGACATTTCTACTATACCAATAACAATAGGAGCAAAGAGTTTACCCTGTATTTGCATAATTAGTTAGAAAGATGAGAATTTCCGTGGCCTCCGAAAAAGGAGCTCTGCATCTTTAAAACTCTGCGAGGCTCCCTGCCTTCCGCGCAGACCGAGCAGACTGCCGCAGCGACTCATCCTATCGATAAGGTTCAGTTAGCCAAGGTGGAGGATGGGAAAAGAATGGAACTGTCCCAGCTACTCAATGAGATCAGGGCAAACTATGAAAAGATCCTCACCAGAAATCAGATAGAGACGGTGCTCTCAACAAGGATCCAGGTAATGATTTCATACAGACAGGCACCTTCCAGAATAAGGAGACAGTCCATGTCTACCCAATTCCTGTCCCGGCCTCTCTGAGGTACAGTATTTCCTTTTCGATGCAGCATCTATTGGGGAAGGAATTTAGCTTCTACTGCAGTGTGACTGGGACTACAGGGGGAAATACTGTGATTATATTGTTAAATTGCCATTAAGTAAGTGTTGATTGATGCATTTGATTTTTATATAAATTGTGAGGTTCCTATCATTAACATGGGGTCAACATACCATAAAATGGTGCACTCTAACCTCTTACAATCTTCAGGAAGGAACCATTCCAAATACCCTTCAAAGATATTATTGGAGTTATTTACAGAGATAATTTAAATAACATCTTTAAAATGAAAAATCTTTAAGTAAGATTTATTAGCATGTACACTTTCTAGAGATATTTCTAAAAGGTTTCTATCATCTTTTTAACGAGTTCCATTTTATACCAGATTGTTATAAATAGAAATCATCTGAGTGTGTGAACATGGCATTCAGAAACAATGATATAAATTATGACCATTGAAATTCCCCAAATTGGTAACGATTCTCCACTAAGATTTTTGCTTCTGTACTATAAGATGAGAAACATTTCTTTCCATTACAAAGCTTGTAATATTTAAGTATTTAAAAAAGAGAAAGAGAGCCTACTTAGATAAGGACTAAATCCTAATTTCATAGACTTAGTTTTAAAGTAACAATCACCTTCAGCAAGTAATTAAGGTCTCAAGTCTTTAAACAAATTTACAAACAAATATTTTAGAAACAAAGATTAAGAAATTTAGGGGATTTTTTAGTTTACCTATCATATATGGGTTCAAGTTATCTTCCAAACCCTGAAATACAGCAAAAAGTTTACTTAAGAATATCACCCAAAATTTTAAAAAAAAAAATTGGTAGAAAAATGTCAGGCCTTTATTCCATTAGCCACTCATTTTTAGTTCCATTGTAAATTTCACCTCTAGATAACATTTTCAGCCTTCATAAAGAATGATCAACATCTTAGATTAAGCAAAGTCACTGGTACAGGTAAGCATTGGGATAGTTCATTCACCTTTACAAACAGAAGAAAAAAATCAATAGATGACAACTTCTAAAAATCATAAACAAAACACTTAACTTTGCAGTAGTAGAAATATGAGTTTAGTTTACAAGTCACAGGGCCAAAATGAGTAAATTCAAATGAAAAAGCAAGACTACGGTGAGTTTTGTTTAAAGTGTCTTTTAATTTGAAACTACTTTAGAGGATTTTCTTCCAAATAACTCAGAAAGTCAGCTGAAATAAATTCAAGACAGCCTGATTAGTTATTTTTTTAAATTTCTAAATAAGCTATTTTAGTTACAGATTGTTGTATAACACCCCAAAACTCATCTGGGACCTCAATCGTCTTGGGGCATGACTGGGCTCACTTATGTGTCTGGCACTTTGGCAGGGCATTGCCGAAAGGCTGGCTCTGCTGGGACTTTCTCTCTCACTTCACGTAGCCTCAGGGTCTCTCTCCATCTGGCCTTTCTACAGGATCTCTCCAGCAGGGTATCCAGACTTCTTGCATATTGGCCCAAGGCTCCCAAAAGCATAGAAGTGGAAGCTATCAGGCTTCCTAAGACTTAGGTCTAGAAGTGGCACAGCATTCCTTCTGCCTCATTCTACTGGTTAAAGCAAGACCCAGGTCAGCCCAGAGTCAATGTAGAAGGGGATCACCCTAGGACTCATCTTGGGAGATAGACTTCTTTAGGGGCCATCTTGGGACTGTAGTTACCGAACAAGCTTAGCTGCCAGTTCCATATTTGAAAGCCACAAGACCAGCAGATACCAGCATTTTTCTGTTTTCTTCTCTCCAAAATTCCTTACTTTACCTTCTGTAGTTGCTCTGGTAGGTGTTGCTTGCTGCCTGACTTTGCCAAGTTAACACTAAGAACAGATTTTCAACAAACCAAAAGAAATGTACGAATTTTGTTCTCCAATACCTTGCCCTAAACTTTATTCATAAACTTTCATTTACTTCAACGTTTTTTTAAAAAAATCTAATGTATGATAAAATTAAATTTTTAAATGTTAAAATATATTTTTATAAGAAAATTAAAAGTTATAAATTTTGCTTCAAAATGCTACAATCAATTCTATACATTGTTCTCACTGTTCCTGGGGCCAAATGTTAAAAATTCTGTCAACAGATACTTTCTTTTCATTTCAACATCAACATAAAAACATTTAAAGCTAAATATAAAATATTCTACTTTTTTAATAGGAGAATATTTAGAAAACAATCCTTAGAGAAGTCATTTTTATTATTTATTCATTTTATTACCCAGATACCCAAAATTAATATGCCTTTTAAAAAGATCATCTTGAAAAAGGTCAATCAACAGATTTTCTTAATATGGAAGTCTATTTGTGAGCCTTATTGCCTATAACAACTTAATTCTCTAAATTACTAGTAATGTATTTCCTAGCAGTATTTACGCCCTATCCCTATACCTGGTCCCAGAATTGATCAGTTTTGGGGGTACGGCTGTTTATCTGCTTCTGCAAAGCAGCCTACAAGAAAATGTGGGGGGAAATAGCTAATTTTCAATCCTTCCTCCTAGTGATCCATAAATAATGAAAAGTTAAAAATCAGAGATCACGAATCTTGGTCCTGCAAACTGTTTTCATTCATGTAAATGTATTTTTCCATATTTCACAGATTGTCATAGTTGGAAGGGATTTCTTGAAATCATTTAACATAGGAGAAAACGGGCTAAGAACGCAATGGACTTACATATTTAATTAGTTAACTAGGCACTAGGACACACATTATAATCTAATGAGTTAAGGAAAAATGCTTTGATTCCTATACAATTTTTCTATAATTGCTTTTACACATCTCATTTTCAGAAGCACTCCTTGTTTTTTGTTTGTTATTGTTGCTGTTGGCTTTCTTGTTAGCTAGAAGAAGACATAAGCAAAAAAATGGACAAAGATGAAGAGGCTTTGAAGGCAGCTCAAGCAGAACTCAAGGAGGCCCGACGCCAGTGGCACCACCTGCAAGTGGAAATTGAATCTCTCCATGCTGTGGTGAGAATGATCCCAAAAGTAACCGACCCATCGAGTCCTCAGATGTGATTTGATTAAGAGAAGGAAAAGATGAATGTCTGTTTATTTACCATGAGAAACTGGAAATCAAGGCCACTGAATTCTATCCCTGATCCTAGTTTAATTACTCACCCCTCCCTCCATTGTGGCAGTGGCTGTTACCAACTCACTCAAGGTTTAGTTCAGACCTGTAAAAATGAAGAAATCCTTTCTTATTACCTTGGGATTTTCTAGTTGCTGAAGATAGGGAATAGAGCATTCGTTATTATCCAAAGTCTTAACAGTGGAGATTCTTTTATCCATGCCATTGAGACGTCGAATAAAAAATATTTAGGCTGACACTGTGGCTTACCCCTGTAATCCCAGCACTTTGGGAGGCTGAGGTGGGCTGATTGCCTGAGCTCAGGAGTTTGAGACCAGCCTGAGCAACATGATGAAACCCCATCTCTATTAAATACAAAATATTAGCCAGGCATGGTGGCACGCGCCTGTTGTCCCAGCAACTTAGGAGGCTGAGGCACAAAAATTACTTGAACCTGGGAGGCAGAGGTTGCAGTAAGCCAAGATCATGCCACTGCACTCCAGCCTGGGTGACAGAGCGAGACTCTGTCTCCAGAAAAGAAAAGGAAAAAAAAAAAGAAAGAAAAATATTTAAGCATGTTTGGAGCAAGGCACAGTTGCTCACGCCTGTAATCCTAGCACTTTGGAAGGCCAAGGCTTGAGGCCAGGAGTTTGAAGCCAGCCTGAGCAACATGGCGAAAACATCTCTCCTAAAAATACAAAAAATTAGCCAGGTATGGTGGCACACGCCTGTAATCCCAGCTACTCTGGAGGCTGAGGCACGAGAATCACTTGAACCCAGGAGGCAGAGGCTGCAGTAAGCTGAGATCATGCCACTGCACTCCAGCATGAGCGACAGAGCGAGACTGTCTCAAACAAACAAACAAACAAAAAGTATTTAAGCATGTTCCTAAATGCCTTTTATGAGCAGTCTGCTCTGGCCTTGATACTCAATGTACTATATTTTCTTTTTTTTTTTTTTTTTTACAAAGCCTACCTCTGAAGTATACTTTCAATAATTTAAAAATCAGATAATTCAGAGTGATAATAAGTTAATCACACTGCAGAGGATTTTTTTTTCAGTAAGAATTATCACAGGATGTCTTTGAAATAGAGTAAGATCTCTAGTTATGTAAATAAAATATAATTTTTTAATAATTAGGGGTCACACAAAGCTGTAAGGAAACACACCTCTTGCATAGGTATAATAAAATTATTGCAATCTTTTTAAAGAAAAAAATAGAACATAGAATGAAGACAGCCAGGCGCGGTGGCTCAAGCCTGTCATCCCAGCACTTTGGGAGGCCAAGGCGGGCGGATCACAGGGTCAGGAGTTTGAGACCAGCCTGGCCAACATGATGAAACCCCGCCTCTACTAAAGATACAAAAAATTAGCCGGGCGTGGTGGCACGCGACTGTAATCCCAGCTACTTGGGAGGCTGAGGGAGGAGAATCATTGAGCCCAGGAGGTGGAGTTTCCAGTGAACCGAGATCATGGCATTGCACTACACTCTGGGCAACAGGGTGAGACTCCATCTCAAAAAAAAAAAAAAGATGAAGATATTGCAAATCAGATTTCAGAAACACATTCTGTGTTACTGATTCACTGATGAAAATCTATATAAAACAGGAAAGGGGCCTTGAAAACTCCCTACATGCCAGCGAGCAGCATTACCAGATGCAGCTGCAAGACCTAGAGACTGTGATTGAAGGACTAGAAAAAGAGCTACAGGAAGTAAGGCGCGGCATCGAAAAGCAGCTTCAAGAGCACGAGATGCTTCTCAACACGAAGATGAGGCTGGAACAAGAAATAGCAACTTATCGCCACCTCCTAGAAAAAGAAGAAATCAGGTACCTAAATCCATTTAGTTAATGACAAGGGGCCAGAAATACAGAGCCACTTATGCCATTGTTGATGTAGTCAGAGAAATTAAATCCAAAAACCCCATCATCATCATGGTGTACTCACTGAGCCCATACAATAAGGTATGCACTGCAAAGAATATATGAAAGAACCATTTCTAGTCTTCCAAAATTAGGAACCAAACAGCCAAAGTCACCTAGAACAAAATGTAAACAATTCTAGATTACTACAAAAATGATCTTGTAGTCTTGGCCAGCTGCAGTGGCTCACTGCTGTAATCCCAGCACTTTGGGAGGCTGAGGCAGGAGGATTACTACAGCTCAGGAGCTCAATACCAGCTTGGGCAATATAGTGAGACCTCATCTGTACAAAAAATTTTAAAATTCGCTGAGCATGGTGGCACACACCTGTAGTCCCAGCTACTTGGGAGGCTAAGGTAGGAGGATTGCTTAAGGAGTTTGGGATTACAATGAGCTAATCATGAAAAAGACCTTTCCTGAGCTGGGTGCAGCGGCTCACGCCTGTAATCTCAGCACTTCGGGAGGCTGAGGTGGGCGGATCACCTGAGGTCAGGAGTTCAAGATCCGCCTGGCCAACATGGCGAAACCCTGTCTCTACTAAAAGAAAAAAACAATAATAATAATACAAAAATTAGCCGGGCATGGTGGTGCATGCCTGTAATCCCAGCTACTCGGGAGGCTGAGACAGGAGACTCGCCTGAATCCAGGAGAGGCAGGTTGCAGTGAGCCGAGACTGCGCCACTGCACTCCAGCCCAGGCGACAGAGTGAGACTCCACCTCAAAAAAAAAAAAAAAAGAGAGAGAGAGAGAGAGACCTTTCCTAACTTTCTCACTTTCCTTGCCATTCATCTCTTCTAGGATTAGTCTGTGCCTTCTAAGGATCACCCATAACAAAAGCCTGGAAAATTCACAATCACCACAATCCCCCTGATCAAGGGCTCACCCTATACCACACATCAAACCTCAAAACAGTAATCATTACTCTAACGTAATTATATTACAACCACGGAAAGCAATATTATTTTGAGTCATGATTTAAAAGACTACCAGATATCCTGATAGGAAAAGATATCAAAAGAGGAATTCTTGTTAATTCATACATCATAATCTGTAATGACTTATAAGGTCATATTGCTTTGAGCATGACATAACCTCCAATTCTCCATGAAAAAATCTTTATTCTTGCTTGCTTCCAAATTCTAAGTCCTCTATAAAACTAGATGAAAACTAGGTGAAACAACTTTAGCCTATAATAAATCTTGACATTTATTAAATCTTTGAAAAAACATAAACTGAATCAAAAATATACCACTTACTAGCTGAGTGACCTTGGGCAAGTTACTTAACCTCTGTGTGCCTCAGTTTTCTCATCTGTAAAATGGGAATAATACTACTACCTACCTCATAGGATTGCTGTGAGGATTAAATGAGTTAATGTTTGTAAAGTGCTTAAAACAATACCTGGCACATTGTAAGTTCTATGTAAATGTGTGTGTATACATATCATGTATATACATATGTATATGTATATATGTAACTATATAGTTAAATGGTTATAAATTTTAATTCCTAATCATTCCAGTTCCTATATACATGTAACTATATAATTGTTAAATAAAATGAATGGTTGTGAATTTTATTTAATTCCTAATCATTCAAGATATTGATCAAAGTCTTTAATATTTGCATAGTAAAACTTTAAAAAAATTAGGCTACACTTGAGATATACAAGAAAATTTCAAAAAAATATAATGACCACCTCTGTACCCACTTCCCCCAGTTTAAGAAGAAAAATAGTTCCAAAAAAAAAAAAAAGAGTAAAATGTTTCCAATGTTGTTGAAGTTCCCTGGACACCTAAGCCACATACCCTAATCTCATGCTCCTCCCTCTACCTGACCTGGCTTCTGAATTTGATGCTTATTAGTCCCATACATTTATTTATGGTAATATGTATGTATTCCTACAAAGTATGAAATTGTTTTGCATATTATTCTAAACTTTATAAAACTATAAAACTTCTTTTTTCACTCAATATTATTCTTAGGGGATCAATCCATAAAGATACGGTGAAGCCTTAGTTCATTTCTTTTCAGTTAAATAGTGTTTCTATTGCGTGAATATACGATTTATCCATTCTCCTGTTTGTTTTAATTATTTGCTGATACAGTGTTGCTCTTAAAATAAAATTCTTTCTGATTTCAGATATTATGGTTGTATCCAAGGTGGGAAAAAAGACAAAAAGCCTACCACAAGTAGAGTTGGTTTTGTTTTACCATCAGGTGAGTTTCTGACATAAATAAACTCATTTGAAAAGTGATGTACTATTTACAGGGATTACTTTATAAGGAAATTAAATACTTTAAAGTCGAAAAAAAACAAGCAATATTTGAATAAAAGTTTGAATATAATTTGTGAACAGTAATTCAATACTGTAATTTAATATATCATAAATGATATTTTCACAGCCATTATAAATGAAATATCTTTTACTACAAAAGTCCCACAAAAGTATGAGAATGAAAATGTAGAAACAGTAACCAAACAGGCAATCTTAAATGGGAGTATCGTTAAGGAGAGCACTGAAGCTCATGGCACTATTCAGTAAGTAAAGAAACTTTGACTAAGAAATAATAATAAATATATGTAAAGAAATTAACTTTGCGTAATCCCAGTAATTACTCTTCTTTGTTTAAATGTTTCCAAACATAGTTTTAGTATACTGTGATTTTTTTTTTTTTTTTTGAGATTGAGTCTTGCTCTGTCGCCAGGGTGGAGTGCAGTGGCGCGATCTTGGCTCACTGCAACCTCCACCTCCCGGGTTCAAGCAATTCTTCTGCCTCAGCCTCCCACGTAGCTGGGACTACAGGTGCGCGCCACCACACTCAGCTGGGTTTTTCTTTGTATTTTTAGTAGAGATGGGGTTTTACCATGTTGGCCAGGCTTGTCTCATTCTCCTGACCTCATGATCTGCCCACCTCAGCCTCCCAAATTGCTGGGATTACAGGCATGAGCCACCACACCCAGCCTATACTGTGATTTTTAATCTGACATATATACATAAAAACTCATGGAAGAGTACTGAATCCTTACTTTGCCGTTTTTTTCCAAAAATACAACCCAAACATGAGAATTCCTAAAGAGAAATTCCATACAATTCCTTTGAAATTCTATTCATATGATTTTTAAAGTATGTACATTATAAATTCTATACACTATAAATTATACAAATTTCTTGATTTTTCCATAGATATGAAATATATAATACATATTTTTAATAGACCCATACTTCTTCATTATTAAAAGGTTTATTTTATCATTTCAGGACAGAGAAAGTGGATGAAGTTATTAAAGAATGGGAAGGTTCTTTCTTTAAAGATAACCCTCGATTGAGGAAAAAGTCTGTTTCTCTTCGATTTGATCTTCATTTAGCAGCCACTGATGAAGGGTGTTTAGAGACTAAGCAGGATAATCTACCAGATATAGAAGTCAGGCTTATCATGAGAAGATCATGCAGTATTCCCTCTATCAAACCTCCATCAACAGCTAATTAATCCAAAGATAGTATTTGACTTGATTGGAAAATGTTAGGATGGACCAAGGTGGGCCATACCAACTCCCTCTGTCCCAAAATGTAAGTTATTACGTATGTATGGAAAATGTTATGATCAATATGTGGTTCTCTTCAGAAGAAAAAAACAATAAAGGACATTTCTCTGAATCTAATTATGGAGATAGACATATATATATATATATGAATGAGAGGGAGTAGCTTAAAAATAAAATCACAAATCCAGTACAGTCTCTTTCTTTATATTCTCCCAATAGTCTTCTTTTTCCCTTGAAACTTCATCAGAGACTGTAAGCATTAACCTGGTTTAGTAAAGTCTTTGTAATTTTTTTCAATGGCTGAATACGCTAAGGAAAAAAGAATTGTTTGAATAGGATTGTGTTAAGAGTCACACTGAGTTATTCACCATTATTCCATGACTGGTTAAACCTACAATGTTTGTTCTATTTTTCAAAAAGAGCAATTATAAACAAGTTTTTAAAGGGGGACTCACTATTCACCTAATGAGGATTCTTCTTTTTGAGATAAATCATTTGTATACTGAGAAAAATGAGTTATTTTCCATGAGAAATTCTGAGCAAACTATAGAACACACCCCAGGGCTAATTTGAGATAAGTACAATTAAGTTAATCTACATATATCTAAAAGGTTTTTTTTGTAATAAGTATCTGATTTCCGGAAGATTTACTTTACTCAAGGAACTTTAAAGGTTGTATCCCCCACCAAAAAAAGAAAAAAAATCAGAAGGCCAACTGCGCAAACAAAACATGAAAAGCAAATTGAAAAGGTAGTTACTATAGTTATCAGAACAGTTACCCACCATCCCAGTTTTTCCAACTGTAAAGCTAAATGTGATTAGATTGTTTGCTATAAGCCGTAGATAAGATACTATATGAAGTATTATAAATATTTCTTGCAATCATTTATGTGAACTAAGATAACGGTATTGTTATCTAAGCTAAGAGTATTTAGAGGATTTGTTTTTAAATCGTTCAAATTGTAATAAATATGGGTAGAAAATATATTTGTGAATAAGTGAGGTATTGTTGCAAAGTTTTTAAAATAACCTAATTTGTTTAATACAGGTATATTTAAGATCTTAATAAATACCTGTTTTAAGACATTAGAAATTTATAAGTTCTTAATTCTTTTCTAAGCAGAAAAAGTAGCTGAGTACAACTCACCATACTTTTTCCCAGCTAAAGTATCATCTAAGGGCTATAGCTACGTTAGCATTTTAGTACAGCCTTTAAAATATTTCTCTCTCTCTCTCCTCTCTCTTCTCCTCTATCTCTCTCTCCATATATACTTATTATATATATACATATATATAATTTATATATATGTATATATATATTTCAACCAGAAAAATGTATGTTTTAACCAGGAAAATATTATGTTAAATAATCTTTAACATAATACAGGGATATAAAATTTTTAATTTTCTTTCAATTACTTCAGATTCCTTTTAGTCTGGTTTATTCTATTTAGTGAAAAGGGATGATTTTGTTTTGTCAAGGATATAACAGCATGTTAAGTGCTTATTCTTGCATAAGCATCTGACCTAAAATACATCCTATACATAAAAAATGTTTCATTTGATATTGCTAAATGCTACTAACTTTATTAAAGCTTTAAAAATGCAATCATATAAGCTATTGTACTAAAGTTACTGTACTAAGCAACAGTGATCATAATAAAGCAATATATCTAGCATAATCTATTGCAGTGTTAAAAAAAACTTAGTACTGGTCGTCATGAATGTAACTGCTTGTTGTAGCAATTCCAGTATGCATCTATTGGGTGTATAACATGTAGATTTTAAAATACAGTATTTGAATTTATAATGAAGCTTTATTTGCTTTGGGGCATTTTAAATTGGGATATGAATTTACCAAGGTAATGATTCCACTACAATTAAAAAAATGAAACATGGCCAGGCACGGTGGCTCATGCCTGTAATCCCAGCACTTTGGGAGGCCAACGTGGGAGGACTGCTTGAGCCCAGGAGTTCAAGGCCAGCCTGGGCAATATAGCAAGACCCCATCTCTCTAAAAAGTAAAAATAAATAAAAATTAAAAATTGAAAAAATTGAAATATGAATGCTAAAGCTGCATTGTATGTGAGTTTGAACGCAGTCCTTTTAGTTCAAAAATATCTCTGCATGGTTAAGTGAAACAAAGAACTAATTACTCCAGTATGGTTAGTTCATTTGGGGAATAAAGAAAACTGCAATCACAGTAGATAGATAATGGTTTTTAACTTGTTTTACAAAAGAGTTAAGAATGGTATATCAATATTTTATTCTAGTTTTTTAAAAATCAAAATAATCACATAATCCCATAGTTCTGGAAAAAGTTTAATAATGGCAGCACCATTTGCAAAGCACTTACTCAGCTCTAGGCACTGTGTTTATCCCTAATAATCCCTAATCCTTCCTTACAACAATCCTACAAAATGAATAATATTATCCTTGCTTTACACATGAGTAGAAATTAATATTCTTTAATCTCTCTGAAATGTTTCAAATGCATGCTTCCATAAAAAAATACAAAAATAAAGAGTAATTCCAGTTACTAACAATTGTAGGATCCTAACCCTGGCTCTGTCACTAACCATGTAACCAGGAGGGGCCACTTTAAGTTCCTAGGCCTCAAGTTTTACACTTGAAAACAAAGGAAAAGGTAAAGCTGGATAATAATTCCTACTCTACCTACCTTACAGTTGTTTGAAATAATATACAAGCAAAAATATTTGTTAAAGCACTGCTCAGATATACAGTACTATTTGGAAGAAAATTGTCTTTAAAGAATGTGTGGGGGAAATTACAGCGGACAATGATTAATAGTTCAAAACACAACAGGTAAAGATACTATTTTTAATTTTTCAATTGCTTCCAGAACAGTTATTCTTTCCCAGTGAGTCACCCAATTTGAACTGTTCTGTCATGATAGCTTTTAAAGTACAAAAAATGTTCTCTATGCCAAGCACAGTGTCTAAAGTATAAAAATGTTCTCTATGCCAGGCACAGTGGCTCACACCTATAATCCCAACACTTTGAGAGGCCTAGGCAGAAGGATTGCTAGAGCTCAGGAGTTCAAGCCCAGCCTGGGCAATACAGTGAGGCCTCGTCTCTATTAAAAAATTTTAAATTAACCGAATATGGTGACACACCAGTAGTCCCAACTATTCAGGATGCTGAAGTGGAAGAATTGTTTGAGCCCAGGAGGTGGAAGATACAGTGAGCCAAGATCATGCCACCGAACTCCAGCCTGGGTGACAGAGTGAGACCCTGTGTCTCAAAAAAAAAAAAAAATAGTTCTCTAAAGATAATAAGTGATTATTATTTTGAGCCACTAAATTTTGGGATAATTTGTTATGCAGAAATATACAACTAATACTGCACATAAGCATATTTCTTATTCATTTGCTAGAGATCTTTGTATTGGCAAAGTTCAGTTTGTCCTTCAATTTGTTTTCTTACGTTTTTAGAATTTTTTAAAAATCTGTTGGCCGGGCATGGTGGCTCACACCTGTAATCTCAACACTTAGGGAGGCTGAGGCAGGAGGATCGCTTGAGCCCAGGAGTTTGAGACCAGCCTGGGCAACACAGTGAGCCCTCGTCTTTACCAAAAAAAAAAAAAATCAAAAACTTAACCCAGTGTGGTAGTGTGCACCTGTAGTCTGAGCTACTCAGGAAGCTGAGGTGGGAGAATTGCCTGAACCCAGGAGGTCAAGACTGCAGTGAGCCTAGATTGCACCACTGCACTCCAGCTTTAGGCAACAGAGTGAGACCCTGTCTCAAAAATAAAAAATCTCTGAAGTCAAAAAATGCTTACATTAATTTGAAAGTTTCCATTGGAAATGTATTATGATACATGAGCCAAAATTAAATTTTAGTTAAACAATATGCATACACGTTACTCAAATTATCAACACATGAAATCAAAGGAAAGTTTGTCCACAGGGCAGAATTTGGTTCTATGTTTACAAGTTATGGCCGGCATGTACACACAGATTGCCAATATTTGTGGGCATATGACAAATAAAGGCTCTAAAATAAGGTATATGTGAAAATCAGTACAAGGCTTTCCAAGTTTCCCTCACATGCTTAGACTCTAGACCAGGCTTGGCAACCTTTTCCATCGAAGCCCAGAGAGCAAATATTTTAGGCTTTTCAGGCCATAGGATCCCTGTAACAACTACACAACCCTTCCCTTGTAACCACAAGCAACCAAAGACAATACGTAAATAAATGAAGGTGCTTGTGTCCAAATAAGGGTTTATTACAAAAACAGGAGGCAGCCCAGATAACGGCCTGCAACAATCTCGTTTGGCTACTGTGCCCTAGACTCCCAATATTATCAGTGGATAATAGACCCCACAACCCAGATTCTCCAGCTCTACCCTGTTTTCAACGTTCATCCTTTTCCACACCATGGGGCAACACTCATGTCCCAAATCCTCCAGGTTATTTTGAGGGCAACATAGAGGGTTCTCAAAGCAAACCGTGCTTTTTAAATTCTGTAAAACAGTGTGGATCACTCTGTCCTGGAAAGCTGCTAAACTTCAATATTTCACAACTATTTCCAGCTACAGAAAACAGAATACCCATAACTCCTTCTGCTCTCACAGAAACAGCTGAGAAAATTAGTTTGTTTCATCATGTTGTCTATAATCAGACTTTCATAGGCTATTTGGGTCAAGTAAAGCTTTGCTCTCGCTTTCCCTTGTTTAAGAAAAAAAAAATCCATTATAAAAGCTTCAAAAGAACATACTACAAACTCCATGGCTCAGTGGTTGGTTCATAATCTTTCTTGAGTCACGCACCTCTTTGAAAATCTCATGAAAGAATTAACCTATCAGGAAAAAAGCCCATAAAAATTGAGTATAATTTTAAAGGGTTCATAGATCACTTAGAGCCTATTCATGGACTACTGGGTGTCCAAGGACTTCAGGTTTTTCCTTATTCTGTCTTATTTTCTCCTTTTTTCTCCTTTCTTCCCAGTCCTACCCCTAACTCTGTCTCCATCACCCGTTTCTTCCCACAGAACAATGGAAAGAACTCAAAGACACCTGGACTAGAACCTTAGCTTACTTAGTTTTGGCTTCCCTGTCTTGGGGAAAGAAGAACCCCAAAAAAGTATGAGTAGTGTCAGAGGGGAAAGCAGGCCACGTTTCTGGATCTTGCTGCCAGAATGAAAACTAAGGCCTAAGTTAGGTCTTAATTGGGCCTAAGATTATCTCTGGGGTTAACCACTGGTCCCACGTGAGTGCTCCCAACTACCCTTATAGTTATATTTAGTTTAAATAGTCATATTGATGCTGTATCCCAAATTTTCTGGGAATAATCACAACTCCAAACATCTGTCCTGTAGTTACCATAAATATCCTTCTAAAGGCAAGAGCATATGTTCTGGTGTTTGCTTTGGGGGAAAAAAACTCATAATAAGTAAAGTCCATCTTGCTGGATAATTCACTCTTCAGTTTTAGTTTCTTCAGGACTAGAGAACAGATTATTTTTCTATTATCTCTTGCCTATATCCTTCTTTCTTTTCTTTTTTTTTTTTTTTAGAAAGGGCCTCTGTCACCCAGGGTGGAGTGCAGTGGCATGATCATGGCTCACTGCAGCCTTGACCTCCCAGGCTCAAGCGATCCTCCCACCTCAGCGTCCCAAATAACTGAGACCACAAATGTGCACCACCGCACCTGGCTAATTTTTTTTTTAAGAGATGGGGTCTCCCTATGTTGCCAGGCTGGTGTTTCTTAATTTTTCAAATCTTTGGTAGAGAAAGAACCAAGCGAAGAAAATGAGTCATTCATTTATTTACTCCACAAGTATTGAGCATCTAAATGTGCTGTGTACTGTTCCAGATGTCAAAATCTCCACCCTGATGGGAAAAAAAAGACGGCTGGGTGCGGTGGCTCATGCCTGTAATCCAGCACTTTGGGAGGCCGAGGCGGTGGATCACTTGAGGTCAGGAGTCCAAGACCAGCCTGACCAACATGGTGAAACCTCGTCTCTACTAAAAATACAAAATTAGCAGGGTGTGGTGGCACATGCCGTAATCCCAGCTACTTGGGAGGCTGAGGCAGGAGAATCACTTGAACTCGGGAGACGGAGGTCGTAGTGAGCCAAGATCGCGCCATTGCACTCCAGCCTGGGCAATAAGAGCGAAACTCCGTCTCAAAAAAAAAAAGAAAAGAAGAAGAAAAAGACAAAACAAAATAAATTCATAAGAAGTATAGTATGTTAGGTAGCGACAAGTGCTACAGAAAAAGTAAAGCACAGGCCATGAACAGACACCGGGGGTTGGGGAATGAGATGCAATTTTAAAAAGGTCAGGAAACACCTACTAAGAAGGTGACATCTGAGCAGAAACCCAGTGAGAAAGTGTATCAGACAATGTCACTGCTCCACTTAGGTCCCCTCCTTTCCCTTTTTGCCGTTTTTGGGCCACCCCTTTCCTACTATAGGGTGCTTTATTCTTAACATCCAAAACCTGCAGTTTTTCTTCAGAGGACTGCCTAGAGACAACACACAGCGCCTCCCCAGCACTGCACTCGCCCAATCCTCCCACCATAATCCCAAAGGCAGGGAAGAAACCAGGCTGGAGTTGCTGGACGAAGCCAGAAAAAGAATGTACTGAAATCCCTTCTGAGGCCTTTGTGTATCGTACTTTAATCCTTTACATGTCTCTGATGGATATATACATATATATATATATAATTTTTTTTTTTTTGAGACAGAGTCTCGCTCTCTCGCCCAGGCTGGAGTGCAGTGGCGCCATCTCCGTTCACTGCAAGCTCCGCCTCCCGGGTTCACGCCATTCTCCTGCCTCAGCCTCCCCAATAGCTGGGACCACAGGCGCCCGCCGCCACGCCCGGCTAATTTTGTTTTTGTATTTTTAGTAGGGACGGGGTTTCACCGTGTTAGCCAGGATGGTCTCGATCTCCTGACCTAGTAATCTGCCCGCCTCGGCCTCCCAAAAGAGCTGGGATTACAGGCGTGAATATTTTTTAACAAGCAATTTCATGTACATTTTCTCAAGCACCACTCAAGCTGCCTGTCCACGGGGCAGACGACTTCTCCTTTAGTCTTTCTCTTGAATATGCTCTTCAATTTCATTAATCTCTATTCATGAGTATAACAATATTGGAAAAATTGGACAGAGTATCACTTGTTCCTCGCTTTGCAGACTAGAGATGCTTCTAGTCCCTGTTGGCACACTCAGGATGGGGGCTACGGGAAGCCCAAGAATTCAGCCTCTCTCTAAATGTCAACTGTTTTCCAGTAACCACAGGTCAGGGATCCCATACGTTCATTCTCCCTCCACAGTGACCCACAATATCCATCGGGTGTTTATGTATCCAAAGAAGAGGCTACTCATTCCATCTGGTAAACCAACATACTCATGATTTAGTGGAAAGAGCCCTGGAGTGGCACAGAGGGCTGCCTCAATACACACTTACTGAGCGTCTAACAATGAATGGGTCAAGCCCTTCGTAGGCACTGGCAATGGGAAGATGACCAATACAGACGGCTGAACCTTGCTTTCAAGGCCTTCATAAAGCACTGGAGATGACAAACACGGTCCGATACAAAGGGTCGGGTTCAGGACTCCAACCATTATTATCAAAGAGCCACGGGAATACAAAGGAAGGATTACTAGGGGGGAAGTTCCAGGAGGGCATCACAAAGAGACCTCTGAGCTGGATCCAGAAGGACAGATGAGTTTAAGCTGAAAGTGGGGACGGTCGTTCCCGCTGGTGGGAACCGAAGGAGCCGAGGCAGCGCTGAGGCGGAGACCAGGTGGCACCCGCGGCGCTGCAAGGACACACAAGCTGTTGCGAGGGGGTCAACTCTCCGGGCCTTGGCTTAGAAACCTGGGACGATTACACCCTAAAAGCGCTTGGAAAAACTGCAGAACTCGTGCTGATTTTCGCCAAAGCTACTCCCCCGCCGTGAGGGCAGGAAGCCCTGCGAGGCGCCTGCGAGGACGCAAACGCCGCGAAGCAAGTCCTCCACGCCTCCATCCCAGGTTTAGTGAAGTGTAGACTCTGACCCACAGCCTAAAGGAAAGCAAGACCGGAGTCGGGGAGGGCCCCTCCAGGAGCGGGCTCAGCGGGAGTCTGGCCGAACTGCTTGCTGCCACAGTGGTTCCGCGGCCTCGCGCTGAGCGCCATCCGCCGTCTCCCACCGCGGCCCCCACCGCCCCTCCGCAAGGCTCGGCACCTCCCGCCACTTCCTCGGTCGCTGCGGCGGCTCCGGCTCCTCACAGCCGCTAAACCCAGGCCTATTCTGTGTTAGGTCGGGCCTCCTCGGCCCTCTTCGCCGTGACGAATCAGCGCCCGGCTGGGAAAGTATCAAAATTCGGGGAGTTTTGAGGATCCAATGGGTCCTGAAAAAAATCCCTGAGTGTGCTAAGCATCACCGCATCTTCACTAGAAGGTTAGTTTTTCTAAAGAGGGTCGGGTGGGGCCCGGAAAAAAAAAAAAATTAAGAAGAGTGTGGAAAGTGCGAGTGCGGAAGCTCCGGACGCGAGGGGCGGGGCGAGCGCGGGACAAAGGGAAGCGAAGCCGGAGCTGCGGGCGCTTTTTCTGCCCGCGGGTGAGTGTTTCCAAGTGGGACGGACCGGGTCGGTGGGTGCAAGTCGTGGTGTCCCCGCTTGGCTAGACCCCGAGTTCCCGGGGGTTGCTGGGGTTCAGCCTTGGCCGTGGGGCCAGAGCCAGGAGCCGGTTGAGGCCTCCTTGAGGCCTAGCAGAGCGAGGGTTGGGAGGGAGTCCCATCTGGGGCCCCCTCCTTGGAGGCAAGGCCAGTCCCCCGAAATTGGTCAAAGCACCTGTGAATACCCCGTTTTAGGGGAGTTGCTAGTAAAGTACATTCTCCAAGACAAAGAGAGCGACCTCAGGAAGCCGTGGGCAAGGCAGGTCCGTGGTTCACCCCCCACCCGGGCAGAAGGTTCCCCCATTGGTTCAGGCAGCGACTTGAGGACGAGCAGAGCTCTGAAATAGTTTGGCCTGGGTTTGAAACCCAACTTTGGCACTTCCTGGCTGCATATGGCTTCAGACAAGTTGTTTAAACTTTCCGAGACTCCCTTGTTTCATCTGTAAAATGGGGATAGCTGTACATATAAAGTACTTGTGAGTGTTAAGCGAAATAGTGTCATAAGCGTACCCCGTATAAAGTATTTCTTGAACAAATATTTATCGGGTATTTATTTTTATGCCAGGCACCAAAGATGGATCCAACGGTGGACAAATGTACAAGCCCACTCTTAAATTTTGTATTCTAGCAAAAGAGAGCAATAATTTTAAAGTATTAACAATGAAGTATAACGTACAGGGAGCTTATGTTAGTTGTCAGGGTCCCCTGCAGCGAGGCCTGCTGGATGTTGACAGCTCCCTTAATGTGAGCAGAAAGGAAATCTACACCAGAGTCAAAGGTTTCTGGCTGTTCTTTAAGAGGGAAAGACTCAGGTTGGACCATTGAGAAAATGAGCTGTTTCTTTCCACACCAGGACTCATTCCTTATGCTCCAGGGAATTTCCTTAAAATTAATAATAGAAGCGAAAAATCAGATCTATTCCACATGTTTGGTTGCAAATACCTCCAATAGTCATAGAAGTTTATTTGCCTTCTTTCCAAAGATGAATTTTTGTCTTTTTGTACCTCACTATTTGTGATGTATGTTGATGTAAAGAACAAGCTCACATGTGCCTGGTTATGTTGTGAGCTGGTAATACTAGGAAAAAATTTCCTAAGAATTGAGCTAGGTCCTGACATGGTCCCTCTTTCCAAGTAGCATACAATCTAGCCATATTGATAAGTTAAAAAAAAGTTATAATAATATAGATCTGTGTAAACTGTATAGGAATACAGATGGGGGAGCAGTTAATTCTGCCCAGGTAATGTATCAAGAAAGTTCCCTTGAGGAGAAAAATTTTGAAATGGGCTGTGAATGATGAATAAAAGTTTTTCAGGTAGACTCTCAAAATTTATTCCCAGCATTTATGAAGCTATTTACCATTATAAGAGAATGTGAAGTTCATTGTCATACCAATTACCTTTTGCACTGCTTCCAGGAATAAAATGCTGCCTAATTTTAATAAAAATTGTTATCCCAAAAGCATGATACAGTTGCTGATCAGGGAGCTGTCAGTATCTGGTAGGCCTTGTTGCGTTGGACCCTGATAATACATCACTTTCTATTCTCATCCTTGTATCAGTCTGATGAAATGTTTACATGGCGTCAGCAAAATGTTTTCCATACAAGAGGTAGCTTAGTATCACAAGAAAAAACCTGAAAGTACATTTCTAAATATCCCCAGTACTTTATTTTAGTCATTTAATTCTAATCAACCAAATGACCTATAAGAACTAGTTAAAATACACAAAAGGCTTAATTACTAGGAATTAAGGTGAAGTAATTTTACTCAGAAATACCAATTAAATTACCCTATTCATTAGGAAAACATTCTCGTATGCTTGCTGAGTTTTGATTCTCTTTTTTTTTTCCTTTTTTTTTTATTTTAGTGTCTCAGATTCATTCTTAAGGAACTGAGAACTTAATCTTCCAAAATGTCAAGTAAGTTTCAATTTTTATATTTATCAATCTATGTTAATAAGAGACTAATGCCCTAGCAAGTGGGAATTCCAAAATACTCTCATTTTTTTTTCTTCAAAACAGGACCATTGGTAGTTTTGTTGCATAGTATTATATCTCAGTTGTTTACAAGAAGTTATTTATTTTCTTTCAAACAGAAAGACCATCTTATGCCCCACCTCCCACCCCAGCTCCTGCAACAGTAAGTTTTAATTTTCTTGTTAATGTAATAGCCAACTCTGGCCTTGATACAAAAACCCAGATGTCTTCCAGTGACAGTCACTCAATCATCACAGCAACAGGATGAAATTCAGCTTAAAAGAAAAAAAAAAAAGCACTTCCTACTAAATAAAATAATTATTTGCATCTTTCCTTGAACCAACCCCAACATTTAAAGAAACAGTACTGTAAAACTCCAACCTCCTGTGCTCAGTTTGTTTTGTTTTTTCTTTGTAAATGGGAAATAAGTGAAAGTTTTACCATTTCTTTCTTATTAATCTTCACTATTAAGAGTCTTTAAGTTGTTACTGAGTGAATGCTCATTCTGGCTATTTTGTTAAACCTAACCTTCAACTGGTTATGTTTTTCTCTCCTTTCTTGTCTCTCTCTAAAATTTTCATATTAAACAATAAAGCTTCTGAAACTACTCATTGTAAATATTTTCAAGCTGTTCAAGTAAAGATTTCATTATCTATGGGGCAGATCTTGCTATTGAATCTTATTCCACTCCATAAATTATATTTTATTGGTTTGGAAGTATATATGTTTTAAGTAGTTGTGAACGTGTTTTTTCACCCAGGAAGCTCTGGCCCAGCTTGGTCAGCATGTAAAATAATTTTCCAACCCACAAAACAGATTTAGCAGTAACTGTTCAGGTCTTGCTGAAATGGCTTCCTTGTTGGTTTTTTGGGAGGGGGGGTTTTGTTTGTTTTTAAAAAAACACTGTTAGCATGACCAAATTCTACAAAATTAGTTCTTTAATATTAATCCTTCCTTCCATACCCCCACCACCTAAATTTCAGGCTAGTCTACTTTTCACTACTAATTAGGTCCTTGTGTAACTTAGTTTTCTCCGCTAAAAAACTACTCATATTTACTAACCCTCAGATACATATTTTAGTTACATTTATCAACAATTTGTTTTTCTTTAGTGAGATACTTTAGAAAAGAGATACCGTACCATATGTTCTCATTTCAATTTATGTCATATACAGGCTCTAAAGTTAATTCCAGTAGACTATAAAGTCCTATGCTTGCTTTGTTTTCTTTCTTAAATCGAAGAACATTTGTTATGACCATCTCCATGGCATTCTGCTAGTGGCTATACAGGTGGAGCTGAACAATTGAGATTCTGACCTCAAAGAGCTAACCATGTACTTCAGCTTTGGAAATGGTATAATTATAATGTTTTGCTTTCCATTTTTTTTTTTTTAGTTCCCTTATTTTTATAACATTATTGCCTCATAATGTTGAACAGTGATTCTTATTATTTATGCTACCTTTGAAGGTGTCATTTTGACAAAAATACTGCCTCTGACAATGCATCATCTTGACAAACTTGATTTTTTGAGATTAAAATATTTCAAAAACCAAGTGTCCCCTTATAATTTATTATGCATAAAAAGGAATTTTTTTTGCCTTTCTTTAGTTATATTTTTGTGTCATTATAGTTTCACATTAACACACAAAATATAGAAGACTAGGGATTAAAACATCCAACAGAATGGATACTAAATGAATTATTCTTCTTCCTTTTTTCTTTCCATTACTTCTACCACCACCACCACCATCACCACCACTACCAACACTATCACCACTATCACCTCTGCCACCCAAATGTACCGCTGCAAGTAATATACACTTCTTTCATGCCTTTGATACTTCAACTGTGTTTTGCCTACTTAAATATGCTTTATTTGCGTCTTTTCTAACTGTATAGACTAGAAATTGATCAGCCGTTCTCTTTTCTCCTAAAGAGTATCAAATGTAATATCTGCTTAAATGTCTTTCTTTTGGGTACTAAGGATATGTGCAGCGGCATGTTTTAGGAAATTGTGTTTATTTTGTAACAGCTACAGCTTAGTTGGAATGTGTTAAGTGTATTTTACATTATACAATTAAGGACCGATATTGTTAATTGCATGTAAAAATGAAATTGTCACATATTTTGATTGAATTTTACAAGGTAAAATACCCTAATTTTGGTCTCTCTCTACTATATTCTTTCTATGCATTATGCCTTGGTTCTCATGAACATTGAGTGTCATTGTATTAGCCCCAAGGCTACTGCTATATAAGAGCCCATTTGTGATTACATCAACACATAATTCACAAAAACCAAGGGTTCTGTTGCTGAAATGAGCAGTTGTATTTTGAAAGGGTGAGAGCTATCAGGAAACTAGATGAAAAAAGAAGTCTATAAACTAGAAAAGTAGTTCACATTGAGACAAAATGCAGAAATGTTTTCATGATTGACCAGTGGAAGATGGATCAAAGAAGAAATGGAAGAGAAATCCTATAAAAGAATGACTGGGTTAAAAAGATCAGATAGTACCCCAGAATGAAATCCATGCATTTCTTACAAGTCTTTGTTTTAAATCATGTATGTGACATCCATCAAATCCAACATATGTTCTTTTCAATTGACAAATCCTGGCTTCCCGATTTGAGTCTCTACTCATTTCTCACATTATATAAAATGATTTAAAACTGTCGTTGAAATCAGATCCATTTCTTTTTTTTGTTTTTAGTAGATAAATACATTGGTGGCATCCACATGTCAAATAAATTGTATTTTGTTTTGCATGTAGTGTTTTCAGAGTTCTAGTTGATCACACTTCAAGCCTTCCTATTTCAGTCTTCATATATTGCTAAGTTGTTTTATCCTATTGTTGACCATAAAGTAATCCTGAATGTTTTAAACACTTCAGTGTGTTGCTTACCTCAAAAAACAAAACACACATTCACAGTCACACAAACACCCCCAGCCCCTGCAAAAAAGAAAGAGAAAAACAACCAAAAGACACTGCAGACAGGTTTCTCAATGAAAGAAAAATATTTAATTTCCTCAGTGGAAAAAAAGAACAATTACAACACATCATTGCTTGTTTAAATTCAGGTTGCTTTTGCATGCCATATGCAGATCATTTTTCATTTCTGTGTTTTCCTCGTTTGAGCTCATTTCTCATTCGTGTTTTTGTCTCATTTGTTTCCATCAGCAAATGCCCAGCACACCAGGGTTTGTGGGATACAATCCATACAGTCATCTCGCCTACAACAACTACAGGCTGGGAGGGAACCCGGGCACCAACAGCCGGGTCACGGTAGGAGAATCAACTATTACAGCATCCGGCAAACAACTGGAATTGACCAGAAATGCCTTCAGAATTAGGTCTTTTTGAATCATAAGCACAGCCATTTAAAAAAAATTTTTTAACCTAGCTTTTTGAGTATTTTCAACATTCGTTGTAGCATCTCACACTGAAAAAATAAATAGTGAGATCTGGAATGTATATAGAAGAAAAGAAAAATCCATTCTGTTTGGTGGTTGGTAGGGTTAAAGCCTTGAGCACTTGATGCTTATACTGTATGTAAACAAACAGAATTTCTTAAGGTAAAAATATCCTTTTTGACATAAAGAGTATTTTTCATTTTTATAAGGTGATTGGCATTAGTCTCAAGGATTGAGTTTCTAGTAGAGGCTGGTCTTTCAGACCTGGCTTTTTCAGGGCTGGAAAGCTTTTGGCTGGTACACCAGTTTGAATCGCTACCCATAGTTATTTGTCTTTTGGATTTAGTAGTTGACCTTCTAACTAAGACTCATTTCTCTACAGTGAAAAAGAGAAAAACGTTTTAATGTCACCTCAAAGAAATGCAGAGTGAAGGTTGAATGAAATTAATTTGAAGTATCAGACTAGATATGTACAACGAGAAGTGCATTTCTAATCCTTAGTATAAGAGATAGGATTTCTGAAACTTAGCATGTTTCATTTAAGTGATCAGCCTAAGATATCAAAATTGGATGATACACTTCAAATCTTTTAGTTTAGAATCATCTTAAATTTCATTCAAAAAAGTTTAAGCACCAAAAAATGCCAATAATTATAAAAATGACTTACTAAAGATAAAAAATCCAAAAGTCAAATACTACATTGGAATGTAGTGTTGGTGAGAATTTATACAACCCAGAATGGCTGTAAAGTTTTTAATACCTGGTTTTTGTTTGCTGTATTCATAAATAACAAGTGCCTTCTATTAATGTAACTTCAAAAAAGCCCTCTCACCCTGTAGTCAAGCTGGAACTGAAAGCTTGTAGCTATCAAATGAATGTCTATCTTGATAAGCATATTGCTTAGCTTGATAGGTTTTGTTTGTCTAAATTTTTCATTGTTTCTGCATAATATGTACTTCATAAGCATATCAAGTTTTATGTGCCATGCATATTTCATGGTATCTGAAAAAGAATTCTGACAAAGTGTGTGTATGTATGCATTTCACAATGCATACAATTTTTATGTGCATCAATACATGTTTTTCCCTGGCCTAAACATGTTGTTTCACAAGTGTAATGGATGGCAAGGTTTTCAAATGATAAAGAACATTTCAGTTTAAACAATGAACGGAATCAATCATGGATCTTAATGTTAATGCAGCAATTTTTTCACGGGCAGTAAACAAGAATGATTGCATTTAATAGCTCTATACAGTCACCTCTTGATTATCTATGTTAATGGAATAGAAATGATAACTATAATATTACAGTAATTTGTCTTTTGGTTTTGTGTAAGTATTTTGCTCTTAACTTGGATGTAGCTGTGGGGGATTCTCAGTTAAAAAAGTGAGATTGTTCGATGGAGACTAGGAAGAGAAAGTGTACTCCCTATCTGAAGTCACTCATCTGTTTCTTCCCATTCCTTCTTGGCGAATGTTAAGAACTGAACATTTGGCGTGGACACTAGCTACATAGTAGATTAATTATAGAGAGTTGTTGGACATGGAAAATTTGGTGTTTTGGTCCTTTGTGGACATTTACTTTGTATTATTGTCCTCTTAACACCAAATTGAAGTATAATCAAACTGCTATATGAAGAAGGGCCTAGAAAATGTGGAGGTTTTACACTACTTGCCCTGCTTTCTATATCTAGTTTAAGCTGTTAGGACTCAATGGCTCTGATTTTGACCATAATAAAAGCATTTTGATTTTACTATGACCCTAGTTATGCATTACTTTTGGGGGTGAGGGGAAGCTCCTGTATGGTATTGTTGTGCGCAGATTGCATTAGTGGTTTTCAAGGAACGAATCTGTGAAGCCCTGTCCAGTAGCTTGTGGTAGGCTGTAGAGAACATTGGGTTTCCCTGATGACTCCAGTATACTTGGGTAGTTCTCAGACAGTAAATACTTTGTATAGCATGTCGAGACCTTTTGGAGTGCTTATGATAGCTACAAGATGGAATTCACTCCTAGTCAGTTCTTCATTCAGATGATGATTAACATTCTCTTAAGTACAGGTGTGAAAACACATTGAGACAAAAATGTCTTTAAAAACAGCCTATTTCTGTACATTAATAGAAATTCTGCCCCAGAAGAAAGCTCTTAAATAAGTTCTTGCTAGAGAAACAGCTGAGAATTGCAAAAGAAACAACAACAAAAAACTGAGTAACCAAGATAAATTTCACAAAACCATGAACTTTATTCATAGGAGATTTCCTAGGACCTTGCTCTTCTGTAAGCACAGTTCTACCCGCCTCCCCATTGGAAATTGAAAGCAGAAAATTGGAAAGAGAGTTGCTGCTAGAGGTGGGTTTCCTGATAGTAGCAAGGAAAGAAACAGTTCAAAAATGGAAACACATTCTCCAAAAGCATAGCCCCTAGGCCGTTGAAAGAGTCAACAACAGATTTTGACATCTGACAGAGGGTTACAGCACAGCAAAACAGTGGTTGTTTCTAATTGAATCTTATCCAGAAAGGGTCTAAAGTATGTTCAGCTTTTTTTAAAGAAATGTTTAAGACATTGTAGAAAGATGTCTGTCTGAGACGTTAAATAAATTGGAGGTGTGTAATGATATAAATCTTTACTATCCTGAAAACCATCTGGAATTTAACTTTATTATTGTTTTGGGGTGTTTTTTTAGTTTGGGTTTTTGTTGTTGTTGTTGTAAGTTGACTGGTCTCAATATACAGATGATTTGTGTACCTTTCTTTGGGAGAAAGGAGGGGAAATAGCAATTCCATTAATATAAAATGTGATTCTTTGAAAAATATCAAAGAGCAAATACTACTGTGTTTTTAAAGTGTTTTAATTCATATTAAAGCTCGGAAGCATAGGCATTTTAGAATTCTTTACCTCTTTAATTTCAAAAAATTTTGACAGTGGTCTTACCACCTCAGTTATGGGCACAATTCCAACTTTATTTGTAATCCATTTCATGGAATTCTGAAGGTTTGTGTTGGATATGAGTTGGAAATACTTTCTAGTAACTTTATGTGTGAAGAAGCAGACTTGTGTGTGTCTGTTCCTCTGAATCCATAAGGTTAGTCTTATAGGAATTCTCTTTCCCCTTGAAAGAACTATAGACCCTGATACAGGTTTCCCTGTATTGGCTGCCCATCCTACCACTTTTGACAGTTTCCATGCCCCTGGCCATCTCACTCTCTTACCCACTGCTGGCCAAAAACAGTGTCTGTCTACCTGGGCACTAGCATGAGGTGTGACAAGAATGCATGGGAGGAATGGAAAGAGAGGAAATACTGCTTCCAAGGCGAAATGCTTTGAAGAAGTAGAGTTATAGGGATGGAGAGAGACCCTTGTAGGAAGAGGAAACATTTCTTGATCATAGTGGAAAAGGACACAAACATGCTAATCCCTGAGCCCTCAAATGAAAAATAAGGTTATGATTGGGGTCCCAGCCCAGAGTGGAGGAGTATCTCTGGGGTTTTATCATAGCAACAACAGAAGGGGAAGCGAACAAAATGTTACTTTAGTTTTCCTATAAGGATTTGCCAATCCTGTCTTTCGATAATTAAAATAAAGCCAACACTTCATTTCTCCAGCCTAGCAGGGAGAGTCAATATCAGAGATCTCCTGAAAATTTGCAAATTGTCTGAAATAGCAATGATTTTTCTTATTCTGGGTCTTTAATCAAATGCAGTCATGTATATTAACAGGAGACTAAAAAGTTCAGAAATAGATACTTTTAGATGGGTGTTATCTGGGTGGTCTACCAGAGGCTGTCTGGAATCTCACCTAGACTTTAAGCCACAGGAAAAACTGATCACTTTATCTTTCTCTTTCCTTCTTTTTTTATTTTTTCTTTCACCTATTTTTGCTTTACCTTTTTAAAAAATATTTTTCAGTCTTCCCTCCGCCTCCTTTTCTTCTGTCTCTCTTTTCCTGTACATCACATCTTTCCTTTTCCTCTGTCTTTCCCATAAAACTGAACATTTTTAATGGAATGGAGCTTCTTGATATAAGACCTCAAAAATAACGTAATCAGGCCCGATATCTGCCACTTCTCTGTTCCTGATAAACTTGTTTGCTTTTACACTGTGATTAGGACTCAGGACAAAACAATGTGTGACTTTTAATTCACACTTCTCATTCCCCTTTACAAGAAAACCACTAGGTAACAGACAGAACCTTAAGAGAAATAAAATCTCTAGCCTGGCAAAGGAGGTAAGGTGGTTTGTTATTTCACTAATTGTTTTTGTTTTTGAACCTGGGAAGTTGTTTTTGTGGTGGTGTTGGGAGTACATTCCTAGTGCTAATAGGTTAAGGCCCCTGTAGACAGTGTGAGAATGGTAAGTGTTAAGGGTTCAGATCCTGCTGCAGATAATCAAGTGTTGACTGTATGTGTAATGGTAATTGAGCAGAATAAGAGGGTACCAGGTAATGTCCTGAACTTGAGACGGTTGATATATAACCATATATTTTCAATGTATGGGTTACTGTGTAATATTTTATTTGTTCTTGCAGCCAGGTTGTCAAAGCATTGGCAATAAACTGCTAAGTAAAACATTTAAAAATTATGTGCTTAAAGTCATTTTCTTTTGAACATTTCTGAATTTGCAGTGATAGCTATTTTCAGTGAAGAAAATATTTGGACGAATAGAAGAAAGGCGCATTAGAATTTTTTAAGGGACTCTCTTTTCAGTTTGCCAGTGAACTCCTTACAGTTGAATAATGAATGTATTTAACTCTTTCGTAGGCATCCTCTGGTATCACGATTCCAAAACCCCCAAAGCCACCAGATAAGCCGCTGATGCCCTACATGAGGTACAGCAGAAAGGTAGGTGCTTAGGACCTGGTAAGGAGTGAGGACACTGTCTTTGCTGCTTCTTTGCTTAACATCCAACTTTAGATCGGCTTAGCCAGCTTTTCTGTGCATATTCAGAGGAAAGGTCCAAAAAAATACGGTTTTTAAAGCAATTAGTTCTGATTTCAAAATTCCAGAACTAAAATCCAACAAGAGGAGCGTGATTAAATAAACTGTTAAAATCCTTAAGATAGAATGTTCTATAGCCATTAAAGTCATTTCTTTTGGAGAATATTTAATGACGTGAGGAAAATGTTAAGTGAAGGAGGACTGCAAGACTACATGAATTAATATCTCATTTTTATAAAAATAATAGCAACCACATGTTAGTTTGAAGGGGGAAAACACAGAAGACAATAATTATCTCTAAGCAGTAAGCTTATGGTAGTTTTTATTTTCTTTTCCTCAAGTTTTCCTTTTTTTTTTTTTTTTTTTGGTGATGAGCCTACATTACTCTTAAAATAAAAAAAGTAGCCAATATCTTTATTAAAAGGCAGAGCATTATAACCACTATCTAGAAATGTTAAACCTTTTGATCTTGACTATTATATTTGTATTTGATAATATGATGTACCGTGTTATGCAAATTAAGCACTTTTCTTCTAAATTCACATGAACTTTTAGAGACGTAGACTATGTTATTGAAGTAACTCATCCTAAGTGTCTGTAGTGATTGGAGATATTCTTGCTTATCAAATTGAAGTATTTATAAGTGAGTGACGTGATGTCTGAGATCTATCTTAAAGTAATCCAGTAGGGCAAAGATAACTTGAGATTGGCCAGTTCTTGATAATTTTTGAAGTAGGCTGATGAGTACCTAGAAATTTGATACTGTTTTCTCTGCTTTGTATGTTGAAAAGTTTCCACATTAAAAACTATTTTTAAAGGTCTATACGTTTAGACATCAGTATTAACATTTCATCTGTTTTCTTTTTAAGGTCTGGGACCAAGTAAAGGCTTCCAACCCTGACCTAAAGTTGTGGGAGATTGGCAAGATTATTGGTGGCATGTGGCGAGATCTCACTGATGAAGAAAAACAAGAATATTTAAACGAATACGAAGCAGAAAAGGTAGGGTAGGGGCTCACAGTGGGATAGATAATGTGTAAAGTACATAAAACATTGGCTTACTATTTATAAAAGTAACATAAGATTTGGTCAGAACACTGATGCAGTACTGAGGCTCTGTCTACCTGAGTCAAGTCAGTTTCTCAAGGCCTCAGATTTCTTGCCTGTAAAAAGGAGATAATTATCCCAACACCCTGTTTACATCATATCTTTTGATATTCAAGTGAGATAACATAGGTCTGCATTATAACCTGCAAAATGTTAATTATAAAACCAAAAAACATTTGAATTTCAGATAGAGTACAATGAATCTATGAAGGCCTATCATAATTCCCCCGCGTACCTTGCTTACATAAATGCAAAAAGTCGTGCAGAAGCTGCTTTAGAGGAAGAAAGTCGACAGAGACAATCTCGCATGGAGAAAGGAGAACCGTACATGAGCATTCAGCCTGCTGAAGATCCAGATGGTAAAAGAAAAAAAGTGGGGTTTTGTTTATGCTTTCTCTGTGAGTTAAGATATGAGAAATCTCTTAAGTATAAGTTTTTATTTCTTATCCTAAATGGAAAAGAAAGTATAATTTAAGTATCGTCTTAGTATTTTGGTTATATTGAGTAAGATTTGTATGTGAATTTCCCACAAGAAAAAGAAATATCCTTTTCAGTGCAGAAAATAGCAAAAATTATTGATTGTTTATCAAAATCTTTGTACTCAAAATGCACGAAAGGTTTTTAAATCACAATCAGGATTTTGCCTCATCTGCTTTTAAAAAGCTAAATGCATTCTAATTATATCTTGTTTTCTTATTGGTTCACTAAATTCGCTGAATTAAAGGCTCTTAAGGGAGAAGCTAATGAGTATGTGGAAACATGAAGTTTCCTTTCCATTTAATTCAGAAATCCAATAAGAATGTATAAATATAGCTCATGCTACTATTTGTATGGGTGTACATGAGGGTATACCCATACAAATTGTATACATGCACACGAATGGCAGAGCTTCCTAATTGCCATTCTGTATGAGTAGTTAGCAGGTGTTCTGATTGTTCTGGTCTTGTGCAGCCAGGCAGGGTCTGAAGCTGCGAGGAGACCCAGAGATAGCCACCTGCAGTGTGAACACACTCAACCACATATCTAGTGTGCTGTATAAACATTAATAGTTTCTCTGTATACTGCTATGATGTGCAAAAGGTTAGAAGCTTTAGCTGCAAGCGACAAGAACATCAGGAAAATGATTTAAGATCCCATCTTAAAGTAGCAGTAACAAAGAGGAAGGCTATAAGAACTTTAAAGACAATATCAATGAGGGAGGAAGCAATAATAGTACCTGAAGACAAGAATAAGTTGATAAAAGTGGGGAAAAACAGAAGTCATTTTTAAAAATAATGTACTGGAATATTGTCAAATGTTCTCATAAATACAGACAGTGGAATGTAATACTATAGAGAATAGAATATGGAATAGAAACAGTATTGAATGTTAAGCAGAATCAGCAGTGCTAAAGACACACTAGCATCCTCACACTTTAATTACTCAAATGGGGTGATTAATGCAAGAGAAACATACAGAACTAAAAATCAGAAGACAATCCAGTCTACAGATATTGGGAGGATGGAGGTCAGTACAAGAGGAAACAAAGGCTAGCAACGTAAGTAGAAAATAACTAAAGCTTTCATTAACACCATGAACACTGAGAAGGACTAAAGAGATTCACTCAGAAACAGTCTGAAACTTGGGCCTATGATGTTTTTAACTTTCAGATTGGGTCTTAAAGTTGCTAGTAAATTCAGGTAGCAATTAAGATGCCAATATGAGAATGTCTTTAGCATACCAGTACGAAAATGATTAGAAAGAGGAATACTTGGGAGGTGGAAATGTATGTCAAATGTACATAACAGAAAGGTGGCATCTGCATGAAGTACAACAGCTACTGACTTCTTTAACAGAGGACTATCAAAAGATAGACATTGCCAGGCGCCATGGCTCACGCCTGTAATCCCAATACTTTGGGAAACTGAAGCAGGAGGATCGTTTGTGGCCAAGAGTTTGAGACCAGCCTGGGCAACACAGCAAGACCTTATCTCTACAGGATACTTAAAAATTAGCTGGGCATGGCGGCTTGTGCCTGTAGTCCCAGCTACTCCAGCTGAGGCTGAGGTAGGAGGATCAGTTGAGCCCAGGAGTTCAAGGCTGCAGTGAGCTATGATCATGCCACTGTCCTCCATCCTGGATGACAGGGCAATAACCAGTCTCAAAAAAAAGAAAAAAAAAAGAGGGCATGTGCAATTATCCACACAAGACAATGAAGGCTTTTATTCAGTGAGAGCCTCTTCATCATAGGATAAATAGCTGTTCAATTAGATCATAACCAGAGAAGCCATTCCCCCAAAAAAGGAAGCAGACGACTAACATGCAAAGAAGAACAAGCCCAAATTGCTTAGACCTTATGTCCCCATCTGTGGTCAACACTGGGGCCATATAAATGAAAGAAGAAAACAAAAGCTAACAACAAAAACAGATAACTTAGACAGATGTAGCACAGATGTACCATATATAACCCTAAAGGTGAAAAACTCTTAAAAAGTAGAAAGGTTACAGAGTTTTAAAAAAACTGTATCTTACCCAGTAGTTTTAATTTCAGAAGTTTATTTCCTAAAGAAATTACTCAAAAGGAAACAAAAGTAATTTTTTTAACTTTTTACAAAAACAACAGTTTTTAGCTGTAGTATTTATAATAATGAGAATTTTAGGAACTACTTAAGTGCCAGACAATAAGGGAGGTGCTAAACTGACATAGCAGCGCAACATAGGCCTCTGTAACAGGGTTTCCCCTGTAACAAGGTTTTCTTAAGTGTGGTTCCTCCCTGTCTGGTGGGTCACTGAGGTGATTAAGTGGTTCAGAGAGGAGCGTTTGTTTTAATATGTATTACTAAAGAGAAAGCTCTTTTTTTTTTTAAGTGAGTTAGTTTAAAGAAAAATATTAAGTAAACGATAGTACAGGCTGTTAGTAGATATATGAAAAACTATGAAGGTGATAGAGCAAAGACTGAGATTAAGGAAACACTAGATAGCTATTAAAAATAAGCCTGTAGTGTGTGTGCAGTGGCTCACACCTGTAATCCCAGCGCTTTGGGAGGCCAGGATGGGCAGATCACATGGGGTCAGGAGTTCAAGACCACCCTAGCCAACATGGTGAAATCCCATCTCTACTAAAAATACAAAAATTGGCCGGGCGTGGTGTCATGCGCCTGTAATTCCTGCTACTTGGGAGGCCGAGGCACAAGAATCACTTGAACCTGGCAGGTGGAGGTTGCAGTGAGCTGAGACTGGGCCACTGTACTCCAGCCTGGGTAACAAGAGGGAGATTCTGTCTCAAAACGAAACAGAAGCATATAAACCAGACCCATACTGTATGAACTTGGGTCATACCATTACACACTGACAACAGCTGGCTAAGTGTAAACTGACAAAAATTAAATTTGGAATCAGACATTTATTTTTCTTCTATAAAATTACTTGAGGGCCTGGGAAACTGAATATTGTTAGAGGTGATGTATTCTCTGCTGTCATAATTTTACAAATGGGCATTTTCATTCATTTTTAAAGTGCTACAAGTGACAAAGTCACTGCCCAGTTCATATGTTGTTCATTAGTTGTTAAATGCCTTAAGTTACTACCAAGAGAGTGAAACATTGGGCAGAATTTCAATTACTGCCATCACATACAGCCTTCACATTGATTCCGAAGCCAGAAGAGACATGTTGTATCTCGTTTATGTTTTAGCCAAATCCTTCTCAGACACAACATTATCACTTAAAGACTGTGAGATAAATTACTACCTTGGCCAATGAACACATTACGTCCTCTGTATGGTTTTTATCAAGTAACTGCCCCAGTGCTCCCATGACGCTGGGCAGGTCCACTTGTTAGGCCAGTGAGGGCCATAGTTCGTTGGTAATTAAGTGTTAACATTGTTACACTCCTTTTTATGGTTACTGGTGACCTGATTTCCAGAACAATTTGTTCACTCCAGATTATGATGATGGCTTTTCAATGAAGCATACAGCCACCGCCCGTTTCCAGAGAAACCACCGCCTCATCAGTGAAATTCTTAGTGAGAGTGTGGTGCCAGACGTTCGGTCAGTTGTCACAACAGCTAGAATGCAGGTCCTCAAACGGCAGGTCCAGTCCTTAATGGTTCATCAGGTAAAGTCATAAAACATTCATTTCAATAAGATGTGCCTATACCACAAATCCCAGGTGATATGATTCCTACACCATGCCTAAATCTACCTGTTAAATATGTCAATCTAACCTGTTCCTGATTTGGAGAAGAGGTTTAAGGAAGTGGACCTTTCCCAGATGTTTAATAAGTTTGTCATTAAAAACTATAATATAGAACCTTGTAATGGAAAGTATATTCGTTAAGAAATACGTGTGAACTTAAGAATTTTGAGGCATCCTATCAATCTTTACTGCTATGCTAAATATTTTTTCCCAAGGAATTGCTCAGGCCTGAAACAGTATTCTTTAACATTTACCTATTGATCATAATCATTTCTTTGTGCTGCATTTTGTATTTTTTAAATCTTAGCTAGACTCATGTGATAAATGATCTAAAGTTCAAAACATTATTTGGTACACTGTTTGAAAGTATGGACCATTAAAAAATGAGACACAATTATGAAGCCTGATCCTGTCTTGCAGCGAAAACTAGAAGCTGAACTTCTTCAAATAGAGGAACGACACCAGGAGAAGAAGAGGAAATTCCTGGAAAGCACAGATTCATTTAACAATGAACTTAAAAGGGTATCTGTTTAATATGTTAACTATACTTTTATCACTATACCTGTTACTTTATTTTTCCTCATTCTTTTTTCCAAAATAGTGTTTTTATTGAATGTTGTTCACTTTGAAACAGGGCTAACTTTATTATAAACCTGTAGGATCCTTTTTTTATAAGATTGTTCCCATTCTCTGGCAAAATTGCAATAAATTTGAAATATCATAGAGTATACACATATCTTCTAGGCCTGTAAATGCTAGAGCCCTCTGATATGTTAAACTCCCATACAGTCATTAATTACTTTCATTTTATTGTGATTTATTCATCAAATGTCGTCATTAAATGTAATTTATAATTTGCACTTTGCATTCAGACAAGGAAATCTAGTTGGTAGCCCAAAATGTAAAACGGAAGCCTTATGTATACCCCAGAACTTTCACTATTTTGCCTCACCAGCTGCTCTGGAATATCCTATATTATACAACTGCTAGAGCTGCTGTTTTTTCTTGTAGACCCAAGAGTTTCAGAGAAGACCTAGAACCACATTTTTTTGGCACACACACACACACATACAGGTGTATAGATATATATATATAGTTTATAGGCAAGAAAACCAACTTTTGAAAGAATATATCTGGCTCAAAAATTATAAGGAAAAAACATTACGGAGTTCTGTTTTTTTCTGATTAGTTGTGCGGTCTGAAAGTAGAAGTGGATATGGAGAAAATTGCAGCTGAGATTGCACAGGCAGAGGAACAGGCCCGCAAAAGGCAGGAGGAAAGGGAGAAGGAGGCCGCAGAGCAAGCTGAGCGCAGTCAGAGCAGCATCGTTCCTGAGGAAGAACAAGCAGCTAACAAAGGCGAGGAGAAGAAAGACGACGAGAACATTCCGATGGAGACAGGTAACCCACTAGCAACAAACGCAGAGGCAGTGCCAAGACTTTGTACGGCTGTCTTTAATTTAGGTTTTTCTTTCTAAGTGCAAGTATTCTGGTACCTGCCACTGAGGGTGATTCCCAGTACTAAATTTGACATGATATTGACATTCAGTATTTTAACCTTTAAATGCTTACATTATTTATCAAGATGTGGTTATTACCGTTAAGATTAATTGTCTTTGGTGTCCTAGGACAGCATTCTGCAAAGTAATACCTGTAAGCCAATCCTGCCCACCACTTGTTTTTGTAAATAAAACTGGAACACAGCCACACTTGTTTGTTTACATACTGTCTGTGGCTGCTTTGGGGATAAAACAGTATAGTTGAGTAGTTGCAACAACAACTGCCTGGCCTGCGAAGTCTAAAATATTTTCTATCTGGCTCTTTACAGAAAAAAATTGCCAGCTCTGTCCTAGAAAAACCCTTACTTCTAGGTATACTGATTTTCCTGATTAAAAGCATCCCTCAAGGTAAAAAATAATAATAATAACTTGTATAAATAAAACTTACATAAAGTACTGATTACATTGATCGTCACTTGTAATTTTGAGATCACCTTACCTCATGGCACTGTTTTAACACTGCCTAGTACACTGTGTAAACAGGACTAAGCTAAAAGTAGTTATGGAAAACAAAACCAAAGGCTTCCTGGAGCATCGTTGCAAGAAGTGGGAGGGACAGTAGTCATACTTGGTACTCAGATGACAACCATCTGGAAAACATGTAATGGAATATAGATATCTTTACCAGGTATTTCTGCAAAATTTAATCCAGCAGATTAACATTTGAAATGGTCATATTTTAAGTTTCAGTATCTGAGTCTCTTTCTGTTTTGTATGAATGTGTTTTTTATTGTAATGAATTTGGAGCATGAGCACATTTTTGTGGTTAAAACGAGCTTGAAAATTAAAATAACTGATTTTTGCTAATTTTGCAACTAGACAAACACTCAGTCCTTTGCCTCTGTTTTGGCATCTATGAATGGGGCATGTCTTATGCTTAAGGTTTGCAGGTCTTTACTCAGATTCTGTCCTAGTTCAAGGAAAAAACCTGAAGAAAATCGTTTGAGACTATTAGAGCTAAAACCTCATGCTTTTAATTTCTTACAGGAAACAGCCCAGCATGACTTTAAACAAAGTGTCTAAAAGACCAACCTTATATTATTTCTACAACTGCTTTCTCCTCGTTTAATCCATAGCACTACAGACTAACTCTCATTCACTGTCCAACAGAAATAAAATGCAAGTCACGTGAAATTTTATATTTTCTACTAGTGACATATTTTTAAAAGTTAAGCAAAACAAGTGTTTTAACAATATGTTTTATTTAATTCAACATATCCTAAATAAAATTATTTCAACACAGAAGGAACATTTTTAAAATCAGCTTTCCTTTTTTTAAACAGTCTTTATACACATCTCAATTCAGAAGCTAAATTTTCATCGGAAGTATTTGATCTGCATTTATTTAATAAATTTCATTCATTTACAGCTAAAAAGTAGATTTTCATACCCAAATTGTTCCAACATTCTTAAAAGTTCTTTAGTCACACTGGTTCATTTCAGGGGTTTAATAACCACATGTGGCTAGTGGCTTCTATATTGGACAGCACAGCTGTATACTGTCAGCATAACTAGAGTAAAATTTCATCTTGGAACTGACAGTGACAAATGTGTGATTACAGAGGAGACACACCTTGAAGAAACAACAGAGAGCCAACAGAATGGTGAAGAAGGCACGTCTACTCCTGAGGACAAGGAGAGTGGGCAGGAGGGGGTCGACAGTATGGCAGAGGAAGGAACCAGTGATAGTAACACTGGCTCGGAGAGCAACAGTGCAACAGTGGAGGAGCCACCAACAGATCCCATACCAGAAGATGAGAAAAAAGAATAAGTGTTGCCTTGTTTTGTGTGTTCTAAATACTTTTTTTAATGAAAAAATGTTTTTTGGTTTTAATGGTGTTACGTGGTTTGTGTATTAATTTTTTTTCTTGTCCATATCACACCACCAAAGGCTTTTGGACCATTTAGCATCATGAGCCTAATGGCTCAGTCAGTCACCTTTCTTAAGTGTTGTGAAGATGGCTCTTTTCTTTGGATCTTGTTTCTAGCCCTCAACTGCTGAAAGCCTCAGAATTTAGATTAATTGAGAAAACACCCACCTCTTTTAGAGAATTATCCTTTGATGCTGCAGAATCTACTCTTACAATGCCTTCCTACAGCTCACTGGGGTGCTTACCAAAGCCATAGCTTTAAACCTTCCCAGTCCCCATCAGTAGCTTCCTGAAAGTCTCCTCTCTTGTTTACTTCTGCAAAGGGTAGCTTCTTAAAAACGTGATCATGTATGAGTATGTATTTGTTCACTTACCCTTTTTTACTTTTAATCAATGTCAGATACCAAGAGTTGTGTTAAGCTGAGTGTAGTGTGTAACTAACTACACTTGGATCTTACTGATCCAGAAATAGTCCCCATAGTTAGAGTAGTTACTTATGAAGTGGTTATTAAAGTGAACACAGCACATATACATTATCTATACTGCTTTTTGTTATGATTAATACTGGGTATGTTCTGGTAAATCCATCCTTATTGTATAGAAAAAAAATTACTTTTTTACCAGGTTTTCCAAAGACAGAATAGATCACAAAGCTCAAGGAATTTAATATTCTTGTAATGGACTAGATAATTCAAACTGATTAGCCCATTCCAGAAGAAAAACAGCTGGGAATTAAGTTAATCCACTTGAAATTGTTTTACAATAATCAGAACATCCAAACCTCAAGGCTCAGGATCCCATAGACCAGAGCCCACCTTTTTGATAAACTTAGTAAAGTCTTGGAGACTAGAAGCAAGATAGTTTGTGACACATAAGCTTCCCAAAAACTAGAATAGATTTTTACTGAATAGTGGTATATCTGATGGTATATGTTTCTTAAAGGTCCAAATGTAATAAAAAAAAAAATGAAAAAAAGGTCTCAGTGTTTTTAATGCACTACATATTTGTATGCAAGACAAGCATCCAGTTTTTTTCTGTAATGCAGTGACAGTGTGGAATGACCACTCAGCCATTATAAATTTGTGTACTCAGGGCCCTTGTCTCACCCAACTATCTCTATAAACTGCTGCAGTAGCTTATTTGTACAAGACACTTGTGAAAATCAGTTTTCTTACATTATAGTCATTGTCACATATGGAAGTTGGTCTTTGATTCCAAAAGTAAAGGGAATATGTTTCTACATTAACAGGAATATGGAGAAATCTGTAACGTTTGAATTATCTTTGAAAGAATGGCTAAATGATAAATGTTAAGTCCTGTGCCTATATGGAGAGGACTCTGTACCAGCATGAGTTAATTTAAGTGGATTCACTGCTATTCAGTTCATAGCACATTAGTGACTAGGAATGTGTGTTCAGCCTCCTGAGAGAGGAGGGGAGGAAGCTTGATACTGGGTGGAAACAACTCTTGACATCTGTTTCCTTGTGTGTCAAAGAACGAATTTGTATCAAATAGATCTGTTTTGAGCTTTGGCCATTATTTGGCTAAGAACTTCAGCCATCTCATCTCAGACAAATTGGACAGCCTCTTTGATACATTTTCTAGTAGTCAAAATGGGGCAGATGTAGTTTAATATGGGTGGAAAACTGCCCCAGCAAGATACCAGGTTATTTACTGTGGTATCGAAAGCTCTAAGAGAATGGAAGTGGTTCTTTTGCCCGGCTGGAAATAGCAGTGGGAAGACAAGTCTATCCAGACCAAGCCTGTCCATACAACACTGGCAATCAGTTGATGAGGGAATTAAGTCAGATGGGAGACGTCTCAATCTGTCGCCCAGGTTGGAGTGCAGTGGTGGCGATCTCAGCTCACTGCAACCTCCACCTCCCAGGTTCAAGCAATTCTCTCTGCCTCAGCCTCTAGAGCAGCTGGGATTACAGGCTCTCGCCACCATGCCCGGTTAATTTTTGTATTTTTTAGTAGAGATGGGGTTTCACCATGTTAGCCAGGCTGATCTTGAACTCGTGACCTCAGGTGATCCGCCTGCCTCAGTCTCCCAAAGTGCTGGGATTACAGGCGTGAGCCACTGTGCCCGGCCTCAGTTGGGATTTGACAGCTCTGAACCTCAGCAGGGGAAGATTGATGTAAAAATCCACTTGGTCAGAGTGATATATGTAGACTTGATGTTTGAGATGGTTCTCAGTTTAGAGAATGTGGGATATGGTAGAGGTCTTTGTTTTTTTCCCATGTCCCAAAAGGTGCTGGGCAAGTAGCTTGAACTCGAGCCTGTTTTAATTATAAAATAGATCAAACTGCTCTTTCTTGGTGCCCTTACTGCTCCTTGATTTTTAGTGCATTTATTTTGAGTATGAATGCATAAAGTCTGAGGGCCTAAATTTTGTTAATTTTTTTTAACAAATGGGAGAGGGGAATCCTCGATAGTCACCCAATTTTCCTTTTTTTTTGAGACAGTCTGACTGTTGCCCAGGCTGGAGTGTAATGGCGCCATCTCGGCTCACTGCAACATCCAGCTCCTGGGTTTCAGCAATTCTCCTGCCTCAGCCTCCTGAGTAGCTGGGATTACAGGCGCCCGCCACCACGCCCGGCTAATTTTTGTATTTTTAGTAGAGACAGGATTTTGCCATGTTTGCCAGCCTGGTCTCGAACTCTTGACCTCCTGATCCACCCTCCTCTGCCTCCCAAAGTGCTGGGATTACAGGCGTGAGCCACCGCGCCCAGCCCCATAGTCCCCCAATTTTCTAACAGTTTTAAATTCTGTAACTTCTCCTGTCTGTAAACAAGGCTGTCTTTTCAAATGGCTCTCCTACAGGATGTGATAATTATCTATTCTATAAAGCCGAGGTTTGGAGAGGTAAATAGCTATTTCACATTAACACAATAATGTCAATGCCCTATGGAAAAGATAAAATACTTGGACTATATTTTAAAGGGGAATCTGGGGTCATGCATATTGAAGTTTAACTAGATCCCTCCAGATTTTTGGTTTTGATCCTACACATTTAGATACTAGTTTTGGATTTTAGACAGTTGGTGCTGACAGTGTGAAACTCCTATTGCCTGCAGTTAAATTGAAGCTTTGGTTTCTCGTGAACAGGCAGTGAAGCTGGTATTATACTTTAAGTCCTCATTTCAGAAATAGTTTCCCTCCACCCCCAAGCACTACCACACATGGTCTCCCCACCTGGTTTCAGCTAGTGCATTAGTTTTATCTTGTTTTTTACCGCTGGGCAAACCTTGCTGGAACAACAACTGACTTCATGATTTGCACATTTGGAGGGCTTAACGTCTTTGCAAATGAAAAATCCACTGTACAATAACAAGCTCAAAGGAACTCGGAGCCTTTTTAGAAGAAATCGTGCTGAATTATAATGTGGCTTACTGCAATAATGTTTCTTTGATCAGGATGGAAAGGAAAATACTGAGTTTAGCAGAAAACGATGTCTAAATGTATTTGTAATGATACAATTGTTTATAAATGTTTTACTATTAGGTTGAACCATAAGAAATTGCCAGTGTACAATTTCATCTACAAAATGACTGGCTTAACCTAAATTCTGCATTTTATACTCCAAGAATAAGCTCTTCGTGGCAGCTTTCTAAGTGTGAAATGATGGAACTTTCTATTTGCCAGAATGACCTACACTTCTCTAATAGTTTATCTCATATTGTTAGCCAAACGCTGATTAAAATGCAAATTTCAAACTATTGAGTTTTTAAGAGCCTGATGTTTAAAATACATTTTGGTGAACTTTTAGTTAAACTAGCTCATTTATGTTCACACATTTTCTCATTTAGCACCAGAAAGTTTCTTACAGCTCTTTTGCATGCATTCAGGAGTCAAAAGTATTATATGGGGAGGGGAAATTCCCAAATGATAAATACTCTTTACATAAAACTGAGACAGTAGCTGCAGATAATGGCTCCCTTTGAGGAGCCACTTGAAAGAAAGGAAAGGCTGCCTTAAACTCCTTGACTTTAAGGGGCAGCAAGGACCCTCGGTCAGCCACCTCCACACCCGTCTAGCACTTGGTCCCAGGTCCCCTAAGGTCGTCATGGTTCTGTTTAAATAAATACTTCTAGTCTTGGGGAGCCCATCATGTCTTAAGATAGCTCATTCCTTCTTTAGTTCACTAAAGGTATTTCCTCTCACTGAACTAAAAATCTGTCTTCCTATAATTTCAGCCTCCCTCTTACACAACTTGAAGTCAATTAGAGTACATGTCATCACCTTCCAAGTAAAAGATCTTCAGGTATTTCAAGACATGTGCTCCTTGAGATCCTTTCAGAAGACAATTTCCGTTTTCTTTTTTAGAATTTTTAATTTTTTTAATGTACAGAAAAATTTGGAACGTAGATAGTTTACATTCTCATTGTCCTGTCGTCTCCCCTCCAATGTGTCTCTCCTGGGATAGAAGGACTGTCTCTTTTCAAACATGGTTTTCTCTAATCTGGTAAAGTCGTGTTTCCTCCCCAGTGTATTGCACTTGAGACACAACATCTCCAGATCATGGAAACCATCTGCCTAAAATACAGGGGTGGTCCCACGATGACCTCAAGGTCCTGTACAGCACAGAAGTTTTGTAACTGTACTACGGATTCAAGCTCCATGAAATGAGTGTTGACGAATGTTTTCAGATGTAGCCCAACGGGGAGCACACAGGTTCAGTTCACTGATCTAGTACTTCTCAAACTCGGTCATTTGCATGCCACCATCACAATTTTTACCATTTCTGGGTACAACTTGTGCTATTATTACTTAGCAGCTTTCTTTGAATCAGCTTCTTCCACTTGAATGATTTATTTTAAAGGGAAACTGTATATCAGCATAAATGTTAAAACCATTGTCTTTTGTCAAAAAAGAAAATAACCTTAACGCAAATATTTTAGTAGTTCTCTTTAGGCCTAAATACGTACTATTTAAAAGAGTATTATTTAAGGCCAAGTCTCAGCACTTTGGGAGGCCAAGGCAGGAGGATCGCTTGTGTTCAGAAGTTCAAGACCAGCCTGGGCAACATAGCAAGACCCTGTCTCTATTTTTTAAATAAAGTTTTTTTTTTTCAAAGAACATTATTTAAATGGTCTGTGTACTACCCAAAATCATCCCAAGGATCCCACATGGTGGTCTGGATAACACGCTTAGGAGAAGACAGCACTAATGGGAAGGTCTATCTTCTGCTACCTGCAGTTGCAGGAGATTTGTCTTTTTAGAAACTATCCCCGGGTCAACAGCGGCTTATAACTCAAGGGCAAATTAGTGAAAGTTAATTCCATGATCACCTAATAATAATAAAAGCCAACATTTGTTGAGCACTTACTGTATGCTCATGCACTTTTTATACTTTTTATTTTCTAATCCCTGAAGATAATATTAGAGTAGATCACTTTACCAATGAAGTTTATATTTGTGATCTTGGGCTTGAGTTGATCAATCAACTCTTACAAACCATTTTTCCTGGAGAGAGGAAAATTAGCCTCAGGCTGTTGTACGAGATATTAAATGACATCAAGATTGAACATCTGTGCTAGGGATTTCATCATTGTGGATCAATAATTCAAAAGACTCAAGACAAAAGAATCCACTCGGAGATCAGTGTTCTTGCAATGGGAGATGTATATGGAAAAACTATTCCTTGTGGAATCCTTTCCTTCTTCCCTCCAAAGCTTTCCATACCACCAAAATGAAAAAGTACACACACACACACAAACACACAGACTTAAATCATTTGTAAGCCTACAATAATAAAAAATACTGTGCTATATAGAGAACTACCCTCATGTCTGATGTATGCTGTGTTATGCGTGCATTTTACCCCTGTTGTGGTTTCCTGTCAATCTGTGAGCAGTGGGGAACCTTTTAAAAGACATCCCTGGTTGGGTGTCAAAAATTTCAGGAAGTACCAAATCAGATGGATTTTCTGCAGAATAACTCTCTGACCTTTAACCACCTCTTCCTGATGTGTGCCGTGGATAGATCTTCCTCCTCCTCAAAAAACACACCACGTATTCTGGGACAATAGCTTTAAAATACCTCCTTGAAGCCATCAAATGTCAGTCAGAGTCTAGGTGGCTGTGGTTGTGGTTCTTAGGTGGGTGGCTCTCAGATTGAGCACAGAATCTCCTAGGGAAGCTGTCTGAACCCCACCCAAGACTACTGAATTAGAGGCTACTAAGGAGAAGCCTAGCAGACTAGCAAAGTTTGGAGAATCACTGATTTGGTTTAATCTCTTCATTTTACCAAAGGGGAAACTGAGGCCCCAAAAAAGAGAAGTGAATGACTCATCTAAGATCCAATTGTCTCAGTGCCAGGGCTGGAATTGTTCTTTACAGCTTCTTCCGGGGAGAGCAGAGCCTCAGGATATTTTTAAAAACATGTTCAAGCCTAGTTGGACTGAACTTTGCCAAGAGTTGGACGTTCTTCAGTGTGCGACACATTCTAATGTTATACTTTTTAATGACATATTATGAATATCATCTCTGTTTTAAAGATGGAGAAACTGAGGTTTAGAAAAGTTAAATAACTTGTCCAAGATCACACAGTTAATTTATGATGGAGACAGGATTCCCACTCAGGTCTATCCGACTCCAGTTCTGTGAGTGATAGGTACCCCATCTATGAGATAAAAACTCAAACTGACAGCCAAGTGACCTTTCCCCCTTCTGCAAATCTTTAAAAGCACCGGTGCTTTTCTCATAACCACTCCAGTTCTTAAAATGATTTTTTTAAGAGAGCGAAGGGCTTAGGAGCAAATGGCTTCTCTTAATAGAGCAGTAATAAAGGCTGGTATCCTAATAGTCGTTTTCCAGATATTTGTGCAGATGGAAACATTCACAATGATGACATTCCAACTTGTAAATACTAGCTCTGTGGGTTTCGGAGGGTTTGTTTTGTTTTGTTCTGTTTGAGATAGTTTCGTTCTGTTGCCCAGGCTGGAGTGCAATGGAGTGATCTCAGCTCACTGCAACCTCCGCCTCCTGGGTTCAAGCAATTCTCCTAACTCAGCCTCCCGAGTAGCTGGGACTACAGCACACGTCATCATGCACAGCTAATTCTTGTATTTTTGGTAGAGACGGGATTTTGCCATGATGGCCAGGCTGGTCTCCAACTCCTGGCCTCAAGTGATCCGCCCTCCTCGGCCTCCCAAAGTGCTTGGATTACAGGCGTAAGCCACTCTGCCTGGCCTAGCTTTGTGTTTTTAAATCATTTTGTGGGTGTTTTCAGCCAGGCACTCCTTAAAAACAGTGTTCACAGCATACCTAATAAACTGTAGTTATTACCCAAAGTATGTGGTTCAACAACAAAAGGTGGGCGAGTGAAAGAATTGATAAATGATCCGACTGTGATGTTATCTGTTCCAAACACTTTGCAACAGAGTTGAACACATCAACAGCAATATATGTGATGCACCAAAGCAGGGGGCTGATGCATGTGGAGCCCCTGGCAACCTGTGCGTGTCAGAAGGGTGCGCTGCCTTGCTGCTGGCTTCAGCCAGGTAATGCCCAAAGTAGGGTCTGTGTGGGTCTGGTCTCTTACCAGAATCGTAGCAAGATTAATTTTTCATTATCACCACCCACTTCGAAAGTAAATTTCATGTTTCCCACTGAGTTTCCCAAGGGAATTGGATAGGTCTACATAAACCAGGGGAAAATGGACAGTTTTAGACACACTTGAAAAAAAATGTGTGTCAGGATAGACACACTTGAAAAAAAATGGATGGGATTCAGGCCCAAAATATGGCACCTTGAAAATAGTGGATGTTTTAAGCTGAACCAATTTCTGAACTTCCCTTGAAGCAGGTCATAAGAACCTCAGGTGACAGGTGCCCTCCCTATACTCAGGGGAAGAGCGCATTTTTATCTGCGAAGAAGAGAAACTGGGCAAACAGGCCTTGCTGAGCTTCCCCCCGCTTTCCCACCCTCAGCTCATCCCCTCTGTCCTATCATATTCTTCCATGACTTTCCACTCTTCATCAAACCCCGTATAAAAACACTCAGGTTTAAACATTTCTTTGGGTCTTCATTTCCTTACAAAAGCCCCTGTATCACATAAAACGTGTATTAAATAAATATATATGCTTCTCTCTTTCTAGCCTGACTTTTGTTACAGAGATCCTGCCAAGAACCTGGAAAGACAGAATTAAAAAATGTGTCCTCCCCAACAAAATCAAAGCGATTTTTTTTTTCTCTGTCCTAGATTGTTCTAGGTCAATGCAACTGGAGCATCCTGCTGTCAGGGTAGTTGCAGCCAGAACACATTTGGAGTTTGACAGCCTGAAACAACCACAATTCATTTATACATGATTTGCTTTCTCAGGATGAAGAAACAGAGACTTGTCTGACACGGTCACTCCCTCTTGGCCAATAAGCATCAGTTTCCTGACACAAGCGTTTCCTGGGGGAGGGTTAAGGAGATCGGTTGTTTTCTAACCCGCTCCTGAGTCTGATGGTGTCCAGGTGACGTGATATTTTCCGGGCGATGGTGTCCGGGTGACATGATATCTTCCACCTGGGACAGCAACTGCTCAATCCATCCGGCACCTGCCTCCTGAGCTTTTCCTCCAGCGCCCTCTACAGGAGCTTGTTAAGCACTGGATGCCGAGAACTAGGAGAACTCTGTCCCCGCTTACCTGGGACTGAGGAAGGACATTCAGTGATAAAACCAGGCAAGTCCCGGGAAAACGGAAACAAGCTGATCACCCTAATAAATAAAAAAGGGGGCCGGACGCGGTAGTTCACGCCTGTAATCCCAGCACTTTGGGAGGCCAAGGCGGGCGGATCACGAGGTCAGGAGTTCAAGACCAGCCTGACCAAGATGGTGAAACCCCGTCTCTACTAAAACTACAAAAATCAGCCAGATGCGGTGGCAGGTGCCTGTAATCTCAGCTACTCGGGAGGCTGAGGCAGGAGAATTGCTTGAACCTGGGCGGCAGAGGGTGCAGTGAGCCGAGATTACGCCACTGCACTCCAGCCTGGGAGGCAGAGTGAGACTCCATCTCAAAAAAAAAAAAATAGACCTACGCTGGAGGGTCTGGTGGGGACCCTGCGCTATTAAACCTTCATAAATGTATGGTTGAAGTTGGGGGATGGGGAAGGTATCTTAGTCAAAGTCCCCAAGGCCTGTGAAGCAGCACAGTGTCCGATTCTGCAGCCCAAGCTGGGCAAGAGCCTGGTGACTTACAGGATTCCTCGTGAGTTGTCAATCACTCTTAACTTTCATTCACTCAACAAACAACTGCTGAGCACTTTTTATATGCCAGGAACCCTCCTTGGCACCAGTAATAAAAGATGCAGTATGGCATGGTCCCTGCTAGAGGAGGTGTCTACACAAGTGGCAAGTGTCCAGTGGGCAAGTGCTCCATGAATGAAAGTCCTTGACAGATGTGACCTGGAAATGCCCTTACACTGCTGACAGGTAGGAGCGCCTTTCCGCAGGCACCTGAACACAGCCGGAGCCATTTGGCAGGGGTCGGGCCAAGGGCCGGGCTGAGGGGCAGGACGTGAAGATGAGTTGGGTCTAACCCTGTTCCACGGCTCCACCTCCTCTCTGCCGGGGCCCCAGGGCAGAGTCCAGAAAAGACAAGCAAACACATTGGTTTGAAAGGTAAAAGAAATAATTAAATTTTCAGCTGCAGGAAGTTGGCTGAGTAAATTATGATCCTAAAGGTATTTTGTGCCTTAACGATGATGAGAAAGATTATGTAGCCACATGGGACCGTGCAAACTAGGTTTCTTCAAAAAGTAAATGTATATTAGGATCATGCAATTAAACACGCTATCAGATGAAGACTGGTTGGGAAAACAAACTGGATCCGGTGTGTTCAGTGTTAAGATTATGGGCGATCTCTTATTCTTCTCTTTTCAAAACCGGGTTTACTACAATTAAATCATTTTTATAATAAGCAAGGATAAATGTCCTAAATGTTATAGAAGTCATATGTACAAAATTCTACTGAAAAAAATAGTTTTTTAAAAAAATTACTGCCATAAATTAGACCTGTTACAAAAGGAATAGAGAACAGCCCTGAATTATCTGCTACTAGGTACTCATAAAGAAATTTTTTTTTTGAGAGTCTCTGTTGCCCAGGCTTGAGTGCAGTGGCGTGATCTCGGCTCCCTGAACCTCCACCTCCCGGGTTCAAGCAATTCTCCTGCCTCATTCTCCCTAGTAACTGGGATTACACGCATGTCCCACCATACCCAGCTAATTTTTGTATTTTTTAGTAGAGAGAGTGTTTTGCCATGTTGGCCAGGCTGGTCTCGAACTCCTGGCCTCAAGTGATCCACCCGTCTCAGCCTCCGAAAGTGCTGGGATTACAGGCGTGAGCCACCACACCTGGCGCAAAAAAAAAAAAAAAAAAAAAGTTGCACGAGGGAATTAATTTTAATTCTCCTTTCAACTCATAGGGCGTAATTATTTTGTCCATCTTCCCACCCTACTGCTGCCAGAGGTTGTGTCAGAACATGAGGCCAGAAGGGAATCCACCCAAATCGTGTCGGATTAGCTTAGCTGCCTCCAGGCAGGCTCGGAAATGTAATCAGAGGCTGGTGTCCTTCCAAGAGACGATCTTTGAAGGATAACAAACCCAGGCTGCCATCAAAATGAGGAGATGGAGACTGATTCAACAGCAGTGCCAGGCAAGCAGCAGCGTCTCACAGCACAGGTTGTGCACGACGGCTAAGGAGGGAAAGCGGCTGCAGGGCACGTTCTCAGCTGCAGAGGGCCCAGCTCTCAGGATCAGAGACAGGTCCAGGGCTACCTCACAGCACCTCACACCACGGGCCCCTGCGACCTCCACTCCTTGATATTTCACAAAAGGCTTGAGATTGTGCAAGTGTTAAAGACAGGACACTTCCTGTTTGTCCAGTTTCAAACCTCTACAGATGTCAGTAAAATGACAGCACATTAAATTCCCCACCCAGGGCCCAGCCCAGCACTCAAGGCTTCTCCCCAGGGATGACTGGGCCTTGATTGAGGAGAAAGAAGTAGGTATTAACTTGTAGGATATTTGAGTCGTTGTTAAATCAACTCTGTCCATTTGGAAACATGGTTCTTGGGTCAGAGGTGGCTGCTCTTGGAGGTGGTCCCATCCCTTCACTCTTTATAGCTCACCCTACTCTGTACCCCCAGAAAGAAGGAGCTGGAATACATCTGTGTGGAATTTCTTCTGGCCTCACCCTGAAAACCAACCCTCTCCCAAACTGGTAGACTGGGTAGATTTCTACACTGCCAGAAATTAACAAGATTTCTACCCCCTTTCTCCTGCCTAAACCAGCAAACTGGTCTGTCGTTCCCAAGCGCCCGGCTAGGTGCCCCCTGAGCCCACAGTCCTGATCCTCATGAGACTTCAGCTCTTCCAGATTCCTGGGAGAAATCTGCTATGGACCCTCCTTCCAGCTCTCTCCCCGGCCTCTTCCTGGAAAGCAAACAGCCACTTCTTCAGAAAATAAGATGGTAGACAGAGGCCATCCTCTGAGATCCAATGATAAATCTTGTCCTTTTGCTCATGCAGTACTTACTGATGGCTTAATGAAGAGCCAAGTGATGGGGGAAACTCAGAGGTGAAGGAGACCTGGGTTCAGCCCCAAGGAGTCAGAACCTTGGAGACAGAACAAAGAAATGAACCAAAACCCTCTGGCAGTTGTCATATGCATGGCCCCCTGAACCAGGGGAGCTCAGAAAGGGAAGACAGGCACTCCTAAGGGAAGGCCTCATGGAAGCACAGCTTCTGAGCAGTTGGGAGAGGGCAGCGGAAGTGGAGAGAAGGGGATTGCATGAGGGAGTGAAGGCTCTATGGGGAAAGTCCAGGGCAGAGATGGGAAGGAGCAGAGACTAGCCAGAAGGACAGGAGGGGCTGGCCAGTGCAGGCTGGGAGAGGCTCAGGGCTCTGATCCCCAACCCAGACTGAATCTAGGATCAACTCACCATACTTGTCTGAGAGGCATAAGAATGGGCCTCGGAGTGCATGAGGGGGAGAGGGGCCCTGTGTACCCAGGTCCTACAGTGGCTCATTTTCAGCCCTGCTGGCATGCCAAATGGCCCTGCGCTTGATCTCTGCCAAACAAAGTGAAGACTGCCCCTTCTCTCCTGACATCCCTGATCCCCAGCTTCTCTTCCAGTCCCAGTTTCCCAATCCCCAGCCAAAACTCCCAGGAGGCAGGAGAGGACCACCTAATCTCCCTTCCCAGCAAGTCCCCTTTCTGTTCTCAGTTCAACTGAGCCACACTACCGCCTTTCCCAAAGGGCGATGGGAACAGGGACCTGAATTTCTGGGACCATCTCTATTTCAAATACACTGGCCCCCTGGCGCCTTGGACCTTCACACTTGCCCGGTTGTGTGTTGCTGATTTTTAGTGCAGAGCATGAGGTCACCAGAGCAGGGGGCCCTGGATTGGGAGACTATGCCCTGGGACTGGGCATCAGGGCTCCAACGTGCAATGGTGAGGCTGCCTTGGTCCTGTGTAGCGCTCCCTCTCCTCCCCTCCCCACCACGCTTCCATTCCATCCTCACACTGTGTTTGTGTCCATGTCTGTCTGCATCAGGAGAACAGCCACCTCTTGGAGAACGAGGGCTCCATCTCATTTGCCTCCAGATTCTCCCTGCTTCCCACTAGCCAGCTGCATGTTTTGAGTTGTCAATGAAATCTGTTAAACAACAAGAAAATTTGGAAACATGCCTACTGGACTCTGGGGAAGATACCCCTGTCTTGGCAGTAGATACTGCACTTGGGAGCTCTCAACTGGGAGGGCTTGGGCCTTGGAGTCGGAGATCTCCAATAGCCAGGAGAGGCTGGTGGTTGGGAGAGATCAGCAGATGCTGAATCGGTGCTCGGAAGTCCAGCTCCTCCGCCTTCCATGGCCGAAGGGCTCCACCCAGAGGACAGTCAGCTTAATCCCTGTTCACACAGACCTTTCTCCACCAGGTGTAGAGAAGGCTCTGCCCAGCTTTCATGAAGAAACTCAGAAACCCCCAGTGCCTCTCCAGAATGACTGTAAAATACCTCCTTCTGCCAGAAGAGCCAGTCCTCAGCCCTTCCCTCCAGCCCCAGGAATGCCCCCTGTCTGCAAATAAGAGTGGAATTGGGGCAGTTCAGAATTCTGCCTCCCACCTGGGGGAGCTCTGAGAACCAAATGAGGCAGGCTGTAGATGGGAACAAGCTACAAAAAAAAAAAAAAGTACACAGCACTGTTCAAACCCTAGGGGGTTTTTGGTTGTTGTCTACAAGGCAAGAGGTGCTTTAAGAAAATTCTCCCCTCCTGTTTTCACTTCCTCTTCTCTCTCTTAACCCTGGGAAGGGGAAAATCCTACAAAGATTAGCAGCTGATGTGTGAAAGAACCAAAACAACATTCTTCTAGTTGCATTTTAACAGTATCTTCTGGCAGCCACCACGGGACTGGGTTCTGATGTTCCCAGCTCAAGGCCAGAAAGAATCACTGGATCAGAATGAAGCGTGCAGTTGGAAGAGATCTTAAAGGCCCTCTAGTCCAATGCACCAACACGCTGTCCTGTTAAAGTGTGTCAAATTGTGCCCTGGAGCATAGCCGCCTCCAGGTGAAGGGTGAGCACTACCATATCGGCAGCCCTGTTGAGGACATTGGCTCTGGGTTATGCTAAACCACATGGGCCCACTATCCACTCACCTGCGGCAGGGGCCGTGTTGTATTTCAATGGCACAGAGAACCCAGGGATGCCCTCATCCTGCCCAGCCTTGTTGTGATCCTCCTCTCACAACAAGTTCCCGGGGGAGCCAGGCCAAGGAGCTCATGAGAGGAAATGGGAGTCAAAGTCCCGCTGCTGTCCCCAGCTGCACCCACACCAGGGATGTCACCGAGCTCTGAGAACAGTTCCTAGACTAACTGGTATTGATCGTAATGAATCTTTGTGCTACACATGGTGCAAGGCCCTGGGATGAGCAAAACTGGGAGCAACCAGTAAGAGAGAAGGACATGTTCAGAGGGTCTGGGAAGTGGGAAAATGAGGTGTGAAGAGTGTAGCTAAAAGGTGGCCCCAGCAGGCCTCTGAGGGAAACCAAGCCATGACACACACTGACACTCTGCTCCGGTGCTGCCCCACACCTCCCCAGCCTGACGAACGCCTGCCCTGCTGTCAGGATGCAGCCCAAATGTGCCTTCCTCTGCAAAGCCTTTCCCAGCATCTCCACTTCCAGAGAGAGACCGACGCGCCCCCGTCTGTGGCTTAGACAGTCTGTGTCTTCTACCAAAGAAGGTGTTTCCAGCCTGAGGCACCATGGTATCCCCCAGAGCCTGGCTCATGATGGGTATTAAAGAAATATTTTTAATTAATTAATTAATTTTTTAACAATAGGGTCTCACTCTGTCACCCAGGCTGGAGTGCAGTGGCACAATCATAGCTCACTGCAGCCTCCAAGTCTTGGGCTCAAGCGATCCTCCCACCTCAGCCTCCCAAGTAGCTAAGACTACAGGTACACTGCTCTGTCTGGATTTATTTTTTAATTTTTTGTAGAGACAAGGTCTCGCTATGTCACCCAGGCTAGTCTTGAACTCCTGACCTCAAGGGATCCTCCTGCCTCAGCCTCCCAAAGTGCTGGGACTACAGGTGTGAGCCACTGCACCTGTCCTGAAGAAATATGTGTTGGCTTTCATATTTGTGCCCCAAGTGACTAATACAATATATTACAGAATAGAAGCTGGGCAAATATTCCATGAATGAATGAATGAATGAATGAATGAATGAATACCAAATGGTTATAGGGCTCACATATGGCCAGCCCTAACGACAGGTAACCTATCTCCCACCATTTATGTTTCCCACAGAGCTTCACAGAGAAGCAACCACTTCACTGGAAAGACCAACTCAACTCAATAAATATTTACTAATATTTACAATAAATATTACAACTCATCCAATAAATATTTACTGAGCTCCTACAATGTATCAGGCTCTGTTCTAGGTGCTGGGGACACAACAATGTACAAAACACAAAGCCCTCTGCCTTAGGGAGTTCCCATCCAGTGGAGAAAGAGGCCGACTGTGCCGGTTGTGTCACGCACACTTGCTCTTTCCACTCACACCTTCCCCCTCTCCACCCCAGGACCCGCTTGTGATCCTGCCTCCTTCCAAGAGAACCTGCACCTTGATTTCCCCTTCCCAGCAAGTCCCTGTCTGTCCTCAGTTCAACTAAGCCACACTACTGCCTTTCCCAAAAGGCAATGGGAACAGGGACCTGAATTCCTGGTCTCATTGCCCTTTGGGCATCTCGATTTCAAATATGCTGGCCCCCTAGTGCCTTGGACCTTCACATTTGCCTGATCATGTGTTGCTGATTTTTAGTGCAGAGCATGTGGTCACCAGAGCCGAGGGCCCTGGACTGGGAGACTCTGCCCTGGACAGTGTCTTCCCGAGGGGTAAGGGATGAGTGAGTCGCGAAGGGTAACTGGAAGGGAGTAATGGGGTGATGGCAGTCATCAGTGGCAGATTCGAGGGAGGTGCTACTTTTGCTTCCTGGTCCTCAGATCTCACTCTGCATCCGCTGACAGCGTCTTCTGCCTTTGGGTGGAACTGGCCCCCCTGTTTTAATTAAACTGAATTAAATAGAATCAGCTTTCATAACTGGATGATGCAGAAATGTCCTGACAGTCACCCTCGCCCGGGGCACCTTGCCAGCACTGGGTCTTTGAAGTGTCCTGATCCCTGGTTTCCTCCTCAGGTGCGTCACTAGCTTCTCTGGCTACCTGGTTTCCGGCAAGGAGTCTGTTAGCGCTCACACTTGTTTTTTTGCAAGCGTTTGGAGAGGAGGTTGCAAGGCTCTGGGATGACAGTTTGCTGGAATGTGGGCACTGTTCTTAGGCAGCATTGCCCACTTTCCCGGGTGGCATGACTACCTCACTAGGCACTGGAGGCGGGTGCTGAAAGGCTCTGAGAGACTCACTTGCACAGAATGAGGGGGTGTGCATCAGCTTTAGAGACTTGGCCAATATGGTTTTCCCACAAAGAAAGGCACCCAGCACACTCTCAATAAAGACTCATTAATTTGAAAAAAAAAAAAAAAAAAGATACAAAATGCCTGAGAACAACTGTCTAAGTTGTCATGTGGTGAATGGTTGCAAAACAATATTATAGCAAATGATCTTTTTTTAAAAAAATTTGTTTCTTTTTATTTAATAATATACCTTCCAGCAAATGACCTTCTCTGAATTAGGTTTTCATGACATGGATTTGTTAAAGGTTTGAAGTGAATTGCATCCTTCCTGAATTACCTTTTCCTGCATCCTCGATAAAGTTGAGAGGCTGGTGGCTCCTGAAAGTAGCAATCATCTTTACATAATCCTTTTCACAACCACAGCACAAGGGAGGGGTGTCAGTATGCTCCCACACCAGAAGAAAGCCTTATGATTCTGCAATCATGGGGAATTCAAAAGATAGTGTTGTGCTGTACGGTCCGCATTTCATAGTTAATAAGTAATATCCTCTTCACTCCTTTTCTTTTTCTGCCAGTAAATTGAGCTTGGCAGGCCTGCTATTTTCCTTATAATGCCAACTGATGAAATTGCCTCCCAAATGCAAGCCATCGTCATTAACACAAGTGTCTCAGAAGGAGATGCAGAAGATGGCCTCCTTCCCCTCCAGCTGGGGAGAGACAGCTGCCACTCTACATTAAAAAGCCAGTTCAAAGAATCAGATATGATAAAGTGTTAGGTTGAAAACTTTCACAAGAACATAAATCTTGCTCTTCGGGGCAACAAGCAGACTCATGTGAATATTCATCACTGTTCCTGGTAAGTCTTGGGTTGAATAAATCTGTCCCTGGACTCATTTCGTTCAACAAAAGGGATCTCGCAAGGCTCCTAAGACTTTATTTTTCGTTTCTCCTAGTTAGTTAGTTAGAGTTAGGATTTCACTCTGTTGCCCAGGCTGGAGTGCACTGGCTCGATCATAGCTCACTGCAGCCTCCAACTCTTGGACTCAAGCGATCCTCCTGCCTTAGCCTTCCGAGTACCCAGTATTACAGGCACGCACCACCATGCCTGGCTATTTTCTTTTTAATTTTTTGTACAGATGGGGGTCTCACCATGTTGCTCAGGCTGGCCTCAAACTCCTGGCCTCAAGTGACCCTCCTGCCTCAGCCTCCCAAAGCGCTGGAATTACAGGTGTGAGCCACCACACCCAGCCAAGACTCCTAAGGCTTTAGAAATAGTTGCCTTGTCCTCTAATAAGAAACCCCCAAAGAGAGCTGTAATTCTGACTGGTTTTCTCACTTGGGAATGGTTGTCTTGGAAGGAGCATTGCAGCTGACATCTCTGTATTTCTAAACTGTTTTGTGGGCTTTCTCTATGAAATCAGGAGTCACTGCCACATTCCTCTTCTTCCACTTGCACAGTAGGGCAAATGAAACCTAAGTCCATGCTGGCTATATAAACACAACTTGAAAGGCTCAGTTGTTGAAATTAACAGGAATAAGCATTTTTTCCCTATTGAATCACCTATTGGATCATTCAAAATTCACAGTGGGGCCAGGCACAGTGGCTCATGCCTGTAATCTCAGCATTTAAGGAGGCCAAGGCTGGAGATCACTTGAGCCCAGGAGTTTGAGATAAGCCTGGGCAAAATAGTGAGACCCTATCTCTACAAAAAAAAAAAAAAAAAAAGGATTAGCTGGGCATGGTGGTGAGAGCCTATATTCCCAGCTACTTGGGAGGCTGAGGTGGGAGGATCGCTTGAGCCCAGGAGGTCGAGGCTGCAGTGAGCCGAGATTGCACCACTGCACTCCAGCTGGGGACTTGTGCTCTCTCCCTGCTCTCTCTGCCTCTTCTCTCCCCTAGAAGCCCTCCTGGTCCAACCTGAACTTCTCCTTTAGATCCTTCAGTCTTCAGTGTGAAACAAGGTGAGTCTTTATCACTAAATCCCTTTCTCTTTGTTTTGTTTTACCAATGATTTTTCCTCATCTGGGATAAAGGGTGGGGAAGGAAAGAGGGGAGTGAGGGAAGTGAGTGATGGGAAAAGCAATAATCACTCATCACTAACAGTCACTCATTAAAAAGCAGCATCTCAATTAAAACTATGAAACTATGTTCATCGAGTTCAGTCTCACCCTGCAGAGTCAAATTTTGACTTTCAGTTGCCCCCATCAGGTCTAGTTGAGACTGATTAGTCAGACATAAATCATGGAGCTGGCTCATTCTCAGGACCCTTCAGGACTTCTCAGAAGCAGCAGCACTCTCATGTCCACAGTCTATTTCCCTGACCACCCCCAACACACACAAAAAATTACATCTTCTTATAAGTGTAATCGACCTGATTCTGAGAACTGTTCTCATTGGTTGCAGTTTGCTGAAGTGTAACCAACTACTGTGCCCTTGGAGCTCACATCATTCCCTTCCATGAGGCTGCTACTTCTCCATCCCAGTCTTGGCTAATCAAAACCCCACTCTCCACTGGTTAAACACATTCAATACACCCTTATCATGGACCATGAGGCAGGCATTAAAAGTGATGTTGTGGTAGAAAATTTAATAGTTCATGACATATTTATACTATAAAAATAGTTTACCAAACAACAGGTGTTATAAGTATAAACCCATTTTAAACTGTTTTTTTCATGGACAGATATGGTCATCTCTAAAGGGTTTTTATTTTCCCTCTTGTGCTTTTCAACATTTCACAACATTTTACAATGAGTACTTTTGGGTGTTTTTATGTTTTATTTTTTGAGACAGACAGGGTCTCACTCTGTTGTCCAGTCTGGAGTGCAGTGGCACGATTACAGCTCACTGTAGCCTCAACCTTCTGGGTTGCTCAAGCAATCCTCCCACATCAGTCTCCCAAGTAGCTGAGACCACAGGCATGCACTACTATGCCTGGTTAATTTATGTATTAATTTTTGTACAGACTGGGTCTTCCTATGTTGCCCAAGCTGGTCTCAAATTCCTGGGCTCAAGCAATCCTCCTGCCTCTGCCTCCCAAAATGTTGGGATTACAGGCATGAACCACTGCACCTGGCCACAGTGAGTAGTTTTGTAATGGAACAAATGTGAAAAGAAAACATCCTATCTGTTACAGGCTTCATTGTGTCTCCCCACTCAAATTCATACATTGAATTCCTAACCCCCAGTACCTCATAATGGGACTGTATTTGGAGACAAGGCCTTCCTGGAGATAAAGAACACCAGTCATATTGGATTGGGGCCCATGGATATGACCTCATTTTACCTTAATGAAGTCAATGGTGGGCTCTCATCCAATATGACTGGCATCCTTATAGGAAGAGGAGATCGGGGCCGGGTGTGGTGGCTCATGCCTGTAATCCCAGCACTTTGGGAGGCCAAGGTGGGTGGATCACCTGAGGTCAGGAGTTTGAGACCAGCCTGGCCAACAGGGTGAAACCCCATCTCTACTAAAAATACAAAAAATTAGCGGGGCGTGGTGGCACATGCCTGAAATCCCAGCTACTAGGGAGGCTGAGGCAGGAGAATCGCTTGAACCCAGGAGGCAGAGGTTGCAGTGAGCCAAGATCTCGCCATTGCACTCCAGCCTGGATGATAGAACAAGACTCGATCTTGGGGAAAAAAAAAAAAAAGGAAGAGGAGATCAGGACCCAGACAACACAGACCACCACATGAGGACATAGCAAGAAGGTGGCCATCTGCAAGCCACAGAGAGTGTCCTCAGAAGAAACCAGAAGAAACAATGCTGGAAACCCCTTGATCTTGGACTTCTGGCCTCTAGAACTATAAGAAAATAAATGTCTGTTGTTTAAGCCACTGAGTCTGTGGTATTGTTTACAGCAACCCTAGGAAACTAAGATACCACCCATCTTTCAAAGACCAGCTCCAATGCCAGGCCTGCCACGAAACCGCCCATTCCCAAACTTCCCCTCCACCCAGGCTTTTGTGGCTATGGCTTTTGTGTCATTTGGCCTTGTTTAGAGTAACCTTTGCTCACCCTTCTCCCCTGCTAAGCTTCCTAAGAGTGAGGTCTGGGTCTCATTTGTCTTTTTTAATTCCACCACTGCTTGTCTGGATGTCTGGGAGGGCTCATTAGAGGCTGTTGAAAAAATGAGAGGACAACTTCCCTGGGATGCCAGGGGTTGGGGTGGGGGGTGGGCGGGGTCAGACTATGGAGATGTTTCGTGGTGCTGATGCTGGTGGTGGTGTGTGTGCCTGTGCAAGTATATATATGTATGTATATATGTGTATATGTGTGTGCATATGTGAGTGTGTACATGTGTGTATGTGTTTTGGGGGAGGGTGTGGTCATTGCAGGAAAATGCCACCTCTTACCAATTGTGTGATTTTTGGGGTCAGTCATACTTCACACCCAAGCCTTAGGAGTTTACAAAGCATTCTCATGTATATTCTCTCATTTGGTTGCCATAACAATCTGCCAACGTTACATATCATTTCCTCCTGCTCATGGGTGAGGTAACCATCCTCAGAGTAGGTGCAGAACAACACATTTAATGATGAAAACTTCACAACGATAAGGGCGGGAATGTGCTGAGGTCCTGGTGCCACACCGAATGGCTGCATGCCTTGTCCCCATTCATCCTCATGACCAGCCCGTGGAAAAGGAATATTTCACAGATAAGGAAATTGAGGCTCAGAGGGGTTGCCTGGATCACACAGCTCAGAAAGGATAGAGCTGAGACTGAAACTCAGGCTGATAGATCCACAGCCCACACTGAATCACAATGCATGCCGTCCTCTTCCCACATAAATAAGTTTATAGAGGGGGCTAAATGTGGGGCATAAACAGATATTGCTCCAAAACTCAGAGGCTGAGTTGGTCTGGAAAGACTTCTGACAACAAGGTGAGAGTTGACACAGCTGAGTAGAGAGGATGCGGTGGGGCCAGCCTGCCCTCCCCCAACCCCCCGCTCCGAGTGCTCTTTGCAGCAAAGAGTCTCGCCAATCAGGTTTAACCACCCAATCCAACTCCCCACACCCCACAGGACCCCCCAGCATGTACTGGCCACTGCACTGGGAGGTGCAGGGACACAGAGAGGATTAAGAGAAGGTCTCTGCCTCTCAGGAGCCATCTCCTAGGGAGGGCAGGTGGGTGCATAATGATTGATTCAAGACCTAAGCAGACATGAATCAATTACACTGCCATTACTTTAATGTTCTATCCAGGGCTTCGAGGGAAAAGCTCTGGTCCCAATTCTGCCACTATTTGCTAGGAGACTTTAGGCAAATCACAGCCCATCTTGTGGCTTCAACTTCCCTACCTGGAAATGGAGTCACTGAATATGTACTGCAGAATGACTTCTGTGGGCCAGCTTCAATCATTTACATCCAATTTCCATTCTCCCAGGCCCACCTCCCAGTTCCACACCATCAAAACCTCTAACCCTGACAATTAAAATTTTTTAAAGCAGCCTATGTCTTGAAGAAGGGGGTGGAAATAGCACTGATCGCCAGCTTACACCCCAAGCCATCCTTGGCCCCAGGGTAAAAGACCCAGCAAGGCCACAGCACACCCTCCTGGGCTGGATGAAGTTCTCGGAGGAGATGGTGTAAATGGATTAGCCACACGGGCTCCAGGAGAGCACCACCCCTCTGAATTCAGTGCCAGCGCTCTGTGGGCCTCTCCTAGCTTTGGCTCCTCTTCTTGAACACTCTCCTCCTAGAAAAGGTTCCTAAGAGGCCGGGGAAAACCTCTCATTGGCTTATTTCTTGTAAGACTCAAAGAGACAAGAGGGAGTCTTAAAGAATTGGCTCAACAAGATTTTCTCACTTAAGGCGGGAAACAGTGGCTCACGCCTAAAATCTTAGTGTCAGAGGTGTTCAAATCAGAGCAACTCCATTTTGAGTGAGGGCTAGGAAAATAAGGCTGAGACTTGCTGGGCTGCATTCCCAGAAAGTTAGGCATTCCTAGCCTCTAGATGTTTACGATTAAGGGAACAAACTAATAATGTTTACTAAAACAGACCCAGACTTGGGAGTGTCCAGATGTCCTGATATCTGGAGAACAAAGGCATTCCTAGTTTTACTTTAAAGATAATAATATCGACTCTTGCAAAATATAGTAATTAAGAAAATTAATCCTTTATCACAAACCCTTATAGCAGAGTACACCTCCTCATATAGACAAGCATTGTACCTAGGGTGGATGCGTTCCTCCTCTAACTTTTGGGAACATCCTACTCTGTCTATGCAGTAGCTGTCCTTTCGCCACTGTACTTTCTTAATAAACTTGCTTTTGCTTTGCACTGCGGACTCGCCCTGAATTTTTTCTTGCGTGAGATCCAAGAATCCTCTTTTGGGGTCTGGATCAGGACCCCTTTTCTGTAACACTAGCACTTTCAGAGGCCGAGGCAGATGGATTGCTTGGGCCCAGGAGTTTGAGACCAGCCTAGGCAATGTGGTGAAACCCCATCTCTACTACAAACACAAAAATTAGCCAGGTGTGCTGGTGCACACCTGTAGTCCCTGCTACTAGGGAGGCTGAGATGGGAAGATCACTTGAGCCTGGGAAATTGAGGCTGCAGTGACCCATGACTGTGACACTGTACTCCAGCCTGGCCAGCAGAGAGAGACCCTGTCTCAAAAAAGAAAAAAAAAACCTCTCTTAGGTACACAAGTTGAATAAATGGAAATATTTCCCTGACTGGGTCCGGTTGACCAATGCAAAGTTGCTTTACATTCTAGGGCACATTTAGCACCTTGGTACGAATTTGGTTTCTTTTCTTCATATTTTTTTGTAGTGATAGGAGAAAAACTACATGCAGAGGAAAATTCCTTCTATGGACTAAGCCCTTCACTTTCTTAACCTCAGTTTTCAAGGTTAGATGTCCAAGCAAAATTTTAAGAAACTTCTGCTACAATAAGATGATTCCCTTCTCTGAAAGGTAAGAAAGTGGGGGGGTCTCCTCCTTCCATGGGTTCCCCATTCTACAATCCCAGGGCTGCCTAATCATTACAGGGTCTCTCTTAATGCTCTCGAAGTTGGCATTCTACAACTCACCCAGCATCTCCAGGGGCTGGGGCTATATAAGAAAACCTCATCTTCCTGAGCAGCTACAGAACCCAAAAAGATGTGGTGAAAGACAGATTTCCCAGTAGCTGCACCCACAGGGTTCCGGGGCCTACAAGCTGAAACCTATAGCAGGTGAATCTCCTGTGTGAGAGCCAAGCCAAACACACTACCAACACTGCCATTCACCCCACGCACAAAGAAAATGCACCCAAGTCTCTGTCATGCACTCGTCTGACAAGGCGGTGACACATCTCTCTGCCCAGCACTGTATTCTTCACTGGGAGTTCAAAAATGAGAAGACAAAGTTCGTGTCTCTAGGAACTCAAGTTCTAGTGGGGGAACACAGAGGTCTCCGATCCTTCTCACCCTTCACCTCCACCCCAACCCTGTAACCCTGATATCAAAAGGTGAGACAAGCTGGGTTTCGTCAACTTGGAAAAACCATGGGGCTGGGCTGTTGGATACCATTTTAGCTAAGAACCCAGCAGAATCTGAGGAGTTTAGGATCTGCAGTCATCATGGTAGTTTCGGGCAACCTTCTATGAAGCACTATTTGGGGTTATGTGCCTAAGAAGGGACAAGCCTACAAAAGCCTGGACACACAGCCTGCTCCCCGCCAAGGAAATAAAATGATACAAACAGACAAAGATGTAGGCAGCAGAGACCCATGCTGGGACAGGCAGCCAACTGGGGAAAAGTGTGAGTCCAGGCCCCAGGCTCTGTGTACAGGCCTGGAGGTCTGGGCCCAGAAACCAGAGGTGGAAACTGTTACCACCTGTCTTTTTCTGGCTGTCGGGGTATGGAAGGTGAGTGAGGGGTAGACTAAACTCATACAAACCGCATCCTAGCCCAAACGACTTGGTGCTAAAAGGCTGAGTCTGATCGGGTCTGGTTGGGTCTAGTCAGGCATGCAGCTTAAATACCACCCATGCCCTAAGTGGACTAAAAGTCAGCACAGGCACCTGAGTTCAAGCTACAGCGCTGCACCTTGCTTGCTATGCCCCCTTCAAAAAACCTCTGCTTCTCTTTAAGCTTTAGCTTCCTCGTGTGTAAACTGGGGAACGTTCCCAGTGCTTACCTGTAGGGTTGTTTTGAGGATAAAATGAGACAACTAGTACAAAGCACTTGGACAGTGGTACACTGTTATTATCAGCCACGTAGATCCCTTCCAATCCTCTCAGCTAAAAATGACCTCTGCCCCATTTTGAACTCACATCACAGCCTGGCTCTGTCTCTTATTTACTGCCCTTGAAGGGAAGATCCCTATTTGATTCAATCCACAGCATCTCATTAGAATTCAAATGATGAGTGAGGATTTAAACAATTCTTGTGAGAGAGGGTGGGGGGAAAGAAAGAACTTAGAAACAATGATGTTATTGGCAGATTGGCAGAAATAGGCAACTACAGCCAGCTACCAAAACAAGAACAGTAGCAGACTGAGTAGATTGGAGCTTGGATCCAACTTGCAAGTTCAAGGGAAGGGGACATTCAACACAGACTTGCTGCTACTCAAGGTGTGGTCCATGGACATCGCCTGGGAGCTTGTTGGAAATGTGGAATCTCAGACTCTATGCTAGACTTTCTGAATTCCACTCGAATTTTTACAAGACTCCTGTGCACTCTAAATTTTGATAAGCATTAGGCAGACTAATGGTTCTTTTTTTGTTTTGTTTTGTTTTTTGAGACGGGGTCTCACTCTGTCACCCAGGCTGGAGTGCAGTGGCACGGTCTCCGCTCACTGCAACCTCTGCTTCCTGGGTTCAAGTGATTCTCGTGCACAGGCATATGCCACCAAACCCGGCTAATTTTAGTATTTTTAGTAGAGACAGGGTTTCACCATGTTGGCCAGGCTGGTCTCGAACTGACCTCAGATGATCCGCCCGCCTCAGCCTCCCAAAATGCTGGGATTACAGGCGTGAGCCACCACACCTGGCCTGGGATCATCTGAAGAGCTTTTAAAAATGCTGATGCCCAGGGTGTATCCCAGAACAACTGGCATCATGTTGATTTTTGTAGCTCACCAGGTGATTCCAATATTCAGCCAGGGTTGAAAGCCATTCATCTAGACCAACCCTCCAATTTGCAGGTCAAGAAACTAAAGTCCAAAGGGGTAAACTGACCTGCCCAAGGTCACACAGCAAGGGAGTGATAGTGCCTGGGACCTGAGCTCCAGTGCTCCACCCCCAGGGCTCTCTTCACTGGACTTCACTGCAAAATGGGGCAAGGTGGAGCGGAGCACCAGCGTTTCCCTTCTGGCTTGGCTTCTTCACTGTTGGGTCCTCAGCTCAGATCCCAAAGAAGGAGCTTCCTAGATGCAGGTGGCCTTACGCCTTTGAATTCCCAGGTGGACTATGGCCATAGAGGCCTCACGCTCTCAGGCAGTAGGTGCCAGAAGCCTGGGGCCAGGTGGGACTCTGCTTCCTGACCGGTGGCCAGTCTCTAGGCTGGAACAGCCTCACACTCTCACCCAGCCAGCATGGGCCTGCCATTCTCACCCGCCCCCCACCATCTTCCCAGAGAGACGGAGCCCTCAGGGACTGTCCCACCACAATTCTCAGAACTCAGGTGAAGTTTCTGACCCCCCACAGCCGCAGCTCCCGACTCCTCTGAGAACTGCTGGGACAGGCCTGTTCTCAATCAGCAACCGCGACTGTCTTGAAACCATCAGAGGCTCCCTCATGACTTGTTTTCGCTCTCTTGTCAGGGTTTTGGGGGTGTGTGTGTCTCAAACCTCTGATTGTCTCTGCTTTGTGACTTTTTCTGGTGTGTTTTTGAAGTGGCTTTTTGTTATTCTGCCTCCACTCGCTCATCTTTCTCGGCAGCCGTGGAAAACACTCTCGGCCTGTTCTGCTCTCCACCGAGCACTTGGATCCCTTGTAAACAGCTTGCCTGGTGGCCTGGACCAGGCTGAACAGATAGGAAGGGCCTGGGCCTGTCAAGCCTTTGAAAATAAACATGCTGCACTGAGCTTCACCATGCTCAGGGAGGAGGATGGGGTAGACACGAGAAAGCAGAAAGAACTTTCTAGGCACAAGATTACTCTCCTGACGGCCGAGTGAGGTCTTTTCCACCGCCCTAAAACAGGCAAGAACAGAGGCCTGCCCCTTCCCTGAGCCTCAGGCCTGCTAGAAGGAGGGCACCCACCTGCAAAAGCCTTTCCTGAAAAAAAAAGAAAAAAATTTTTTTGAAACAGAATCTCACTTGGTTGCCCAGGCTGAAGCGCAAGCGGCATGATCATGGTTCACTACGGCCCTGACCTCCCCAGCTCAAGCGATCCTCTCACCCTAGCCTACCAAGTAGCTGGGACTACAGGTGCGTGCCACCATGCCTGACTAATTTTTTTTTTTTTTTGTAGAGATAGGGGTCTCACCATGTTGCTCAGGCTGGTCTCAAATGCCTGTGCTCAAGCAACCCTCCTGCCTCAGCCTCCCAAAGTGATGGGACTGCAGGCATGAGCCACCATGCCCAGCCCTCTCCTGAAATGTGAGAGGTAGATCTTAACTTGCACTGCCCAATATAGTGCCACTAACCACACATGTGACTACTGAGTGCTTAAAATGTGGCTACTTTGCGAGCATGGTGGCGGGTGCCTGTAGTCCCAGCTACTTGGGAGGCTGAGGCAGGAGAATTGTTTGAACCCGGGAGACAGAGGTTGCAGTGAGCCAAGATCGCACCATTGCACTCCAGCCTGAGTGACAGAGTGACACTCTGTCTCAAGAAAAAAAAAAGAAAAAAAAGAAAGAAAAAAGTGGCTACTTTGACTAAGGAACTGAATTTTTTATTTAGTGTTGCATAATTTAAATAGCCACGTGTGGCTAGTGGCTACTGTTAGACAGCACAACTCAAAAGCAGGGTTCTCAAACTAGGCTGCATATTAGAATCACCTGGGAGCTTTAAACCACTCTGACGCCTGCAGCCATCCCTGGTGACTTTGATTTATTGCCACTGGGTATGGGCAGAGCCAGAGTTCTGAAAGCCCCACGTGTGATTCTCACGCACAGCCAGTTTTGCAAAACTCTGGCCCAAAGGACTTCCCACAGCTTTTCCACCTCTGACATCCTACACGTTGATCTGGTCTCTACAGTTTTCAGAATTTAAGGAGCAAGGAATTTACTTAGAGAATCAACTCAAGATGCTGGAAAATGTTTTTCTATGTTCTAAATGTAATGCATGTTCGTTGTAACACATGGGAGAAAATTGAGAAAACTCAGAGAAATGAACAGAAGAAAGTCAAAATCCCCTAAAATCCCACCACCTAGAGAAAAAGGGTTGAAACACTTAGACGTATATCCTTCAAGGCATTTTTCCATGGATAGAGCCTTATTTTCCTTCAAAATTGAAATCCTACTATGCTTCCTATTTTGTAATGTTTTTGTCACTTTACTTATTTGATTAACAAATATATCATCAATTGTAATGGCTACATGACATTCTATTGCATATAAACCACTATTTATCCAAATTCATATTAATATTGGCCCCATTTTTGCTATAATTTTTAAAAACATTGCTATGAAAAAATACAATGTCTTTATGAAAAGCCATTCACTAACTCCTTAGGAGAAAAGAAAAAAAAAAGAATTCAGTCAAAAGGCATAGAAAATTCTAAGACTTCTCCTAAATGTTTACCAAATGACTCTCCAGAAAAGTTGAACCAGTTCACATTCCCATCAACAGAGCATGAAAGCACCTATATTTATATGCATGTTGGCACTGGGGATTGAACTTTTCAAACTTAACAAGGTTCGAAAAAAAAATGTTTTCAACCACCAACAGGCAACCCTTCGTTTCAAAGTTCAGCACACCTTTAACGAGCACTGACTATGTGCCAGGTGTCACCTTAGGTGTTGGTGATAAAGATGAATGGAATGCATCCCTGCCCTCTAAGAACTCAAGAAAGGGGAGAATTAACAACTTGGCTTTAAGTCAAGGGAGGACAATATAGATGCTAAATAAAGGTACCAAAGTCACACTGGGAGCAGGAAAGAAAAGCCCACGATTCCTCACAGCAATGCTGGGAAGTCTGAAGGGGTGGCATTTGAGCTGGCTCTAGAAAGGTTGAGTCCAGGCGCTGGTGAGAGGTAGGAGGTGATGATATTTGGCAAACACCAAAAAATGCTGGAAGGCTCGGGGGATTGGAAAGTTATTGCTTCCACCCTCCAGTGGCTCCTATATTTATCAACCGTCTACGGTCAGGAAGCTTCTCCTTGAGTCTCTCCAACAGCCTCCTATTGCAGCTTAAACCCCTTCCTCTCGTTATCTATATAGTGGGAATGGGAGGCAGCTTGAATGCATTCTCCATAAATTCACCTCCAGAGACTTCTAGCCAAGGCAAACACCAAGCATGGTATGATATGTTTTCACTGATGAGTTGGTCCCTTTTGCATTATTTGCTCCTTCTATAAAAACAACATCGACTTGTAATGTCAATATGTCCATTTACCAGCCTGGGCAATATAATGAAACCCTGCCTCTACAAAAAATAAAAAAATTAGCCAGGTGTGGTGGCATGTGCTGGTAGTCCCAGCTACTTGGGAGGCTGAGGTGGGAGGATCAATTGAACATGGGAAGTCAGGGCTGCAGTGAGCTGTGCTCGTGCCACTGCACTCCAGCCTAGGTGACAAAGCAAGACCTTGTCTTAAAAAAATAGAGGTAGATAGATAATGTGTGTGTGTGTGTGTGTGTGTGTATAGTTTTTTGTTTTTTGTTTTTTTAAGTTGCAAAACTCAAGACCATAGGGCAAACATCAAGGTGACCTGAATTCCCCAGGCCGCTGGTCGTTAACCCAACTTTTCCCCCATTATTAGGATGGCCAATGCCAGCCCCATAGAGAGAAAGGGGCAGCCAGTTCAAATCCTGGCTCTTCTACTTAGGCCCTTGTGAATTCCCTTGGGTAAACTCACTTTTTCATCTCCCTGGGCCTATAAGACATGGATGGTATGAATAGTGAAAAGTTAGGTTTGGGGAGGTAAGGGAAGCCTTTTGTTAATAATAATAATAATCACCTGTGACTCCCATCCATGTGGGCTCACGTCAAGCGGGCCAGCCCCTTGCCTTCTCTTTTTGTGAGTCTCTGTGACCCACAAACACACACCCTTTCAACCGAGTCTGCCATGTATTTCAGGAATAACACATGTTCCGGAAGACGGCCTTTCTTGGGAAACTCACTGAAAAATGAATTAAGGGACTTGCCCAACTGTGTCTCGGGGCAGGAGGTAAGAAGGGCATGACAGCCACGGGACCTTTTCCACCCATTGACCGACACTCCCTCTTTCCCCAATTCTGCCCTACAACGTCAGAGACCGGATCAAATTTCCCTACTTGCTCTGTCTTCACCTCCCCTTTCTCCCCTGCTCTGTGACGCATGATGTCCCTGGAGAGTCCCCCACATCATCACAGAACAAAAACAAAAACAGCAGAGAAAAAATGCCAAACCTCGCTCCCCCTGCCCCCTCTACTATGAGTCGCCCACACGATGAGGGTGCTTGGTTTCAAATACTAGAAATGAGATGGCCTTTTTTTTCTTTTCACTTCTGCTATTTACACAGAAGTGCCTCGGTGCTAAACCCACCATAATTCAAGTTTATTTTTGGATTTCTCAGCTGTAGAAATCTACAGAATGCCAAAATGGGCTGAAGCAACTCTGTCAATAGGAGGAAGGAGAGGGTGGAAGGGAATGAATGTTGTCGAGAACCTGCTGCGGGCTGGGGCCTTACTGATGCGATTTCGTTTCCTCCTTACAAAGACTCTTAGAAGAAACCCTATTATCAATTATCTTTTGAAGATAGTGAAACCGAGATTCTATGTAGTTAAGCAACTTGGTCTAAGTTGAACAATTTGTAAGTGGTGGGACCTAGATTTAAAACCAGGACTGACTCAAAAGCCAAACTTCTTGGTCTCAGCCCTCACTCCCACCCACGTCCGCACCCACCCGCTCTCTTGCTTCCACAGCGAATTATCACGTGCCTTCTGTACCCATGTGTTTGCACTCTCTCTGCCCCAGCCCCCTCCTGTACTTTGCCCTTTTCTGCTTTGGAACAAAAACAGGGCCAACCAGAGAAGGTTCGGGAAATTTATGGTTTGGTTTCGTTTCTCCCCAAAGCATAGTACATGTCTGATTTCAACCCATTTAAGTAACTGACTTCGGGCCCTCTGGGAATCCTGTCGGGGAGGAGAGCCAAGGTGGACAGAACTCTAATGGCAGCATGGAAGACGGCCAGACTTGAAGCCACGCAGATCTGCGCTGGAATCCCAGCTTGGGCACTTAAGGCTCTTAAATGCTGCTAGGCCTCCATTTCTTCATCTATACATTGGCAATGACATACCTATCTGGCAAGTAGCTGGGAGACCCAAATGAGATGATGTGAGGGAAACAGCCCAGGTCAGATTCCAGCACATAGCAGACATCCAAGAAATGTCTCCCTCTTTTCCTCTCCCACATCCTCAGGAAAGGGGTTCAGGGCTGCCACCAGGGAGCCTGGCCTGCAGAGAGCTTTGGTAACTCTCTGAGGAAGCACAGTTAGATTCATTTCGGCCTGTCTCAAATATTTGCAGGGCCCAGGCAAGAGTACAAACAGAGGCCTACGCACTACCTGCCCAGATAGTTACATTATAAATAGAGCTAACAGACTTATAAAATAGGTTCCATTTCATAATGAAACTATACATTTTCATAACGACCTAAAGGGTCATGTTTAAATTTAGAATTCTCAGACTCCTTCGAGAACTCTCAGACTCTCCCCTCAGCTCCCCTTCTCTACTCCCCAGCCTGGATACCTAAGCGTCATCTACAGCCACCATAAACAGCCAGGACGTGGTCATCAACAGAGTCTAGGGGTGCATACCAAGCTGTGCAGTCTACCCTGTGGAGGATTTTCCCTGGGAAGAGGCCCATGCAAGCCTGAAAGTGGCTGAGGACTCTTTGGGCCGGGAATACTGGGTCCTGAGACCTGGAGTGTGACATAGAAGGGGGGACATGGACCAGTCCTTCACCTGACAAGGGTACCGTCTGAGGAAGGCCAGAGAAAGACCTCTAAGGTGTGGGTTCCTCCACCTGAATCTGAGGGCAGGCTGCATTTGTTCAGGTGCTATTTACCTATCACTCTAAACAGGAATTCATGCAGTGAGCCGGAGCCACAATAGTGAGCTCATCCATCTTCCTGAGTTAAGCCCTAAATCTGACATTGAAAAGAAATTATACTTTTGATCATTTCAATTTGTTTTCAATAATCTTTATCTTTCTTCACCCCCAGGACAGGAGCCAAGGAGGGGGAGATTCCAACATGCATACATTGGTATTTACACACAGACTCTCTTCTGCTCCATTTTTGTTCTTTGCTTAGAAAGTCTTTGTTCCAAAAACTACAGACAGAAACCAGTTCAGTGGTTGTGAGGAGCTGAGGGTAGAGGAAGGGGTTGGCTACAAAGACACGTGAGGGAACAGTGGTGTGTGATGAAACTATTATATACCGTATGTTGTTGGTGGTAGTACATAATTGTATGAATTTATTTTTTAAAAAATTCTAGACCTGTACGCTAGAATGGGTAATTTTTACTGCGTGTAAAATTATACCTCAAAAAACTATGTAATAAAAACTCTTTGCTCTAAACCATATTTTAAGAAAGGAGCAGGATTTTAAAAGGGGAATGTGTTCGGACATCTAACTTCACTTCCTATGGTGTGACATTCAGGGTGAGTCAGTGTAATGGACACCTGTCACATTCATGATGGCGGCTCATCATCTTACGGACAGCTTTTCTTTCTGGAGGAAATTCCTTTATTATTGTCCTGCCTCCCGAAATAGAAGTCAAGAACTCAAACTCCCGGTATCCCCTGCAGTTAGGACACAGGCATGTGACCTACCCTCCACCAATCAGAAGCACTCATGTAGGCATTGATTCATGTGACCTACCCTCCAGCAGTCAGAAGCAGTCATGTAGGTGCCGATTCATGTGACCTACTCTCCACCAATCAGAAGCAGTCATGTAGGAATTGATTCATGTGACCTACCCTCCACCAATCAGAAGCACTCAGGTAACTGCTAATTCACAAATGAGTACTGTATTGACACGAGGGCTGCATGAGGCTTCTATTTTGCTGGTGTGCAGACAACAGAGGCATTTAACTTTGGGGCTTTTAAAAGAAAAACCTTAGGCAAATTAAATTTAACAGAATTTAGTGGAGCAAAAACCAATGTGTGAGTCAGGTATTCGCCTGAGCCACAGTAGGCTCAGAGAGACACTAGCACAGCCACTTGGTGGGAGATTTACAGACAGAAAAAGGAAGTGAGGTACAGAAACGGCTGGATTGGTTATAGTTGGCATTTGCCTTATTTAAACACGCTTTGAACAGTTGACTGCCCTTGACTGGCTGAAATTCAATGAGTGGCACAATAGTAGGTTACAGTCTGTTTACACATCCAGTTAGGTTGCAGTTTACAGTGTAGGAGAAACCTTTAGACAGAACTTAGAATATGTAAGGAAGCAGCTTTAAGCTAAACTTAATTTGATAATTCCCCCCTTTTGGTCATCCTCTTAATTTTGAGAGATAGACCAAAACTTTAGGCACTGATGTCACTCTGTCACCATGATAAAGGTACCTATTTGGTCCTAAATCCCATTGGGAAATAGCAGAACAGTGGGTTTGTGAGGTGGAAACAAGGACTTCAGGTTATTTTTTTTTTAAGGATTAGAGTAGCAGGGACCTCTTTGTACTGCAGTCTCCTGTTTTTAAGAGAAAAGCAAAACTTTTGGTCTGTTTTCTTAAAGTTTCAGATCGATCATGTCACATTTGAGTGACTCTGTTTTGGTTTGGTCTGGTCTGCTGGGGTCTAATGCACAATCTCAGTCCAAAACAATTGCCTCCTATAATTTTGTTTAAAATTTTCCCCCTTCTGGTCAGGTTCTCACTTAGGTGAGAGTGTGACCAAAACTTAGGCCATGAGCTCCACTCTCGCTTACCATCATTTTGGGTTTTCAGTCTCAGCACATAGTTCATAGGTTACGGTGTCCTTATGGCCACACAATTCTTTGAGTTATTGTCATTCCAATCTAGGAGAGACCATCTGACATTCTGGAGATGGCTACGTACAAACATTTAGAACTTTTGAGAGAATACAGCACACCAGGGAGATTACAATTATGACTATCAGAAGGATAACACCAGGAGTTTGGAGTATGCTCTGTATCCAGGTTCCGCATGAACCAAACCAACTAAAATCAAATAGATCAAACAATAAACTCGATAAAGAGTTTACTCATTTCAACCAAGCAGCCTGTCCATTAATCCCCTACAACTGAGTCTCTATAATACCCTATGTATTCCTCCGTGTGTAATTAGATGTGTCAGCAACTGCAGACACTACTTTGTTTAGCCAGTAAGTAAACCAGAGCAATTCTATTAGTTAGTGCAACTTTAGCAAGAGAATTTAAAATCTGTTGTGTAACCAGAGTCTCTGTAGTAGAATCTGTTATCTAGCCTATTATGAGGGATAAATTTTTAATCATTGCCTCATTTACTCTAAACCAAGAAAAAAAGATCTAATAAATGATGCCTATCTAGAAGAGTGAAGGCCTCTTGGCAATGTTTTAACCTATGACATAGGTTAAGAGGAGTGGACCAGTGTTCTGTTTCTGAGTGATTATGAAGCAACAAAGATACCAATAAAATTTTTCATCCACATTGGCCCTTTATCCTTCATCTGTCAAGACGTAAGGGTGTCCATATAAAAGGTTTGCTTCGAAATCCTCCACTAATAAAAGTATACTCCATGAGTGTACAAAAGAGACCTTATTTTCAGTTCTATTTTTCATAGAGGCCTGTATTAGTCCATTCTCGCACCGCTATAAAGAAATACCTGAGACTGGGTAATTTATAAAGAAAAGGGGTTTAACTGGCTCACAGTTCTGCAAGCTGTACAGAAAGCATAATGCTGGCCTCCGATGGGCTTCTGGGGAGGCCTCAGGAAATTTACAATCATGGCAGAAGGCAAAGGGGCAGCAGGCCACATCTTACATCATCAGAGCAGGAGCAAGAGAGAGAGAGTGGGGAGGTGCCACACACTTTTGTTTAAACCAGATCTCATGAGAACTCACTTTTGCAATGACACCACCAAGGGGTTTCTTACGTTAACCTAAGAAACCACCCCCACCATCCAATCACCTCCCACCAGGCCCCACCTCCAAATTTGGGATTATAATTAGACATGAGATTTGGGTGGAGACACAGATCCAAACCATATCAAGGCAAAAGCAAGGAAAAACTGAGAGATACAAGTCTCACGGTAGCAGAGAAGTCTTGATCCATGATCTTGGGAAAAAGTTGTTCATATCTGGGATGCCATCTGTTTCTGGGGAGAAACTTCCTTGGTTATCTCTATCTTTAGGTCTCCAGTGGCTGTACAATTAAGAGTCTGGAGGTGCCCTTCTGAGTTATGAGATACGAACAAGGTTCAAGTTCCCAAAGTTTTCTGCAGTGTGGGTAACAAGGGCAATCTTTTTCTGATGTTGTTCTCAGAAGACCCAGTCTCTGGGTTTTAGATCATGAAGGGTTTGATTAGTCAGTGAACCATGAAACGCTTTCTTTACCGGTGAAAATACACCATGGCACAACGCACTAAAGACTTGCAGCATTTAGTCGTATCAGAGTTTAGTAGCAGAAGATATATGAGCTTCCATTATTTAGTGCATAGGCATTTCAGTGACTATTTCATAAGGGATCAGCTTATGTTTTCCACTGGAAGTGGGTCTGATTGTCATCAATCTCTAATACCTTTGACCAAAGCAATCAAGTCAGTTCAGTTAGCTTTGCCTAATGCTGTCATATATGTAATACCGTATTTAACTATATTACAACTTGTCCAGTGAAACAAGTATCTCTATCACTGGAGATTTCTCTGGGAATGTCCCACGAGGAAAACACATTTCCTAATAACCTTTTAGCTATTGTTGTAATATTAGCCCTCTTGTATGGGAAAGCTTTTATAGAACCAGAAAGCATGTATCAAAAATGACAATTGAATTAAATCCCTCTATAAATGTTGTGTTGTTTTGTTTTGTTTAGACAGAGTCTTGCTCTGTCACCCAGGCTGGAGTGCAGTGGTATGATCTCGGCTCACTGCAGCCTCTGCCTCCCAGTTCAAGTGATTCTCCTGCCTCAGCCTCCTGAGTAGCTGGGTTTACAGGCACACATCACACGCCTGGCTAATTTTTGTATTTTTAGTAGAGACTGGGTTTCACCATGTTGGCCAGGCTGGTCTCGAAATCTTGACTTTGAGTGATCGCCCTCCTTGGGCTCCCAAAGTGCTGGGATTACAAGCATGAGCCACTGAGCCCAGCCAAATCCCCCTATAAGTGTTTAAATGGCCCATCAGATAACAGAAATGTACCTGAAGTTTTTATTGTCTTCCAAGAATTATGGGTTTGACAAATCAAATATTGATCATAAACTATTTTAGCAATTCATAACAGTCACCACACCAATATATATATATTTTTAATTTGGATCATTTTATCTGTTTTATGATAAGTCTTGAAATTCAGAGCTTCTAATAATGGGAACTTGAAGGACTCAGGAAGGACCAGGAAGCCTTCCAGGTTCTCCATGAGTCTATGCTTATACTGGACTTACATCTTAAATACCAATTTTGTTTCTCCAATTTAGGTGCATAGCACTGTTTATTAGATGGTTTTCATGGGTAATTTGACTTGGACCAGGGAGTTCATTTAAATTATATATCTAAATAATTTTAGTGCTAGCTGATTTTAGCATGAAAATCTGTCAAAGTATTTTTTTGGTTGTCAATTAATTCTTGCCCTACTTGGGTTAGCAGTTTTATAAATCAGTCAGTCCTTTTATTAGAGTTCTGGGAATTCTTAGCCAGTCCAAATGATAGGATCCTAAACCTGTATTCAAGAGTGCTTGTCAGAGTCCTTTCCATCATTGTATGAACCTCTTTGAAGACACATTACTCTAGGATTTTGCTTGCTTGTGAAGAGTTTTCAGAAACTGCATCTAAATGCAGGAATTAACTGTGGAAATGATTTAAAATGGTCATAAAGATACAATTGACAAGGACATTTGGTTATTTTTGTGGCCTAAAATTATGTAACATAACCATAGTTATAATTGATAGCATATATCCAGACATATCAGAATTTTAGGAATCCCATACAATTTTGGAACATATATTAATAAAATATTTATAAAAATACAACTTGAAGAAGATTAAACATTATTTCTTATTTGACAGTGCTTCCTGTAATTTAATATATCACGTAATCTTACTTATCTCTCTTTTGGATGCTGCAGGAGCCCTCTGTAGCATTCCAAATGTACAGGTAAACAACAAAAAAAAACAAACCACTTAATTTTGAAGTTGAAATTTGATTTTCAGGAAGCCTGTCAAGTATGTCAAAAGATTCAGACAATTGACCAAAATAGGATCACAGGTCACCATAAAAAAAAATCATTCATTTAGCCAAAGTGATAAGAGATTTTTAAAAGCAAAAACCTTTACTCTTTGATAAGAGAGGAGACTCAATCTTTTTTTTTTTTTTTTGAGACGGGGTTTCACTCTTGTTACCCACCCAGGCTGGAGTGCAATGGCGTGATCTCAGCTCACTGCAACCTCCGCCTCTCAGGTTCAAGTGATTATCCTGCCTCAACCTCCCAAGTAGCTGGGATTACAGGCATATGCCACCATGCCTGGCTAATTTTTGTGTTTTTAGTAGAGACGGGATTTCACTATGTCGGCCAAGCTGGTCTCGAACTCCTGACCTCAAGTGATCCACCCACTTCGGCCTCCCAAAGTGCTGGGATTACAGGCATGAGCCACCGCGCCCGGCCTTGGATCCTACTTCTGACAGCATCTGTTAAAAGAGAAACTGGCCGGGCGCAGTGGCTCAAAGTGTAATCCCAACACTTTGGGGGGCCGAGGCGGGTGGATCACCTGAGGTCAGGAGTTCGAGACCAGCCTGGCCAACATGGTGAAAGCCCATCTCTACTAAAAATACAAAAATTAGCCAGGCATGGTGGCATATGCCTGTAATCCCAGCTACTTGGGATGCTGAGGCAGGAGAATCACTTGAACCCGGGAGGCGGAGGCTGCAGTGAGCTGAGGTCGTGCCATTGCACTCCAGCCTGGGCAACAAGAGTGAAACTCCATCTAAAAAAAAAAGAAGAAGAAGAAAGAAAAACCTTAGACAAATTAAATTTAACAGTTTGAGCAATGAACGGTTTGCAAATCAGGAAGCCTCTTGAGCCAGAGTAGGCTCAGAGAGACTCTAGCATGGCCATGGGGTAGAAGAAGGTTTATGGACAGAAAATGGAAAGTGACCTACAGAAAATGGAAGTGAGGCATAGAAACAGCAGGATTGTTTATCTTAGCATTGCCTTATTTGAACATAGTCTGTACAGTTGGCAACCTTGGTTGGCCAAAACTCAGTGACTTGCACAGGAGTAGGTTACAGTCTGTTCACACATCCAGTTAAGTTGTAGTTCACTATGTATGGAGAAACCTTTAGGCTGGACTTAGAATATGTAAGAAGGCAGATTTAGGCTAAGCTTAATTTAACAGGGCTTTCAGTGGTTGTGAAGTTGCATTCCTGCTTATCAACTAGTGTGGTATGGGGGAAAGAGGATGGATGGGGGAGTTCCATTCCTGGTTTGCTGCAACTAGCTATGAGCGTCCTTTGGGGAAGTTCTTAACTTCTCTGAGTCTCCATTTTCTTATCTGTAGAATGGACATCACAGCTGCTTAACTTGCAGGGTTGTTGTGAGATTAAATGAGGTGATTCAGGGTCTGGTATACAGTAGGTGCTGAATAAGTATTAGCTCCAGTTAATCCTCAAACAGTATGTAAGAGCGTTGACATTGGTGGCCTGCCTATCACTCTGGGAGCTCCCTGAATCCTGGGCTGTGGTGCCTTGCGCAGCCTGAGAACTTCCCCACAGCAAGGACCTCATGAGCATTACATGAAAGCTAAGACTGATACTGAAATTTGAGGATCCCCTTGATCAACCTAGCCAATGATTTTTCCCTACCTAAGCACACAAGGGAAAAAGAAATAAAGAAGGTAGAATATAAAAATCCTTGCAAATTTCCAAAAGCTGAAATTTACACCCCTTGCAATATTTCCATTTACTATCAGTTTCTGTCTAACCCAGGCAGACATAAAAGGCCTCTAACTGGATCTAAACCAATTAATTATCAGATCCAACTCAACTCAAAGAGTGGCCACTATTTTATGCACTCTGAGTGTAGCCTGTTTGGGGTCAAATCAACAGAAATATCCTTCATTTTAACTTAGCACTCTTTGGCTGAGCACCAAGAATATGCCAGGTACTGTGTTAAATATGTAAGAAATAAATAAGATGCCACGTAATGGTAAGCTGATAGAGGGAGAAAAATGCATGCATGCCCATGATACAAATTTGACTAAGAGGTGCTATCCTAGCAGTGTGAACAGCATTTGTGGGTTCAGGGACTTCAAGAATTCTTCAGGAGGTGAGAGTATTTGAGCTGGGTCTTGAATAATGAGTTAGAGTGTGACACGGGAGAGAAGGAGCTGGAGCCACCTTAGCCTGACAGAAGAGCATGTGGAAAATCCCAGAAAAATGAAAGTGCACAATGCTTTTAGGGAACCCACAGGTCACTCGGAATGGCTGGAGCACAAAGTAGCTACAGTGGGGGAGTAGAGAGATTGAGGTCAGTGATGTCAACTGGGCCAGATAGAGAAGGGCTTTGAATGCCATTAAAAGCACAAGAGGAGGATGAAATAGATATGGTCTCCTTAAACAGTTGTATGGGGAGGAACAGGAGGGTTTCAGGACTCCACCTTTCACCCATCTTTTCTTTCTGACCAAAGCTCTACTGGGATTTCCTAAATGTGCATAACCTAAGCTTCTCTGAGGCCACAGTCCCACTAGGAGATGATCAATGGAATCCCCAAATGTGAGACCAGAGAGGACAGACAAGATCATCTGGTTCAATCCCCAGATAAGGAACCAGGAGAAAAGGGCCTCATGGAAATTTGGCTGGCAGAGCCAAGACTGGAACCCCACACACGTTTTCACTGCAACAGATGGTCTCAGGATCAATGAGCATCAAGATACCTGGGCTTTCTAATCATGTTTAAAATGGACAATTTCAATCCAAGTGGGAATCATGGCGGATGGGAGGCAGGACTAGATTGCAGCTCTGGACAGAGCAGCCATGTGGAGGTTTGCATTGTGAATTTTAGCTCCAGATCAACTGCAAGAACAAACCAGCCACCCTGAGAGGACCCACAAACCCTCTGAAGGAAGCGGACTGCTCCTGCAAGACCCAGGAGACAACCCAAATACTCTGGGAGGTAAAAAGCCTCAGGCAAGTTTTCAAGCCCATCTCGCCCTTCACCTGGAAACAGACTCGGTGCTGTAGGGGGAGGCACGGTGGGAGTGAGCACTTGGGTTTGCATGGGACCTGGGTGAGGCCTGTGACTGCTGGCTTTCCCCCACTTCCCTGACAACCTGCATGACTCAGCAGAGGCAGCCATAATCCTCCTAGGTACATAACTCTAGTGACCTGGGAATGTCACCCTCATCCCCTACAGCAGCCACAGCAAGACCCACCCAAGGAGAGTCTGAGCTCAGACATGCCTAGCCTCTCCCCCACCCAATGGTTCTTCCCTGTCCACCCTGGTAGTTAATGGAAGACAAAAGACATATAATCTTGGAAGTTATAGGGCCCCGCCTACCGCCAGTCCCTCTCCACACTACTACAGTTGATGCTTTCTGGAAAGTGCCACCTCCTAGCAGGAGGCCAACCAGCACAAAAATAGAGCATTAAACCACCAAAGCTAAGAACCCTCATGGAGTCCATTGCACAGCCTGCCACCTCCACCAGAACAGGTACTGGTATCCACGGCTGAGAGACCCAGAGACAGTTCACATCACAGGACTCTGTGCAGAAATCCCCAGTACCAGCCCAGAGCCAGGTAGACTTGCTGAGTGGCTAGACCCGGAAGAGAGACAATCACTGCAGTTTGGCTTACAGGAAGCCACATCCACAGGAAAAGGGGGAAAGTACTACATCAAGGGAACACCCTGTGGGACAAAAAAATCTGAACAACAGCCTTCAACAGCCCTAGACCTTCCCTCTGATAGAGGCTACCCAAATGAGAAGGAACCAGACAACCAACCCCAGTAATGCGACAAAACAAGGTTCATCGACACCCCCCAAAAATCACACTAGTCCACCAGCAATGGGTCCAAGCCAAGAAGAAATCCCTGATTTGCCTGAAAAAGAATTCAGGAGGTTAGTCATTAAGCTAATCAGGAAGGGACCAGAGAAAGGCGAAGTCCAATGCAAGGAAATCCAAATAATGATACAAGAAGTGAAGGGAGAAATATTAGAGGAAATAGACACCTTAAAGAAAAAACAAGCAAAAATTCAGGAAACTTTGGACATACTTTTAGAAATGCAAAAGCTCTGGAAAGTCTCAGCGATAGAATTGAACAAGTTGAAGAAAGAAATTCAGAGCTCGAAGACGAGTTCTTCAAATTAACCCAATCCAACAAAGACAAAAAAAAAGAATAAGAAAATATGAATAAAGACTCCAAGAAGTTTGGGATTATGTTAAATGACCAAACCTAAGAATAATCGGTGTTCCTGCGGAAGAAGGCAATTCTAAAAGCTTGGAAAACATGTTTTGGGGGAATAATCAAGGAAAAGTTTCCTGGCCTTCTAGAGACCTAGACATACAAATACATGAAGCACAAAGAACACCTGGGAAATTCATCACAAAAAGATCTTCACCTAGGCACATTGTCATCAGGTTATCCAAAGTGAAGACAAAGGAAAGAATCTTAAGAGCTATGAGACAGAAGCACTAGGTAACCTATTAAAAAACAAAACAAAACAAACCTATCAGATTAACAGCAGATTTCTCAGCAGAAATCCTACAAGCTAGAAGGGACTGGGACTCTATCTTCAGCCTCCTCAAACAAAACAATTATCAGCCAAGAATTTTGTATCCAGCAAAACCCAGCATCATATATGAAGGAAAGATACAGTTGTTGTCAGACAAACACATGCTAAGAGAATTCATCATTACCAAGCCACCACTACAAGAACTGCTAAAAGAAGCTCTACATCTTGAAACAAATCCTGGAAACACATCAAAACAGAATCTCTTTAAAGCACAAATCACACAGGACATATAAAACAAAAATACAAGTTAAAAAGCAAAAATAAACAGAAAACAAAGTACGCAAGCAACAAAGAGCATGAGGAATGCAATGGTACCTCACATTTCAATACTAACATTGAATGCAAATACCCTAAGTGCTCCACTTAAAAGATACAGAACCATAGAATGGATAAGAACTCACCAACCAACTATCTGCTGCCCTCAGGAGACTCACCAACACATAAGGACTCACATAAACTTAAAGTGGTGGGAAAAGGTATTTCTCACCACTGGTGACCACAAATGGACACCAAAAGTGTTCAGGGGTAGCTATTCTTATATCAGACAAAACAAACTTTAAAGCAACAGCAGTTAAAAGAGACAAAAAGGGATATTATATAATGGTAAAAGTCCTTGTCCAACAGGAAAATATCACATTCTAAACATATATGCACCTAACACTGGAGCTCCCAAATTTATAAAACAATTACTAATAGTCTAAGAAATGAGATAGACAGCAACACAATAATAGTGGGGGACTTTAATACTCCACTGACAGCACTAGACAAGTCATCAAGACAGAAAGTCAACAAAGAAACAATGGATTTAAACTATATCCTAGAACAAATGGACTTAACAGATATATACAGAATGCTTCATCCAACAACCACAGAACACACATTCTATTCAATAGCTCATGGAACTTTCTCCAAGATAGACCATAAGATAGGTCATAAAATGAGCCTCAATAAATTTAAGAAAATTTAAATTGTATCAAGCACTGTCTCAGACCATAATGCAATAAAACCGGAAGTCAACTCCAAAAGGAACCTTCAAAACTATGCAAATACATGGAAATTAAATAACCTGCTCCTGAATAAGCATTGCATGAAAAATGAAATCAAGATGGAAATTTAAAAATTCCTCGAACTGAGTGACAATAATGATACAACCTATCAAAACCTCTGGGATATGGCTAAGGCGGTGCTAAGAGGAAAGTTCATGGCCCCAAACGCCTACATCAAAAAGTCTGAAAGAGCACAAACAGACAATCTAAGGTCATGCCTCAAGGAACTAGAGAAACAAGAACAAACCAAACCCCAACCCAGCAGAAGAAAGGAAAAAACCAAGATCAGACCAGAACTAAATGAAATTGAAACAAAAGAATACAAAAATAAATGAAACAAGAACCTAGTTCTTTGAAAAGATAAATAAAATTGATAGACCATGGCAAGATTAACCAAGAAAAGAAGAGAGAAAATCCAAATAACCTCACTGAGAAACAAAACAGGAGATATTACAACTGACACCCTGAAATACAAAAGATCATTCAAGGCTACTGTAAATGCCTTTATGCACAGAAACTAGAAAATCTAGAAGAGATGGATAAATTCCTGGAAAAATACAACCTTCCTAGCTTAAATCAGGAAGAATTAGACACCCTGAACAGACCAATAACAAGCAGCAAGATTGAAATGTTACTTTAAAAATTACTGACAAAGGCCAGGCGTGATGGCTCATGCCTGTAATCCCAGCACTTTCGGAGGCCAAGGCGGGCAGATCATGAAGTCAGGAGATCGAGACCACAGTGAAACCCTGTCTCTACTAAAAATACAAAAAATTAGCTGGGCGTGGTGGCAGGCACCTGTAGTCCCAGCTACTCGGAGAGGCTGAGGCAGGAGAATGGCGTGAACCCAGGAGGCAGAGCTTGCAGTGAGCTGAGATCATGCCACTGCACTCCAGCCTGGGCAACATAGGGAGACTCTGTCTCAAAAATAAATAAATAAATAAAAATTACCAACAAAAAATAGTCCAGGACCAGATGGATTCACAGCAGAATTCTACCAGACATTCAAAGAGGAATTGGTACCAATCCTCTTGACACTATTCCACAAGATAGAGAAAGAAGGAACCCTCTCTAATTCATTCTATGAAGCCAGCCTCACCCTAATACCAAAACCAGTAGAGGACACAACCACAAAAGAAAACTAAGACCAATATTCTTGATGAACACAGATGCTAAAATCCTTAACAAAATATTAGCTAACCGAATCCAACAACCTATCAAAAAGATAATCCACCATGATCAAGTGGGTTTCATACAAGGGATGCAGGGATGGTTTAACATATGCAAGTCAATAAATGTGGTACACCACATAAACAGAATTTAAAACAAAAATCACATGATCATCTCAATAGATGTAGAAAAAGCATTTGACAAAATCCAGCATCGCTTTATGATTAAAACCCTCAGCAAAATCAGCACACAAGGGACATACCTTAATGTAATAAAAACCATCTATGACAAACACACAGCCAACATAATGCTGAATGGGGAAAAGTTGAAAGCATTCCCTCTGAGAACAGGAACAAGATAAGGACGCCCACTGTCACCACTCCTCTTCAACATAGTACTGGAAGTCCTAGCCAAAGCAATCAGACAAGAGAAAGAAATAAAGGGCATCCAAATCAGCAAAGAGGAAGTCAAACTGTCCCTGTTTGCTGATGATATGATAGTTTACCTTGAAAACCCTAAGGACTCCTCCAGAACTGATAAAAGAATTCAGCAAAGTTTCCAATTATAAGATTAATATACACAAATTAGTAGCTCTTCTATACACCAACAATGACCAAGCAGAGATCAAATCAAGAACTCAAGAATAGCTCCAAGAAAAATAAATAGCTTTACAATAGCTCCAAGAAAAATAAAATACTTAGGAATAACCTAACAAAGGAGTCAAAAGACCTCTACGAGGAAAACTACAAAACACTACTGAAAGAAATCAGACAACACAAACAAATGGAAACACATGCCATGCTCATGGATAGGTAGACTCAATATTGTGAAAATGACCACACTGCCAAAAGCAATCTACAAATTCAATGTAATCCCCATCAAAATACTGCCACCATTCTTCACAGAGTTAGAAAAAACAATTCTAAAATTCATATGGAACCAAAAAAGAGCCCACATAGCCAAAGCAAGGCTAAGCAAAAAGAACAAATCTGGAGGCATCACACTACCTGATTTCAAACTATATTATAAGGCCATAGTCACCAAAACAGCATGGTACTGGTATAAAAATAGGCACATAGACCAATGGAACAGAATAGAGAACCCAGAAATAAACCCAAATACTTACAGCCAACTGGTCTTCAACAAAGCAAACAAAAACATAAAGTGGGGAAAGGACACCCTTTTCAACAAATGGTGCTGGGATAATTGGCTAGCCACATGTAGGAGAATGAAATTGGATCCTCATCTCTCACCTTATACAAAAATCAACTCAAGATGGATTAAGGACTTAAACCTAAGACCTGAAACTGTAAAAGTCCTAGAAGATAACATTGGAAAAACTATTTTAGACATTGGCTTAGGCAAGGATTTCATGACCAAAACCCCAAAAGCAATTGCAATAAAAACAAAGATAAATAGCTGGGACCTAATTAAACTAAAGAGCTTTTGCATGGCAAAAGGAACAGTCAGCAGAGTAAACAGGTAACCCACAGAGTGGGAGAAAATCTTCACAATCTATACATCTGACAAAGGACTAATATCCAGAATCTACAACAAACTCAAATCAGTAAGAAAAAAACAAACAATCCCATCAAAAAGTGGGCTAAGGACATGAATAGACAATTCTCAAAAGAAGATATACAAATGGCCAACAAACATGAAAAAATGCTCAACATCACTAATGATCAGGGAAATTCAAATCAAAACCACAATGCGATACCACCTTACTCCTGCAAGAATGGCCATAATCAAAGAATCAAAAAACAGTAGATGTTGACAGAGATGCAGTGATCAGGGAACACTTCTATACTGCTGGTAGGAATGTAAACTAGTACGCCACTAAGGAAAACAGTGTGGAGATTCCTTAAAGAACTAAAAGTAGAACTACCATTTGATCCAGCAATCCCACTACTGGGTATACCCAGAGGAAAAGAAGTCATTATTCGAAAAAGATACTTGCACACACATGTTTATAGCAGCACAATTCACAGTTGCAAAATCATGGAACCAATCCAAATGCCCATCAATCAACGAGTGGATAAAGAAACTGTAGTATATATATGTATAATGGAATAGTATTCCATCTGATTAGTCTCAGCCATAAAGAGATGAATTAACAGCATTTGCAATGACCTGGATGAGATTGGAGACTATTATTCTAGGTGAAGTAACTCAGGAATGGAAAACCAAACATTGTATGTTCTCACTGACATGTGGGAGCTAAGCTATGAGGACGCAAAGGCATAAGAATGATACAATGGACTTCGGGGACTTGGGGAGAAGAGCAGGAAGGGGCAAGGGATAAAAGACAACAAATATGGTGCAGTGTATACTGCTCGGGTGATGGGTGCACCAGGATCTCACAAATCACCACTAAATAACTTACTCATGTAACCAAATATCACCTGTACCCCAATAACGTATGGAAAATTTTTTAAAAAGAATAAAAAATAAATTTTAAAAATGTACAATTTCGGTTGTGAATGTGCAGGGTTGGCCCAGCAATGGGCAGGCTGGAGGTGGGGAGTGGGCATCTTGGATGTCTAATTTATCACTCGCCATGAGACCAGCCTCAACATTTCCCACCCCTGCTTTCACCACAGAGGTTATTTCAGTCCAAGTTTCCTGTCGCCCTTGCCACCTTGCCAAGATAAAGGTCACCACCGGGTCTCACTGGGGAACAAAAGGAGGGATTCTGGGCAGCCCTCAGTCATGCACAAAAGCTCTGGGCTTAGAGCTCTTGGGGACAGTAGGACAGCAGGGCCAGCCCCACCCTCTCTGGTTGGCTGAAACTAGAATGGCGTGAGGTTTGGCTGAGCAATTCTGGAAGAATAACTGCTCCCTTCCTTTCCCTTTCACCTTTCCTCAGACCCCCGTCCTCACTCACCCCCACTTCTCCCCTCAGAGAGCTTTTGGCAACACGAAAAACACAGACACATAGACCCCTCCCTCTTAATGCCCAACAATGAACCCATGCAGCAAAACAGGAAGCATCTTCCTGTCAAGGCAAACCCATTGTTCTCTCTGTGCACACGTCCTGACAAGTCAGGAAACCGCCGCCGGGCCATGGCAACAGGTGTCAGGGTGACCTGAGGCTTCCCGCTAGCCTGTGCCAAGCCCTCCTTCCCTTTTCATGTAAGTGCCACACGCTAACCAATTGCACCACTGAGAGCTCCTCTCCTTCCCTTTTCTTCATCCTGGTGAGCCATCCTCTTCCTCCCTGCAGCCTCACAACTTATTTTCCTCACACCTGTTGGCCCTTTCCCTCTTGGTTGTCCAAGGTCCGAGTAAGACCTTAAAAGGCCCTGAACCCTATAAAGATTGCAGTCTCTCTCCAAATATAATTCCTAATACTCACCAGACAACACAAAATGTACATGTGTGCTGAAATTAAAAGAGCATCTTTTTAGATTTTCTGATTACTGAACTCTTCTCAACTTTGGGATGTCTTCATCTGGCTGGGGCCCTGTGTCCATACCAAATCTGCCTGTTGGGTTACCCCACACTGGTGGAGGCTCATTTTCGTTGGCTTCACATGGGAACAGATTATTCCCAAGTGAGATAAAACAGGGGCAAGAGGTGGGGGCAGGAGTGAGAGGTGTGATCTTGGACTTTGCCCACTAAATGACAAGTCCAGAGGGACAGGAAGCCATTGGACACTCTGGGTAGAGCCAGGACACTGCTACTATGACCATGGACTCCATATGCAAGAAAGGCAGGACTGAGTTTCTGAGCTTCTGCAGACCTGGCTCCCTCCAGGGGACTCTGGGTCTGGCTCCTCTGTCGATTCTCTCCAGATCAGAGGCCTCCTCTAGGGGTCTCAAGACTTGTCCTGTTCTTTTTCATAATAACAGGGGCTGGAGTTTCTGGTAAGCTAAGCTTTTCTTTATCCTCTGGGTAACCAAGTCATCAGTGAGGTGGTTGGACTGAATGACTATAAAGGTTACTTGTAGGTCCTTCTCCCTGCTCATTCTCAGAAACCTTCGTAAAACAGGATGGGATGTAAAGACCTGTCTGAGGGTGTCTTTCCCAGGAAGAGAGGGGGCAGCCGTGGTCTGAGCTCTTCCGACCATGCCCAACATCAGTAAAGGCAGCCTGGCATAGTGGGAAAAGCCCCTTAGCTTAGAGTCAAATATCAAGTCACTTTCCTTTCAAGTCTCAGCTTCCTCAATCATAGAATGGAAACCTGCCACACAGGGCAGCCCGAGGGCTAAATGAGATGAGGTATAAGGATGTGCTTGGAGATGTGGATGCCCATGCTATTTTCCATTGCTTGTCAAGCTCCTCAAGGCCCAGGACTAGGTTGATGGGCCTTCAAGCCCTAGCACCTGGCCTAATACCTGGCAGAGTAGGTGCTCAGTGAATGGATGCTGGATGAATGAATAGAGGGACAAATGGATAGGTAAAGTCCTAGGAAGCAGGCAATTCTGGGAAACGCTGTAAACACCACCTGTTCTAGATGCCACAGCAGCAAAGAGAGATTGCCTTCAAAGACATGGCCAAAGTCAAACATAATTCACGTGCCAAACACAGCCACACCACTGAGCAGGCAAAAAAGGCCAGACATTGGCCCCACAGGCCACATCACCCCAAAAGCCAAGTTAAACAGTATAGCTCACCCTGTCTTCTGAATTCCCAAATTAAGCAACTCAGAGAAAGTAAGCTTGCTGAGGTCAGCCCGGCAAGACTTCTGGCCTTGGTAATTTTTTTTTTTTTTTTTTTTTTTTTGAGACAGGGCCTTGCTCTGTTGCCCAGGCTGGAGTGCAGTGGCTTGATCACAGCTCACTGCAGTCTTGACTTCCCAGGCTCAAGCAATCCTCCTGCCTCTCAGCCTTCCAAGTAGAGGGCACTACAGGCCTACGCCACCACACCCGGCTAATTTTTGGATTTTTTTGGAGAGATGAGGTTTCACCATGTTGCCCAGACTACACTCAAACTCCTGGGCTCAAGCAGTCCTCCCACCTTGGCCTCCCAGAATGCTGGGATTACAGGCATGGACCACCACTCCCAGCCTGGCCTTGGTCCTTCTACTGACCACTCACCACTGCCTTCCCCCTGCACCTGGGCCCCTTCTACTCCTCTGTAGATGCCATCTTTTTTATACCCTTCCTGATTCCCCTTCTATGTGCTCCTACAGCATGTTGAGCATGCCCCCCTAGTTACCTCTTACTACATTGCACAATAATAGTGTCTTCTATTATTTTTTAAATATTGTGAAATAATTAATACTTAAAGGTGTAAAGAATAATACAATGAAGACTTTTGTAGGTCTTGAATGAAGACAAATCATTACCAGTAGATATAGCAAATACCAGTTTAAGCCCCTGCATACCTCTCTCTCTTTGCATCCCCTTCCCTCCCCATCCTAAATTTAGTGTATACTACCTCCTGCTTGTTTTTATGCTTTTACTGCTTACAGGTAATTGCTTTTTCATTTGTTCATGTGCCTCATTTTTATGAACTGAATGTTTATGTCCCCCCTAAATGCATATGTTAAAGCCCTAACCCCCAATATGGCTGCAGTTGGAGATAGGACCTCTAAGGATATAATTAGTGTTAAATGAGGGCATAAAGGTGGGGTTCTGATCCAATAAGATGTGTTCTTATAAGAAGAGACCCCAGAGAACACCCTCCCTCTCCCCTCACACATGCACCAAGGAAAGGCTATGTGAGGGCATAGCAAGAAGGAGAAGGTGGCCATCTGCAAACCAGGAAGAGGGCCCTCACCAGAAGCCAACCCTGCTGGACCTTAAGCCATTCAGCCTGTGGTATTTTGGTACAGCATCCGGAGCACAGTAATACACCCACAGTGCTTTATGTAAACTTGGCAAGGCCAGGGACCATGTGTGTTCATCTTTGTATTTGTAGAGTCCAGCACCACGCCTGGCACATAGTGTTCACTAAATATTTGTTGAATGAATAAATGACAACACTGCAGGTGAAAACAGGTACCCTAGAGTCCATTCCTTAGGAGCAAGATGTTCTCTGCTCTGCCATGATACTCAAGCTACTGCCGATACCAGGATCTGCAGTCAGTGTCCAACAAAGGAAATTTGAAAGTAAGGAAGAAAGGCATTCTCCAGACAGGGGTAAAGGGAGCGGTAGCATCTTTGGAAAAGTTTAAAGTCCCTTCATCAATCAATCAAATGTTTATTAAGCACCTGCTTATTAAGTATTCCATGTTGAACAGTCTCTACTTCCATAAGGCAATCAGTCTTTGGAAGACTAAAGACCAAGTGGCCCAAAGATGCCCCGGATATAAACAAGCACAGTGCTTTTTGGCATCTCTTATGAACATGTTCTTTGGACAGATACTTTGAAGTGTCCATGGCACTCCAATTGGAGAACATGAACTCAGAGAGCTCTCCTTCACTTATGACACAAACTATATCCACAGCACACCTTGGACACAATGGTGCCCATTCTTTTTTTTTTTTTTATACTTTAAGTTCTAAGGTACATGTGCACAACATGCAGGTTTGTTACATATGTATACGTGCCATGTTGCTGTGCTGCACCCATTAACTCATCATTTACATTACGTATATCTCCTAATGCTATCCCTCCCCCTCCCCCAACCCCACTACAGGCCCCGGTGTGTGATATTCCCCACCCTGTGTCCAAGTGTTCTCATTGTTCAATTCCCACCTATGCGTGAGAATATGCGGTGTTTGGTTTCCTGTCCTTGCGATAGTTTGCTCAGAATGATGGTTTCCAGCTTCATCCATGTCCCTACAAAGGACATGAACTCATCTTTTTTTATGGCTGCATAGTATTCCATGGTGTATATGTGCCACATTTTCTTAATCCAGTCTGTCATTGATGGACATTTGGGTTGGTTCCAAGTCTTTGCTCTTGTGAATAGTGCCGCAATAAACATATGTGTTTATGTGTCTTTATAGCAGCATGATTTATAATCCTTTGGGTATATACCCAGTAATGGGATTGCTGGGTCAAATGGTATTTCTAGTTCTAGATCCTTGAGGAATCGCCACACTGTCTTCCACAATGGTTGAACTAGTTTACAGTCCCACCAACAGTGTAAAAGTGTTCCTATTTCTCCACATCCTCTCCAGCAACAATGGTGCCCATTCAAATGACACCCTTGGCATCCATCAGGGGCTCCTTTCTAGAATTCTTGCATTGACTTTTAGGAATCTCCAGAGTGAAAGAGGGAGCAATCTCAAGGAGCTGGCTTCAGGTTTCTTGCTAGGCATGCCACACATGCTCTTAACAATAACATGAGACAGAATCTCCTGGGATAGAGAAGACAGCACATGAAACCCAGACTTATTGAACTATGCCAAATTATATTTTAAAATCTAGTTTTAAAATCAGCACTATTCAAGGCAATGCAAAGATTACCAAAAAGAGCTACATGGTACAATATTATTTTCAAGAAGTACAAACTCTATTCTAAAATAGAAAATAATTCACATGCCCTTGATGTAAATGTCAATTTGGGTGTCCCTGAAGTTAAGTGCTCTCAGAGTTCAGAGGACAAACTGTGGTATAGGTAGGGCCTGCCTGGGCCTCAAAGGATGGGTAGGATTTGGAAAGTGATACTGGGCTCCCCCTATACTCTCCCTCCATAAAGAGCAGATTTGTAGTGAATCGTCACGAACTGCATGCTAACATGCAGAGGGGAAGCTCACAATCAGTACTAAGAAATGCTAGGGATTCCCCATCACCTCACTCAGAGAACCAGCTAAGAAACTGAAACTGGAGTCTCCTGAGACCAAGTGTGCAATGTCCATGCAGCTAGAATTGGAAGGTCGGAGGACAGTCAAGGGAGGAATCAGGTCTGGGTTGGACAACACCACTTGGCATCAAGCACAGGCTGCTGAGGAAATCAGAACCAAGGAGCGGCCCTTTATCCCCCTGACAACCTGGCACATCTGCCACGAACTCTCCAGTTCTAGTCTGTTCATAAACTCTTATTCCTCTGGGACCTTCTGTGGGGAGTCTATGCTAGCTAAAGAACCAAGAAAATTCTCATGGATAAAAAAGATTATCCTGAGAAAGAAGCCTAGAGTTTGTAGGGTCTAATCCTATTGCTTTTCGGATGGGCATCCAAGAACCAGAGAGAAGTGACTTGCCCAAGGTCACCTAGAAGTTATAGGAGAGGCAGGACTGAAATACAGACAGGTCTGGCATTAAGCTCATTTTTATTTTTATTTTTATTCTTTTAGACAGAGTCTCACTCTGTCACCCAGGCTGGAGTGTAGTAGCACAATCATAGCTTGCTGCAGCCTCAAACTCCTGGGTTCAAGCAATCCTCCCACCTCAGCCTCCCAAGTAACTAGGACTGTAGGTGCTCACCACCACACCCAGCTAAGTTGTTTATATTTTAGTAGAGACAGGGTCTCACTCTGCTGGCCAGGTTGATCTCAAACTCCTGGCCTCAAATGATCCTCCCTTCTGGGCCTCCCAAAGTACTAGGATTAAAGGTGTGAGCCACCAGCCTAAACTCATTTTTTAAGGTGCATCTGGCACATGGAAAAGGACTCCAGCAGAAAGCTTCTGAAATAGTTCCAAACTGAAGTTGCCCTGACCTTTCTTACCAACACACCTGCCAATGTATAACCTCTTAGAGTCCTTCCACCTAGTTCCAGAGATTGCTGATATCCCTAAAAGTGAATCTGCTCCAAAAGCCGGTGATAAGGGCAACCAAAACCTTTGGGCTGAAGCAAAATTTTGGCAAGAATTTCTCATGCCTTCATTTGGGCAATTGGGAATAATGGAGAATGGCTAAGCAAGGGGCTGGGTGCCAGGGGAAGGTCCCAGACTTCAGTCTCAGAAGGCCAAAGCTTAGGTCCTTCTAGGCTGTCTAATCACCTCACTTTACACTTGAGAACAATGAAGCCTAGAGAGAGCAAGAAACTTACCCAAAACTACACTGGCAGCTGCCAAAGAGCTAGGCTCATGCATTACACCCCAATGGAATGTTTTTTATAAGTTTAGAGAGAATGAAAGCTATTCTACCTGCTTGTCTGTCTTGCTATCAGCCCCGTGCAATCTTCGGTTTCCTTCCCTTGTTTGAAGTCGAGTGCCATGTCAGACTTGCTCTTGACCATAATAACCGTTGACAACAGGGGTATGATCTAACCTTAACTTCTTCTATAACTTAAACTCCTTGGGGACAGTAATCACCTTGTATCAATCAGAGTCAAAGCAAACAAGAGCCACTCTAGGTATTCCAAACAGAAGAAATTTAACATAGAGAACCAGTTATACAGGTGATGGAAGAGCTGAAGCCAAACAAGGGAGGGCAAGGCCACCCAGAGATTAATAACCGCAGGAAGTTGCCACCACCCCTAGAGCTGGAGGGACACAGGGAGAAGGTTATGTTACCAAAACCCAGAAACTGGGGCAGGAGCTGGAACCATGATGGGGGTTACTTATCAAGTGCTGGTACCACAGTGGTAGGGGCTGGCTGATGGACTCTGGAATCAAAGACTTGTAGCTGCTGCTGGGATGCCAATGAAAGCATAGAGAAAAGAAACATTCTAATAATGGAAAAAGATATAACACCCAAAAAGTAGTAGTATGTATATTAGATATGTCATTCAAAAATGCTAGACTAATATCAAACAAAATAGACTTTCAGACAAAATTTGTTTATAAAGACAAAGAAGGACATTTTATAATGATAAATGGGTCAATCCAGGCTGGGTGTGGTGGCTCATGCCTGTAATCTCAGCATTTTTGGAAGCTGAGGCAGGAGGATCATTTGAAGCCAGGAGTTTGAGACCAGCCTGGACAACATAGCAAGACCTCATCTCTACAAAAAAAAAATTGTTTAAATAAATTAGCCAACCATGGTGTCATGCACCTGTAGTCCCAGCTACTCGGGAGGCTGAGGTAGGAGGGCTGCATGAGGCCAGGCGTTTGGGGTTGCAGTAAAGTATGATTGTGCCACTGCACTCCAGCCTGTGTGACAGAACAAGACCCTGTCTCTAAGAAAAAGGATGAAAATTTTTCAAAAAGAGTCAATCCATCAGGAAGACATAACAACTATAAATATATATGCACCTAAATAACAGAGCCTAAAAATATATGAAACAAATATTGACAGAATTGTCAAAGAAATAAGAGAAACACATAAAGCAAGAAATAAGAGAAACACATAATTCAACAATAATAGAAACTTAAATATCCTCCTTTCAATAATAGATACAACAACTAAGCAGTTGATCAACAAGAAAACAGAAGATTTGAACAATGCTATGAACCAACTAGACCTAACGTCTATCTATAAAACACCACCCAACAACAGCAGAATACATATTCTTCTCAGATATACATAGAACATTCTCCAGGATAGGCCATCTGTTAGGACATAAAACAAGTCTCAAAAAATGTAAAAGAATTGAGATCAGACAAAGTCTGTTCTCTGACCACAACCAGTAACAGAAGGAAATTTGAAGAATCCATAAGTATGTGGAAATGAATCAAGGAACTCAAGGGAAATTAGAAAATACTTTGAAATGAATGAAAATGAAAACACAGCATACCAAAACTTATGAGATGCAGCTAAAATAGTGCTTACAGAGAAATTAATAGCTATTAATGCCTGTATTTTTTAAAAGAAGAAAGATACCAAATTAAAAAAAAACTTTTCACTTTAAGAAAAAGAATAGTGAACCAAGCCCAAATCAAGCAGAAGGAAGGAAATAATAAAGATTAGAATGGAAAAAAATGAAATATGGAATTGGAAAAACTAGAGAAAAATTAACAAACCCAAAAGTTGTTATATCAAAAAGATTGATAAGTTTGATAAACATTTAACTAGACTTACCCTAATATCAAAACCACATACAGATATCACAAGAAAAGTACAGACCAATATCTCTCATAAGACACATATAAGATAGATGCACAATTTCTTAACAAAATATTAACATGCCAAATCCAGAAACATTACAAAAAAAATTGTATACCATGACCAAGTGATTTATTCCAGGAATTCAAGGTTGGTTTAATATAAAAAAATCAATTCATATAATACACCATATTTAATAGAATAAAGGGCAAAAACACTCAATTGTCTCAGTGGACACAGGAAAGGCCTCCAACTCCCTCCATGTCCCTCCAAAGGACATTATCTCATTCCTTTTTATGGCTGCATAATATTCCATGATGTATATGTAGCACATTTTCTTTAACCAATCTATCATTGATGGGCATTTAGGTTGATACCATGTCTTTACTATTGTGAATGGTGCTGCAATAAACATACACGTGCATGTGTCTTTATAATAGAACAATTTATATTCCTTTGGGTATATACCCAGGAATGGGATTGCTGGGTCAAATGGTATTTCTGTCTCTAGGTCTTTGAGGAATTCTATACTATCTTCCACAATGGTTGAACTAATTTACACTCCCACCAACAGTGTAAAAGCATTCCTTTTTCTCCACATCACCAGCATCTGTTATTTTTTGAATTTTTGATAATAGCCATTCTGACTGGTATAAGAGGGTCTCTCACTATGGTTTTGATTTGCATTTCTCTAATGATCAGTGTGTTGAGCTTTTCAAAATATGATTCTGGGTCACATGTATGTCTTCTTTTGTGAAGTGTCTTTTCATGTCCTTGGCCCACTTTTTAATTTTTTTTTCTTGTAAATTTGTTTAAGTTTTTATAGATGCTGGATGTTAGACTTTCGTCAGATGCATGGTTTGCAAAACTTTTTTTCCCACTGCGTAGGTTGTCTGTTCACTCTGTTGATAGTTTCTTTTGCTGTACAGAAGCTCTTTAGTTTAAGTAGATCCCTTAATTTACTTATTTGTCAATTTTTGTTTTTGTTACAACTGCTTTTGGCATCTTTGTCATGAAATCTTGGCCCGTGCCTTGGTCCTGAATGGTATTGCCTAGGTTTTCTTCTAGGGTTTTTATAGTTTTTAGTTTTACATTTAAGTCTTTAATCCATCTTGAGTTGATTTTTGTATATGCTGTAAGGAAGGGGTCCAGTTCCAATTTTCTACATATGGCTAGCCAGTTATCCCAGCACCATTTATTAAATAAGGAATCCTTTCGCTATTGCTTGTTTTTGTCACGTTTGTTGAAGATCACGTAGTTGTAGGAGTGCAGTCTTATTTCTGGGTTCTCTATTCTGTTCCATAAGTCTGTCTGTTTTTGTATCAGTACCATGCTGTTTTGGTTACTGTAGCCATGCAGTATAGGTTGAAGTCAGGTAGCATGAGGCCTCCAGCTTTGTTCTTTTTGCTTAGGGTTGGCTTGGCTATTTGGGCTCTTTTTTGGTTCCATGTGAATTTTTAAATAGTTTTTTCTAGTTCTGTGAAGAATGTCAATGGTAGTTTAATGGGAATAGCATTGAATCTATAAATTGCTTTGGGCAGTATTGTCATTTCCACAATACTGATTCTTCCTATCCATGAACACGGAATGTTTTTCCATTTGTTTCCATTATTTCTAATTTCTTTGAGCAGTGGTTTGTAGTTCTCCTTGTAGATGTCCTTCACTTCCCTTGTTAGCTGTATTCCTAGGTATTTTATTCTTTTTGTGGCAATTGTGAATTGGAGTTCATGCGTGCTTTGGCTCTCTGCTTGCCTGTTTTTGGTGTATAGGAATGCTAGCAATTTTTGCACACTGATTTTGTATCCTGAGAATTTGCTGAACTTGCTTATCAGCTGAAGAAACTTTTCGGCTGAGACAGTGGGGTTTTCTAGATATAGGATCATGTCATCTGCAAACAGGAATAGTTTCACTTCCTCTCTTCCTATTTGAGTACACTTTATTCCTTTCTCTTCCCTGAATATGACTGCCCTGGCCAGAACTTCCAATACTGTGTTGAATAGGAGTGATGAGAGAGAGCAACCTTGTCTTGTCCTGATTTTCAAGGGGCTTACTTCCAGCTTTTGCCCATTCAGTATAATATTGTCTGTGAGTCTGTCATATATGGCTCTTATTATTTTGAGGTATATTCCTTCAACACCTACTTTATTAAGAGTTTTTAACATGAAGGGGTATTGAATTTTATCAAAGGCCTTTTCTGCATCTATGGAGATAATCATGTGGTTTTTGTCTTTAGTTCTGTTTATGTGATGAGTCACATTTATTGATTTGCATATGTTGAACCAACCTTGCATCCCAGGGGATGATGAAGCCAAATTTGATCATGGTGGATAAACTTTTTGATGTGCTGCTGGATTCGGTTTGCCAGTATTTTGTTGAGGATTTTTGCTCAATGTTCATCAAGGATAATGGCCTGAAGTTTTCTTTTTTTGTTATATTTCTGCCAGGTTTTGGTATCAGGATGATGCTGGCCTCACAGAATGAGTTAGGAAGGAGTCTCTCCTTTTCAATTTTTTTGAGTAGTTTCCGTAGGAATGGTACTCTTTTCTGTACATCTGGTGGAATTCAGCTGTGAATCCATCTGGTCCTGGACTTTTTTTGGTTGGTAGGCTGTTTATTACTGCCTCAGTTTCAGAACTCGTTTTCAGTCTGTTCTGGGATTCAATTTCTTCTTGGTTTGGTCTTGGGAGGGTGTATGTGTCCAGAAATGTATCCATTTCTTCTAGATTTTCTATGCACATAGAGGTGTTTATGATATTCTCTGGTGGTTGTTTGTATTTCTGTGAGGTCAGTGGTAATATCTCCCTTATCATTTCTGATTGTATTTATTTGAGTTGTCTCTTCTTCTTCTTTATTAGTCTAACTAACAGTCTATCTATTTTATTAACTTTTTTGAAAAACCAGCCTGGATTCATTGATATTTTGAATGGTTTTTTTTTTATGTCTCTATCTCCTTTGATTCAGCTCTGATTTTGGTCATTTCTTGTCTTCTGCTAGCTTTGGGACTTCTTTGCCCTTGGTTCTCTAGTTCTTTTAGTTGTGATGTTAGGTTGTTAACTTGAGATCTTTCTAGCTTTTTGATGTGGGCATTTAGTGCTATAAATTTACTCCTTAATACTGCCTTAGCTGTGTCCCAGAGATTCTGGTATGTTGTATCTTTGTTCTCATTAGTTTCAAAGAACTGCTTGATTTCTCCCTTAATTTCATGATTTACCCAAAAGTCCTTCAGGAGCAGGTTGTTCAATTTCCATGTAGTTGTGTTGTTTTGAGTGAATTTCTTAGTCTTGAGTTCTAATTTGATTGTGTTGTTGCCCAAGAGACTGTTTGTTATGATTTCAGTTCCTTTGTATTTGCTGAGGAGTATTTTACTTCCGATTATGTGATCAATTTTAGAGTAAGTGCCGTGTGGTGATTAGAAGAATGTATATTCTGTTGTTTGGGAATGGAGAGTTCTATAGAGATCTATCAGGTCCATATATTCCAGAGCTGAGTTCAGGTCCTGAATATCTTTGTTAATTTTCTCTCTCAATGATCTGTCTAATGGGGTGTTAAAACCTCCCACTATTATTGTGTGGGAGTCTAAGTCTATTTGAAGGTCTTTTTGAGCCTATGTCTGTCTTTGCATGTGAGATGGATCTCTTGCAGATAGCATACCAATGGGTCTTGGTTTTTTATCCAGCTTGCCACTCTGTGTCTTTTAATTGGGGCATTTAGCCCATTTACACTTAAGATTAGTATTGTTATGTGTGGATTCAATCCTGTCATCATGATGCTAGCTGGTTATTTTGCAGACTTGTTTATGCGGTTGCTTCATAGTGTCACTGGTCTGTGTACTTCAGTGTATTCTTGTAGTGGCTGATAACAGTTTTTCTTTTCCATATTTAGTGCTTCCTTCAGGAGTTCTTGTAAGGCAGGTCTGGTGGTAATGAATTCCCTCAACATTTGCTTGTCCTGAAAGGATCTTATTTCTCCTTCGCTTATGAAGCTTAGTTTGGCTGGATATGAAATTCTGTATTGGAATTTCTTTCCTTTAAGAATGTTGAATATTGGCCCCCAATCTCCTCTGGCTTGTAGGGTTTCCACTGAGAGGTCTGCTGTTAGTCTGATGGGCTTCCCTTTGTAGGTGACCTAGCCTTTCTCTCTGGCTGCCCTTAACATTTTTTCTTTCATTTCTACCTTGGAGAATCTGATGATCATGTGTCCTGGGAATGATCTTCTCATGGAGTATCTCACTGGGGTTCTCTGCATTTCCTGAATTTGAATGTTTGCTTGTCTAGCTAGGTTGGGGAAGTTCTCCTGGAAAATATCCTGAAATATGTTTTCCAAATTGTTTCCACTCTCCCCATCTCTTTCAGATACCCCAATCAGTCATAGATTCCGTCTCTTTACATAATCCCATATTTCTTGGAGGTTTTATTCATTCCTTATCATTCTTTTTCTCTATTCTTATCTGCCCGTATTATTTCATAAAGACAGTCTTCAAGCTCTGAGATTCTTTCAGAGGAAGAATCTTTCAGAGGAAGACTAAGCAGAACTTGGCCTATTCTTCTATGAATACTTCTGATTGCATTGTGAAGTTCTTGTAGTGTGTTTTTCAGCTCGATCAGGTCAGTTATGTTCTTCTCTATAATATCTATTTTGGCTGTCAGCTCCTGCATTGTTTTATCATGATTTTTAGCTTCCTTGCATTGGGTTACAACTTGCTTCTTTAGCTCAGCGACGTTCATTTTTATCCACATTCTGAAGTCTACTTCTTTCATTGCAGTGATCTTAGCCTTACCCCAGTTCCAAACCCTTGCTGGAGAGATGCTGCAGTCATTTGGAAGGAAGAAGGCACTTTGGCTTTTTGAGTTTTTAGTGTTTTTATGCTGATTCTTTCTCATCTTTGTGGGCTTATCTACCTTTGATTTTTGAGGTTGCTGACCTTTGGATGGGGTTTTGGGGTTTCTTTTGTTTTTCTTTTAACAATCTGGCCACTTTTCCATAAAGCTGCTGTGGCTTGCTGAGGGTCCCCTCCAGACTCTAGTCACTTTGGATTTTCCAGTACCTGGAGGTATCACCAGTGAAGGCTGTGAAACAGCAAAAATGGCAACCTGCCCCTTCCCCTGGGAGCTCCATCCCAGGGAGGTATGAACCTATTGCTGGCCTAAACACACCTGTAGGAGATGGCCGGAGACCCCATTTGGGAGGTCTCACCCAGTCAGGAGGAACAGGATTGGGGAGCCACTGAAAGAAGCAATCTAACCACACTTCCGAAGAGAAACTATGCTATGCTGGGCACCACTTGCATCCCCAGTTGGCTTGGGATCTCCAAAGCCTGGAGACTGGTGTGGCTAAGTCGCCAAAACAGCAAAGATGGCAGCCTGCCCCTCCCCCGAGGAGCTCTGTCCCAGGAAGTCTTCAAATCTCTGTCAGCCAGAGAACATCGACAGGAGTGGCTGGAGGCCACAGTTGGGAGGTCCTGCCCAGTGAGAAGGAATGGATTAGGGACCCTCTTAAAGAAGCAGTCTGGCCATATTTTGGTAAAGCAGCTGTGCCACGTTGGGAGATCCTTTCAGCCCCCAGTTGGTTTGAGCTCCCCAAAGCTGAAAGGCTGGAATGGCTGGGATGCCCAAACAGCAAAGGTGGCAGCCCTCTCCACCATCCAGGCACCCTGTCCCAGGGAGAGATCAAAATTTTATGGGCTGTAGAAAATGGGCAGAGGTGGCTGAAGGCCTTGTTTGGGAAGACCCACCCAGTGAGGAGGAATGGATAGGAGTCCTGCTTAAAAAAACAGTCTGGCCACGTTTTGGCAGAGCAGCTGTGCTGTGCTGGGGGATCCTTTCCACACCTGGTGGGTTTGGACTCTCCAAAGTCTACAGGCTGGAACAGCTGAGTCGTCCAAACAGCAAAGGTGGTGCCCCTCACCCCCACCCCAGCCACCCCCAGAACTCCACCTTGTCTCAGGTAGGTGCTACACTGTTGCCCGTGGCTGGCTGGAATTCCAAGCCAGTTGGTCTTATCTGGTGAGGTGCTGTGGAAGTGAGGCCCACAGACCAATGCTGCTCAGCTCCCTGGATTCAGCCTCCTTCCTAGGGGTATGTACAGACCTCCTGCCTTGCCTGAATGGCGGTCACCTTTGCTGGGGTTCCGGAGCCTGAGTATGTAAAGCTCCTGGGTGTCTGTGCATGCCTGAGCAGCTGCTCTGCCAATAATCCAATGCAGCTCTGTGTGTAAGACCCAAAGGCCTGGTGGAGTGGGTTCACAGGGGATCTCCCGATCCAAAGGTTGCAAAGATCGGTGGGAGAAGCATCATTCCCCAGGTTTGCACATTCACTCACCACTTCCCTGGTGGGGGGAGGGGAGGGGGTTTCCTTTGGGTCTGTGTTGCTCCTATGTAGGCCATTGCCCTGCCCTGCTTTCCTCTATCCTCTGTGGGTCGAGCTGATTCCTTAATCAGTCCCAATGCAAGTATCTGGATGTTTCAGATAAAGGTTTTGAAGTACCCACCCCTTTGTTCCTCTCTGAGAGAGCCATGCCCCATACCTGCTTCTAGTTGGCCATCTTTGAAAATAAAATTAAGAAAACAATTTCATTTACAAGCACATCAAAAAGAGTAAAATACTTAAGAAAAAATTTAACAAAGAAGTGAAAGACTTGCAGCCTAAAAAGTATAAAGAAATTAAGGAAGACCTAAATAAATGAAAAAAATCCCATGTTCATGGACCAAAAGACTTTGTTAGAATGGCAATACTCCCTAAATTGATTTACAGATTCAATGAAATTCCTATTAGAATCCCAGCTGGTTTCATTGCAGAAATTGATAACCTAAAATTCATATGGAAAAGAGAGAGATGCAGATTAGTCAAACAATGTTTAAAAAGACAGATAAAGTTGGAGCAGTCACAACTCCCAATTTCAAAATTTGCTATAAAGCTACAGTAATCGAGACAGTGTGGTACTGTCATAGGACAGACACAGAGATTGATAAAATAGAATTGATAGTCTAGAAATAAACCATTACATTTATGATGAATTGATTTCCAACAGAGGTGCTAAGACAGTTCAATGGTGGAAAAAATAGTCTTTTCAACAAATGATGCTGGGAAAACTAGATATCCATATAAAAAATGAAGCTGGATCCCTACCTCACACCATATGCAACAATTAGCTCAAAATGGATCAGATCTAAATGTTGCAGCTAAAACTATAAAAGTCTTAAAAGAACATATACGAATAAATCTTTGTATACTTGAATTATGCAATGGTTTCTTAGATATGGCACCAAAGACACAATTGACAAAAGAAAAATAAATCAATTGAACCTCCACATTTAAAACTTTGCGCTTCTTTTGCCAGAGATTCAGGTTTTAAAAAACAAAAAGCCTTTGTGCTTCAAAGGACGCTATCAAGAAAGTGAAAAGATGATCCATAGTAAGGGAGAAAATATTTACAGATATGTATCAGATAAGGGATTGTAACCAGAATATATAAAGAAGTCTTACAACTCAATAATAAAAAATAAATAACCCAATTTTTTAAATGGGCAAAGGATTTGAATAGAAATTTCTCAAAAAATAATACAAATGGTCAATAAGAGCATGAAAAGATGCTCAGCATAGGTAGTCATTAGGAAAACGCATATCAAAACTACAAAGAGGCCGGGCATGGTGGCTCATGCCTGCAATCCCAGCACTTTGGGAGGCCGAGGCTGGCAGATCACCTTAGGTTAGGAGTTTGAGACCAGCTTGGCCAACATGGTGAAACCCCGTTTCTACTAAAAATACAAAAATTAGCCAGGCATGGTGGCACGTGCCTGTAGTCCCAGCTACTTGGGAGGCTGAGGCAGGAGAATCACTTGAACCCAGGAGGTGGAGACTGCAGTAAGCCAAGATCGTGCCACTGCACTCCAGCCTGTGCAACAGAGTAAGACTCCATCTCCAAAAAAAAAAAAGAAAAAAGAAAAAAAACACAATGAGATACCACTTTACAGCCACTAGGATGGCTAGAATCAAAAGAATGGACAATAGTAAGTTTTGTTGACAATGTGGAACCCTCACGCATTGTTGATGGGAACAAAATGGTGTAGTCACTTTGGAAAACAGTTTGATAGTTCGTCAAAATGTTAAATATATAATTACCATATGACTCAACAATTTCACTTCTAGGTATATACCCAAGAGAAATAAAGCATATGTCCACACAAACACTTGCACATAAATATTTATAGCAGCATCATTCATAATAGCTAAAAGGGAAAACAGCCCAAACATCCAACTGATGACAGACAAACAAAATGTGGCATATCCATACAATGGAATGTTATTCAGCCATAAAAAGGAATGGGGAATGGATCCATACCACCACATAGGTAACCTTGAAAACACTAACTGAAAGAAGCCAGATGTGAAGGTCACATATTGATACTTCTATTTATGTGAAATGTTCAGAATAGGAAAATCTATAGAGCCAGAAAGTAGATTTGTGGTTGCCAGGGGCTTTCGATGACAGGAGGGGAGGGGAGCAGTCATTGCTAGTGATTACAGGGTTCTTGAGAGGGAGTGAGAAAAAATGTTCTAAAATGTATTGTGGTGATGGTTGCATAACTCTGTGAACATACAAAAACCATTGAATTCTATACTTTAAAAAGGTAAATTTTATGGGATGTGGATTATAGCTCAATAAAGCTGTCATTAAGAAAGGAAAAGGAAGGGAGGGGAGAAGAGGGAAAGGGGAGGGAGGGGAGGGGAGGGGAAGGGGGGAGAAAAAAGATACATCGTGGCATATCTCTTCCCTTTTACCTGTCATTATGTGTCAGTGCCTCCCATTGGCCTAAACTACCCAGAAGCCAGAGGGAAAGCCATTTGGGACTATATTCCACTGTGACACTGAGCAGAGCAAGGGAAGGATGGGGACACTTCTCTCACACATCTCTGACTCCCCAACATCTAACCCATGGCCTGGCATGTGATATTCATGCTATAAATATTTGTTGAATCAGTAAATGGCCCCTCATCTAGATTCTGCCAGGCAGCGCAGGGGGCTTTTTGAATGTAAATGACCTAATGATTCAGGATCCTATGACCAGCGACTGTCACCCTCTGTCACCTTTCTTCTGCCCCTTTATCTCTGAAGGCATTGAAGGGGCCCTGCATGAGTCAGGGAGGGCTGGGGGGAGGAGCAAGGGTGGGAGGGGCAGGGAAGAGGGTGGCTTCTCCGACAACTTAAAAGGGGCTTGAACCACTTCCTCCCCAGACAGGGGTAGTGCGAGGCCGGGCACAGCCTTCCTGTGTGGTTTTACCGCCCAGAGAGCGTCATGGACCTGGGTGAGTGAGCCTCTTCATGTGAGAAGGAACAGTACCAGGGTCTTGGACACCCAGACTGACCCTGTGGAATGGGGGTGGAGGATGCGGGTGGAGCGCATAGGGGTGCTTCCTGGAGAAATCAGTTCTGATTTGGTGGGCATTGGAAGCTACTTCCAGAGAATGCCCCCTGCTGTCCCAGGAGGGGTGCACCTGCCCTTTCAGACCTGGAGAAGGGGTCAGCCTTTGGTGCCAGTGGGGACAAGGGAGGGGCCGAGATCATGTCTTTCTAAAACAGCAGGGACATAAGAGAGTGGCGGGGCTGGGCTTGGTGGTCTGGCAGAACCTGTTCTCATCATGAGGGTGATAGGTTAGGCCCTCTGGGACCTCTGGGGACAGGTTTCAACAGAGAAATTCTCCCTAGAGAGCTTAGGACCTTTTACCCACTCTCTGATTCCCACCTTTCTCCCCTGCCAAATATTCATATACCTGTCCACTTGGGGTCATGAGGAGATGCAAATGAAACGTGACTGGGTTGTGAGAATGGTGCGGTGCATTGCAAATGCAAGCTCTGGTTGCTTTCTCTCTGCTGCACATCCCACCTGCTTTGATCTGGCTTTGCTGTTGCCTCTTGCAAGTTAAGGAACGGGCAGGCAACATGGAATGGGATGGCAAGGGGCACTCAGCTTGGAGAAATCATAGCCAGGCCTTCAGCACAGCCCCTGCCCCTGAGCAAACCTCACGCACTCTGCCCCGGCAGATAACTCTACTCTTTAGAAAGCCCTTTCTCAGGTCTAACCTAGAAGGGGTCAAGGGGAAGCACTGAGGGTGTTCTGAGTGGTTCATCCAGCTCCAGACGCCCCCTTTATAAATCTCAGCTGTGGAGTCAGACCAGGCTGAGGCTAAGAAGACCAGGTTCCTAGATGGCTTGTCTCACCAGCAAACAATGCACCACGGCGGCCTCAAAGCCGCAAAGGGTTGGCTTTAAAAAGTGAAGGTTCCCTGGTGCTGTCCTCACACCCCTCCTCGCCACACCACAGCCTCCTTGATTTCATCTCTTACTTTCCCGCCTGCCCTGAACGCTGGATCTGGACCCAGCAAACAGCTGTGAAAGGGTTAAAGTGGTCACCCCACCCACTGACTGTGAACTCCTGAAAGGCAGGTTCAGGTGCTTTGAGGATGTGAGGAGAAAATGTCTGCGGAATGAATGAATACACCGTATCAAGAACTCCGTAGAGTTTAGTTTTTGAAAATCTCTTCCAAATGCCTCATTTCCCAGCCAATCTACCCTTAAATCCCACTCCCCTGCACCCCCTCCACCACCCCCCATCACAATCCCACAGTACAGACGTCACCCACAGAAGACCCTGCTCCAGCCTTTCATACTGGCCTCCAGGAAGGAAACCAAGCAGTGCCCAGTGGTGTGCTACTGGGCATTTGAAAAGCAGCTCCCCGGGGTGGAGCACTGGTAGCTGACTCCAGGGTGGAGGGAAAGTCCTGAATTTGTAGTGCTTGCCAATTTCCATGGTGTAAATTCTCCCACCCTGGCTGATTGATTTCAAGCCATCTACATGACTGAACAGGGGGTTGGGAAGATGTGCAGAGTGTCTTACCCCAGACTAGGTTTAGGGGTGCTAGACTCCTAGGCTTTGATGCAGGGAGAGAGGGTAATCTCTGGTCCAGGAAGAAGGGATATTCTTGCCACTTCACTCAACTTGAGAGAGCCCCAACGGTCAAACCCGAAATACTGGTAGGAGGGGAAGCCGCTGACAAGCTTTACTCAAAACGGGCTCTCTGGGCCGTTGATGGGGTGGGTGGGCCTTGGAGGATCTGTTGTTCTGCTCTTCATCTGCCCAGCAAGGAGCAAGAGGTGGGTGAGGAGGGAGGGTTTCTGTTACACAAAATGAAAACTCCCAAGCAGGGCTGAGCTGGCCTTTTTCACGGTTTGAATGAGCAGCTCTGAGGCACCCTCCCCACCTTCGAGCAATGAGACCGAAGATCTTTCATAATTCTCAAAAGCAAAGCAAGGAAAAAATGAACCCATGAGAGATGTGTGCCTCACAGCTCGGACATAAATGGTGGCAAAGGGGGATGCTGAAGCTAATTCAGGGCCAGTTTCTTGCCTGCCAGAAACTTGGCTGGGGAGGAGAGGAACGCTGCAGCCTGGGGTCGCTGTTGGAAAAAATCTCTCCTCTTTGCTTCGGACATTCAGGCAACTCTCATTGTTTGAGGGATTCAGGGATGACCAGTCTGGTGGGGAGAGTGACACATATGTCACAAAGCCACTGCAACAGAATAAGATACAGCATTGACCAGGGCAAGGGCAAGACAAGAAGGGAATAGTGAACCTGGGTCAGAGAGGTATTTAAGGTGGGTTTTCAAGGGTGTGTAGGAGTTGTCAAGCCCAACAAGGAGCTGCAATGGGCCCAGGATGTGGCAGGAATGGCAAACTCCATTGCCATCAGAGGCCGACAAGGTAATAGAGGGAATGGGCATAAGGTGCAGGAAGTGGAGGGGAGTAGAGTGACCCAGAGGGTGCATGCCCCACCTAAAGGCATTCAAATCTATTATTTCAAAAACTCCATGCTGACAAGCAGAGTGTCCTGGGGACTAAGGCTGCAGCCGTGTAGATGGTCAGCTGAGACAACAGTAACAGAGACAAGAAAGAAGCAAGCGGAGGGGAGGGTGGAGTAGCTGGCCATGCCAAGGAGGAAGATGAGGAGGAAGGACGCAGGCACAGGAGACCCAATCCTTAAAACGTGGTACGGCATCCCTAAGGAATTTGAACTTTATCCTGAAAACAATGGGGACCCATCAAAGATTTTTATTTTTCAAGTAGGTGAATTAAAGGATGAGATTTGTGTTTTGGAAGGAGTTCTGTGGCAGCAAAGAGGCAGCAAAGCCCGTGTCAGAACAGAGGTGGGGCCGGCTCTTTTGGGGGCCGGGATGTTGGGGGATGGAAGCAGGAAGCACTGGTGGCCAGTGGGGCATGGGGAGCAAAGATTCCCCTCATGCTCCGTGGAGCGTCCTAGATGCAGCAGGCTCATCAGAAACACAGCCTGATGCAGTAGCCAGAGCCCAAACCTTGCTATCCTGTTCAAATCTCAGGTCCCTCTCTTAGCAGCTGTGTGGCCCCAGGCATTTGGCTTAATCTCTCTGGGCCTCTATTTTCTGGAATCTAAGATGAGGATCACCAGGGTAGCTCATGAGATGTTATGAGGGAGAGACACATACAGACCCAGTGGCCGCACAGAAGGATGGTTAGGAGTGTGGTTGCTGGAGTTGGAGGGTTTCAAAGCCTGCTCCCCTGCTGGCCATTGTGTGACTCTGAGAAAGTTACTTGCTGTGTTTCAGTTTCTCATTGGTAAATGGGGATAATAGTAGCGCCTACCTCATGGGGCTTTTGAGAGGATGAAATGAGACCATACATGCAGACAGTGTGGCACGCAGTGAGAGCTCAGTGAATATGAATTATCTCATTGGATACAGCAGTTGATAACATAGAAAATGCAAGGTCTACCAGGCTCTCACCCATCCCTGCCTACTGTCTGAAAGTGGATTCCCCAGATCTCTAGACCTCTCACCACCTCCCTGCTTCTCCTCTGCCTCCCTTATCCAAAAAAAAAGAGAGAGAGAGAAAAGTTGTGTTGGCAGGTGAGGAAGTTCAAAGAGGAAAAAGCTTGGGGTCGCTCTTGGGGCGAGCTGATTGGGCAACTGTGATTTCCTGGGCAGTCTGGAGGACCTGGAAAAATGTGGGGATGGAAGTTCATGGTTTGGAGATGGGGGCAGCCAGCCAATAATTTTCTTTCCTGGATGGGCAGTCTCTCATGTTGGGGGCTCCGGTTGGAGTTCTAGGGAATTTTCATGATGATCATTACTGAAAACTCAAGAACTCAGAAAACACCCAACATCTAGGTCAACCACTCCTTAGCCCCAGAGATTCCCAACTTCATTGGTCTCACTGAAGCTGCTGCCCAAGACCAGTTTCTTTATGACTTTGTAACAGACAGGGATGATCTGACTCAAGGCCACTGACCAGGCTCCCTTTTGCCACATACAAGAGTTCCCCTAAGTTTCCCTGTGATGTTTCTTGAAAGCCACCTGTTTTGGACCTACAAGACCCTTGCTCATCCACCTCCTCCAAAACACCTGGAATGAGAAATCACAGGCACACACGCCAGCACTCCCCCAACTCCCCTCCCCTGACGGGAACAGCAGGAGTGGGACAGCGTCCGGGAGAAGGGGTTATCAACAGAGTTCAACAGAAACACAGTTCTTGCTCCTCAGATCTCACCCGTTGTGACTTATCAAAACTTTGAGGTTTCTCATTTCTCCCTGACAGTCAGAGCGGGCTTTCTCTAGAGTAACCGAAAGACACTTACGTGTTTTAAAGAAACCTCGAGACTCGACCTCTAGATGAGTCAGTGGAGGGCGGGTGGAGCGTTGAACCGTGAAGAGTGTGGTTGGGCGTAAACGTGGACTTAAACTCAGGAGCTAAGGGGTAATTCAGTGAAAAAGGGGAATGAGCGGTGGGGAGCTCTGTTGCAACAGGGTCCAATCGCAGCAGGACTACAAATGCCCGAGCGCAGGCTGGGAACGAGGGGACAGCGGCTGCCTGTCCCCAGAATAGAAAATGCAGCTAGGAAGCCCTCTTTGAGTGGACAGCGGAGGACTGGACTGCCAGGCCAAGCATCAGGGGCTTCATCCTCAGGGCCGGTTAGAGCCCCTGAGGATTTAGGAGGAAGGTGAGGTGGGGACTGCCATCAGAGCTAAGCTTTAGGCAGATGTGTCTAGCAGTAGTGTGCAGGACTATTTGCTCAAGGCGGGAGAAATACCTATTTATTTATGTAGCCCGATGCAGTCTCTCCTTCCCGGAGGAACTCCCAAGCCCAGAATCCCTGGCTTTACACAATTTCCGGGGAACACATTAACCAACTGCAACCTGGGTGCCATGCAGGGAGGCTTCCAGCAGGTGGTGCTGTGGCCAAGGACACGGAAGCGCTGGGCTCTCACTGCTTCCCCAGCCTCCAGGAGAAGGTGCCTTAAACAGGTTCCCACGCATTTCCTGGCGCTATTGAGCTTGGAGCTGCCAAGGGCCTGCCTTCACTTGTGGCATCGCAGTTACTGACTCTCCAGTGGGCCAGGCCCTACCTAGCTGGGACCTGAGGGTCAGGATACGGGAAGAGGGCTACTGCCGCCCTGACTTGTAGGTAAGCTAAAACATCTAGGCAAATTACTCTGTCAACTGTCCTCCCTGCTCAGCCTCAGGAAGAAATAAGTTCCTGCTGGGCCCCAGGCTCAGCCACAAAACCAGACTGAGCACATCTGGGCCTTGTGCTACACCGGGGTCCCCATCAGCTGCTCAGACCCCAGGAAGCCTCCTGACTTCCAGAACACGTCGCTTCCCAAAGCTGACCCTGTTCCCCCTTTCACCTGCCCCCCAAGCCTAAGTTAGAAAACAAGTTAAAGGAGAGAAAGTGTGTGCAGGCACTTCAGTTAAGCAAAAAAATAAAGAAGTCGTGACATCAGGAAAGAGCGTCCTTCCCCCACACTGCAACAGGACAGCATCCCTTCTGTGTCCTCTCGGGCCATCTTGATGCCCTCTCCCTTGGAAAAAGGACAGGCATTCGTTTACTTGTCATTCATGTATTTATTCATCATTCATGTATTTATCATTCATATATTCATCAGCACACAATTGTGGGGCACCTCCTCAATTCTGGGCCTGCACAAGATAAAAGGGAAGGGATCTCTGTCCCAAAGGCAGGCCAAGGGTGTGCGCCCAGTGGACCAACAGTCAGTGCTGAATGAATGTCATTTCAGTGAGGGGGTGTTGTGGAGCTGGTGGAGCCCTGAGGCAGTCTCCATCGCTGTGGACCAGTAAGGAACCTCATCCCTCTACCCAGCCTGTGAGGTCATCCTCCTTCCTCAGCCCACCTCCCTCAGGAGACACTCAGGCTTGGCTTCATGCACGTGTGGCTGCGCACTCACCTGGATGCCAGGAAAATGCTCCTGGGCCAGTGGCTACCAGCACCAAAGCAGGGCTGGAAACGTGTGCACCTACCCCACGACCTCATAGCTTTGCCGCCTCATCCCACATCAGGTGGAGTGGGAGGGGGCACTCAGACCCACCAACCAAGCTCAGTCTTGAGGGGTGGTCTGGGCTAGAGAAGACTTCCCAGCTCCAAGAAGCAGCCCAGATGGGCCAAGACAGGGGGTGGGAGGGGCTGCCCTGCATTCTGATGCTGCTTCTTTCCAGGACCTGGGAGTGGAGGAGGACAAGAAGGAGGTGAGGACAGTGATGCCGGGCAGCAGGCCAGGTGTTCAAAGGCACAATCTGGTTCTGATGTTCTCTTTCAGCAAACACAGTGCCTGGAGCTTGGGAGGAAAGTTCCCAACAGCGTCTCCCCCTCCACTGCTTTCTTTAATAACAAAGACTTGTCCCTGCCAAGCAATAACTTTCTCGCCTTGTCTCCTACAGGGAAACCAATGAAAAGCGTGCTGGTGGTGGCTCTCCTTGTCATTTTCCAGGTGAGGTTCTCTGCCAAGGAAAGCTCTGTTCCCTTCTCCACACGGCCTCCCAAGTCAGGGGTTTAGTGGAGGAGCTGGGCATTTGCTAGAAGATACAAGACCCAGACATAAGCCCGCCTGCCACTCATTAAGCTAATGGCTGCCCCCTCACCATCTGCTGAGTGACCCTGGAGAGCCACAGATGTTCTCTGGACTTCCTTTACTCCATTTAGGTTAAAACATGGGGGAAAATAACTTACCACCTTCCCTATCCCACCTCCAATCTCCCTGCCCAGGAGACAGAAATATGGACTCTGAGTTCTTAGAGAGAGAAGAGCTGCAAAAAGCAAAAAATGTTACTGGGTTTTGTGCACGTGTGCTGAGAAAATCACCCTGGATCTGGCGATCTTGTTACTATCCTATCGCCCCAAAGTTGTCTCTTTCCAACCTTCACCCAAAGGCTTCCCTCGCAGCCCCCGTTTTCTTTGGTGAAATAGAGACCCATCCGGCCTCCCTGGCAGGGGAGGGAAGAGAGGATGGGGCCCTAGGGATGGGGAGAGGGGTGGATGAGCACACACTTTATAGCAGGCCTGAACTCGGCAGGAACAAAGACCCTCACTTTACAAAGTTCTGTTTCTCCATCCAGAAACAGACAGAAAGTGTGCCTCACCAAGTGCCAAAGTTAGAAGAAACTGTAACTCGCAGAGTCAACTTTCTCCCATTTGTTAGAGGTGGGAGCTCAGAGTAGGGGTAGGGGAGTCCAACTGAGGCCAGAGCTAGAGAGGCAGTGCTTCAGAATTCGGCTCATCCCCAGGTCTGGAGGCCAGAGGGGCAGCTTTCCAGAAGCTCAGGCCAGAGGCAGGCCCCAAGCTGGGCACTGTTCCCAAAACCCCATCCCAGAGGCCCCCCGGAGCCTGGGCTGCAGCCCATAGCCTGGCCCCCTTCCCCATCACCACTCCCTCCTCTCTCTCCCCTGTCTCCAGGACTCTGGGGGGCTGTATTGCTGGCAGTGGAGGCTGGAAGGGTGGGAAGGGGAGGAGGACAGCTGAGGCTCATTCTTCCCTTTCACTTGGGGAGGGGGTGCTCAGATAGGGCAGGATGTGGTGGGGCTGTGGGCTGCAGAGGCAGTGAGGCTAGGGGAGGGAGAATTATAAAACAGGAACAAGGTTCAAGGGGAGAAGGGAAGGCAGGACTGGATGATGCAGAGTGCACTTCATAGAGGCCGGGAGTACTGCCCTCCAGGAAGGCTGAGACCCCCTCATGTCCAGGGACCCCGGGTCTAAGGCCTTGGGCCGTAACCATGGCTGGGCCAAAGGCAGCAGCCTCCTTCAGGGCTCCCAGGCTGCAGCCATGCCCAGGAAAGGGAAGAGGGGTTGCCACTGACTTTTCGTCTCAGGCTAGCAATGGCCAAAGAAAAGGCTCCTGGACATCATTTTGTCCTCACCATGTTCCCAAGCAGGACAGTGATGAATCCAGAACCTGGGTGTGAAAAAGAGATAGAGACAAGATGCGGTGAATCCCTCCAGCATAAATGGATAGAAACCCACCGTCGCTGAGCTGCTGAATCTGGTTCCTGGTGATAGAACCATGAGCCTCGTGAGGCAGGTCCTCCAGCCCAGCTCCCTGCCCTGCACAAACCCGTCCATCGCTGTGCGCAGAGGCAGGGGCAGGCATGGACCCCCTCCTTCATTGATAAAATCACAGCAGGCTGCTGAACCTTCACCCGACCCTGCAGACGGCTAAAAAAAGCTCCAGCAGCTGAGTCCTGCTGATTGGGATCTGCCGGAAGAGATGCGAGGAAGAGAGAGGCAGAGAGGTGGGGGGAGAGGGCGGGAGCACAGAGGGAGAGTGGGAGATGAGAGCTGCGCTTCCTTCCAGGGACACAGCTGCTGAGGAGTCCTCGCCCCCACCCCCATGGCCCATCATCCATTCACGGAGTTTATGGCACTTGGGCTCACGTTGCCTGAGCTCCTGCTGGGTGCTAAGAGGGGACCCAGGATCTAGAGTCTCTCCAGGTCACCCACCACCCATGATCACAGCAGTTTGCCCCAAACCCAAGGCTTCATGGCCTCAAAATGGGAGCATTTGCCTTCCTCTCTTCTTACTCCAGGCCCTCCTCAACCTTGACCCCCAGGTGGATTTTCCCCCTAAAGCTGAGGTCTTTTGTAAGCCCCCTGGAAAACTCCACCAAGTTCTAAAGGAGGGTCAAGAAGAAAGACACATGTTCCCTCTCTCACGGAGCTTCCAGGGGGCAAAATTAAAGCTCCATGGAGAGGAAATGGTGCTGGAGCCTGGGCTAGGTACCTCACAGCAACCATGGGAAGCAAATAGGATTCATCTCCATTTCACAGAAGAGAAAACTGAGGCTCTGAGAGAGAGAGAGAGAGACAGAAAGAGTTTAACCAGCTCAAGGCTCATCTGGCCCCAGAGCCCAGCTGATTTCCAGTCCCCTGTCAGCACATGTAGAGTCTCTCAGACTTGGCAAAATCAGCCACTTGCTACTTACTAGCAGAACTGTAGAATCTCAGGCCCCACCTTAGCCTACTGATTCAGGATAGACATGTTCACAGGATTAATCAGGTGATGCGTATTGGAGTTAAAATTTGAGAAGCACTGATTTAAAACCAAAGAATCACCTGGAGACTTTAGGAAAACACAGATTCCTAGACCCATCACTTGAGATTCTGGTTCAGAATTCTCAGGTGGGGCCTGAGAATTTGCATTCCTAACAAGTTCCCAGGTGATGCTATGATACTGATGATGCGGACCTCACGATGAAACCACTATTCCTCCCGCCTGGGCAACATGGCAGAATCCCATCTCTACTAAAAATACAAAAATTCGCTGGGTGTGGTGGCATAAGGCTGTGGTCCCAGCTACTCAGGAGGCTGAAGTGGAAGGATCACCTGAGCCTGGAGAGGCCGAGGCTGCAGGGAGCCATGATTGCACCACTGCACTCCAGCCTGGGCAACAGAGTGAGACCATGTCTCAAGAAAAAAAAAAAAGAAAGAAACCACTGCTCTAGGCTAAATCCCAGCCAGAGTTGGAGCCACCCAGCTAAACTGGCCTGTTTTCCCTCATTTCCTTCCCCGAAGGTATGCCTGTGTCAAGATGAGGTCACGGACGATTACATCGGAGACAACACCACAGTGGACTACACTTTGTTCGAGTCTTTGTGCTCCAAGAAGGACGTGCGGAACTTTAAAGCCTGGTTCCTCCCTATCATGTACTCCATCATTTGTTTCGTGGGCCTACTGGGCAATGGGCTGGTCGTGTTGACCTATATCTATTTCAAGAGGCTCAAGACCATGACCGATACCTACCTGCTCAACCTGGCGGTGGCAGACATCCTCTTCCTCCTGACCCTTCCCTTCTGGGCCTACAGCGCGGCCAAGTCCTGGGTCTTCGGTGTCCACTTTTGCAAGCTCATCTTTGCCATCTACAAGATGAGCTTCTTCAGTGGCATGCTCCTACTTCTTTGCATCAGCATTGACCGCTACGTGGCCATCGTCCAGGCTGTCTCAGCTCACCGCCACCGTGCCCGCGTCCTTCTCATCAGCAAGCTGTCCTGTGTGGGCATCTGGATACTAGCCACAGTGCTCTCCATCCCAGAGCTCCTGTACAGTGACCTCCAGAGGAGCAGCAGTGAGCAAGCGATGCGATGCTCTCTCATCACAGAGCATGTGGAGGCCTTTATCACCATCCAGGTGGCCCAGATGGTGATCGGCTTTCTGGTCCCCCTGCTGGCCATGAGCTTCTGTTACCTTGTCATCATCCGCACCCTGCTCCAGGCACGCAACTTTGAGCGCAACAAGGCCATCAAGGTGATCATCGCTGTGGTCGTGGTCTTCATAGTCTTCCAGCTGCCCTACAATGGGGTGGTCCTGGCCCAGACGGTGGCCAACTTCAACATCACCAGTAGCACCTGTGAGCTCAGTAAGCAACTCAACATCGCCTACGACGTCACCTACAGCCTGGCCTGCGTCCGCTGCTGCGTCAACCCTTTCTTGTACGCCTTCATCGGCGTCAAGTTCCGCAACGATCTCTTCAAGCTCTTCAAGGACCTGGGCTGCCTCAGCCAGGAGCAGCTCCGGCAGTGGTCTTCCTGTCGGCACATCCGGCGCTCCTCCATGAGTGTGGAGGCCGAGACCACCACCACCTTCTCCCCATAGGCGACTCTTCTGCCTGGACTAGAGGGACCTCTCCCAGGGTCCCTGGGGTGGGGATAGGGAGCAGATGCAATGACTCAGGACATCCCCCCGCCAAAAGCTGCTCAGGGAAAAGCAGCTCTCCCCTCAGAGTGCAAGCCCCTGCTCCAGAAGATAGCTTCACCCCAATCCCAGCTACCTCAACCAATGCCAAAAAAAGACAGGGCTGATAAGCTAACACCAGACAGACAACACTGGGAAACAGAGGCTATTGTCCCCTAAACCAAAAACTGAAAGTGAAAGTCCAGAAACTGTTCCCACCTGCTGGAGTGAAGGGGCCAAGGAGGGTGAGTGCAAGGGGCGTGGGAGTGGCCTGAAGAGTCCTCTGAATGAACCTTCTGGCCTCCCACAGACTCAAATGCTCAGACCAGCTCTTCCGAAAACCAGGCCTTATCTCCAAGACCAGAGATAGTGGGGAGACTTCTTGGCTTGGTGAGGAAAAGCGGACATCAGCTGGTCAAACAAACTCTCTGAACCCCTCCCTCCATCGTTTTCTTCACTGTCCTCCAAGCCAGCGGGAATGGCAGCTGCCACGCCGCCCTAAAAGCACACTCATCCCCTCACTTGCCGCGTCGCCCTCCCAGGCTCTCAACAGGGGAGAGTGTGGTGTTTCCTGCAGGCCAGGCCAGCTGCCTCCGCGTGATCAAAGCCACACTCTGGGCTCCAGAGTGGGGATGACATGCACTCAGCTCTTGGCTCCACTGGGATGGGAGGAGAGGACAAGGGAAATGTCAGGGGCGGGGAGGGTGACAGTGGCCGCCCAAGGCCCACGAGCTTGTTCTTTGTTCTTTGTCACAGGGACTGAAAACCTCTCCTCATGTTCTGCTTTCGATTCGTTAAGAGAGCAACATTTTACCCACACACAGATAAAGTTTTCCCTTGAGGAAACAACAGCTTTAAAAGAAAAAGAAAAAAAAAGTCTTTGGTAAATGGCAAATGAGCGTGTCTTTGTTTTGCAATCCCCCACACCCCACCTGACCGTCCCCTCTCCCCTCCTCCCTGCCCTCTCCCAGGCCTCGTTTCTTAGAGACGCTCAGAACCACAAAGTTGCTCAGGAATGCTCTGAGCCCGTCTGGTGACACAGGACCAAGAGGCTGAAAGGTAGAAGGAAGATGAGGACAGGAGGTCCATCTTGCAAATACCCTTCCAGAGTTCAAGGGATAGGCCCCAAGCCTGCACAGTCAGCACTGAACCGGACATGCTGATCCTACTGCAGCTTTGGGAAGGCCAACTTTTCCGGGTAACCTCGATACCTGGGGACTCTGCATTTAGCAGCTCTTGCACAGTAGCCTGCTCACCTGTCCCAGCTCAGACCAGAACTAGAGCCCTTAACCTTTTGTCAGCCCCTTAGACTCTGAAAGCTGGGGTTTGGAGGGAGGGCCTTTCTGTGGGCTTGGAGACCACAGCATACTGGACTAGGGGTCAGGGATGAGACCCTTTGCTGGCATGAGAGCTGGAACCACCCATGATCCTCTCTGCTAGCCACTGTAGCAGCAGTGGCCTCCGTGGTGTATGTCATAGTCCCTTCCTGCTGGTACAACAAAATGCCACCGATGGAGTAATTTACAAACCATAGAAATGTATTTCTCACAGTTTTAGAGGATTGGAAGTCCAAGATCAAGACGCCAACAGATTCAGTGTCTGGTGTGGACTCTCTCTGCTTCCGAGATGGGGCCTTGCCATGCCCTCTGGAGGGGACAAACACTGTGTCCTCATGTGGTAGAAGAGTGGAAGATCACAATGAGCCTAACTAGTTCCCTCCTGCTCTTTTATTGCTATAAGGGCATTAATCCCGTTCACAAGGGTGGAGCCTTCATGACCTAATCAACTCCCAAAGGCCCCCCCCAACTTCTCATACCATTGCCTTGGGGTTTATGTTCCAACCATATGAATGTCGGAAAGATACATACATTCAAACCATAGTGTGGATACTGACTGTGGAGGAGCAGGGAGAGAGGGACAGACAAAGGCCCCCACACAGGCCAGGTGTCCGTGTCATTTCGTGCCTTGGTGCCACCCAGAGCCGTGACTTCTGCAAGCCAGAGAGCAGGTCAGTCCAACCTACAATGCGTCAAGAGGGGTCTGAAGGACCCAGAGCTGCAATAGCTCTGGGCCGTGGGGAGCTAGAGGGAGGGCTGAGGCACTCACGCAATAGGTGATTCCATCCATTTCCCCAAGTGGAAAGAGCCTCGTTGAAAATGGAGCTGCCTGGTAATGACACCCATTCGCTCATCTCGCAAGCACGTGACATTACCCTCCTCCGAGAGATGCACTGGGCTGGAAGGTTTTTAACAAGATTTGTCAGCTGGTCTCCAAGCCGGGAATTGGCGCCCTGAGAGGAATGAGCCTGGCACGGATGCAGTCAGCGTGGAGCGGCGTTTGCAGCAATGGCATTAAATATTAAAAGGCACAGCTGCGACTGTGTGCGTGAGCGTGTGGCCAGGGGGCAATGCCAGTGTGCGTGTGTGTCCCCGAGGGGAACCTGCCGGAGCGCATGTGCGTGTGGAGCCCGCTGGTGTGGACATCCTAATGAGGTTACAGATGGGAAAACAACCCTCGGTTCCTGAAGGGGAAGAATGTAACAGAGCAGTCATGCAAAAGGCAGCCAGGCCAGCCGCACAAATGCGCCCCCTCAGCTGCAGATACATTTTTCTAGAATAACTGGACATCTCCAAATATTTACAGAGAAAACAAAACCCCCAGCAATGTCAATTCCCTCGAACTGCTGTGTCTCAGAAGTTCTGACCTCGGTTCAGTGCTGGCCTGATCCCTGCTCCCTTGCCCGAGGCTCTCATGTGCCCATCTTGAGCTTGGGGTGACCCCTGGGAAGAAGGAAAAGGCCCCCTGGGAGGCCCACCCAGGGCTTCTCTCTTCTTTTCTTACCTGCTTCATACATCTGAACCCTCTTCCCAGGTTCACAGCCAATAAGCCTTCTCCAGTCACCTGAAATTTCCTTTTCATTTCATCCCCAGGCCCTCATCTCCCTCATCCTTGCTGGCTGCAACCCCAAGCCAAGCCCAAGGTATTCCCAGGCCACAGGTCTTCCCTTTCAGCTAGAAGCACCACACCTTTCTCATCACAGACTCACAGAGCTCCAAGGGACCTCAAAGATCAGCTGGGCCAATCCCCCAGTCATTTTCTAGATGGTGAAACTGAGGCCCAGCGGGGAGAAGCTGACTTGCCTGAAGAGGCGTGGCAATGCAGGGATATTGGTTAAACTTGCTTTGGAAGCCTGAGCGTCTGGCAGGGTTGCAGGAGGGTGTGGGGGAGAGCAGAGACTCTGGAGCTCTGCCGACTTTGAATCTCATCTCTACTGCTTCCCAGCTATGTGACCTTCAGCTGTTGCCCAACTGGTCTGAGTCTTGGGTTTCTCAACTGCAAAATGGAGAGGATTTGTGTAAACAGTTAGCACAGTGCCTGGAATGTTGAGTGTGGTGGTGAGGAAGAGGGACTTTGCAGCCAGACTGCCTGGTTTGAACCCCGGCTCCACTGCCTGGGCTGGTTACTTAGCCTCCCTGTACCTCAGTTTCTTAATCTGTATAATGGGGATACTAATGGTACCTATGTCCTAGGATTGTTGTGGAAGGCAACGAATCCATATATGTAAAATGCTTAGAAAAACTTACATATGTGTTGTTGGTAATCTTTAGGAGATGTTTAAGAAACGGTAACTTAAAAAAAAAAGTTGCTAACCACAAGGAAACCAAATTCAATTCCTTAGCCCATTTCCATCCCCACAGAATTTATAATTCAAGCTGGAAGGCAATTTAGAGATGAGTGAATCTGGCCTTTCCATCCATTGCATGGTGAGTCAACTCGTGCTCTGAGAGGGAAGCAACTAGCCTGAGGTCTCTTGGGAGGTCTTTGCAATGCTGGAACTTTAACCTAGTTCCCTGGGCTCCTAACCAGAGCTCTTCCCACCAGACCCTGCTGGGCTCACGGGAACATCCCTGCACATCCACCGTGGCACCCGCCCTCATCCCACGCTGTCTCGTTCTCTCCGGCAGGCACCGTTCATCTTGTCCTTTGATTAGGTCCTTAAGGAGAACCTCCCTTCTCCCCTTTAAATAGTTCCTGTCCTTATCACTGAGTCTGGAGAATGAATGAAATATAAAAGAAATATGGCAGCGGTCCCAAAGGAAATCAGGCAACTGATCTTTTTAAGAAAGGAAGATGGGCCGTCTTCTCTGGGAATGGTTCTCAGTTACATGTCTTTGTTGAGGGTGAACAGTTGGAGGAAAAGAAACAGACCTAAAGGGATTGTGGGGGGAATTAAGGCAAAGGAGATGGGGGAAAGGCAGGGGGAAGATGGGGCAGGAATGGGTTTTAGGGAATATACACTGGGGGCGGGACTTGAAGCAAATCTTCAGTGGGTAGTTAGATGTCCCATCCTGCATGCACACACATGCATGTGCACACACACACACACACACACACACACACACACACACACACACATAGAGCCTCCCCAGGTCTCCCAATCTCAGGTGAGGAGAAGGGGGCTCTATTAGTCTTAGAGACAGGTGGGCCCATGGCCTTCTTTGCAGAGAAGATGGTTAGAATCGGTCATGTGTCTCTGGTCTGAGACCCTAGAGAAACTCCAAGGAGAATAAAAAAGGTTGGGGGGGGGCCTCTCCCTCAACTCAAAAGAGCAACCCTATCAGGCTTCAGAAAAGCAAGCCCTCCTAGCACTCCAACCCACGGGAGCAGCTGTCTGAGAAGTCCCAACTCCTCCAGCAGCCACCCCCTCTGTTCCTTCACTTCTCTTGGGCCCAGGCAGAGACACAGACAGGAGTCTGTGTGCAGAAAAAGCTCCCCAGGCCCTTTTCTGTGGAGAGCTGCTCCAGACTAAGCGAATCTCAGCTGATCTCGTGCGAAATCAGAAACGCCAGGATGTGTATTCCCCACGGGCTCCTCTCTTTGTGTCTGTGCATGACCCAATTCAGACTCCTCTGCCGCTGTCAGATTCTCTCCTGCCCATATTCACTTTGAGGATGGATATAACCTTATTTTTGTGTGTTGTTCACTAACCCCAGGGACTTCGCTAGCTGGGCTGTCCTACGTGGTACAGTAACCACCACATAGTGTGGCCTCCAGGTTCTCATCTCTGGGTAAATAAACATCTCCGCACAGGCTTGGCCAGCTCTGGACTGGCTCAGTTCCTGCATGATGCAATAGGTCTCCAGGTCACATATCCGTGCCCACTAGCAAGAGGGAAGGTAAGGAGATGGTTCTTGCCCTGAAGTCCTCTTGTTCCTGTGTCAGAGTTTATTTAGGACAGAATAGTTTATATTTGCTCCAAGTAAATAATATCTGACATTGGGAAGCACAGCAGATGCAGCAGATGAGATGCCCCCAAACCATTTCCCAATGTTTAAAAAGAGGCCTGGAAAGGACAAGCTCATTGATCTCATTTGGTTTATGAAACTGCACTCAAGTGACTGAAGCAGAAACCTGACCACGTGTAAAGACTGAATGGCTCAATCTGCTTCCCAGGCCCAGAGGGTGTTTTCTGTGGCCTGGCCCAGGCCTATGGTGAAGCCGGTGCTAGGGGGTCACCTATGTGGGAGCCAGCTCTGCCTCCTGCCCCGAAGCTCCAGAGACTTCTCCTACAACTGACTCTCTGGACACGCCCTCTTGCTTGCACTAGTATCTCTTACCTGCCACCTGCCCTCCTCCACACACCCCGATTTCAGGGAAGCTCAGCTGCTGAGAGTGCTATTGACAACCTCTGGACTTGGAAATCAGGAGGAAGGGAATGGGAAGAATGGTGGCAGCTTTGTGCCTGGGCTGTTCAGGAAGACATCCCTCTGCCTTTGTTCTCCAGGGCAAGACACAGGGCTAGACACGCCGGAATCCTTAAATCCTTTGTCAAAAGCAGAACTGGGATTTTCGTCCAAGGACTACACCTGTCCTGTCCTCAGCCTCCTTCTCAGTTGCCCCCCTCCCACCCATGCTCATCAGAGCCGAACCCTGAGGAAACCATGGACCGAAAGACCTTGTGAGCTTTTGTTGCTGGGAGTGTCAGAGGCTGGGAGACAGAAGGTATGAGAGATGAGATGCCATGGAAGGGATGGCAGCGATCACAGAGGCTGGGGGGCAGAGGAAAGAGACGTTGAAGAGGTGGAGGGGTAATGAACCTAGGCGGGAGACAGGCTAACATTTACTAAGTGCCCGTGATGCACCAAGGACTAGGCTAGCTATACAACCTTTCATTGAATTCTTATGACAACAGAGAAGGAAACAGGTTTAGAGAGCTCATGTAACTTACCTGTGGTGACACAGCTAGCAACTTTATTAAGATTTTGTTACGTACTATACACTGTATTAAGCATCAGTATCTTATCTCATTTAATCCCCACAACAACTCTACTAGAGTCTCATTTAATAAATGAGGAAACTTAGGCTCAGAGAGGTTAAGTAACTTTATCAATGTCACACAGCTACTAAGTGATTTCAACCAGTTCTAGCTGCCTCCAAATTTCTTGCTTTAGTCACCCTACTTCACCGTTCAACTAAACAGCTGTTTAATACCAAATATTTCTGGAGCCCCTACTGAGTGCCAGGCACTGTGCTGTGTCCAGCCAACATCTTTCAAACCCTGCCAGACACAGAGCTCTGACCTGGGAGAAGGGAGAATCAAATAACAAAGACACAGCCCCCACCTGCCAGGGGCTGTGACCCCCACAGCTGGGCAATAACCAGGTCTTTGCTGCTCCACAGTACCTTGTCCCTGCTTCTCCCCTCTAGGCCCTGCTTCTTACCTAGGCTTCCTCCATGGGCTAGCCCTGCAGATGACTGAGAGGGCTGAGATGGCTTTGCCACAGACTAGTCACTGGGCAATATGGGCAGGTCACCTCCCTTTTCTGGGCCTCCAGCTCCCCAGCTGTACAATGAGGTTGCTGGACCAAATCATTTCTACCCATCGCCTCCAGCTCTGACTTGCTATGGGTGCCTTGTCTGGGCAGAGTCTGGGAGGCCAGTGCTCAGCGGGGTAGGGCTCTGGGCATGTTGATGCTTGCACGAGGTGCAGGGCAAGTGTGTGAGGGGCTGAGGAAGCTGCTCCACCCCCAGCTGTGGTTTCTGGTGGGGCCACCATGGCAGCAGGTGGAGGGAAGTGTTTGTCACCCTTCCAACAAAGGCAGTCAAACAAAAGCCTCCCAGGGCACCATGGGAATAGGCGGCAAGGGCGCCAAAAATAAAACACACTTCTCCTTTGATAGGCATCGGTGGCAGGCATAGGCAGCTGCTAAGGGAGTCTGTCCTTGGGGTGGTGAGGAAAGGGTTCAGATTTCGTGCCCAAGAACACTCACACTCACAAGAGCTGTCCCACCTCACAAACAGCCCACACATACAGATGCTCAATATTCACACAAGAAACACCACCGCACACATCACACACACACACACCAACACAGCAGTCACACAATCAGCATACACATATACACATACAAATAGAAAACTTGCCCCCATACAAGACCAGCTTCATGGGCCGCGACCTGCACAGTCACTCTGGGCCCTGCACTAAGGCCCTGCACTAAGGCCCATGCTGGGTATAATGCTTTGCTGCCTGCACTTTGAAATTCTTAATTATTTTTAAACAAGGGGCGCAGCATTTACATTTTGCAATGGGCCCTACAGGTTCTGCAGTTGCTCCTGTGGGTGTGCACTCATGAGAGCGTTCACTACCTGCTTAAGCATACCTTTTAACACTTTTACACTGTTGATGGGAGTGCAAATTAGTTCAACCATTGTGGAAGACAGTGTGGTGATTCCTCAAGGATCTAGAACCAGAAATACCATTTAACCCAGCAATCTCATTACTGGGTATATACCCAAAGGATTACAAGTCATTCTACTATAAAGACATATCCACACGTATATTTATTGCAGCACTATTTACAATAGTAAAGACTTGGAACGAACCCAAATGCCCATCAATGATAGACTGGATAAAGAAAATGTGGCACATATACACCATGGAATACTATGCAGCCACAAAAAGGAATGAGATCGTGTCCTTTACAAGGACATGGATGAAGCTGGAAACCATCATTCTCAGCAAAATAACACAGGAACAGAAAACCAAACACCACATGTTCTCACTCATAAGTGGGAGTTGAACAATGAGAACACATGGACACAGGGAGGGGAACATCACACACTGGGGCCTGTCAGCGGGTAGTAGGGGGCAAGGGAAGGGAGAGCATTAGGACAAATACCTAATGCACGAGGGACTTAAAACTTAGATGATAGGTTGATAGGTACAGCAAACCACCATGACACATGTATACCTATGTTACAAACCTGCACATTCCGCACATGTATCCTGGACCTTAAAGTAAAATTAAAAAAAAAAAAATCCTACCTATATAGACAAGAGTGCATCCGCTACACACATACACACAGATGCACAAACACATGCATGCCACAAATGCAACACCCACACAAACAGCAATAGCCCCCCATGTTCACGCGCCAAAGCACACACATTGATACCCAGAAGGGGTCCAGACGCTCACAAGCAACGCTACAACATGCAGCCTATGCCCTGCAGCCTGCTGACACAATTCAATTGACTTAACATTGGGGGCAGCAGAACAATGTGAAGGGAAGGGGCTTGGAGAGAAAACAGGTTCATGTCCTCCACCTGCAAACATCTCCCACCTCTCTCTTCGGCCCTGGGCTCACCCACCCCACTCAGCGGCTGGGACCAGAAGAAAGGGAGAGCCAGGGAGGTGGGCGCATGGACGGAAAGGGGACAGGGATGGAGGTGGAGAGGGAGAGAGAGAGGGCAAGAAAGAACGGGTGGGGAGTGGGGGCAGGAACTGAGTCCCCAGGTGAGCTGGCCCCAGCAGTGGTCTCATAAGAGCTCAGAAGGTCTTGGACCCAAAGCAGTAAGAACAATGCCCCTGTGCTCCCCGCAAGCACAGGGCGGTCCCGCCCTCAGAGTCAGTCAGAGGATGCCCACCTCCCTTCTTACTAGCTACACAGCCTTGGGCACGCCGTGTAACTCCGGGCCTCAGCTTCCTCCTTTGTGGAATGGGATAGCCAATTCTACATTGCAGGGTGGCAAGGCACACACAGACACAACACCTCCTGGATTCCTGCAGCAATCAACAGCTCGTCTCGTGATCAGGCCTGCAATCTGATTCTTGGCACAGGAACTCCAGACCCCCTCATTACAGCAGACATTTGGAACGCGTTTATTTCCCATCTTCTCCTGGTCTCACTTCACACCTCACAGCCAGGTACAAGCACAGAGGTGGATGTAATTCATGGCCTCATGGCCACCATCACTTCAGGGACCTTCAGGATCCTGCAGCCCCATCCTGCCCCACCCCCTACCCAAACCAAGCAGGACTCCAAGGCCTGGAAATTTTTCTTCCTCCTCTATTCTTTTTTTTTTTTTTTTTTTTTTTTTTGAGACGGAGTTTCACTCTTGTTGCCCAGGCTGGGCAATGGCGCGATCTCGGCTCACCACAACCTCCGCCTCCAGGGTTCATGCCATTATCCTGGCTCAGCCTCCTGAGTAGCTGGGACTACAGGCACCCACCACCATGCCCGGCTAATTTTTTGTATTTTAAGTAGAGACAGGGTTTCACCGCGTTAGCCAGGATGGTCTCGATCTCCTGACCTCATGATCTGCCCGCCTCGGCCTCCCAAAGTGCTGGGATTACAGGTGTGAGCCACCGCGCCTGGCCTCCTCCTCTATTCTTTACCCCCAACCTGTATTCTCCACCCCCAACCCTAACCTTCCTAATTTATTTATTTATTTATTTATTTATTTATTTATTTAGAGACAGAGTCTTGCTCTGTCGCTAAGGCTGGAGTGCACTGGCTCACTGCAACCTCTGCCTCCCAGGTTCAAGTGACTCTCCTGCCTCAGCCTCCCGAGTAGCTGGGATTACAGGCATGCGCCATCACGCCCAGCTAATCTTTGCTTTTTTTTTTTTCTTTTTTTTGACAGAGTCTCGCTCAGTCGCCCAGGCTGGAGTGCAGTGGCACGATCTCGGCTCACTGCAAGCTCCGCCACCCGGGTTCACGCCATTCTCCTGCCTCAGGCGCCCGAGTAGCTGGGACTACAGGCGCCCGCCAATATGCCCAGCTAATTTTTTGTATTTTTAGTAGAGACGGGGTTTCACTGTGTTAGCCAGGCTGGTCTCGAACTCCTGACCTCTAGTGATCCGCTCACCTCGGCCTCCCAAAGTGCTGGGATTACAGGCATCCCTATTTAAAATTGTCCCAGCCTCTGTCCCTTCCCTGAAAACCCCATCATTCTGTTAGGTGATACCAGATTCTTAAAGAGTGATTCGGGAAAAACGAATGGGCCCTAAGGGGCATGCCAGTGTGCCCCATTCCAATTACAGTCACCCACAGGAGAGAGGAAAGGTCGTCCAAGTGGCCACCAACAAGAAACTATTTCATCAGATTTCTTTTTTGTTTGTCTGTTTGAGACGGAGTCTCACCCCGTCACCCAGGCTGGAGTGCAGTGGCGCGATCTCGGCTCACTGCAACCTCTGCCTCCCGGATTCAAGTGATTCTCTTGCCTCAGCCTCCCAAGTAGCTGGGACTACAGGCACGCACCACCACATCCAGCTAATTTTTGTATTTTTAGTAGATACAGGGTTTCACCATGTTGCCCAGGCTGCTGTCAAACTCCTGACCTCATGATCCGCCCACCTCAGCCTCCCAAGGTGCTGAGATTACAGGCGTGAGCCACTGCGCCCGGCCTATTTCTTCAGATTTCTTATAGGACATAAGTCACTCAGATCCCCTCACAGGCTTTCTGTCAACTTACTGAGAGGGAAACTGAGTCAAGGAAGAGTGAAGTGACTTGGGTGAGCAGCAGAGTTGAGGGTTGTGGTCTTTCTGATGTGCAGTCTCCATGAGACCAGATCCAGAACAATCCATGCCCCACCGCACTAGCACACAGCTGGTTCCCATTCCCCAGGCGTGGGAAACAGCCGGGCTGGTTGGAGGCCTGCCAGGGTGGGAGGTCTGGTCACCAGGTGCCCCAGGACAGGGAGGAGGGGGCAAAGCAGGGGGTCCGGCATTCAGATTCCCATACTGGTCTCACCGTTTATCATCCGTGTGACCTTGACAAGTGCCTTCTCCTCCCTCGATGCAGTTTCCCCGTTTGAAAACAGGTGTGATGTTGTTAAAACCTCCCTGGAGTGTTACATTAAACGAGGTAGTGGATGTACAGCTCTTCGTAAAGTGTAAAGTGATAGAGAGGGTAACAATAGACACTCTTCCATAACAATAGCTGGAATAATCGCCTCTGCTGTGGGGACCTCAGTGGCTAGTTTAGGGGTCATCTTTCCCCGTGAGATGAGGAATTACTCCCCTGTGACACACGAGGACAGAAGGCATTTGCTTTGGTTACAGAGTGAGGGGACTGGCATTGCTGAGCCTGTGTGCTCCCACGTCACGTGGTCCCTGGCAGGTCCCCACTTTGCCCCTGTCTGACCAAAGCTCCTCCCAGGAAGGGAGACTTTAGGCCCCAAACTTAGCAGGTCCAGACCAACTCCTGATTGGCTGGCCTAGCCCAGTGCCTGGCACATCATAGGTCAAAACATGCTCGTGGAATAAATGCTCATGAATGGCGAATGTGGGGTCTTCCCACACCCTTGACTCATAAGTTTAAAATCTACCCAAAAACCCCAGCATTGCAGAGACATGCCCAGGCAGACAGGCCCCTCTGTGGAAAGAGCTGTTTGTCATGGCTAAAGGTAAGGGCCCCATTTCAGACACTGTCCTGGAAGAGTCCCAGACAGTCAACAGATGACCCTGCCTTTTAACATCCACCCCATCCCTGCCAAGCACAGGGTCCCGGGCTCTGACGCAAGCACCTCTGCAAATAGATGTCGTTTCCATGGGAACTGAAACCCCAGTTTGTTTTTCCCTCCAAGGCACTCTGTAATTTCCAGCACAGTCTGTGCAACGTCAGCCTGGTAACCTCGTGCTGAGCTGTTCTCCGGGTCTGTGTCCAGCACAGGGAGCTGAGCTGACCTAGAGAGGTCATGGCAAGACTGTGCTCCCAGAAGGGCCTCCAGAGTTCGTGGGCACCAGCCCCTGCCTCCCCCCTGCAGAGGGGTACCCAGTAGATAGGTGGAGTCAGAGACGAGTCCTTGAACCTCCCTAAGGGAGGCCTGGGGGGTTAGGGGGGAGTGGAAGGACGGGGGCTCATTTCCAGTAAGAAGTGGGAGGGAAGGAAAAGGTCTCAGTCTGGAAGCCTGGGCCCCAGGGAGGGCGGGCGATGGGTAACAGATGATTTCTGGCTGCTAGAGGAGGGTGTGCTCTCAGCAGTTGGATCATTAGCCTCTATTGTCTGAGCCTCCGTGAGGAAACAGCCGTGGAAGCAAAAGCAGAGGCGAGAAGGACTTGGGGAGATGGAGGCGGAAAGGAGGGGGAGGAGGTTAGCGGACGAGGCAACGATGAACTTTAAGGACAAGATGCCAAGAGGACGGAGGAGGGGCTGCCGTGCCAGAAGAGTGCTGCCCCCTGTCCCCAGCACCATTCAAGCTTAGGGCCTGGGGAGGCAGGTCCTTTCCTGCTCCAGCCTTGAGATGACCAAGGCCCCAGCCAACACCTTGATGGCCGCCTGTGAGAGACCCAGAGCCGAGGACCCAACAGAGGCCCAGGCTGCAGCTGACATGCTCCGGAGTCCTTCCATCTGCCACGGGGAATGGACAAAGTGTTCCTCCAACCCCTCGGGGTGGCCTAGGGGCCCTCAAGGACCCCAGAAGGGGAGTCTGAGGCCAGAGTGAGAACCGGGATGCCTTTGAACTAGCTCTTTGGCCCCTCTCTCTCTCTTTCTCAGTGCCCTCAACAATAACACCTGCTCTCATGCTTCCAGGGCACTGTGGGCGAGGTGAGGACTCCGGTGTGAAAGTGCGACTGCCAGAGCCTGGCTGTTGTTACTACTACCCATGGGGGGGCCCTGCCCGCACCTCCCACCCCTCCACCGTGTCCCGAGCCACAAGGCAGAGTGACTGCCTCTCTTCAGCCACAGTCCCTGGGTTATTCAACAGCGGCTACCAGGACAGGCAGCCAAGGCCCTAAAGAAAGGGAGAGTAATGCTAGGAGGGAAACAGGACATGGCAGGCAGCACCCTCTCCCCAGACTGGCATCCATTGCCACTGCTTCCTGGGGGCCCTGTAGCCTGGTGGCCCCATACCCTGGCCCTCATACTCTAGCCCAGCCTCAGCATCTCAGGCCACCTCCCCACTCCACCTTGCGGTTAACAACAACAGTCAAACCACTGACCTGATTTTCTGCAGAGAGGAAAAGATAATAGGGCACCTCGGTGCATGTTCGCATGCACACACACACAAACACAGACACACACACACATGCACACACATACATGCATGCACACAGACATGCACGCACACACTCATGCATTCACACGCGTACACTCGCACACATGCACACACACACACACGCACGCATGCACACACCCCCACTCAATGGAAACTTTCTCTGTCTCCTTGACAGGAACCCAGCCCTGCCAGGGAGCTTCCTCAGGTAGAAAGTTCAGTGTTTATCTGCGGTTGATCAGAGGCCCGAGTTGAGTTCCTGGAGCCTCCCTGGGTGAGCACCGCCGGCCTGACCTGCCTCCCCTGCCCAGGGACAGTGCCTCTGGCCTGTCTAGGTCTCTGTGGGGTATCTGCTTTCTCCCTGAACTCTTGGCATTGTGCTGGGCACTGAGAAAGGGATTGATAAGACCCTTGACCCTCAAAAGAGCCAGAGAGACCTGGGATGGGAATAATTCCCAAATAAACCAGTGCTTCCCCTCCCTAAACTTTCTCATAACTCAGGGTCCTCCAAGCCTCAAAAACATCTCAGGGCCATGTTCTGCCACATACAAGTGATGAGGTGTCCTCAGAGTAAGTTCTCAATGGTTGGCGACTGTTCTTATTTTTCATCACATCAAAGGGCAGCCACCTTCCTCCGCCAGTGGGGCAACTGAGTGCAGGAGCTCCGCGCCCCAACCACCCACTCAACTTGTGGTCTTGGCGATGTACAAAGTGTCACAGCCGGAAGGGACACGAAGGTCACAGCCAGGAAAGTGTTTTGCTCAGCCTCTCACTCCCAGGCATCCACACTCACTGCTCAGAGTATGACCTGAACCCGCAGCCTCAGCACCACCCAGGAGCTTGTGAAAAACCAGAGCCTCAGGCCCCAGACCTAAGGAATCTGAACCTGCATCTTAACAATGCCCTCAGCTGATTTTTAGCCCAATAGGTTTGAGACTCCCTACTCCCCCACGCTGGGCTCAGCCTGGGCCTAGGCCTCCTAAGAGCTACATTATGCCCAAAGAGCTGGTCAGCCATGCCCAAGAGAGGCTGTGGCCAACCCACCACAGCCACCACTGCCCTGTTCCTCCAGCCACGTGTCAGATGAGGTTGATGTGGTGCTGAGCTTAGGTCCTAGCTGCCCACGTTGAAGAAGAGCAGGGGGCAACAGCTTTGCTCCTCTGTGCACGGAGGACCTCCATGCTCTACTCTGCCCCAGATGCCACCTCTCCTCCACCTTCCAGACCTTGCCTTTCTTGAAGCAAGGGGCGGTGGTGGGCCACACGCTTGGTCTCATCTTATCTGACCTAAGCTTATAAGGCCAACTGGCTCACCTGCGCTCTAGGAGCTGACGGTGGTCACCAAGGTGACCCTGTACTCCAGTTCTGCCTGCCTCCTGTACTTTGGCTTGTGTCCCCTGGGTTAGATTCCCAGCCACAGACTAGAGCCAAAACGTGGGCCTCTATACTCTGCAGCAGTCAGCTCTCCAGCTGAGCCACAGGCGCTTCAGAGAGGAGAGTGGTGCTGCTGAGAAGGCCATGTGTAGAACCTGACAGCCATTAACAGCTATCAACACCCCCAGGGTGTGAATACCATTGATTCCTTTATTGCTATTAACATTTTAGTGTGAATTAGCTGCTGGCTGTTTGTCAATTGGCTGGCAGAGAGTGGCTGGGGCATCCATACTGTTAAGTTTTGATAGGAGATACTGGTCCTCCAGAGGGGAAAAGCCCAGTCCAGCTATTTCCACCTCTCCCATGCTACCCTACGTAGCCACACTTGCTTGTCTCAGCCTCACCTGGGCCCTAAAGCAAGGGGTGCCAGAGCAGACTCTCCCCAGAGGTGGTGAGTGCTGTAATCGCTCCCATCGCTATGCTAGGGTTCTGCACCTGGGGCTCAGATCACTACATTCCTTTTAACAATAGTGGTGCCTCAGATAAATCTCATCAGCTATTGGGTACAGCCAGCGTGGGAAGCTTGGAGATCACCTATTTCCTGTTGTTCTCCAGTCTTCTGGCCTGGGATTCTGAGGGGTTCTATGATGAAGGAGGCCACCTCTAAGTACGTACAGCTCTCTCAACTCAGATCTCTGCCCTCAAGGCAGCCATCATATTCCCCAGATAGAAGGAAGGAAGGAGAGAAGGAGGGAAGGAGGGAAGGAAGGAAGGAAGGAGGGAAGGAAGGAAGGAAGGAAGGAAGGAGGGAAGGAAGGAAGGAAGGAAGGAAGGAAGGAAGGAAGGAAGGAAGGAAGGAAGGAAGGGAGGGAGGAAACTGATATTTAAGGGCTCCCAATATGTGTTGGTCACTATGTTAACTCTAACCATTAGCTCATCCAGTTCTCATAACACTGTGAGTTGGTGTTATTATTCCCATTTTACAATCAAGGAAACTGAGGCTGGAAGAGGTTAATAACGTGCACAAGGTTACCTAGTTAATAAGTGGCAGAGCCAGGATTAGAACCAAGATCTGTCTGATTCTCCCACTACCTTCCAGGTCTAGAGAAGTGAGGCCATGAGTCATGTGCTCTCATTCCAAGGCTGGCCGAAGGAAGTGGGCAGCTCAGACACGTCCCTCCTGATGGACTTTGGGAAAAAACTGGCAAAATGAGCTGTATCCTGTAGACTCTTCCTCTCTGTCTCTCCTCATAGGGAAGATTAACCAAAGGAAAGGGGACGGCAAGCCAGCCTGTGTCGCAGCGGCTGGTGACCTGGATTCCTGCCCCTCTTCTGGACCGAGTGGCTGTGCCAGTGTGGGCATGGGGCCCAAGGCTGCCGGCCTCCCAGGCATTCACATTCCACTCCCAGGAGCCCACAGCCTCTAGTGCTGCAGAGCTCCTGCCAGCCTGATTGGAGCAGCTTATGACATGACAGTGGCCAGAATGACACAGACCTCAGTCCCATAACCGTCCCTCCAGGTGAGCATGAGGGCAGGGGATGGAGCCAGCTAGGCCTGAGAAGGCGGTAGTGCTTCCAGCCACCACTGACCTTCTTCCCCCAAACATTTCAGGCACAAGATGAAAAGGGACAGGCAGCCACAGCCACCCTCCAGGCTGAACCACCAGTGGCACCGATTCACTGATCCTCTCCCCCTGCCCCCACCCACTCCAAGTGAAAAACTATTTGTTAAACACAACTATAAATAAGCCAGAGCAGCTATTCCATTTACCATGAGCGGTGGGTGCTGCTATTCCACGTCACGTTGAGGAAACCAAGGCCCAGAACGGTTTACCAATGTGCCCAGGACCCACAGTCAGAAGCTGAGAGGCAAGCCCAGGCTTGTGGCTCTCCCTCAACTCTGGCCTGATACTTCCCTTTAAAGGTGAACCTGATTTGATTCTTTTTTTTTTTTTTTGAGATGGAATTTCGTTCTTATTGACCAGGCTAGAGTGCAGTGGCGCAATCTCGGCTCACTGCAACCTCCGCCTCCCGATTCTCCTGCCTCAGCCTCCCAAGTAACTGGAATTAACAGGCATATGCCACCATGCCTAGCTAAATTTTTGTATTTAATAAAGACAGAGTTTCACCACATTGGTCAGGCTGGTCTCGAACTCCTGACGTCAGGTGATCCGCCTGCCTGAGCCTCCAAAAGTGCTGGGATTACAGGCGTAGCCCCCACACCCGACTTCTTTCCTCCACCTTTGCGTGGGCTCTCCCTTCTCCCTGAAATAACCTCCCAGCCATCTTCACCTGTCAGATCTTATGCCTTCTTCATGAACCATCACAAATGTCACTTCCTCCTAGTAATTTTTTTTTTTTTGAGATGCAGTCTCACTCTTGTCACCCAGGCTGGAGTGCAGTGGCACGATCTTAGCTCACTGCCACCTCCGCCTCCCATTCAAGCGATTCTCCTGCCTCAGCCTCCTGAGTAGCTGGGATTACAGGCACCTGCCACCACGTCCGGCTAATTCTTGTACTTTTAGTACAGACAGGGTTTCACCATGTTGGCCAGGCTGGTCTCGAACTCCTGGCCTCAGGTGATCCGCCCGCCTCAGCCTCCCAAAGAGCTGGGATTACAGGTGTGAGCCACCAGGCCCCGCCCCCAGTAATATTTTAACATGAATCCTCCTTTCTTTGGTTCCCCATAGGTCTGTGCCTCTTTTGTGGTACTTCCCAGGGTTTATAGTTCTCTAAGTAATATCTCATTCCCCCAATCTATGATAAGCTCCTGAGTGTAGAAGCCGTCTTGTCTCCTGGTGCCCGTCACGGTGCAGGGTACACGGTAGGTGCCCAGCAGACCTGGGGGGGAATCACCTTGCCAAAGCATCTCTCTGGAGGTGGGTCTTGCACTCAGAGGGCTGAGACAGCTCAAAAAGAGCCTCTGGCTTCCTGAGGTGCAAGGTGTTCTTGAGCAAGACTCTGCCCCTCTCTGAGGCTGATTAGAGATGCCAGCTCTGTCGCCGGGAATCATGAGAAATCTGGGAACAGCGAGCAGAGCCAAGGAATGTCCCACCCACGGCATCTGGAGCCACTTCCTTCCTGGAAGGAGAACAAAGCAGAAAGAGGAGATCAAGCCTCTGCCTGTGGATGGAGCAATGGGGCCCAAGGGGGTGGACCTCCAGGAAGGAGGCTGCCAGGTGACAACTGGGGCCCCAGAGGAGCTGGAGAGCCTCAGGGAGAAGGATGAGCATGGGGTCAGGCAAGCCCCCTTTCCTCCTACACCTTCCAGCCTCTCCTCTGTGAACCCCAGACTTTCCTCCCCTAACTGCTTTCTCTTTCTCCCTCCTCACCTCCTCCTCCCCACCTGGCACTCTTATCCCACAACCACCCACTCCCCTGGACTATGCTGCAGAGAGACCATGCGTGACTCCGCGTCTCCACACCCTTATCTTGACGTTCCAGGCCTTCCGGGTGGGCTGCCAGCACACCTCTCCACCCCTTCCCGCCTTGGACTCTCTCTTGGCCTGGATTTTCCTGCCTCTTGACCGTTCATGTGACTCCCTCAGCTCACAGTGACCTTCCCTCCCTGCTCTCTCCATCCCACCCTGTGGAACTCCTGCCTCTCTCCAAGCCCCCTGGACGCTGTCTTCCCTGGGCAGCACTGCTGGATCCCCAATCAGCTCAATCCCCGATCACCCCACTTTTTAAACTCCTACTATGCTTTCACCCCCCCATCCAGGGCTTATCACTCTGTCCTGGATGGAAATAGCAACAACAATCATGGGAATAGACATTTCTGTCACCAAAGACTCCTGCTTCCCCTTGCCTAGTGCGTGGGGTTGACATTGAGAAGTATATGGAGTTGACACTGAGATCTGACACTGCCCAGTCAGTGACTGTATTTCCCAGCCCCCGTGGCATTAAGATGGGGCCATGTGACTTAGTTCTCACCCATGGAATGTGAGCTGAAGTGGCACTTCTGGGCCAAAGCAGTTAAGAAGCTGATGTGCCTTCTCCACTCTCTCTTCCCCACCCACTAGCTAGAAGCCGATGGCCAAAGTGATTTCAGAAGATACCTGTTAAAGATGGCAGAGCTAATTAGCCAGGCACACACCTGTAGTCTCAGCTACTCGAGAGGCTGAGGCAGGAGAACCATTTGAACCCGGGAGGTGGAGGTTGCAATGAGCCGAGATTGCACCACGGCACTCCAGCCTGGGCAACAGAGCAAAACTCCGTCTCAAAATAAAAAAAAAAACGGCAGAGCTGTCAGAAACCTGGTCTCTAGTTGAGCCTCACTGCTAACCTGGTATTTTCTTAGACCATTAGAGGGGCAAGAAACAAGATTCCATTGTCTCTAAGCCATCACACATTCTTGGGTCTATTTGTTACACCAGTTAGCATATCCTGACCAATACAGGTAGCTATCAATTTATGGAGCACTTACTATATACCAGGAACTACATGAAGTGTTTTTACATTTATTATCTCACTTAATCCTCACAGTACTTCCACAAGGGAGCTATTTTAAAGTACCTGCTTTATAGATGAGAAAACTGAGGCTTAGAAAGGTTAAATAACTCGGCCAAAGTGACCCAAGTAATAAATTGCATTCTAAACTGGAACCAGAGTGCCTCACCACCTACAGTGAGCTTGGCACATGTCTGCTATCCTCCCCAGACCATTCTCACTGTGAAGATCAGAGTGGAAGAAAGATCACACCTTTCCCTCCTGCAGACACAAGAGTCTGACCCACACTAGATTTTTTTTTTTTTTCTAGACGAAGTCTCATTCTGTCGCCCAGGCCGGAGTGCAGTGGCACGATCTCAACTCACTGCGAACCTCAGCCTCCCGGATTCAAACAATTCTCCTGCTTCAGCCTCCCAAATAGCTGGGATTACAGGCCCCCGCCACCACGCCTGGCTAATTTTTTTGTATTTTTAGTAGAGATGGGGTTTCACCATGTTGACCAGGCTGGTCTTGAACTCCTGACCTGAAGTGATCTGCCCGCCTTAGCTGCCCAAAGTACTGGCATTACAGGTGTGAGCCACCACACTAGATATTTTGTAATATCATTACTTTTCAGCTCCCATTTTCCGAGAGCCTGCTAGGTCCTACACAGAGTCCGGGGGGCGCATTTCGCATATAGCAGCTCTAATCATCACGGAAGCCCTGCCAGGTGGGTATGTACTTTGCTGAGCTGGAAGCAGGCTCTGGGAAGCTCAGTAACCTCCCCAAGGTGACCTGCCTGAGTGGCCAAGCATAAAAGAAACTGGGTCTGCTGAGCTCTCACCTCCACTCTGCCTCTGCACTCCACCCCTCCCTTGTCAGACCACTCTGACCTGGGAGGCAGCTCGAGGTTTCCAGCAGAGCAGGGGTAGGGCGGGAATAGAGGAGTGTGTGTGTCTGTGTGTGTGTGTGTGTGAGTGTGTGTGTGTGTGTGAGAGAGAGTGTGAGAAAGTGTGTGTGTGTGAGAGTGTGTGTGTGTGTCCTACATGTGTATACCAATGTCTCACTGCTTTTTATCACTCAGTCTGGTTTTCATTTCTTTAGGGAAGAGGATGGGGCATGAAAGACCAGTGGAAGAAATGGGAATTCCTCAGGCTGAGGGAATAAAAGGTCAGAAAACATCAAAGTTGATGGAAACTGTGGCTTTCATGGCCAAATCCCCTGACTTAGTCCAGGAGGAAACTCCGGCCCAAAAAAAAGGACTTGCTCAGGGAGTTGGGGTTACAGCCTGCACTTCCAAAACCCCACTAATGCTTTTTGTACCAAGCCCTCTGCCCCAAAGCCAGGGAGAGGATAGATCACTCACAGTTCATAGCTCAGCTCAGATGTCACCTCCTCCAGGCAGCCTTCCTTCCCCCTCCACAGCCGCTCTGCCCCTCCTCTGGGAATATGGTAAAAACACTCACTCTTCATATTTACTGAATATTTACCAAGTGCTGGACTAGCACGCCACAGGTTTACTCACCTGTCTGTCTCACCCACTGGATTGTGAGAGGATGGAAACAGATTCTGTCTTGGTCACTGTAGCCTCCCCAGACCTCAGGAGACCCGGTACATAGTAAGTACTCAATAAACAACTGTGGGACTGAATGTCCAAATCAGTGAAAGGATCAACCGAATGGTTATACAAGCTATTCTACATAACAATGTCCTCGTGTGTGCACAGGGCTTTCATTTTTCAAATCACATTAATCACATCGTCTCAGTAGAACCCAGTGAGAGACCCCAGTAACAAGGAGAGTGGTATCAAGTGTATGCCCACATACACACCTGCACACCAGCACATGCAGCTCCCCTCCATGTTTATGTAAGTGTACAGAGACCCATACACCCATGCCTTCCTAGCCGGCAAGAAAGATGCCATGACGTGCTATTTCCTGTTTTGTCTGCAAACATGGAGGCCTCCCCCACCTTCTTCCCCACCCCGAGACACACACACACACACACACACACACACACACACACACACACACACAGCCAGTTTTCCTCTTCAGCTGAAAGAGTGAAAGAAAGCCAGCTGTCCACAAGGGGGCATTCAAGGACCATCCAACTCAATATCTCAAAGCTAAGACTGCTTCTTGGTCTCAGAGAGACGAGATCCCAGGAAAAACTGAAGAACCAGGGTGGGGTCTCACGTGGAAACCCAGAAGAGGAGGTGGTCAGCCACTACAGAAGCAGGGCTGATGGAGATGGAGTCTCCGTCTGAATAATAGAAATGGTAATACCACTCACTCTACATATTTACCAAGTGCTAGTCCCTGGTCTAAGCACTTCACATGTCATGACTCGTTTAATCTTCCTCTCACCTCCTCAAGGCTTAGTGTTGCTATAATTCCTGCTTTATAGATGAAAAAACTAATGACTTAGAAAAATTAAGTAACTTGCCCAGGGTCACTTAGTGGTGAAGGCAGAATTCGAACTCAGGATCTGTTGTCCATAGGTCATACTGTTAACTGCTCACTCTGCTGCCTCGAGGCTGGACTTTCAGACATCCTACTTCTCAGCCCGGGATTCTCTGTGCTGGACTCCACTTCTCACATCTACAGGCCCTTTTGGGTGGTTGATGAAGGACCTGGAAGCTGATTTCCTAAGAGTGAATAACTTGGTGCCCTGAAGCTGACCCCTCATCCACTATAAACTGTCGATGCTGGGTTGGTATAGTGCCTTTGGAAAGCAGTAAAGCAATTACCAGCAAAAGGCATGAAGCTCTTCCTCCCCCTTTGACCCAGTAATCTCTTTCCCTGGGAAATTATTCCAAGGAAATTATCCAAACGAAGCCAAGTGTTATCTGCATACATGTGTGCATTGAAGTCTTTCTTTAAAGGTCAAAAACTGGGAACCACAATAAGGAAGTGGTTTAATAAACTGGGACATCAACACAATGGACAATCAGGCCTGGAAATCCACAGCTGTGTGACTGTGATGGGGAATGGAAACATGGAGAATGCTTCTACTACACAGTGTATCACCACTACACTCCCACCTAACTAGCTAATTCAACAAATCACGCTTGTCAAGGAGAGAGAAGTCTCTCTGTTCATGTTCAAAATAAACTCAGCCTCTGACACCACAAAGGAACAGAAGAGAAGCTTAAATGCAACAAACACAATAAGCTCAATAATTCTTGGCTTTTGAGTTTCCAAGGCCACAGGTCCTGATGATGTATGACATTTTCTGAGAGTGATTTTGATGATTGGTTATTGATGATTTTCACCTTTCACACTGTACTTGTTATTAAGCCATCTAATTCATCATATTAAATTTTGTTAAGATACCTGGTGTGGTTTCTGTTTTCTGGCCAGACTCTGATACATACACAGACCATGGACCCTGATGAATGATATCTCCCCCATAATGATAAGTGATTTTTTAAGACTTCAAAATTAGTGCACCCACCATGATTTCAACTTATACAAATGTATACTTAAGGAGGGTACAGGTATGGCTGGTCTCCTCCAAATTATACTTTGTACTAGTTGCCTCTTGATGCATAATAAAGTACCCTAAAGCTCAGTGTCTTGAAACAACAACTTTTATCATCTCACAGTTTCTGTGGGTCACAGATCCAGGTGCAGCTTAGCTGAGTCCTCCACTTCAGCACCTCTGCAGGCTGCAGTCAAGCTGTCAGCTGAGCTGGAGTCATCTCAAGGCTCAATTGGGGACCCAATACCAAGCTTACTCGAGTGGTTGCTGGCAGGATTCAGTTCCTCGTGGACCACTGGATTCAAGGCCCCGATGCCCTTCACTGCCTGTGCCCTCTGTTCCTCAGCACGTTGGCCGTTCCATGGGGCAGCCTCCAACATGGCAGCTGCTTCATCAGAACACATAAGAAAGAAGTCTCGAAGAGTGTGAGCAGGAGGGGAGTCCCAGTTTTGTATAGTCTAATCTCAAAAGTGACATTCCCCCACTTTTACCATATTTTACTCATTAGGAGCAAGTCACCAGGTCCAGCCTACACTCAGGGGAGGGGATTACACAAGGACGCGTGGTATGCCTACCACATACTTGAACATTTATAGCATCTTCTCAATAACAAAAACAGTATTTTCTCAAGTTACTTGTCTAATATGGAAACTTTCTAAATCCGTTGGTAAATGCCCACACCCATTTCTCTCAAGCAACAGCCCCCTGGTCCCCCTGGTCCCCCGCCCCCACCAGACTTAGTGGAAAGTCCCTGCTGGGTGAGTGAGTGGCTTTTTGCCAGATTGGGGGTGGGGTGGGTGGCAGGATGGAGGCAACATGGGCACCTTCAGAGATCAAACATCAGAGGAGGGAGGCAACTCAGGACTCGCCTTTGAAAAAGGTTCAGTTGGTGCCTGCCCCAGGCCATTACCATTGCTTTAGGCTGAATTCTTAACCAGCCCAACAAGGCCTGGCCAGATGTGGCTCCGCCTGCTTTCTCCAAGCTCAACTCGCCTTTCTGTTCGCTCTCCACACGCTAACCACAGTGGCCTCTTCTCTGGCCTCAGACAGGCCAGGCTCTTCTTCTCCCATCAAGGCATTTGCTATGCTCTTTCCTCTCCTGGATCCCCACCCTGCCCCCCAAAGCCTCACCTGCCTGACTCCTACTGAGCCTTCAGACCTCTGCTTGGACAGCGCTTCCTTGCAGGGGGCCACCCCCAAGCCTCCAGTCTCGGCCAGGTCCCTGAGCTACTGTGATTCCCCTCCCAGGAGATCTCTGATTCCAACCAGGAATAGCATTTCCAACCAGCCCTTAGGCAATTTTTACAATAGGGCAAGTTTGGGAGGCACTGCCCACCGTCTTCACAAGCTCACATGGCACCCTTCCCTCTCCAGTTCCACTCAGCACACCTAGAGCTGATGAGTTAGTTCTGCCCTGTGGACCCCTGCGGGCCAGGCCCACATGTGTCTTGCCTAAGCCCAGTAGGGGTGAGTAGGTAGGGGGAGAGCAGGCTGGAGGGAGATGGACAGGCACTGCCAAGGCAAAGGTGGGGTGGAGCGAATGAGCACTTTGCTGCTGAGATGGGCAGAAGAGAAGCTTAGCTGGGCACTGTTGGGGGAGGCAGGTGCCACAGGACATCCAGGTCCCACTGAGAACACTCAGGATGCTAAAAGACAGTCAGAGATCCAGGACGAGGGGAGATCTTCCAGTGCTCCTACAGTCACCAGGCAGAAAACCATGACCCTCAGGCTCTTTCTGGGATAGTGTAGGCTGCTCACAGCCCAACTGCTCAGGATTACAATGGCGGAGATTGAGGTTTAGGGTTGTCAGGTTTACCAAAGAAAAACACAGAAGCCCTGTTAAACTGGAATTTCAAATAAAAAACAAATACTTTTGTAACATAAGTATGTCCCAAATATGACTCAGGTGTCCCATATTTTAGCTGGCAATCCTGCCAAGGTTATGAGTTGATGCTAAGGCCCCAAGGCTAGGGTCTATGATTATTCCAAGGGTTTCCTGGAGACAAGAATAAACTCAGGGCCAGGCACAGTGGCTCACACCTATAATCCCAGCACTTTGGAAGGCCAAGGTGGGAGGATCACTTGAGGCTAGGAGTTCGAAACCAGCCTGGGCAACATGGCAAAACCCTGTCTTTACAAAAAAAAAAAAAAAGTTAGCCAGGCATGGTGGTACACACCTGTAGTCCCAGTTACTCAGAAGGCTGAGGTAGGAGGAACCCTTGAGTTTGGGAGGTTGAGGCTGCAGTGAGTCATGATCACACCACTGCACCCCAGCCTGGGCAACAGAGTGAGACCCAATCTCAAAAAAAAAGGGGGGACTGGACACAGTGACTCACGCCTGTAATCCCAGCACTTTGGGAGGCTGAGGCAGGCAGATCACTTGAGGTCAGGAGTTCAAGACCAGCCTGGCCAACATGGCAGAACCCCAACTTTACTAAACATACAAAAATTAGCTGGGCATGGTGGCACACGCCTGTTAGTCTCAGCTACTTAGGTGGCTAAGGCACAAGAATTGCTCGAACCCAGGAGGCAGAGGTTGCAGTGAGCCAAGATTACGCCACTGCATTCCAGCCTGGGCAACAGAGTGAGACCCTTTCTCAAAAAAAAAAAAAACCTCCTAGGGCTCCCCTCTCCAAACAGTCCATGGAAGCAGTTTTCATTGTTATGATAGTTCAACACTGGAAGCAACCTAAATACACCTGAAGAGGCAGGGATTCATTTCCTAGGGCTGCTGTAATCAACTGCCACAAACTGAGTGGCTTAAAACAACAGAAATGGATTGTCTTGCAATCTGGAGACCAGAAGTCCCAAATCAAGGTGTCGGCAGGGTTCTGTTCCCTCCAAGGCTCTGGGAAAACTCCTTCCTTGCCTCTTCTAGATTCTGACGGGCGACTATCCGCCCTCAGCGCTTCTTGGCTTGCAGCTGCATCACACCAATCTTTCCTCTGTCATTGTGTGACATCCTCCCTGTGTCTCTGTTTCTGTCTCACGCTCACTCTTTTTTTTTTTTTTACTTTAAGTTTTTTTTTTTTTTTACTTTAAGATACATGTGCAGAACGTGCAAGTTTGTTACATAGGTATATATGTGCCATGGTGGTTTGCTGCATCTATGAACCTGTCACGTAGGTTTGAAGCCCCACATGCATTAGGTATTTGTCCTAATGCTCTCAATCCCCTTGCCCTTCAACCCCTGTCAAGCCCTGGTGTGTGATGTTCCCCTCCCTGTGTCCATGTGTTCTCATTGTTCAACTCCCACTTACGAGTGAGAACATGCGGTGTTTGGTTTTCTGTTCCTGTGTTAGTTTGCTGAGAATGATGGCTTCCAGCTTCATCCATGTCCCTGCAAAAGACATAAACCCATTCTTTTTTATGGCTGCAGTCTCTGTCTCTTTTTATAAAGGCACCAGCTATATTGGATTAGGACCCACCCTAATCGAGCATGGCCTCATCTTAACTTGATCATGTCTGCAAATACCCTATTTCCAAATAAGGTAACATTCATAGGTACCAGGGATTAGGTACCTATGACTTCTTTTTTTTTTTTTTTGAAACAGGATCTCACTCTGTCGCCCAGGCTGGAATGCAGTGGCATGATCTCAGCTCACTGGTTCAAGTGATTCTCCTGCCTTAGCCTCCTGAGTAGCTAGGATTATAGGCACCCACCACCATGCCCAACTAATTTTTGTATTTTTAGTAGAGACAGGGTTTCACCATGTCGGCCAGGCTGTTCTCGATCTCCTGACCTCAGGTCATCCACCTGCCTCAGCCTCCCAGGGTGCTGGGGATGACAGGTGTGAGCCACAGTGCCTGACCTGGGATTAGGACTTCAGTGTAGCTTTTGAGGGCGATACAATTCAACCCAGCACAAGAGGAATGGGTAAATTAGGAACCAATACATGGAGGGATTCCATGACAGATTTTTGAGTGAAAAAAAAAAAAAAACAAGGAAGGTGCAAGAAAAAAAACATATGTGGCATGATTTCCTTTTCAATCTTTAAAAAAATAGCTATCTATGAGCCTTTATGTGTGATTACTACTTATGCACTAGTTCAATCAGCAAGTATTTCCTGGGCACCCACCAGGGATACAGCAGTGGGTAAGGCAGACGCCATCCCTGCCCTCCTAGAGCCTGCAGTTAAATATGCAGCTTAATGGAAGGACACACATCTACCCATTATTTCTTTTTCCAAGTGGGCTTGGAGGGGACAAGAGAAAGATTTTTTCCTTTCAATTTTTTTTTCTTTATTGCTTAAATTTTTATAACAAGCATGTTACTCATTTGTGACTTTTTAAAAAATGCTTAACTTTTTTTTTAATCCAAAAGGCCAGCCCTTTGGAAGCCTCTTTGTTGTCTTCCCGAGAGCGATGGCTGGGACACAGCTGCAGTAGTGGCACCACTGTGTGTGACTGCTGGACCCTGCAAGGTTTGCCCTGAGTGTGGATAACTGAGAAGAAGTAGGAATCTTCACAATCCAAATGACCACTTAGGAACATTTAATGGCTAAACAAGTGAAATATTTGTAATTGTCCACTTATTTGTGGTGTGTTTGATGTCTGTCTTTTCTATGAGACTCTAAACCCCAAATGGCAGGGGCCAGGTTTGTTTTGTACATCACAGAGCCAGCTGCCAGCACACACTCAACACATACTCAATAAAAAGGGGTCAAATGAATGAAAGAACACCGAAGCTTGGGATGGCCCTCATGGATCATCTAGTCTAACCTCCTCATTTTATATAATTGGTAAAATTGAAGCCCAGAGAAGTCAAGGGACAGAGTGAGTAAGTGGTAGCCAAGACTCAGAAGAGCCTTATCACTCTCAATCCAGGCTCTTACCTTCAAAAAGAAAATTTAAAAAAATTTTTTTAAACCCACATGATACACATTTTATAGTAAGATCAAAAGACATACAAACAAGGATAGAGAAGTATTGTCTAATAATTATCAGAATTTTAAACCAGTGTTTTCATCTAACTTTGGCTTTTCCCGCTGGGGCTAAATATTCAACAGATGTTGGGGTTTGCGGGTGCTAGTTAATCACATCCCTCACTTCTCCGAGGTCTGATCCAATTGAGAAATAGTCACAGGAGACAAGTAGGGATTAAAATGTCAGCTTTATTGCTAGTCCAGATGGACTGGAGGATGTGGCTAAGACCCAAGGCCCAAATGAGCTTTCTGTGTCTTCTCCTCTGACTTGAACTCACTCACCCACTCGCGGCAGAGCAGCTGGACTATTGAAGTCCTCCCAAGCAAGGGCTGGACCCGCCCTGGTGCTCATTGCCTGGAGGAGGCAGGAGCAGACAGAGAACATGCTGCTTGCAGTCAGGTCAGTCCCAGAGAGAGAGCCAGGAACAGGCTGAGCCATGCACACTTGATACCCTTTTCCCAACGACACCAATCCAAGAGGTCCCTCCTCCTCTCACAGAGAGGAACCAGTGAAGATTGTACAGAGAAAATCGAAAAGTTCCTTCCCAATTCTTCCAAGAGGTTGTCAGTTCCTGTTTTATGGGCTGATAGGAGAATGGGGAGGGGAGATAGTTGCCCCCTTAACAGAGCCTTCAATTCATTCAATACCTTTTCATAGAATCTGAAAACTTCTGTGTTACAAGAAGCAGCTCTGACGTGAAAGATTGTATCAATTGAAAGTGAATTTGCTGCAAATAACAGAAAATTGAGATCAGTAACTTAAACTAAAAAGGGACATATTTTTCTAATGCAACAGGAAATTCAGAGGGGGGCAGATCTGGGCTGGGCATGCTCCATGATGGTGCCAGGGAGCAGGACTCCTGCCTTTCTGCTCCACCATCCTTAGAAAGTGGCTTTTGTCTTCACACTTTTAAGATTGCTCCTCCACGTCTAGGCATCCTGTCTACATTCCAGACAAGGCAGGGAGGACAAAGGGACAGCTAAGTCTGTCCCTTTTTATCAGGAAACTGATAGCTTTTCCAGAAACTCTATTCAGTAAATGTGTGTTTTCATCTCATGGGCCAAAACTGTGTCACTTGCCCCACTCTCTGAAAGGGAGTCCATGAAATTGAACTTTGAACTTGGCAAAATTGGATTCTTTTCAATAAAGGAAGAAGACTGAATATTGGGTAGCAGAATGACCTCCACAAAAGGCACAAAATGGTGAAAGAAAATAGAAAATATTGTCCAAAAAGTGTTTTTTAAAAAAAGATGTGGACAATTGTTTTTGCAAACATTCAAGAAGGAGATTATTCCCTGTGCAAACACTTTCAGAGAATAAAAACGTAGAAAACTCAGTTCATCTTACAAAGCTAGCATAACCCTGATACCTAAACCCAATAACAGAAAACACACACTAAATAAACAAATTAATTAAAACTACATACCAAGCTAACTTATAAGCTGACAAAAATTCCATGCTTTTCTCATTCTTGGTTTCTCCTTTGTTTTACTGCTGCACATCCTCTATTGCTGTCTTTTTTTCTAGGAGCATTACCACAAGGAGTCTATAGGAAGTAAACTTCCTCAGTCCTCATGTATCTTAAAGTGTCTTTGATTTGCCCTCTTAACCAGTAGACAGTTTAGCTAGGTATTGAATTCTAAGTTGAAAATCTCTCTCTCAGAACTTGGAAGAGATTGCATCATTGTCTTTTGTCATCCAATGCTGCTAGTGAGAAGTCTGGTGACTTTCCGATTTTCATTCCTTTATAGGTGATTTTTTTCTCTCTGGAAACTTTTAGCATCTTCTTATTTTCCCAAGTATTCTGAAATTTCTAAATCTTGTGTGTTTTTTTTTTTTTGCTGGGGGCTTGCCTGATGAATCCTGTTATTCTGAAGACTGGAGTGTTTTGTCTAAAAAATTCTGTTCAGTCATTTATTTGAAAATTCTCTCCCTTGATTTCTCCCTTCTCTCTGAAATCTTTATAAATCAAACATGGACCTCCTGTATTAATTTTTTATGTCTCATATATTATCTAATAAAATTCTGTTTCTTTAACCTTTTGCTTTATTTTCTGAGAGATTACCTTGACCTTAACTTTCAACATTTCCAATGAATTTTAATTACATTTTTCTATGTCTGGGGCTTTTGTGTTCTCTAATTGTTTCTCTTTTCATATCACTACTCATGTTTTATAGATTCAGTGTCTTCTTGAATTCTTTTTTTAAGTTCTATTCTACGTATGAATTGTCTTTGTTTCCTCAGAGGTCTTATTTTCACTTTGCTTATCTTAGTCTCTCTATTTCATATTTCAGGCTTCCTCAAATAGCTTCTGGCTTATGGTTGTCCATTCATATTTAAGAATGAAGCAGTAGAAAACTTTCCTGGAAGCTCTGTGTACATGGATAAGAGGAGATGAATGGCAGGCTTTGTTTCCACGTAAACTGATCTTTATGCCTTGAGATTTCTAAATGTCAGCCTGCAATGTGCTTTGTTCTCAGATGCCACCTTAAAACCCAGCTATCCTAGTCTTCCTCAGGCAATTTAATTTCTTTAAAGAAGAAATTAGGGGAAGGAGCAAAATGGGGGACAAAGCAAACATCTGCTGGCTGAACAGTTTGCATATAAGAGTCAGGGATTTAACTGTTCCATTTTTAGACTTCCAATTAAGCTCCCCCTTTTCAGCCACATATCCCTTTCCCACCCTCCATTGCACCTAGCACATCCAAGTCCTGAGCTTCTCTGTGCCTCTGCTGGTGGGTCAGCTCCCTCTTTGGCTGCAAACCCAGCCATGTGCATTCCACACAGCAGCTTCCTCTGTCCTGCTTACTCAGTCATCCTTCCCCATCGAACCACTTCTCCAGAAATTTGTTGGGATTTCTCTTGTCCACAGGTGCCCCCTCCCAATTCAAATTCTCCTTTGGAAGCATTGATATGTTTATTATTTATTACAAAGACATTTCTGGAAGAGGTAAAGATAAGCCCATGTGCATTTAGTCAACCCTCTTGGATTGGAAGTCCCACTGACCTTGTAATGAAGGCTGGTGGGCATGGGTGTGTGCTTTTACATAGACAGACCTGAGCAGACTGTGCAGTCCTTCTAATCAATGACACATTTACAAGAAACTCAAAAATATGCACAGAGATGGAAGGAAAGCTTTTTTTTGTTACATAACACATTTCAGTGTCTGTTGATTATAATATATTTTAAATACGAAACTAAAATTATACGTGTCCCTAAAGCACCTCCTCAGAACCCTAAAAATTTTGTAGAATATACTGGGAAAACCACTGGCATGATTAAAAAAAAAAGAGCATGGAGTTTGGAGTCAAACAAACCTGATTCAAATCCTGGTTCAACCATCTGTTCTCTCCAAATGTTAGTTCCCACATCAGTACCTACCTTCTCAGATTGCTGTGAGGATTAAGTGAGATAATATATATGCAGAGCACCTAGCACAGAATCCAGTGATTAGTAGGTGCTCAATAAATGCTCATTGCTATTCCTCCTTCCCACTCCATACTAGACTACTCACCATGCCCCACCTCGTTCATGCTATTTCCACCTCCCCTCTTCTGTACTTCTTGGGTCTCTGCTTGTTCTTCAAGGTTCAAATCAAACATCCCCACCTTCACAAAATCTTCTCCAACCTTCCGGAAGAGTAACTGCTCTTTCTTCTGTGTCCCCGTGACACCTGTTCATACCTTTGCTGTAGTTCCAATCTCTCTGCAACAAAGAGAGCTTTGCACACACCTGTCCCTCTGGTGGAGAGGGATTCCTTAAAGGGAATCCTCATATTTCCCCTGCACCCAGTCCTATAGCTAGCACACAGTGGGCAATCAATAAGTATTGGAGTCTAATTGAGTTGCAGCAAGCTGAACTGGATTATGAAGATCCCAAACCCACTGCCAGGCAGAGATATGAAAGCCAAGCTATCATGGCCAGGTGCGGTGGCTCACGCCTGTGATCCCAGCACTCTGGGAGGCCAAGGCAGGTGGGTCTAAGACACAGTCTGTGAGCAGGATCCTGTTCTCAGTCCTCGAGCAGAGCCAAAAGGAGGAAGAGCATCACCCACACTGGGAGTTGCAGGTCTAATGAAGAAAGCAGGACAGGAAGAATCCCTGTCCTCAAGGAGCTTCTCATCTAATATGGCGGGGGGTGGGAGGGCAGGGAAACAAAATAGAGTCCCAGGCTTCAAGTCGCTCCCAGGCTGATGTGATCCAACCCACACTCAGGAAACACCCAGTCCAATATGGGAGACAGTACATGTGCACACAAGTGTCATCCAAATTGAGAGGATACAGCACCAGTCACTGTGCCTACTGTGTCCCTACTGTGTGCTAAGCATGTTACTTAGGGGTATCACTTATAAGGCCGTCATGCAAATGGTCCAGTCTCAAAGCTGCGTTATCATCAAGGATGGCAACCAGGCTGGGCGCAGTAGCTCATGCCTGTAATCCCAGCACTTTGGGAGGCTAAGGCAGGAAGATCACTTGAAGCCAGGAGTTTGAGACCACCCTGGGCAATATAACAAGACCCTGTTGCTACAAAAAAAAATTGGCTGCAGTGAGCTATGATCTCACCACTGCGTCACTCCAGCCTAGGCGACAGAGCAAGATCCCATCTCAAAGAAAAAAAAAAAGAGACAGAGTGGGAGAGGAGAGAGAGAATAGCAACCAAAAAATAATAATTTCACAATAACTCTGTTTACTTGAATTTCTTAAACTTGACTACAAAGATTCATGGATCATAGCGATGCTTCTCAAATCTCCTTTCTCCCACCCACTCTCTTCCCTCACCCATTACAGCTGCTCAAACCTCCCTCCTCCCTCAGTCTTGCTGCTAATCCTTCTTCCCTCTCTCTCTCTCCTCCCAGTTCTATATCGCCTATGCCTAAGGACTATTCCAATAAATCAGCACCTTTCATAGAGGGTTAAGGGAGGCGTGCGCGCACACACACACACACACACACACACACACACACACACACACACACACACAATTCAAATAGGCCAAGTCAGGATTTTCTCTGATGAGCAGAGAGAAGGGAGAGACTGGGATGGAACACTCGACCCCCACCCGCCCCCGCCGATGGCTTTCCTCCTGCCACACACACATTATCTCACTTGATCCTCACAACCAACATATAAGGTTGATGCTATTATCCTTATTCTACCTATGAAAAAACTGAGATTAGCAAGTAATGCTTGACCCAGGCCATGCCATTAGTTAGCAGTGGAGCAGGGACTTGAACCCATGTCTGCCGAAAGGACAAATATCCTTGTTCCTGGCAGGGTGTCCAGAGTGAAGGAGTTGGGTGACTCAGGGCTTGGAGAGAGTGCTTTGTGGAAAGCAATCTTCAGGGTGTGGTGAATTCTTCTTCAATACCTCAGGATATGTATGTGTTTGTGTCTGTGTGCGTCTGGGGATGGGGGTGACCTGACCACAGGGAGTTCTTCTCAGCCATGCTCCACTTCCTACAGAGTGGGAGGACATTCCCTGTGGAGCCAGTCATCCTGGGGCAGCTCAGGGAGGACTGCAAGGGCACCCTCCACAGCGGGGAGGATACGTGGGGACTCTCCCTGGGGGTCAGAGTGGAGCAGGGAACTCCAGAAGCCCGAAGGGAGGAGACTCCTGGGGGCCAGGCTGAGAGTATGATTCGCTCATGGCATCTTGTTACAGGAACAGGAAGCTTCCGTCTCCTTAGAGCCTCCCTTCAGCAACATGAAGCTGGAAGGGCAGAGCGTGGCCCCATTTTACAAGTAACAAAACTGAGTCCCAAAGCAGTTCCTCCACTGTAGAGGAGACAGGGCTAGGCCTCAACACAGACCCTCTGGCATCCCGCCACGCCCCACACACAGCCTAGGCTGCCAGGAGGACTCCACAGCCCTGCATCCCACCTCCACTTCCCCCGGCCCATCCGAAACAGTGCCTCCTTCTCTCCTTCCTGAGGCCACCAAGCGACTCTTGTCCCTGGACTTTGAGTCCTTCGGGCAGACCCAGAGGAACCTGTCCTGCCCGCTGTGTCCTGCTGGTGTCTGGCAGGAGAAGACACTGTGTGAATGGAGGGATGCAGGCGGCAACAGACAGGCTGGGGTAAGAGAGGGAGTGCTAGGCAGGAGGCGTCGTGACCTCTTCCCGCTCCACCACAAACCAGTACCCTGGGTGGTCTTGGGGAAGCCGCCCTCCATCTCTGCGTCTCCCTCCTTCATTGCATAGGAGGGGGTGGGGACACATCAGGCTGCACAGAACCCAGGTGTGGCGGGTGCAGGAGGATGGAGAGGGCTGGACGGCTAGGGTGCTGACCCCCTCCCTCAGTGCCCACCTCCACCAGCACCCCCTCCAACTGGATTAGCCTTGACCTACCTGTTGTATTAGTCTGCACTTACTGGTAAGCTTCTGTTTGAAGAAAGGATTCCGGCATCCACCTTCTTTCTTACAAATACCTCTGTATGGTGTCGGTTCATAATCCTGTTCTGTTGATTGTTATTAAATAAGGATTTTCCTGTACTTTTAGGAGGAGGTTCCAGAGTAAGGGGTGGGAATGGGCTGGGGGATTCACTGCTTCACTACTCCTGGATCCCCCCACCCTGCTATTGGTACTGGAAGTATTCAACACGTGGCTTCCCTTTGAGACCGCCTCCATGGGACACCTCCCCTGACCCTCACCCCCCAAATATGTAAACCTTCTGAGCTTGTTGCCTATTTTACCCCAGTGGTTCTGCCCAATTTGTTTTTTTGTTTTTTTGTTTTTTTCTTTGATATGGAGTCTCACTCTGTCGCCCAGGCTGGAGTGCAGTGGTGCCCTCTCGGCTCACTGCAACCTCTGCCTCCTGGGTTCAAGTGATTCTCCTGCCTCAGCCTCCCAAGTAGCTGGGATTACAGGTGCATGCCACCACACCTGGCTAATTTTTGCATTTTTAGTAGAGACGGGTTTTCGCCATGTCGGCCAGGCTGGTCTCGAACTCCTGACCTCAGGTGATCTGCCCACCTCGGCCTCCCACAGTGCTGGGATTACAGGCGTGAGCCATCACACCCGGCCGGTTCTGACCAGTTTGGATGCGACTCCCAAGAGCTTGTTCCTCAGTCCTTCCAGAAGGGAGTGTGTATGGGATATTTCTGAGGCCCTCAAAGGCACAGGCTGCCCCCAGTGCCCTCCGATCTTCCCATAGCCCCTCCTGCTTCCCTGGGTCTCAGTTGGTCTTTTTGCTTCACCCACACCTTGAAGCCTGTGGAGCTGCTCCCAGCTGTCGAGGACTCCACTTAGAATGCCTGTTAGAGATCAACCGTTTTTCTCTTCCCCTAAACTCTGCTGCCTCCTTTAAAGCTCTACAGTTCCGTGCTACACCATCCAAAGTCTGAGAGTGCTGGGATGCAGGGGGCAGGTGGGGGGAGCAGGCGTCCTATTCTCCCAAGAGCCCCTTGATGTGATCTTAGGAGGCTGGGTGGACACCAAAGTGTAGTGAGACCAGAGCAAGGAAAGGCTCCTGCTTCAGGTCCCAGCTCACATTGGAGAGGGTCCTCCCCTTGGCAGGAAGGCAGGGACTGGAGCAGGTGACTGTGAGCTCCCAGCCCTGGGGACCAACCATGGGGCTGCCCCTGATGCCCTGGTGCTGGTCAGCAGAGTCTCTTTCCAACTGAACTTCTGCTGACTAGAAGGCAGCTCTTACCCTCTCTGTGCAGTTCTGCTGCGGGTCTATAAAGCAGACCCAGGAGCCCAGGCATGGGGCAGAGGAGGGAGCCAGATGCTGTCAGGAGACAGCACTGCTGTCAGTGCCCTCGGGAGTCAGGAAAGCCAGGCTGGAGAGCACAAGCTGACCTCCATGAGCCCCCAGCAGTCCCTTAAACCCGGCCCCATTTCCAGTCACAGCAGAGAGTACGACCTGGGGCTCTTTGGATGAAATGGACAGAGTGGGCTCTGATGGGGAAGCACCCTCAGGGACTATGTATACTCCCCACAGCCAGGGTGTGAAGCCCTCTAGACAGTCCTCAGCAGGAGCCCCACAAACCCATCCCACAACCTGCCACTCCATATAACAGGAGGATCCCTCAGAGCCCTTTGAGGGGCAGAGGGGTGGCGGGAGGGTGGTTGGCAACAAGCCTGTGGGTGAGAAACCCTCCTCAAGGCCTTGGAGGAGCCCTAATCGCCAAGCAAAGAAACATACCTGCCCTGCCCTCAGGGAGCTCCCACTCCAAGGGGGAGACCCAGGCCCTACTTGGGGATGGGGATGCAGGGATAGGGGTGGGGGCTCAGGCTTGCTCACTGAGACACCTCAGGGAAGGGCGCAGGCCTGCAGGTGGAGGGCGGAGACTCCATGAGTAATCAGGTTTACAGAGGAATGCACTTCCAAGGAAAATGAGTCAGAGGCAGGAAGAGGAGAGTGAGAGCCCAGTCTGGATGCCACCCTCACCTGACCTACAAGGCTCGCTGCCCCAGGCACTTGGGGAGACCCCTGTTCCCTCTCACACTCTCAGCCCTACTATAGGCCCCGGTGAAATGCAGGGAAGATCCCTGTAGCCAAAAGTCCTATAAATGATGGTGAGGAGTCAGGAAGGAGACCCTAATGAATCCTCTCCCAGCACCCTGTTTTCTCTTCTGCCTGGAACTCAAACAGTATTTGCAGGAAAGCACCCACTGAAGGTGCTCCTTCTTCCTCTGGGCATGCACTCCAGGAGGCATGCTTGCTATTTGAACATCCCTGAGCACTTTGCATTTTCAGCCTGGCCAATCTGCCTCCAACTTGCACTCCCAGAAGACTGAGAGCTGCCTAAAGGCAGAACCCAGCCTGGCTCTCTGGTCCTTAGAGTCATGGTGTTTAACACTGTTGAATGGACAAATTCAACTCTACTGTATTGGACTATATTGGACTGTACTTACTAAGTACTGTACTTCTCAAAGCCAGTCATGTGCCTGTATCTCCACCACCACCACCCTAGGCTCCTGCCCTCTGCACTTGATCAGCTCCCCAACCCTTTAGCCATACCACATCCAGAGGATCTTGCAAAACACAATGTCTTGGGAGGATTGCTGGATCCCAGGAGGTCAAGGCTACAGTGAGCTATGATCGTGCCACTGCACTCCAGCATGGGTGACAGAGAAGACCTTGTCTCAAAAATAAACCAAAACAGGGCCGGGCACTGTGGCTCACTGCTGTAATCCCAGCACTTTAGGAGGCCGAGATGGGCAGATCACGAGGTCAGGAGATTGAGACGATCCTGGCTAACAGGGTGAAGCCCCGTCTCTACTAAAAATACAAAAAAATTAGCTGGGTATGGTGGCATGTGCCTGTAGTCCCAGCTACTCAGGAGGCTGAGGCAGGAGAATTCTTGAACCCGGGAGGTGGAGATTGCAGTGAGCTGAGATAGCACCACTGCACTCCAGCCTGGGCGACAGAGCGAGACCCTGTCTCAAAAATACATAAATAAAAATAAAAATAGATAAACAAAAACAAATTAAAAAAACCAAACACAATGTCATCACGCTTCTACAAATGTTCTGTTGCTTCCCACTGTTTTCAAGGTAAATCCAAAACCTCTAAGCTGGTGCACTGGGGCTGGCCCCTAGGTGCCTCTCTGGCCTCCTTGTTGTAAATCCTTCTGTCTTTGTCCACCAGCTGCACTGAGTTTTCTTCAGCTCCTCAACAGGACCGCTATCACTCACTCCTACCCCAGGACCTTTGCACCTGCAGTCTCTTCCATCTGCAAGTTCTTTCTCTCTCCTTTACCCTTTTTGCCTGGCTAGCTTCTATTGTATTCAGATCTTGGATTAATTGAGGCAGCTCTCCGTGATCCCCTATAGGCATGTCCCTTGTTACACATTCTCAAGGCAACCTTGACTTTTCCTTCATAGCCTCTTTCACAGTCCATAATTAGACATCTGCATGGTTATTTCATCAATGTCTACCCTCCATCCTCATCCCCCATCCTGTCCCAAAGACCATCAACAGGATGTGGACCGATGCCCAGGCCCAGCCCTAGCACCTGCCCCCCAGGAGGCTGGAATCAGAAGGACACGCCTGACCCAGAAAGGCCCCACACCCCAGGAGCCTGAGATCTGGGATAGTACTTGGCCCAAAAGGGCAGCCCCACCCTGTGCTGCCAAAGTTGCAAGAGGAAGAACTGGGGCTCTGGGTATACTTACCTGGAAAGAGAAAGCTGAGGAATGCTTGAAGACAGAGATAAGATGGCCAGAAAGCAGGAAATGAGCTGCAGATAGCTGTTGGCTGAGGCAGGGCAGTTTAGAATTAAGGCTGCAGATCAAAGCCACAGGAAGTGGGCTGGTATTTTTCGGTAACAGCAAAATCTGATAGAAGCCACAGTTTCCTGTCTGGGTGGGGCAGGCAATTCATTCACTCATTCATACATATTTGTTCCTATCATATGGTCATTCAACAAATATTGATTGAGCACCTTTCTGGGTGCCAGACACTGTGCAGTGCCCTGGGGGACAGCAGTGAGTACAAGTGAATTAAGTCCCTACTCTCCTGAATTTGCAGGCATCTATCTTGTTGTCTAGACCTTTTTCCCAACTGCCAGCCTATAGTCCATTTAGTGAGTCACAGCCAGCATTTTTTTAAATGCAATACAGAATGGGATAGAAAATATTAGTGTAGCCCAAGCAGTGAGGATAAGCATTCAGTTATACATGTATTACGTGAACTGGGTCCTGGCATAAAATGTATTTCTTCCTGTGGTTCATAATCAGAAAAGTTTGAGAAACATCATTCTAAGCATTATTTAAATAATTCCAAGGCCGGGCATGGTGGCTCACACCTGTAATCCCAGCACTTTGGGAGGCCGAGGCAGGTGGATCACCTGAGGTCAGTAGTACGAGGCAAGCCTGACCAACATGGTGAAACCCCATCTCTACTAAAAATACAAAAAAAAATTAGCCAGGCGTGGTGGTGCATGCCGGTAATCCCAGCTACTCAGGAGGCTGAGGTAGGAGAATCGCTTGAACCCAGGAGGCGGAAGTTGCAGTGAGCCGAGATCGCGCCACTGCATTCCAGCCTGGGCAACAAGAGCGAAACTCCGTCTCAAAAAAAAAAAAAAAAATTCATAACCGAAGTCAATGATAGGGAGCATGAAGAAATACACAGAGTGCTACAGGAGGTTAGAACAGTAGGGCCCCAACTGGTCTGGGCTGGGGACGGTGGTCAGGGACATCTTTGCTGCAGAGAGGATGCCTGAGTTCTCTGAGAAGGGGGCGGGGAGTGGGAAATGGAGGAGTGCTAAGGGAAGGATGGGGGAGGAGGTGTGAACTAGTACTGTGTCAAGAGGATGGCTTGGCGAAGGAGCAGTCAGGCAGAGACCGGCATGTGCCACACGCACCATCAGAGGGTGGGGGAGGGTGGCGGGACGTGGAGGTGGAGAGGTGGGAAGGAGCCTTGTGAAGCTTATTGAACAGTTGGGTCTCGATCCTAAAAGCAATGAGAAGCCACTGGTGGGTTTATTCATTCATATATCCAACAACCGCTTGCTGAGGAATCCCTTCCCCTGGCATCCTGGTGCTGGAGACACAGAGATGAAAACACCCTGAAGCCACTTCCAGGCCAGTTGAGAGTCAAGACATGCTGGAAACATGAAGAAGCAATCAAGACAGGAAGCAGTCAATGCAGACGCACATCCTACTGAAGGAAACCAGTGTTTTAGAACGGGTTCCCCAGAAGCAGACTCTGAGACAAGGATGAGCATGAGATTCATTGACTTGGCAGGTGATCCCAGGAAGCACTGTAGGGAAATGGAAGAGTGACACAGAAAGGGGGAGGAAGCCAATGGAGGAGGACTGACAAGCCCCTGTGGGCAACTGGGAACTCAAACGCAATCCCACTGGAAGCCCCTGAGAGATGGCAGAACACACCTACAGGAAGTAAAGATGGTTTTCATCATCCAGTTCGCATCTGTCACTGGCTGAAGGCTGCTCCTGGGGTCATCAACTCCACAACACTCCTAACCTGTCCCATGCACAGGACAGACAGCCTGCTTCTGTCTGCAGAGAAGGCCTCTGGCAGAACTGCAGGGATGCAGGCAGAAGCCTCAGCATGCAGGGGAACAGCGAATGCCAACGGTGGATGCACAGGGCACCAAAGTCATCCTGTGCAGCTTCCAGAGCATTCTGTGGCCCCTTAACTCATCTGTATTTGATGTAGGATGATGAGCCCCAAATATCAAACTACAGCCCTAACTTTTATTTGGCCTCCAAATCTTTATATCAGCTCTCCCTCAGACATCTCACTTTGGATGTCCCATGAGCACCTCAAATCATCAGGTCCTCAAACTTAATGCATATGCATCTCCATCCTCACCATTAAACCTACATACCTCCTGTTTCCCTACTGGGATGGATGGTGCCCCCAATTACCCAGTCACTCAAGCCCAAACCAGCTAAGCACAATCCCTCAATCCTGTTACTTCTCTCACTGCCCAGCCTTAGGGTGACTCCCCTACCCCACCCTATCTCACCCAGATCATGGTATCAGCTTTCCAGGTGTCCTCCCCACCCCCATCATGCCCTCTGTGGGGCAGCCCAGGCAGACTTTCCAACACACAGATCTGGTTGTGTCCATCCCCTGCTTGAAATCCTTCATGCTTCCCAATGCCTCGCCAGCCTAACATCCCCGCACCATCATTGCCAACATGCCACTTTGTATTATCCAACTCTTCCAAGTTATTCCACATTTCCCTGCCACATGTTCATTCCTTTGCACTTGCTGAGTCTGCTGCTTTTTGTTTGTTTATTCAGACAGGATCTCACTCTGTCACCCAGGCTTGAGTGCAGTGGCACCATCATAGCTCATTGCAGCCTCAAATTCCTGGGCTCAAGGGATCCTCCTACCTCAGCCTCCCAAGTAGCTAGGACTACAGATGTGCACCACTGCACCCAACCTGAACCCACTTTCTAAACTCAATGACCTCTGCTTTTGTCCACCTGGCAAATAACCCTTCTCGTTGTATCTCAGCCCTGCCTCCTCTAGCAAGTGGGAGCACGGAGGTCCTGATTCCCTCCGTGCTCCCACTGTGCTGCTCACCTCCTCCTCGGCAGAGCAAGGACATCATGAAATAGCCATCGTTAAACTGCAGGTCTGCCTTCTCCACTAGACTGTGAGCTCCTCCTTGAGAACAGGGACATTATTTTATTTTTGTTTCCCCAGCACCTTAGCACAGAGCCTGCTCCCAGGAATCCCTCCATATATGAAGTGACTAAGCTAAGGTGACCCCACTGGACAGTGTCTGAACCACGATGACACTCATTCCCACCTTCTCTCCTTCTGCTGGATAGAGCCACCAAGTACAGGTGACATGTGCCTGTTAAGGTGAGGGACAAAATAGAGCAGTGCTTCATCTACCAACATGGCACTCCTGAACCCTCCCAGCAGGGTTATAATAGTGGGGACAGGGTGCACCAAACCATCAGTGGCCTCTCAGGTTGGATGCAGGGTCACACCAACAGACAGGTGTGGAACCTGGGCAGAGCAAGGAGATTCTGTCCCACTGGGCACTAAAGACAGCCTTGGCCTCAGGGACCCTGGATTCTACCCATGTGGCCCAAATGGCCAGAGAGCATCTGGAGCTAGATCTGCTATCTTCCTGGGTGATAAAAGTCAGGAAGGTCTTCTAGATCTTCACTTGAGGAGCCTATTTTTCAGGGCAGTTTAATTCCACATTGTTTGTTCTCTGCTCTGCAGACGCCTAGGAATTCTGTGCCAGGAACCAAGCTGAGAAACTCCGCTGAGGAAACCACGGGAATCTCATTTGAAGATTCAAATGGAAAAGCTGCTTCTCCTCTCTGAGCCTCAATTTTCCCGTTTGTAAAATGGTAACTTGTACCCAAGTCCATTCCAGCTCAAAAATACTATGATTCCTTTCTTAACTAGGAGGAGTTAAGGGGAAGAAAACTATTATTTCAACTGTGATCTCACCAAGGAACAAGTCTGAGGACTGAGTCGGGGGCCAGTGGCATGGTGTGGAGCACTCAGCATTCGGGGATGACCACCCTCTGCCCAGCCCCTCCCCTGGTACCTGTTACTCTAGGGGAGTCCCCTTCTCCTTTCTTGGTTTCCTTGTCTATAAAAGAGAATGATGCCAGCCACACCAGAGGACCACCGTAAGGAGAAATGCAATGTATTATATAAAGTGCCTGGAGCGGGCCAGGCGTGGTGGCTCACGCCTGTAATCCCAGCACTTTGGGAGGCCGAGGCGAGCGGATCACGAGGTCAGGAGATTGAGACCATCCTGGCTAGCACGGTGAAACCCTGTCTCTACTAAAAATATTTAAAAAATTAGCCGGGCATGGTGGCGGGCACCTGCAGTCTCAGCTACTCGGGAGGCTGAGGCAGGAGAATGGCGTGAAACCCGGGAGGCGGAGCTTGCAGTGAGCCGAGATTGCGCCACTGCACTCCAGCCAGGGTGACAGAGCGAGACTCCGTCTCAAAAAAAAAAAAGTGCCTGGAGCAGTCCTTGACCCATAGCTGACAAATCATTATCGACATAGTTTCCTTTCCCTGGGTAACAAGTGCTGGGTGCCTCCCCTGCTCAGCCTGCAGAGCCTGGAGACCAGAACACTCTACTCTCACTCACCGCCTCCGTCCACCCCAATCCGTGGCTTCCCTCCCCGTCAAGCTCAGCTCCTTGCCCGAGTTGGTCCAAAGGCCAGAGTGGCCAGGTGAGCGTGGTTAGCCACAGACGTGACCACCCAAGACCCCATGACCCGAGTGGCAAGCCTGAATCCACACCGAGGCCTGAATCCACACCGAGGCCTGGGGACCAAGTCCAGTGCTTTTGTCACAAAATAGCAGACCCCATGCGATGCAGGCCCAAGGGCTCACTGCCTACTCGCTGTCCATCCATCTCCCTCTGTCCCCAGGTGACCCCATTGCATTCCTGTGGTTTGGGGTTTGCTGGTGTGGCGGCGGCGACTGAAGTCTTGGCACCCTCCCACCAGTGAGTGGGGAGGGGGCTCCAGGGGCCAAATTCCTCTTCAAATGAGATTCCCGTGGTTTCCTCAGCTGAGTTCCTCAGCTCGGTTCCTGGCACAGAACTCCGAGGCGTCTGCAGAGCAGAGAAAAAACAATGTGGAATTAAATTTCTCTGGAAAATAGGCTCCACAAGTGAAGAGCTAAGCATCTCTTTGGGCTTGGGTCCGATTGCTGTGCCCCGTGCCAGGATGGACTCCCTCCGCCCTACAGGCACGGCAGTTGAGCAAGCCCAACTCCTTCCCCCCACCCACCACCTCTCCCCACTGTCGGACCTCAGAGCTGTCACCAGAGATGGGCTTTGGCTTTTCCTAGACTCTGCTGAGGCACCCTGACCAGAGACAGCTGGGATCCCCGAAATAGGAGCATCCTCCTGGGATGGGGTCACACCAGCTCCAGCTCTGTCTGATGTTGTCGCCACCGCCAGGCAGGATTCAGGATCAGGTTGCAAAGACTAGGGGACATGGTGAGACAGGCTGTCTCCCTGGGTCCCCAAGCCTCAGCAGCATATTCTAAAGTGACAAACCCCAAGAGGCATGGAGGAGAAAAAGAAAAAGAGGTAAAGTCACCAGCTGACCTCTCCCAAGCCCCAGCCCAATACCATCTTTGATCCTGGCAGGAAAGGCCCCTGGACATACGGTTTATCCGTGCAATGGAATGTTATTCTGCCTTAGAAAGGAATGAGCTGCTGAAATGAGCTCCAGCATGGAGGAACCTGAAGTCATTATACTAAGTGAAAAAAGCCAGACACAAAAGGCTGCATAGTGTGTGACTCCATTTATATCAACTATCCAGAATAGGTAAAGCCATAAAGACAGAATACAGATTAGTGGTTGCCAGGGCCTGGAGGAGAGGGAGATGGGAGTGACTGCTTAATAGGTATAGAGTTTCCTTTTGGGGCTATAAAAATGTTCTGGACCGAAATAGAGGTGGTGGTTGCACAACATTGTGAATGTATTAAATTCACAATGGTGAATTTGATGTCATACATATTTTACTACAATAAAAGGACAAAATGAAAGGCCCTTGGCCTGGGTCCCCGGCTATAGAGGAATTCTGCTCTGGTCACCCCCATAGAATGAAGAATCTGTGGGTCCGAGTGGATGTCACCAGAACCACAGCCTCCCTTCTAGACCATGCATTGCCCATGGAGGACCATGGTATTCCTGCCCATACAGCCCTGAAACTCTTCTCCAGGTTAATTTCCCCAAAGCAAGTCACACCCTGGGCCCAAGGGATAGCTGTTTGAAGGAGAGCGGTTAGAATTTGGCTTCTCCAGGCTCTTCTGTCCCCCAACTTCTGGTGCAGGATGAAGCCAGGAATGAGAAGGTAAAAGGACCAGACCACCAGCGAGGGACTGGGATCCAGGGGCCAGCCCTCCCCAGGCAGCTACCTCCTGGCACAGAACTCCTAGTTGTCAGAGAATTATGATTTTGACCCTGGCCTTCACAGTCATTATTTTAAAAAAAAATCAAGGTAGATGGATAGAACATATTTTATTAACAGTTTGTAAGCTTGACTTATGACTTTTGAATATTTAGACTTATGGTATGTATTCATCTTCTACTTCTATATAAAAAATGACCACAGATTTAGTGGCTTAAAACAACACCCATTTATTAACTCACAGTTAACACGTGGCTCCAGGGATGCCGTGTGCAAAAGGGCTGCCCCATGTTGTCAGTGACAACAAGCCAAACCCCAGAAGGGAAGACAAAGGTGGGCATGCCGCGGTGGGGCCAGGGAGGTGTGAGAGCACAGCATGTCCTCTTACTCAGCTGCCAGGCTCAGCAGGAGGCTTGACTCATCCCATGAGCTCACCTTGGGCCTAGGGCCATGCAGGATCGCACACGAGCTGGCCGGGGATGCCCTTCTCCTGGCCAGCGTCTGGACAGACGGTCCAGCAGCTTGGGTCATTGCTGCACAGGTACCGATGCCTCCAAGAGCAGCCCTGCACTTCCCCTCCTCCAAGGACAGCGAGAGGTCCAGGAGGGCAAGCCCAAGGACGGCAGTGCCCAGCCCCCCGCCTATCTGTTTCTGGGCACAGATGGCTGATTTGCTTTTCAGATCTAACTGAGGTGTACAAATCAGCAAATTATGTCCCAAAGCCAAGAACAACTTCCTTGGTTCTGAGAGGCCCACATAACTTACCCCTGGTCACGGTGATCTAGACTTGGTCTGAGAGGCCTGGCTCTGACGTGAGGAAGGAAGGGAGTGGGAAAAGAAAGGGTCATTCTAATCAGAACCACACCTGTTCTTGGGCTCACCCGGTGCTGCTCCCCAGAGAGCACAGAGCAGAGCAGATGTTGAGGTTCTGGCCCTGAGTCCAGGGAGACAGGTATTCTTAGGACCACAGGACCCTATGCAGGGGTGGGGCTTGCACAGGCTACCCTGCATCACCTCCACATCCACACTGTCAGGGTCCAGGGAGGATCGTGGAAGGCAAGGACCTGAGTTTCAGTCTGGCATTATCACCCCATTGGCAATGGAGCCCATAGGCAACCCCCACACTAAGCCTCAGCTCACCTGTCAGTCCAATGAGGTTGCACATACATACTCCAAAAGTACTGCGGAATGTGGAAAGAAAATTTTAGAATTCATATACATGTATTTGTATCTAAAAGTAAGAAAGAGGGAGGGTGCAGTGGCTCATGCCTGTGATCCCAACACTTTGGGAGGCCAAGGTGGGTGGATCACGAGGTCAGGAGATCGAGACCATCCTGGCTAACACGGTGAAACCCCGTCTCTATTAAAAATACAAAAAATTAGCCAGGCGTGGTGGCGGGCACCTGTAGTCCCAGCTACTCAGGAGGCTGAGGCAGGAGAATGGCGTGAACACGGGAGGCGGAGCTTGCAGTGAGCCGAGATCACGCCACTGCACTCCAGCCTGGGCGACAGAGCGAGACTCCGTCTCAAAATAAAAAAAAAAAAAAAGAAAAGAAAAGAGAGAAAAATAAATAAATAAATAAATTCAGGTCAACTAATATTTAACATACAGATTGACCTAGGCACCCTCACTCAGTCTGTTTGTTGGCCAATTATGTCCCCTGAATTAGTCACTCCATCAGGCAGAGAACTTGAGGGCTATACTCTCACTCTGTTGCTCACTTTCAATGTATTGTGACATATTGATGTCTGCATATCCCAGTTTATACTGCCTGATTCAAACTAAATTAGCCCTCCTTCAAAAAAAAAAAAAGGATAAACGGCCTAAAAAGATTTCTGCAAAGAAACAGCAAGAAAATAGTAGAAGATCGCCTCATTTGCCATATCACAAAGGAAGAACAAGTATTGCCTATTGAGTGCTACAGTAGAGATTTCCAAAAATGAAATCTCTTTTCATCAGGATAAAGGTGAAGTGCAGCCAAGTTATCAAGGAAGCAACTGTGGGGGAAGGAAAAGAATATGACAGAGCATTTGAAAATAAGGTTTGAAAGTGTTCCTATTGTTACATGATTTTGTGGCTGAAAACCTCATGTGTTCCCAAGATCCTTCATATCTGCCCTTCAAACAACGAACTAAAAAAGAAATGTTTAATTTGCTTAAAAATCTTCTAAATGAAGAGTTTGAGTGGGTTTAAAAGCCATTTGCTGAAAGTATTATAATGCAACATATTCCAATTTCTTTGCAAGAACAACTGATTGACATGAGAGAAGATGGAAATTTGCAAGCCAATTTTGAACAAAACCTTTGCATAATTGGTGGATGAAATTGAAAATTGAAAATTAATGTCATGATTTAATGAGCTGAGCCCACAATGCACCCCATCCGTCTGGATCTAGGTATCTTCGTGAGGCCTTCTTTTCAGCTGTGACAACCATTAAAACTGAATATTGAAATAAACTGAATTTAGAATGAGACATTCAAATCACTGTTCCACAAAGTGTTTTCAGATTTCACAAACCAGGAGTTTCAAAAATAAACAAGCATATTCAATCACGTTGCTCTCATTGTGAGAACAAAAGGGTTTTAATTAAATGAGATGCCATAAAATTACTTTTAAATATATCATTGAAAAAGATTCAATGTATTTTTTCTTCATCTTTATTTAAAATTTTAGAATGTATATAATATAGTTTACACATATACGTATAATGAGCATAACATATTTTATAATGTACATATATTTTTGTAATGTAAATACTAATATATTTATGTATATATAGCTCATGTATATAATTTGTAAAGTTCCACGTACCTAATGTTTTTGGGTTTTTTTTTGAGATGGAGTCTCGCTGTGTCATCCAGGCTAGAGTGCAGTGGCATGATCTTGGCTCACTGCAACCTCCACCTCCTGGGTTCAAGTGATCCTCCCACCTCAGTCTCCCAAGTAGCTGGGATTACAAGCGTGCACCACCACATCCAGCTAATTCTTATATTTTTAGTAGAGATGGGGTTTCACCATATTGGCCAGACTGGTCTTGAACTCCTAACCTCAAGTGATCCACCCACCTCAGTTTCCCAAAGTGCTGGGATTATAGGCGTGAGCCACCACACCTGGCCTATATATCTGTAATTTATAAACAAATAGTTGTTAGGTTGCCTGCTCAACATTTTTTACCGATGGGATGTGTGAACAACAGAGTTTGAGTCTGAGGATGCGGCAGTGCCTGAGGGGCCCTCCATTCTGGGGTTGGAGAATGAATGGGGTCACCCTGACCTGGATGTAAGCCTTCATAATAAAGATGTTCCTGAATTGGACTTTACCTGCCCTGCAGAGGCAAGCCATTGACTAGAGCTTCAGGCATGTGTTGTTATTATTATTATTATTATTATTATTATTATTTTGAAATAGGGTCTCACTCTGTCACCCAGGCTGGAATGCAGTGGCACCATCATGGCTCACTGCAGCCTCAGCCTACCTGGGCTCAGGTGATCCTCCCACCTCAGCCTCCCAAGTAGCTGGGACTACAGACAGGCACCACTGTTCCCAGCTAATTTTTTTTTTAAGGAGATACAAGGGTTTCACCATGTTGCCCAGGCTGGTCTCAAACTCCTGAGGCTCAGATCCACCTGCCTCAGCCTCCCCAAGTATTGGAATTACAGGTGTGAGACACTGCGCCCGGCCAGGCATGTGCATTTTATAGCTAGGGGGGTCAGAGGTCCAAAAGCATAAGACCTGAGAGCAGCCCCATTGGAAAGAACATCATCTCCTCCCCTGGAAAAAGAAGGACCTCTCTCGCCACTGCCCCTCACCCCTCCTACACAACAGGAGGAGGAAAACTTTCCTCCCTCTCAGAGGGACTTCAGAGGCCCTAAAAGGGTAACTCTCTTTCCTGGAGTATCACAGTAAATTGGCAATGGAGACTAAGTGTGAATTCAGACACCCAGAGCGCCAGTGCCGAGCTTTTACCTGCTCTGTTCTCTCTTGATCCTGAGCCTGGTTTTTGGTTACCAAAATTCTCACTATCCTCTGTACTGTAAAGTCCTCCCTGCTATTCATTTTAGATTTGCATGTTGCAAATAAAGCCTAGAATGCTCAGGAGGCTAAACACTCAAAGTCAATGACCTGCCCCATTGAGGCAAAGAACATCTCTCTCCAATCTTTTGGGTCTGTCTTAACCCCAAAGAAGAGGGACTCCCAGAAAGCAGTGAAGTCTGCACCTCTGCTACCTTCTCAGGGGGCTCAGCACCTCCCTGAAGCAACAGAACCTCCCTAAGGCACACATATGCTCATGTCATTCCCTCCCTGACCTTGCCCTGCTTAAAGGCTCCCCGTGTATCTCCACTGCCCACCACAGAAAATTCCCACTGCTCAGGCCAGTCTATACCCTGGCCCCACCCATTCTCATCAGTCACCTGCAAGAAACAGAAGCCACACTAGCTAGTGTAAGCAGAGAGGAATTTCATGCAGTATTCTGTCCTTAGAAAATGATCAAGAGGGCTAGAGGAGCAAGCTGCACTGCAGGAATAGCTCCCAGAACACAGGGGCCGAGCAACCCACCTGGGAGTCTTGCCCTCTGGTACCATCAGGAGAGTAAGGAATCAGGAGTGGCTGGGCACAGTGGCCCACACTTGTAATCCCAGCACTATGGGAGGCCGAGGCAGACGGATCACTTGAGGTCAGGAGTTCCAGACCAGCCTAGCAACATGGCAAAACCCCGTCTCTACTAAAAATATAAAAAAAAAAAAATCTGGGCATGGTGGCGCACACCTGTAGTCCCAGCTATTCGGGAGGCTTGAGGAGAATCGCTTGAACCCAGGAAGTGGAGGTTGCAGTGTGAGCTGAGATCGCACCACTGCACTCCAGCCTGGGCAACAGAGTAAGACTCCATCTCAGAAAAAAATAAAAGAATCAGAAGCCGCTCAGGGTCTGTGGACTTCAAGAACCATCATCACAACTGATTCAGGAAGTTGTTTCAGCAACAAGCTCTTCATGCCCACAAAGCTGAACACTGGATGTTAGAAAACAGCTGCTAAAAAATATACCCAGTGTCCAGCTGGGCGTGGCGACTCAGGCCTGTAATCACAGCAACTCGGGAGGCTGAGGTGGGAGGATCAGTTGAGGCCAAGAGTTTGAGACCAACCTGGACAAAATAGTGAGACTTCCATCTCTACAAAAAAATTAAAAGCTTAGCTGGGTGTGGTGGCATGTGCCTATAGTCCCACCTACTCAGGAGGCTGAAGCAAGAGGATTGCTTGAGCCTGGGAGTTCAAGGCTGCAGTGAGCCATGATGGTACCACTGCACTTCAGCCTGAGAAACAAAGCAAGACCCTCTCTCAAAATAAAGAAAATAAAAGGGAGGCAAAGGGAGATTAGACAGACAGAAGAGGAGAAGGAGATGTGAAGACACAGACTGAGACTGGAGTGATGTGGCCACAAGCCCAGGAATTCCAGGACAGCCACCAGAAATTTGAAGAGGCAAGGAATGGATTCTCCCTTTCAATCCCTGAAAGGAGCATGGCTCTGTCCAATTTCAGGCTCCAGACTGTGACAGAATAAATGTTTGTTGTTTTAAAGCATCAGGTTTGTGGTAATTTGTTACGATAGTCTCGAGAAACTAATAAAACACATCTTAAAAAGTAAAAAGAAGCAGAGGAAATTAATTTTAATAATGTTTTTATTTAACCCAGTATCTATAAAACAGCATCATTTCCACACACAATCAATATAAAAAATTACTGAGCAAGCATGGTGGCTCACGCCTGTAATCCCAGCCCTTTGGGAGGCCGAGGTGGGAGTATAGCTTGAAGCCAGGAGTTTGAGACCAGCCTGGGCAACATAATGTTACTGCATTTCTAGAAAAAAAAAAAATTATTCAATTACTATTGAGATATTTCATATAATTTTTCATACTGAGTCTTTAAAATCTGAATTGTATTTTGCACCCACAGCACATCTTTGTTTAGACTAGCCACATTTCAGGCGCTCCGTATCCACACACGACTAACGCTGACAGAAGATGGCTCAGCTCCAGCCTTTTGTAGGCCTCTTGGTTGCACCAGGCTGAGATTTGGGGGCCTTTCTGTCTATGAGTCATACTCCCCCATGAACAGTGTGCTCCTTGCGGGCAGGAGCCTTGTCCCATTCATCTCTATATCCTAACATCTGAATGCAGGGGCACTCAATAAATTGTTGTTTTTTGTTTATTTGTTTGTTTGTTTGTTCTAGATGGAGTCTCACTCTGACACCCAGGCTGGAGTACAGTGGCGTAATCTCAGCTCACTGCAACCTCCACCTCCCAGGTTCAGGAGATTCTCCTGCCTCAGCCTCCCGAGTAGCTGGGATTACAGGTGCCCACCACCATGCCTGGCTAGTTTTTGTGGTTTTAGTAGAGACGGGATTTCACCATGTTGGCCAGGCTGGTCTCAAACTCCTGATCTCAGGCGATCTGCCCACCTCGGCAGTGTGCCCTCCCAAAGTGCTGGGATTACAGGCGTGAGCCACCACACCCAGCCAAATAAATGTATTTTGAATGAATGAGTAATGTGGGTTCTCTACAAGAAAAAAACTCAGTCAGAAATTACATTTCTTAGTTTCTTTTTTTTTTGAGATGGAGTCTTGCTCTGTCACCCAGGCTGGAGTGCAGCGGTGCGATCTCGGCTCACTGCAAGCTCTGCCTCCTGGGTTCACGCCATTCTCCTGCCTCAGCCTCCCGAGTAGCTGGGACTGCAGGCACCCGCCACCACGCCCGGCTCATTTTTTGTATTTTAATAGAGACGGGGTTTCACTGTGTTAGCCAGGATGATCTCGATCTCCTGACCTCGTGATCCACCCACCTCGGCCTCCCAAAGTGCTGGGATTACAGGCGTGAGCCACTGCACCCGGCCATTTCTTGGTTTCTTTAATTGATTTTCCCTCTCCCTTAGTGAGAGACATGCAGAATACATCAAAATATAGGCTGGACTTTTTTTTTTTAATCTACTTGGAATCCCTTCTTTCAGAAGAGTAGATGTAGGACAAGGTGCCCCCGTCAACTAGGGAAATAGTGTATTTTGAGGTTGAAAAGAAATGCTGTGAATAGGCTTATATCTAGCAAAGAATTGAATTAATAATTAATAACCTTCCAAAACAGAAAGCACCAGGACCAGACAGTTTTACTGGTGAAATCTACCAAACATTTGAGGAAGAAATAGGACCACTTCTCTACAACCTCTTTCAGAAGATAGAAGCAGAAGGAACACTTCCCAACTCATTTTATGAGGCCAGCATTGCTGAAACCAGAGATACAAAAGAAAACTAGACACCAATATCACTCATGAACATAGATGCAAAAATCCTCCACAAAATGTTAGCAAATTGAACCCAACAATGTATTAGAAGAATTATACAGACCCAGGCATAGTGGTACATGTCTGTAATCCCAGCTACTCCAAAGTCTGAAGTGGGAAGATCACTTGAGTCCGGGAGGTTGAGACCAGCCTGGGCAACATAGCAAGACCCCATCACAAAAAAAAAAAGAATTATATACCATGACCAGGGGGTTCATCCCAGGTATGCAAGGAGGGTTCAAAATTCAAAAGTAAATTAATGTAATCTATCACATCCATAGGCTAAAGAAAAAATGTCATATCTATAGATGTATAAAGAAATGCCACTCCATCCATCCCTTGATGATCACGGCAAAGGGCAGTGATGTGGTGTTGGGCAGGGTTTGTGAGGCAGCTGGGGCTGAAATCACTGTTCTGAGACCATCTTAAGCTAAAGGAAGCAGCTGGGTGTGAAACAAAAGAGCCAATCTGCCAAGAAAGACCATAACCCCCAGGTATGGGTCTGTAAGGCTGGAGGACCCCCTGGCCCTGAAGAACCACTGCAGAGGCTATCCATACCAGCCCCAGGGGAGATGGCCAGGGTTACCCCGGAGTTGCCACAGTCTCTGCCCAACACTTCGCCCTACTGTAACCTGCCCCTTCCACTCAAGAAACTCACGAGTCGCCCCTCCCACTCTCCCACAATCATGAGCCACAGCCTCATGGGGGAAGCCGCCATGTGCAGTGACATCCACTCCAGGGCAGGAGCACCACATTTTTCATCCAAAGACATAATTGCTCATCAAGCCATGTGCCAACAAGGCTGCATGGACACCTAGGGACACCTTTTATGTCACCATCAGGAAGGGGCACCTTATATAACTTTCCATAGCTTTGCTCACCGGCCTCCCATGCACTAGTTCACCATGCCTCAGTGAAACCCCAGGGCATCAAAAACTGTAAGGCCAGAAGCCCTTCCACTGGGCATAATGGGGGCATGGGGCAACCCACCCCTGAGATTAGCCTACTGGGATCACCATGAGTCCCTGGGCTGGAGACTTCGCCAGCTCCCTCACTTCAGACCGCTCCCAGACCAGGCTCTGCCATCAGCACCCTCCCCTCACCATGTCTGAACACCTCCTTACAACATTCTAGGACCCCTGCCCCTCTAGAACAGGGAGAGAGTTGGAACCATGGAGAAGGAGCTACCAGACCAGACTTCTGGGCTTCCTGATCTCACCCTCCAATGTCCTCCCCTCAGGGAACTTCCACCCTGGGGCACAGACCAGACGAGGGACAGAGATAGCCCATGAGTGAAGGAACAGCTATAAGCCCCTTCTCAAAGCCCTCCAGACACTTCAGCCTCCTTTCCTTGAGTTAGAGGCCCCATCCCAAGCTAGAGTCATTACTGTAAAAGGAGAGAAAGAAGAAAAGACAAGCTCGTGCCTAGCCTTACTTCCAGTGGGCCCTTACCCTGTGCCTGTCCCAGTGTGACCCAGCACAAAGGGGGACTGCAGAGGGTCTCCTGCCCACTGGCATCCTGCTTTGTCAAGGCCCTCACTCTCTGCCAGCTCTGCCAACCCATGGCCTCTGCCCCAGCCAGCACCTGAGGAGTGCCCACTGCACACCTTGATTCTAGCTATGCCCTGTCCAAGCAAGGACTCCCTGGCCATGTGGTGCCACGAGAAGCCCAAGCAGGAACTTGGGAGCCCCTCACACACACCCAGACCCAAAACCCACCACCCAGTGCTTCCCTTCCTGCTGCCTGTGCCAGCCCCACCTGAGCTCACTGGATCCAGCAGGGGTGGGGCCTACTGCTGTCAGGGCCACGTGCAGGGCCCGCCCGGAGGGGAGGAGAGAAGGCGGGCAAGCTGCTTTTAAGGCAGGTCTGGAGGTGAACTGGCGCCTCTCCTGACTCTTCACCTGGACTCTGAGTCGTCTTGGTCCCAGGAGCCAGTAGTGAAGGCAACAGTCTGCCCACCTGTGGACACCAGGTAGGTGCCTTTATTCTTTAAGAAGAGAGGAACACGGAGCACCTTTGCTGGCCCTGATTCATTTAAACATTTTTTTTTTTTTTTTTGAGATGGAGTCTTGCTCTGTCACCCAAGCTGGAGTGCAGTGGCGCGATCTCGGCTCACTGCCAACGTCTGCCTCCAGGGTTCAAGCGATTCTCCTGCCTCAGCCTCCCAAGTAACAGGGATTACAGATGTTTGCCACCATGCCCGGCTAATTTTCTTATGTTTAGTAGAGACGCGGTTTCACCATGTTGGCCAGGCTGGTCTCAAACTCCTGACCTCAGGTGATCCTCCCACCTTAGCCTCCCAAAGTGCTGGAATTACAGGCGTGAGCCCAGCCTCATTTAACCTTTTGTCTTCAGCTTCTCCATTTCTCAGGGCTCAGAGTGAAGGTGGGGAGAAATGGGGTGGAGGATGTGGATGAGACAGAGATGGTCTCAGGATCACAGACCGCGGAGTTCAGCAGTTCAAGGGAACTAAACCTGTGCCCCTCGGCAAATAGATGAGAGAGCTGAGGGCCACAGAGAAGAGGCTTGCCTGAGGTCATGGAAAGGGACTGGACACAGAACCCAGGCCTCTCGCCTCCCAGCGCTCTGGGAGCCCTCTGGGCACTTCAGAGGTAGACAGGACTGGGAGATGGGGCGGCTGGCCTTCACTGGTCCTATGGGTCCCTGCCTGAGGTCCACGTCCTGCGTCACCGGGTCTGGGTGGGAGGGATGGGAAGATCGGGAGCCAGTTTTCAAAAATAGGGGGTGCAGTGGAGATTGGGCTAATGAGGCAAAGTGCTTTGGGGGAGACTCAGGCTTTACCCTTGCCCCACCCTCTCCCTTCACTGACCTGGGCTCATTGGGAGAGAGTAAGTCAGGAGAAGAGGTTGGCAATGACACGGAAGAGGGGATTTGCCAAGGCACCAGGACTCCCCAGAGTCCTTGGGAACAAAGAAAGAGATCTGAGTCAGAATCAGAAGTGGGAGCGGGTAGGGGGCACCTACAAATAGAGCAGAGGTGGCTGGAGCCCTCCTTGCCCCCGCCCCGTGCCTCCCAACCACACAGAGCCCCGGGCCCAGGGACTCTCCCCACCACTTACAGCAAGAAAGAGCAAGTTAGAGGAGTGTGCGGGGCCGCGAAGGGGGCAGCATTCAGGAATACAGGAGTAAGATGGAGCCCTGCCTTGGTACATCCAAGGGCGACGCAGAGCCTTAAAAGTGAGGGGAGGCTGAAGAGGAGCGTAGGGGCTGCCTGCCCTTTGCTCAGCTCCAGGTCTGTCCCTCTTGGTTCCAGAATCCCAGAAGGGGCAGCGGTGGACAGGGTTCTTAAATATGTGAAGCAGCAGCAGAGGCTAAAAGTGTGGGACCGTGGAGCAAGACCACCTGGGTTTAAACCCCAATTCACAGTTGGGGTTGTATGACCTTGGGCAAATTCCTCAACCTCTCCAGCCCTGCAGCAATAGCACCCTCCTCAGAGAGCTGTTGAGAAAATGCAAGGTGTTCAGTGTCTGTTATTATCACATCCCCATCACACAGATGGGACAACTGAGGTCTGCCCAGAGAGGAAAGGACGCTTGCCCAGCGTGGCACAAAAGCTGTGTCCAAATTAGTAAGCAGGTATACTGGGTCCTGGTTGCGAGGGGACACCCAGCCCTCCTTGAGCTCTGCAAAGTCAGCAGCCCCAGCCTCCTCTGCAGGACACAGCCAGAAAACCCTGCAGGGAGCGCCCAGATCCTGTCCCAACAAACCCAGTCCACTTGGAGCCTGTGTGGAAAAAGCCGTGGTTCCGGCTCTGTGTCCTCAGCTGTCCCGGGAGGGCGGGAGCGCAGAGGCCGGCTCCCTTCCACTTCCATTTATAGAAAGCTTCCCGTGCCCGGGATGCCCCGCCCCCTGCAGGACCTGGCCAAGGAAAAGTCTGGCATCAGACCTACCGGAGCCACGGGCGTTGGGGGAGGCAGGAGAGGGGAAGGGGCCCTGGCTTTTCTCATGAAACCTGTGCGACCTTCAGCCAATCATGCCCCCTCTCTAGATCCCAGGTGTCCCTCTGCACTTGAATTCCATGTGGCATTGTAGCAGGACGAGCCGCAGACAAAACTCCTCAGACACCAAGTTAAAGAAGGAAGGGGTTTATTCGGCCGGGGGCATCAGCAAGACTCCTGTCTCAAGAGCCGAGCTCCCCGAGTGAGCATTTCCTGTCCCTTTTAAGGGCTCACAACTCTAAGGGGGTGCGTGTGAGAGGGTCGTGATCAATTGAGCAAGCAGGGGGTACGTGACTGGGGGCTGCACGCACCGGTAATTACGTGGGAACAAAACAGGAAAGGGATTTTCACAGTGCATTTCTATACAATGTCTGTAATCTATAGATAACATAACCGATTAGGTCAGGGGTCGATCTTTAACTACCAGGCCCAGGGTGTGGCGCTGGGCTGTCTGCTTGTGGATTTCATTTCTGCCTTTTAGTTTTTACTTTTTCTTTCTTTGGAGGCAGAAATTGGGCATAAGACAATATGAGGGGTGGTCTCCTCCCTTAGCATAAGGAATTAAGATTCCAAAATCCCACACCTGGGTTTGAATCCCAGCTCCACCATCTTTCTGGATGTGAAGCGTGTTTCTTGACCTCTCCGAGTCTCAGCATCTTCATCTGTAAAATGGACTGACAACTCAAAATAAATAAATAAGGCCAGGCACAGCGGCTCACACCTGTAATCCTAGCACTTTGGGAGGCCGAGGAAGGAGGAGCACTTGAGCCCAGGAGTTCAAGACCAGCCTGGGCAACAAAGTGAGACCCTCTTTCTACAAAAAATTCTCTGGGTATAGGGCACAAGCCTGTAGTCCCAGCTACTCGGGAGGGTGAGCTGGGAGAATCGCTTGAGCCCCAGGAGGTCAAGGCTGCAGTGAGCCATGACTGTGCCACTGCACTCTAGCCTGGGCAACAGAGCGACACCTTGTCTCAAGAAAAAAAAACAAGAGGACTGACAATAGGGTGCAGTACTTCCTAGAGCTGTGAGAGGATTGAGTTACCAATGTAATTCGTATGTAAACTATTTGGCACATGGTCAGCGCTCAATAAATGGAAGCTACTATTATGAGGCTGTTATACTCCATAAGTCCTTATTTCTAAGTACTATTTAGAATTGCCTAACTACCTTCACAAGGAGCACCTCACTGGTTCCATAACACTCTCTGGGAGGGTGCAGGAATTCTCATTACCATCTCACAGATGAGGAAACTCAGGGTCAGAGTCACACCATAAGGAGCTATTTGAGCTAGAAGTCAAATCTAAACCTTCGGATCCCAGAGTCCACTTTCTCTTCTCCCAGGCTAGTCTCAGATACCTTTTCCAGTGCTAAGGTCTGACTCCAAAACAGGACGTAAAGGAGGCGTTTTGGCAACGAGAAGAAAGAGAGTTGGGGGGTGTTGGTGGGGGCTGGGGACCAGCAGCAAAGCTCAGAGCAGGCAATGGGAGTGTAACCAGCACATTGCAGCTCTGTACAGTTTTCTTGGCAGCCTCAGTCCCAGAACTTCTTACCTCCTTACCAAGCCCCACCTACAAGAAACTAGCATGTGGCATTAAGGTTAGACAATGGAAAGGACTTTTCACAGTAAGGAAAATGAGGAGGTTGAGACATCTCTTTCCCAAATGAGCCCCAAGGAAATGAATATCATCTGATGATGTCACTCCCCAGCTCAAAACTTTTCAGAGCCTCCCTGTTGCCCTCAGGGTTGAGCTGGCAGTCCTGAGCCCAGCCTGCAAGGCCCTACGGGATCTGGCCAGCCTGCCTCCCCCGCCCCATCTCCTCCACCCACCCCAGGTGCTCTGTTACTCAGGTGCTCAATAGGGTCTTGTGAGCTTCCCTGCTGGCCAGACTTTTGCACAAATGGTCCCCTCTACTTTGTTTATTTATTTGTTTATTTGTTTAGTTAGAGACAGAGTCTTGCTCTGTCATCCAGGCTGCAGTGCATTGGCTCGATCTCGGCTCACTGCAACCTCTGCCTCCCAGCTTCAAGCAATCCTCCTGCCCCAGTCTCCTGAGTAGCTGGAATTACAGGCACGTGCCATCATGCCAGCTAATTTTTATATTTTTAGTAGAGATGGGGTTTCACCATGTTCACCAGGCTGGTCTCGAACTCCTGACCTCAAGGGATCAGCCCACCTCAGACTCCCAAAGTGCTGGGATTACAGGTGTGAGCCATCACGCCCAGCTCATCCCCTCTAACTTAAATCTTCCTCTCTGCCTCCTCATCCCTACTCAACTTGCGCAGCTACCTCTTGCTTTTCCTTCTTATCTCCCTTTGCGTGTCCCTTCCTCCAGGAAGACCTCCCTAACCTCCCCACTGAACTAGAAAAGTGCACTGTCCCTTCCCTCCTCTCTCGTGACACTGCTTACAGTTGTTCACCCACTTACTTGTCTGTTTCACCAACCGGCCCAAGTGCAGGTGCTCAGACATCAGGCAGCCGAGGGCCCAGTCCTTCTCTACACTTGTTGGCAGTGTGACCCTTGGGCAAGTTACCTACCTCTCTGTGCCTCAGTTCTCTCCCTGTAAAATGGGATAATAATACCTACCTTATACAGTTGTTATAAGGATTTTTAAAGCCTTTATCTAAAAATACCAGAGCTTATGTGGATAATAATTACTCAGCAAACGTTAGGTAGTATTTACTTAATAAACACACCTGGGATGTAGTAGATGTTCAATAAACATCTACTGAAGTTATTTTATTTAATGATCACTTACATAATGCTTATTATGTGCCAGGCACTGTTCTAAGCACATTACAATGATTAACTTGTTTTATAGACGAGGGAACTGAGGCACAGAGAAGTCAATTAACTTGCCCAAGGTTATACAGCTAGTAGGTGGTGGAGCCAGGCTGCAAACTCAGGTGGTCTGGCTCCAGCATCCATGCTTTTAAATGAATGAATAACTTAGCCTTTGTACGGAGGGTGGGAGGCAGGGGCTTCACCTACAGAAATTACTCCGTTCCCACTCTTGGACTCTTTCAGATCCTGGGAGCTCCTGGTTAGCAAGTGAGATCTCTGGGATGTCAGTGAGGCTGGTTGAAGACCAGAGGTAAACTGCAGAGGTCACCACCCCCACCATGTCCCAGGTGATGTCCAGCCCACTGCTGGCAGGAGGCCATGCTGTCAGCTTGGCGCCTTGTGATGAGCCCAGGAGGACCCTGCACCCAGCACCCAGCCCCAGCCTGCCACCCCAGTGTTCTTACTACACCACGGAAGGCTGGGGAGCCCAGGCCCTGATGGCCCCCGTGCCCTGCATGGGGCCCCCTGGCCGACTCCAGCAAGCCCCACAGGTGGAGGCCAAAGCCACCTGCTTCCTGCCGTCCCCTGGTGAGAAGGCCTTGGGGACCCCAGAGGACCTTGACTCCTACATTGACTTCTCACTGGAGAGCCTCAATCAGATGATCCTGGAACTGGACCCCACCTTCCAGCTGCTTCCCCCAGGGACTGGGGGCTCCCAGGCTGAGCTGGCCCAGAGCACCATGTCAATGAGAAAGAAGGAGGAATCTGAAGCCTTGGGTAAGGATTTGGGGCACAGTACCAGGAGGGGGGCTTGGTGCCAGACCTCATGAGGAAGAAGGATTTTCCTATGTACAGAGAAGGGGACCCTGTCCTGTTGGGAGGTGCTGTGCAAACCTAACCAAGTTACTAACCCCTCTGTTTTCTGTGCTACACAAAGGGGATAAATACAAGCTTCCCTCACTAGCCAATTCTATTTGGTTCCTGAGTTTGGAAAGTGATAGATACTGATTTTCTATGATTTTATGAGGACTTAAATAAGCTCCTATGGAAAGTGTTTTGTGCAGTGCCGTGCCCATAAAGAAGAGCTCAATAAATGTGGATCCCTGACCCCCACTGTCCTAGGGTGTCTCACTTCAGAGCCTAACCTGGGCCCCCCTGAAATTTTGGTAGGATTGCTATTGGGACCTCTGTCCTTGTTTAGGGGAGTATCTTTCTGGAGAGGCCCACGCTGGAAATGGTAGGATTGGGGCATCTGTTTAGGATAAGGACCCGGTAGTGTTCAAGCAGTGGTATGCTGGTGAATGTTTACCTGGCTCTCTGGTTGGGGAGCAGGGGCAGAGGGAGCTGATTTGAAGCTTCTGCCCATTTCCACAGTATGAATTCTCCCACTGTGGCCAATTTCAAACTACCAACATGATGTCACTGAATGAGGAGCTGGAGACATGTGGAGTAGCAGGCTGTCACACAGCATTGCCACCACACCAACACAATAGATGTAAATAACCCTGAGAGCACAGATAATAGTATGGAGGGTGGGGAGACACTGTCGTAAAATAATTGGGACGTGACGAATTTTAAGTATTTATTACCTTTGTTTTTAATGTAAGTTATTTCATTGTAAGTGTACATAATGTAATTATTCATAATGGCTGGGTTTAGTAACTAGCTAGACAAAATCCTGAAAATTTAACAATCAGCTCTTAACCAGCTGATACAAGCCAATTCCAGGGCACCACCGAGTCCAAAGGAACCTGGAAATTCCTACATCTGGCTTCAGTTTCCTGAACAAAGAGTTTCAAGTATGCTCTTGATGAGGATCAAGGAGCAGCCATCAGACAGGTTGGAAGACTGAGGCCTCCAAGGCTTTAAACTACCAGCAAGGGTGAAGGGGTGCATGATTAGGATTAGAGATAGGAGCCATAAGATATTACACTTACTGGACACATATCAGGCACTGTGCTGAGCACTTTATGTAGAATCTTCAATCCTCTCAATCCACTCCCTGAGCTGAATTTTTTTTTTTTTTTTTTTTTTGCAATGGAGTCTCACTGTCACCCAGGCTGGAGTGCAACAGCACGATCTCGGCTCACTGCAACCTCCACCTCCCGGGTTCAAGCAATTCTCCTGCCTCAGCCTCCCCAGTAGCTGAGATTACAGGCACCTGCCACCATGCCCAGCTAATTTTTGTATTTTCAGTAGAGATAGGGTTTCACCATGTTGGCCAGGCTGGTCTCGAACTCCTGAGCTCAAGTGATCCACCCACCTTGGCCTCCCAAAGTGCTGGGATTACAGGTGTGAGTCACCACACCCTGCCGAATATTTTATCTCTGTTTTGCAAATGAAAAGCTGGGGTTGCTGGGGTTAAGTAAGGAGCCAGTCTAGCCTAATGGCTGGCGTCAGGCAGAGCTTTCACAAGCTGCTTGCTTCACTGCTATGTGTCACAGATTCCCCATCTGAGAAATGGAGATAATGAGAGTTCTTACCTCAAAGGGTGTTATGGGGATTGAAAGAAATTACATTTTTTGGCTGCTTATCACAAATCCTGGCACACCATATGCCATTCTAAATGGTAGCTGTTTTTATTAAACATTGGGGTTGCACGTTGGGCTAGCCCCAGGTTTGGGCTCTGAGGTGGAGGCCAGCCCAGCACCCAGGCCCTCTGGCACCCAGGGTTCCTGGGCTCCTGGGCTCCTGCCTGCTCTGTCCCCTCTCACCAAGCATTGCCTGCCAGACCTGTTAAAGAAACTGTCCGTCAAGGGTCTTCCTGTTTCTTCAGGCCAGTCAGTCATGGGCATGTCACTGCAGGAAAGGCATCTTGGGCCTAATTACTGTTGGCAGGAGCAAGCCCAGGGTTTTACCGTTCATGCCCCAGGACTGGATTTCCACATGTCCAAGGCCAGCTGGGGCAAAACCAGTCCCTGTGGAACGTCCTCAAATGTTGGGTGGGGGTTGGTGACAACTAGGCCCTTCCTCCACGGAAGGGGCTCATGATCAGCTTAGGGCTGATGGCATGGGTCCACATCCACAGATGCCCTGGGCACCACATGCCATTGTGAACATGTGTCCACCCAACTCTGGGGAACAGGGAATGTAAGGCAGGCAGTGGCCAGAGGGTCCTGAGGAAGCTGCCTCTCTGTGCCCTGGCCCCTTCTGATGGAGAAAAAAAATCTCTTCCTCTAACGTCTGCCTGGACACCTGCAATGCCTGGGAGCTCACTACCTCCTAAGACAACCCAGCCAGGTCAGCTCCCCACTGGGAAGTTCTCCACCATCACTAAGAACAGCAGACACCTGCACCCAAAATCCTCCCCGCAGACCCTACTGCTGGTGACAAATCTCTCACTGGCCTATAGCAGTGTACAACTCTGAGCGTTGTGGTGAGTTCTCTTACCTCGAAATGTATTCAGAGTGGAGGATCCCCTGCCATTTTACAATCTCATCCTTCCTACTTTTGGGCTGTTCAAGGAAAGACACTCTGACATTACCGTGCTAGGAGATGTTTACTTTTCCTTTTTGTCCTAACTTGGCAGAATTTAAAAATTAAACATTGGCAATTCTATATTGACATTTCCCCTAAATATATATACATATTTTTTTTGAGACAGAGTCTCGTTGTGTTGCCCAGCCTGGAGTGCAGTGGTGTGATCATAGCTCACTGCAGCCTTGAATGCCTGGGCTCAAGCAATCCTCCCACCTCAGCATCCCCAGTAGCTGGGACTACAGGCACATGTCACCACGCCCGGCTAATTTCTTATTTTTTTTTTCTTTGGTGGGTGATGGAGTCTTGCCTCCCAGGTTCAAGCGATTCTCATAGCTCAGACTCCTGAGTAGCAGGGATTACAGGTGCCCACCACTATGCCCAGCTAATTTTTTTGTATTTTTAGTAGAGACGGGGTTTCACCATGTTGGCCAGGCTGGTCTTGAACTCTTGACCTCGTCCACCTCGGTGATTCGCCCACCTTGGCCTCCCAAAGTGCTGGGATTACAGGTATGAGCCACCATGCCCTGCCAACCTGGCTAATTTTTAAACTTTTTGTAGAGATGGAGTCTCACCATGTTGCCCAGGCTACCTCAAGAAATCCTCCTTCCTCAGCCTCCCAAAGTTCTGGGATTACAGGCATGAGCCATATCACCCAGCCCAGGCTTAAAACAAAAAAAAAAAAAAAAAACTAGTCCATGTACCAGCCTGGCCAACATGGCGAAAACCCATCTCTACTAAAAATACAAAAATTAGTTGGGTGTGATGGCATGAACTTGTAGTCCCAACTATTGGGAGGCTGAGGTGGGAGAATCACTTGAGCCTTGGAGGTGGAGTCTGCAGTGAGCCAAGATCCCGCCACTGTAATCCAGCCTGGGCAACAGAGTGAGACCCTGTCTCAAAAAAAAAAAGACTCCATGTAATCCATGATCCCAGTGTCTGGCTTTTGAAGGAAATAGTGGAAACCTCCTTTTACAGATGAGGAAACTGAGGCTCGGGGTGGGTACGTGATGGCTCACAGTCACACAGTCAGGGAGAGATAGGTCAGGCCTCAAATCCCAGGCTCTGGGCTCCATAGGCCACTGTCCTTTCTCTCTTTCTAAAGTCTAGTCTTCTGCCCTCTGGGGCATCACGGAATCCATCCGTTTGGAGGCAGCCTGCAGGCTCCTCTTCTGAGGCGCGACCTCCTGGGTGCTTCACAAACCTTCCCCAGGTTCCCTGCCCCTGCCTTCCTTTAAACTTGCCCTGGGGGCCCCCATCCCACAGAGAATGTGGTTCCTAGAAGCAAACACCATATCCCTTTCTTTATCCTCTCCAACACCCCGCACCCCATCTTTGGAACAGGCCCCCCACTTTCATTTTCCAACAATGTCTGCCAGGCAAGGCTGTTTACCCGCCCCAAGTGAAGGGTATTTAATAAGTATCTCTCCACCCCTCACCCACACGCCCTCCCTCCACTCACCCGCCTGCCTGGGGCTGGCGCCGGCACCCACCCAGCACTGCTCAGACTTGCCCCACAGGCCAGTAAACAGCGACTGCACCCCTGCAATGGGTAGAGGCCCCAACCCCACCCCCCAGCCACACCCACCTTGAGGTGAGCACGGGGCTCCTCCCTCCCCTCCCGCTCTCCTTACTCAGTGACCCCAGCAAGGTCCCTGATGGATGTTTCAATGGCCCAGTGAGTAGGGAGCCCAGAGCTTCACTGTGCCAAGAGACCCTCCCCAAAGCAGCCAAGCACCTTCTCACAGGGCAAGGCCTTGGAGCAGGTTCCCAAGGAGCCCCTCCTCATCCTGGAAGAAGCAGTCCCTAAACAGAGCTCAACAACACTCCCTGGCTGTGCAGCATTGGATAACTCACTTCACCTTTCTGAGCCTTCCAGATTTCCCATCTGTTATATGGGCATTAATAATATCCCCTACTTCCACAGAGTTGTCATGAGGGTTAAAGGAGCTAATACAAGCAATGTGTTCGTAGTGGTCCTGGCACATTGCACTCAATAAAGACCAGTCTCTGTGAAACATCGTTGTACACTAAGTGTTAGCTCCATCCCCACTCTTCTCCAAGCTTCAGTTTCCTCCTCTGTAAAAAATAATGCCTGCCCTGCTCAAGGGCTATTATAAGGTTCAGAGGAGATTATGGGTGTAAACACTATAAAGTCCTATAAAAATTGAAGTTGTGCTTTCCAGCCTTCCAGAAGAATCCAACCCATTCCAAGATCTCTTTTCTTCCAGAGCCCACAATGCAGTGCCCCAAACACTCTCTTCTTGCAGTCATCTTTCTAAGCAGAGAGATCCCCACCTTAGCCAGAAAAGGGCTCCATTTGGCCAATACTGTCCCCAAAAAGCAGGCAGGTAGGAAATGCTCCTCTCTCGAGCCTCACCATGGGCCAGGCTCCCGGCTATTGTATTTCATCCTCATCACAACCTTGGAAGACTGGTTTCAGATCCTCACTTTGCAGATAAGGAAACTGAGGCTCAGAGAGGTTAGGAAAGTTGCACAATGCCCTTGGCTGAAAAGCAGCAAAGCCAGGACTCACCCCAGGTTTGTTTTGCTACAAAGCTAGGCTCTTCCTCCACCCGCTGAGCAGCAAGTCCCAGTCAGCTGCCAGCCCTTGCTCATCTGATGTAACTCCCCACCCCCACCGTGGCCCAAGCAAGCTCAGACAGAGGCAGTAACTGTGAGCAGGGCCAGATGGCCCTACCCAGGAGCGGGCTGGGGCAGGCTGGGGCTCCACAGTCATAATGGGGAGGAACAGTGCATGTGCCAGGGCCCCAGGCAGGTGGGAGCTGAGGGTGCACGTTCTCCCCAATTTCCCCAGCCTCCATCCCAGGAAGCTAGAGGCAAGACTCACACTCTTCAGAAAGGAGCGGCTCATTAACCCCCACCTTCCTCCAGCTTTGCTGGAACAGCACCAAGGACAATTCCCTTCCCCCAGGTCAGGAGGAAGGGTGTTCATCCTCACCTTGGGGAGAACCTCAGAGCAGCCCACTGCAAGGCCGACCTCGGGAGAGGAACAAGGCCTCAGAATCCCAAGAGTCCTGGATGCCCCGACCAGGGAGTGGAAAGAGCGCTGGAGCGCGTCGGCAGCCTGGGGTGTGTTGGGTGACCCCTGTGTACCAGCTACCATCCCCAGGAGATCCATAGCTCAAGAATGCAGCAAGCCCTGTGCTCAGGGAGTGCCTGCTCCAAAGCAGGGTTCTCAGACTCCACTGCATATTCACATGCCCTGGGTGGCCTCGCTAAAATGCAGATTATGTTTCTGTAGGGGTGGAGCCCAGGTGATGTGGTCCTGCTGAGCCATTCATGGTCTACTGGACTCACCTGAAAAACTGGAAAACAAACAAAACTGAGGCCTGGGTTCACCCCCTGGAGAGTTTAATCTAATTGGCACAAGGCGCAGCCTGGGGTGAGTCTAGTGTGTAACCAAGCTTGAGAATCCCTGCTTTCACTGCAGGTACAGAGAAACCACTTCCTTTTTTTTTTTTTTTTTGGAGATGGGGCTTCACTCTTGTCACTCAGGCTGGAGTGCAGTGGCGCAATCTCGGCTCACTGCAACCTCTGCCTCCCGGGTTCAAGCGATTCTTGTACCTCAGCCTCCCAAGTAGCTGGGATTACAGGTGCCCGGCTAATTTTTGTATTTTTGGTAGAGATGGGGTTTGCCATGTTGGCCAGGCTGGTCTTGAACTCCTGACCTCAGGTGATCCACCCGCCTAGGCCTCCCAAAGTGCTGGGATTCCAGGTGTGAGCCACCGCGCCCAGCCTCAGAGAAACCACTTTCACACATCCTGAGTAGCAGAGGCATCAGAAAGTGTCACTGGTACAACCCATCAAGTGGCCATTTCAACCTAGGAACAGGGCACAGACAAAGGAGAGAGTTGCCCAGTTTTTAAGCACCTGGTCTGTGCCGGGAACAGTGCTGTGCTGCCTACATGAGTTTCACTTCATCCTTTTTGTATCACCAAAAGGCTGAATGCAGTTGCCCCACTTTACAGGTGTGGAAACTGAGGCCCTGGGTGGTGAAGTCTTTTGGCCAAACTCTCTCAGAAAATAAGTGGCAGAGCCAGATCTGAAGCCTGGGTCTGTCTGATTCCAAGGCCTGGGTCCCCTACTGCATCTCCTCACCCAAGGGAAGTTGTCACAGGGAGGGTGACTGGAACTGGGCCCTGAAGGTGGAGTTGGGCTCTCCTCTCTGGGCCTCAGTGTCCTCGTCTCTATAAAAGAGGGGGGACAGAATGACCTTGAGGATACTTCCAGCCTCTCTGTTCTATGAGTCCAGGCTCCTGCATTTCACCAATGCTCTGCTTTTCTCCCCCAAAGACATAAAGTACATCGAGGTGACCTCCGCCAGATCAAGGTGCCACGATGGCCCCCAGCACTGCTCCAGCCCCTCTGTCACCCCGCCCTTCGGCTCCCTTCGCAGTGGTGGCCTCCTCCTTTCCAGAGACGTCCCCCGAGAGACACGAAGCAGCAGTGAGAGCCTCATCTTCTCTGGGAACCAGGGCAGGGGGCACCAGCGCCCTCTGCCCCCCTCAGAGGGTCTCTCCCCTCGACCCCCAAATTCCCCCAGCATCTCAATCCCTTGCATGGGGAGCAAGGCCTCGAGCCCCCATGGTTTGGGCTCCCCGCTGGTGGCTTCTCCAAGACTGGAGAAGCGGCTGGGAGGCCTGGCCCCACAGCGGGGCAGCAGGATCTCTGTGCTGTCAGCCAGCCCAGTGTCTGATGTCAGCTATATGTTTGGAAGGTAGGTTCTGTAGCTTCTAACATTGCACACACACACACAGGCACACGCACGCATGCACCCCCTAAAATCACTGAAAGGGACCCTGCTCTGTCTGAGCAAAATCTGGGCATGCACCAAAACCAGAAGCAAATGTTTGCTTTTACAGCCTTTCAGATCTCAAGCTGTCCTCAAGCATTTAGAATACAATTCAATATAAAAAGTCTTGACTTATAGCTACCTTTTGGTAAAAGAGCCGTTGCCTTAATGAGGCTCATCTATATCCTTTCCAGCCCTCATACAACCCATCTCAAGGAAGGTTTTTTTAAACCCCAAAACACAGGGCTATAAATAGAATTGGGGGGCCTGAGATGAACTATTTAGGAATAAAAAGGTTCCTTCCTCTGTTGCTGGCAAAACCTAGCAAAGGAGTGAGGCAGCCCTGCCTGGGAATCACAATCATCCCAGCTCAGTTCTCTATAGACCTCACAGCAGAACTGCAGGCACATGCGCACCCATTCTGCCCCAGGAAGACCGAACCACAGGACTCTGCTTCCCACTCCACCTCCAAAGCCACTGGCCAAGGCAGTCCCTGGCACAGAGGCTGGGGATTCCACAGCCATGCCCACTGGCACAGGCCCCTGAGCTCAGGAAGAAGTCTGGCTGGATGTGAAGCTGGCCTTCTCCTGCAGCTGGGGAGTTCCCTCTGCATCAGCCACGGTGTGGTCCAGCGTAGGTTCAGCCCATCTGCAGGGCTCCTGGGAGTCATGGGGGCCTGAAGGGATCCTGATCCGACAGCTCAGTCAGAACGGCCTGGCTGGGAAGGCAGACGGAATGTGGGCCAGCCTATGCCCAAAGCCTGCAGGGGTCAGCTCATTGGCTACTTTAAGTGACCAAAGACCCTACCATCCAAGGACATTTCTGTATCCTTACCATCCCTTGAGGATTAGGTGGGCATGCACTTTGCTGTGGGCTGTAGGGGGTGGGGTATGCAGTGTTCTATTTGGCCTTTAAAGCCATGGGAACCCAGATCACCAGATCCGGAGCCTGACTCTAGCCCCTGAGCCACCTGTTGCCCTAACACCCTGTCTGACTCTCTCCCGCTGCAGCAGCCAGTCCCTCCTGCACTCCAGCAACTCCAGCCATCAGTCATCTTCCAGATCCTTGGAAAGTCCAGCCAACTCTTCCTCCAGCCTCCACAGCCTTGGCTCAGTGTCCCTGTGTACAAGACCCAGTGACTTCCAGGCTCCCAGAAACCCCACCCTAACCATGGGCCAACCCAGAACACCCCACTCTCCACCACTGGCCAAAGAACATGCCAGCAGCTGCCCCCCATCCATCACCAACTCCATGGTGGACATACCCATTGTGCTGATCAACGGCTGCCCAGAACCAGGGTCTTCTCCACCCCAGCGGACCCCAGGACACCAGAACTCCGTTCAACCTGGAGCTGCTTCTCCCAGCAACCCCTGTCCAGCCACCAGGAGCAACAGCCAGACCCTGTCAGATGCCCCCTTTACCACATGCCCAGAGGGTACGTCGTAAACCAATATTTGAAGCAATGTAAGATTTGGGGAATAGACAAAGTGCCAGTGGGTTTCTGCAACAGCCAGTCAACACATTTATTGAGCAACTATTGTGTGTCTGGCACTATGCCAGGTAGTGAGGACACACAGAGGGAAACAGTTTAGAAAGAGACAAAAACAAATCATCACGGTAGGGTAGGATAAACGCGGAGGTAAAGAGATATTCTCAATCATATTGGCCAAAGCTGAAGGAATGATTCTTTCAGTCTGGAGAACAGAGGAAGCGACATCCGAGCTGGATCTGGGAAATGGATCAGAAGTTTGTGGCCAGAGAAGGAGAGGAAAGGCATTCCCAGCAGAGAAAGCAGGGGGTCCACAGTCATGAAGGTGTGGAAGCGCATGGCATGTTCAGGAAATGCCGGAATGTTGGGTGCAGGTTCAAGTCATTGAGAGTAATTTGAAACCAGATTGTGAAAGGCCTTAAATGCCAAGCTAAAAAAAAAAAAAAAAATGGAATTTGCCTTTTAAGCAATAGGGTACCATCAGAGAGCCTCCTCACACAGGAGAGTGATGGGGTCAGAGGTGCTCGCTCAATGGATCACCCTGGCAGCTCAACGGATAGCAGGGTCCTGAACCGGGATAGGGCAGTGGGAGTGGAGGAGAGAGGACAGAACCAGGCGACCCTCAGGATGTGCTTGATGACTAACTCAAGGAGAGCAAGAGGGCGAGTCAGTTCTGACTCTGACGTTCGCAGATGATGAGAACACAGAGGGGGTGGATGGGGTAATAGAGACAATGCATTCCAGTTCAGACAGCCGAAAACCACAAAACAGCAAACACCCTCCTTCCCGGAGTCTGAGATCACAGGCGTCCAAGAAGAACAAACCCAAGCAGTAAACCCAGAAGCTAAGCTCTAGCACCCTGTGGATGCCTCTCCCATGAGCAGAGTCCCCTGCCAACCCCCTGTTCCCCCTCCCTCGGCCATCGGGGGGCTTCTCAGCCCCCACTTGGCCATGACGCTCACAGGCATCAAGGCGACTCCAGAGGGGGTGGGGGTGGAATGTTTACTATAGCCCACTGCTCACTCCCACTCACGAAGCCATGTGGAGGCAAGCAGGAGAAAATGACACTTCTGGCGTGCCTTTGCATCTGCCCTGATCGCTTTCCTAGGACAAATCATTTGCAGATTTTAGTACTTTTTTTGAATGAGTTACTTGAGAGTAAGTGGTCACAACACTCCTTTTCAAGCCGCCAAGGTTGACAGCTACTGCTCTCTGCCTTAGGGACCCAGGGAAATGGCCATTTTGGCATCCCAAAGCGCACATTTACTTAGCCTAGTGATATTCCCATCCTGCTTTGGTCCCATAATATCACCAACTATACCCCCAGATCTTATCAAATTCTGCAAAATATTCCTAAAACAAAATTCATTTTAATTCCATAGACTACTAGAACATTAAAGACCCTCAGAAGCTGTTTAGTCCACTTGGTCCCCTCTGAGCTTCAGTTATCCCATATCAGAGTCAAGATCCAGGCTCCCGCCTCCCAGGGGCATGTTTTTCTGCCCAGATCTGCTATTTTCCTCTCCTTCACGTTTTCTGCCATTTTCTTTTCCAAGCTGAATATTCCCGTAAGGAATTCTTAGGATTATGAAGACGAAGGAGAATGTAATATCAAACATGATGCATTTGAGAATTCCTTGTTTATCTCTTATTTCAGTCCTCACCAGGGGACTCAACAGTAGATTTAAGAAACCATTTCTCCTTAAACTGAGGTTGTATCTATTCATTCCTTATTCATTACCAAGGATACAAGGGCACTTCTGAGTTCTAGATGCACCAAACCCTGGCATCCTTCTGTTTGATTTTCCCTCATCGTAGGCAGTTTGGAGATACAATGGGGTTAGGGTCTGGGATGGTGGTTGAATGAAACCTTGGGGCAATAGAGTAGGGAAGGGTCTCCAGCCTTCTCTGGTGAACATCCCTCAGCTCCCGTCTGTCCAGCCTACAGGGTCCCCCTTCTCTGTCTGTCTCCAGGTCCCGCCAGGGACATGCAGCCCACCATGAAGTTCGTGATGGACACATCTAAATACTGGTTTAAGCCAAACATCACCCGAGAGCAAGGTAAAAGGAAGCACGAGTGACCCCAGAATAGGGTCTGGGTCTTGCACTTTGCATCAGGCAGGGCCCTGGGTTACAGTTAAGGAATGGCAAATAGTGGGTCCTGGGAAGCGGGGGAGGGGGATGTCCTGCTGACCTCATGACCTCCCGAGGAAGTAGGAACCACAGCAAGAATGGTGGAGATTTGACAGTACAAAGGACTTCCTGGGGACAAAAGGTGACTCTGTAACATCTGCTCTGTGAAGACCCTACGGGGCTGGGGACAGGGTGTCCAGGTGGGGCGGTGTCCATCTCTGACTCAAGGATTGTTCCAGCAATCGAGCTGCTGAGGAAGGAGGAGCCAGGGGCTTTTGTCATAAGGGACAGCTCTTCATACCGAGGCTCCTTCGGCCTGGCCCTGAAGGTGCAGGAGGTTCCCGCGTCTGCTCAGAGTCGACCAGGTATGCGTCTGTCTCTGTGCTCACTCAAGGCCTCACTGAGGCAGCGGGGTGTGGTAGGTTCCAGTCCTGGCTCTGGCACTAGCTTTCAGGGTGACATGGCGCCAGTCTTATAACAGCTCCTAGGAGAAGCGTCCACCCCAGTGTTCTCCCCGATGCCCTCCAGCCCCAAGGCACCCTGAAAAACGCCTTTCACAGCAAGCCTGCGTGCTTCTGCCTTCCCGAGCCCCACCCCCACTTCCCTGCTTTTTTCTGATGGTGGGAGAGAAGGAGGAGGGTCCTAGCCCCCTCTAGGCTGCTCTTCTTGGAGTCAAACTGGATTCATTTCCAGGGAACCTAATGTGTGATTACACACGCAGCTAGCTTATCTCACAGGTGATAGCTTACCAGGTTTGTGTACTAGCTCAGCGCACATGTGTGTGATAGCTTATATGCTTTCCTGTGGTCTCCCATGCTTATTTGATAGCAAACATCTATGGAGCATCACCACACACCAGGCACTGTGTGAGGCAGCAGGGATACAGTGGAATCAGACACAGACACCACCTCACTAGGGAGACAGATGAAAACAGATGATTACAGTACAAGGTACCTGGGTCATAGGCCTCACTCAAACCCCAGGATTGCACCTTCTTATTTAACGGATGAGATAACGGAGGCTCCCAGAGTTACTTAATGACTCCAGAGCAATTAAGTGATAAAGGGAGGATGAAACACCCAGCCTTGTGTTCTTGACAGTATGCCTCACTGTCACAATAAGAAAGTGACCTCTGGGGAGGGTGTTACTTATAAAGGACGCCTTGCAAGAGGCAATGAGCCCAGACTGAGGAGGACACTGTGGACTGGTGGAAAGGAGTCAGAAGGTCATTGTTCACCTCCCCACCCCCGGGGCCAGCGTGGCTCCAGCAGAGATGACCTGGTGGGCAGGGGGAGACAGAAACCAGACCAAAGAGTCGACATTTATCTAAATAATTAAGAAGTTTCCTTGCCAGGCACAGTGGCTCACGCCAGTAATCCCAGCACTTTGGGAGGCCGAGGCAGGAGGATCACTTGAGCCCAGGAATCTGAGACCAGCTTGAGCAATATGGCAAAACCCTGTCGCTACAAAAATTACCCAGGTGTGGTGGAGCACACCTGTAGTCCCAGGTACTTGGGAGCCTGAGGCAGCAGAATCACTTGAACCCAGGAGGTCTTTGAGGCTGCAGTGAGCCATGATCACACCACTGCACTCCTTCCTAGACCAAAGAATGAGACCCTGTCTAAAAAAAATAAAATAAAATAATCCCTAGGCCGAAGCAGGAGAACTGCTTGAGCTCAGGAGTTCGAGACCAGCCTGAGCAAAATAGTGAGACCTTGTCTCTACAAAAGAATTAGCCCGACATGGTGGGGCACGCCTGTAGTCCCAGCTACTCAGGAAGCTGAGGTGGGAGGATTCCTTAAGCCCAGGAGGTTGAGGCTGCAGTAAGCCGAGATCATGCCGCTGCACTCCAGTCTAAGAGACAGAGCAAGACTCTGTCTAAAAAAAAAAAAAAATCCCTGATAACTCTTGACCAGCAGAAAGGTTTCCCCACCCCACCCCCAAAAAAAGAAGAAGAGAAAGGTTTCCTGAAGAGGGTGTGGCTGGAGCCATTGAGCAGATGTGTTGGCACCTCCTCTGTGGGAGGGAGAGGCAGGGGGATGGACAAGGTGGAATTTTTTTTTTTTCCGGTGAGACAGAGTCTCACTGTGTCACCCAGGCTGGAGTGCAGTAGCACAATCTCGGCTCACTGCAACCTCTGCCTCCCAGGTTCAAGCAATTCTCCTGCCTCAGCCTCCCGGGTAGCTGGGACTACAGGCATGTGAACCACGCCCGGCTTTGTGTGTGTGACTGTGTGTGTGTGTGTGTGTGTGTGTGTGTGTGTCTTTAGTAGAGATAGGGTTTTACCATGTGGGTCAGGCTGATCTCGAACTCCTGACCTCAAGTGATCTGCCCACCTCGGCCTCCCAAAGTGCTGGGATTACAGGCGTGAGCCACCGCGCCCGGCCACAAGGTGGAATTCTATCCGAATGCACTCTTTCTTCTCTGTCCAGGTGAGGACAGCAATGACCTCATCCGACACTTCCTCATCGAGTCGTCTGCCAAAGGAGTGCATCTCAAAGGAGCAGATGAGGAGCCCTACTTTGGTGAGACTCCCCAGCCTCCAGGCTCCCCCGGGATGGGGGGCCAGCGAAGTCTCCGTTGTGAGCTGAGGGGTGGGTTGGGGAAGCTCTACTCATGCAGGGCTGCTTGCTTCCTTTCAGGGAGCCTCTCTGCCTTCGTGTGCCAGCATTCCATCATGGCCCTGGCCCTGCCCTGCAAACTCACCATCCCACAGAGAGGTGGGTCTGGGCCCCAAAGAGGCAATGCCAAGGTGGGGGACCTGTTTGTTCTCATTAGAAATGGGGTTCACTCCTACCTTGTTGGTGGATTATTTTAGTGTCACGGTTAAAACTGTGTGCACTGGAGTCGCTCAACATCTCCACCTCCTAGCTGTGAAAATTTGAGAATGTTGACCTCTCTGAGCCTCAGTTTCCTCATCATACCTACTTATAGGATTGCTGTGCAGACCGAAAGAGATAGCCCGGGCAAGGCTCTTAGCGCAATGCCTGGCATAGAATGGATGTTGGATAAATAGCAGCCTGCTTTGAGAGGGTGAAAGAGCCTAAATCAAATAGTTTGGAGAGGTTTTCTCTTTCCAGGTCCAGCATTTGTTGAGCACTCACTCACCCATTCATGCTTCACTACAAGCTTGTGAAGTAGACTTTGCTGTTATCATCCCCATTTCACAGATAAGAAAATAAGGGCTGGGCGTGGTGACTCACGCCTGTAATCCCAGCACTTCGGGAGGCCAAGGCGGGCAGATCACTTGAGGTCAGGAGTTCGAAACCAGCCTGGCCAACATGGTGAAACCCCGTCTCTACTAAAAATACAAAAATTTAGCTGGGCGTGGTGGTGGGCGCCTGTAATCCCAGCTACTCAGGAGGCTGAGGCAGGAGAATCACTTGAGCCGGGGAGGCAGAGGTTGCAGTGAGCTAAGATCGCACCACTGCACTCTAGCCTGGGTGACAGAGCGACAGAGCAAGACTTCATCTAAGAAAGAAAGAAAGAGAGAAAGAGAGAAAGAAGGAAGGAAAGGAAGGAAAAGAAAACGAGGGTTCTAGATGTTACGTAATTTGCCCAAAGGCCCACAGAGTCAGACCTTGAACCCAGATCAGCATGCCCTATCCAGAGCATACAGCCAGGTAGGGGGGCAGCTCAGATGAAATAGATCATCTCAGGGGTGTGCAGGAGAAGCTCGAGAAGGGCTGTTTCTGGAAGGGCATCAAGGCAAGGGAGCCCCAGAGGAGCGATGGTGAGAGCCTCCTCGCTTTCTGCAAAGACAGGTCAGGGGTTGAGACAGGGTCCAAAAGAAGTGAGGAGGTCAGGGGCCTGTGAGGACAAGATCATGGCAGCCATCTAAGAGGTGGGGGGGCGAGGAGGGGATGAAGAGATCAAAAGGGTTGCAAACTAAGCATTTAGGGAGCCCAAAGTGGCCTGTTTGCCTAATTACGGTAATCACACCTGGTTTGAGTCACTTCCTGGAGATGGGGGTGGAGGTGGGAGATCTTCAAAGGGATTCATGAGGCCTGTTCCTGTGAGAGGGGTCCATTCACTCCACCCCCGCCCCTTTGGGGGGCCTGTTTCTTTGCCTTGGCTCAGAACTGGGAGGTGCAGATGGGGCCTCGGACTCTACAGACAGCCCAGCCTCCTGCCAGAAGAAATCTGCGGGTGAGTGGTACAGGAAGGGAGGCGCCAAGCTTGGCTGTGCCCCAAGAGGGCACCTCCCAACCCTGCACACACGCACGCATGCACGCACACACGCACAGGCACACACGTGTTTCCCATCTCAGCTTTGTTTCTGCATCTTTAACAAGGTGCCACACCCGCTCCCCATCACCCCTGTAAAACAGAAGATGAGAGGCCAGCAGGGAAGTGGGGCAGGGTGGGGGGTGGGGGGAGTGGCAGAACTTACAGTCCCTCCTGCACACACATGGGCATGTGCACACGTGCTAGGGTCTCTCTAGGTCTGAGAAACCTGCCCTAGAGGTGGTTCTGGGTCTGGGATCCTCTATGGGGTGTCAGGTCTAAGTCCTGGAGCCTTCACCAGGGGAAAGGTCCCTGACCCACACTCCCAGAGGCCAGCACACATCAGCACTTGTCTCAGTGACTGTTCCTGCTCTATGCCCTGAGCACGAACAATTTCCTTCCCCATTCTTGTCTTCTGTCCCTACCGTTGCCAATGAACCAAGACCTTGAAGATGGAGGTGTGGGGAGGAGAGCAGCCGTTAAGTGTGGACAGAAGGATGTTTTCCTGGGCACCTCTACACACAGGGCAACATCCCCTCCCCTGCCCCATGCTGGAGGGCCAGGGGCCAGGGCGATGCAAAGCCACAGAAGATCCCAAAGCCCTCTGGGGTTGGCCTCAAACTGTGATCACCCACACACCCACTTTCTGTTGGGTGGCGGCTCTAAGAGGAGCTCCACTGGATTCCTGAACAGGAGACTCACCCCCTCCCCTGGCCCTGGGCAGAGGGAGAACCTGGGCCCTGGGTCAGTGGCCCCAGCGCAGTGTCTGCCTCCCACAGGCTGCCACACCCTGTACCTGAGCTCAGTGAGCGTGGAGACCCTGACTGGAGCCCTGGCCGTGCAGAAAGCCATCTCCACCACCTTTGAGAGGGACATCCTCCCCACGCCCACCGTGGTCCACTTCAAAGTCACAGAGCAGGGCATCACTCTGACTGATGTCCAGAGGAAGTAAGGGCCTTCCCTTGCCCTGGGGCTCCGGGGCTGGCGGAGTAGAGCTGGAGGGGATAGCTGAGACAGCTGCAGATCAGGGATGAAGGTCAAGTTCAGGGTTCTGGATGACCCAGCGGGGCCAGTGATGTGCTGAGTGACTCCAGGCAGCTTCCCTGCCTCCTCCAGGCCTCACTCCACTGCCAAAGCCCCTGTTCATCATGACTGATGAAAATGGAGTTAACGGGGGCCGGGCACGGTGGCTCATGCCTGTAATCCCAGCACTTTGGGAGGCCGAGGCGGGCGGATCACCTGAGGTCAGGAGTTCGAGACCAGCCTGGTCAACATGATGAAACCCCGTCTCTACTAAAAATACAAAATTAGCCGGGCATGGTGGCACGCACCTGTAATCCCAGCTACTTGGGAGGCTGAGGCAGGAGAATTGCTTGAACCCAGGAGGCGGAGGTTGTAGTGAGCTGAGAGCACGCCATTGCACTCCAACCTGGGTGACAGAGTGAAACTCCATCTCAAAAAAGGAAGGAAGGAAGGAAGGAAATGGAGTTAACTAGTATTCATGGGTGCCGATTATGCCTGCACCCATTGATGGAACATCTTCCCTCGGCCAGACTGGCTGACCACTGGGACCCAGAGAGGAATGAGATCGTTCCTTCCCCAGGCTCGGATCTCACAGTCTAACAGGAGCCTGATCCAGGGCTGAGCACTTCACAGGGAGAAACAAGAGATGACCAAGATGTAATTCGTGTCCTCAAAAAGTTAGTGGCCAAAAAAAATTAAATGGCGTGGTAGGGGTGTGATAGAAAACCCCAGAGTGTAAGACAGAGGCAGACAAGCCCCATGAGAGGAGAGAGGCAGGAGCGGGGCGCCAGGGCCCCCCAGTGGGAAAGGCCATAGCGGTCTTCAAGGTCTAACCCAGAGACTTCTTGGAGGACAGGGCACCTGAGCTTGGGGGGAACGAGAGATGCTGGAGGCAGGATGACACTGGGACAGGCTGTCATCGCTTCCCTTCTCTCCCCGCCTCCTCCTAGGGTGTTTTTCCGGCGCCATTACCCACTCACCACCCTCCGCTTCTGTGGTATGGACCCTGAGCAACGGAAGTAAGTTCAAGGCTGGGCCAAACTAAGAAGGCTGTCCAGGGCCCCGCTGCCCACCAAGGCGTCCTGCCGACTCTGGGCCTGGGATCCCAGAGGGAGCCTGTGAACCTCAAGGGGTCAGGGTGACAGAATGAGGGTAGGGTGGGGCATGGTGGGGTGGGGACGCAGCTGGCCAGTCCTGCTGCTCCTCCAGGGTCCTGTGGCATGGAGCGAAGCCTCATTACTCGGTATCATGTTCTTTTCCTACAGGTGGCAGAAGTACTGCAAACCCTCCTGGTAAGGCCTTCCTGTCTCAGGGCCCCAAACCCAACATGGGGAGGGAACTGCAGAAGGAAAGAGGCACCATTCTGACTTTAATAGTCCAAAGTGTTGATGAGGGCACAGGCCCTGGTCCTCAGGGAGCTCCCATCTGATGGGAAAGACTTTGACTGCCCTCAGAGCCTCTGGGCTGTTGGGGGTGACATGAGCCTGGGAGCCCTCAATCTTCTGCAAGAGGCACAGGCTCTAACTTCAGGGAGCCTCAAGCTATTGGAATGTCCCAGTCTGATGATCAAGATGCATCCTTGCCCTCAGGGAGCTTCCACTCTAATGGGGAATGCACAGGTCCTGTCCTCAAGGAGCCCTCACTCAAAACAAAGGAAACCCAGAGCTTGAACTCAGAAATCTCCCAGTCTGACGGGAGAGGCATCTCCTTCCCCAGGGAGCCCCACCATAAGGAGGTGCTGGAGTCAATTGGCTAAGGGAGGGGCAGGGAGGAATGAGATGCAGGCTGAGGGCCCCCCACCACCCCATTCCCACCAGCCTGATGCCTCCCTGGGTCCCACCCCTCACTCAGACTGCCCTCCCCCACCAGGATCTTTGGGTTTGTGGCCAAGAGCCAGACAGAGCCTCAGGAGAACGTATGCCACCTCTTTGCGGAGTATGACATGGTCCAGCCAGCCTCGCAGGTCATCGGCCTGGTGACTGCTCTGCTGCAGGACGCAGAAAGGATGTAGGGGAGAGACTGCCTGTGCACCTAACCAACACCTCCAGGGGCTCGCTAAGGAGCCCCCCTCCACCCCCTGAATGGGTGTGGCTTGTGGCCATATTGACAGACCAATCTATGGGACTAGGGGGATTGGCATCAAGTTGACACCCTTGAACCTGCTATGGCCTTCAGCAGTCACCATCATCCAGACCCCCCGGGCCTCAGTTTCCTCAATCATAGAAGAAGACCAATAGACAAGATCAGCTGTTCTTAGATGCTGGTGGGCATTTGAACATGCTCCTCCATGATTCTGAAGCATGCACACCTCTGAAGACCCCTGCATGAAAATAACCTCCAAGGACCCTCTGACCCCATCGACCTGGGCCCTGCCCACACAACAGTCTGAGCAAGAGACCTGCAGCCCCTGTTTCGTGGCAGACAGCAGGTGCCTGGCGGTGACCCACGGGGCTCCTGGCTTGCAGCTGGTGATGGTCAAGAACTGACTACAAAACAGGAATGGATAGACTCTATTTCCTTCCATATCTGTTCCTCTGTTCCTTTTCCCACTTTCTGGGTGGCTTTTTGGGTCCACCCAGCCAGGATGCTGCAGGCCAAGCTGGGTGTGGTATTTAGGGCAGCTCAGCAGGGGGAACTTGTCCCCATGGTCAGAGGAGACCCAGCTGTCCTGCACCCCCTTGCAGATGAGTATCACCCCATCTTTTCTTTCCACTTGGTTTTTATTTTTATTTTTTTTTGAGACAGAGTCTCACTGTCACCCAGGCTGAACTGCAGTGGTGTGATCTAGGCTCACTGCAACCTCCACCTCCCAGGTTCAAGCAATTATCCTGCCTCAGGCTCCCAAGTAGCTGGGATTACAGGCATGTGCAACTCACCCAGCTAATTTTGTATTTTTAGTAGAGACAGGGTTTCACCATGTTGGCCAGGCTGGTCTTGAACTCCTGACCGCAGGTAATCCACCTGCTTCGGCCTCCCAAAGTGCTGGGATTACAGGCGCAAGCCACCCAGCCCAGCTTCTTTCCATTCCTTGATAGGCGAGTATTCCAAAGCTGGTATCGTAGCTGCCCTAATGTTGCATATTAGGCGGCGGGGGCAGAGATAAGGGCCATCTCTCTGTGATTCTGCCTCAGCTCCTGTCTTGCTGAGCCCTCCCCCAACCCACGCTCCAACACACACACACACACACACACACACACACACACACACACACACACACACACACACACACGCCCCTCTACTGCTATGTGGCTTCAACCAGCCTCACAGCCACACGGGGGAAGCAGAGAGTCAAGAATGCAAAGAGGCCGCTTCCCTAAGAGGCTTGGAGGAGCTGGGCTCTATCCCACACCCACCCCCACCCCACCCCCACCCAGCCTCCAGAAGCTGGAACCATTTCTCCCGCAGGCCTGAGTTCCTAAGGAAACCACCCTACCGGGGTGGAAGGGAGGGTCAGGGAAGAAACCCACTCTTGCTCTACGAGGAGCAAGTGCCTGCCCCCTCCCAGCAGCCAGCCCTGCCAAAGTTGCATTATCTTTGGCCAAGGCTGGGCCTGACGGTTATGATTTCAGCCCTGGGCCTGCAGGAGAGGCTGAGACCAGCCCACCCAGCCAGTGGTCGAGCACTGCCCCGCCGCCAAAGTCTGCAGAATGTGAGATGAGGTTCTCAAGGTCACAGGCCCCAGTCCCAGCCTGGGGGCTGGCAGAGGCCCCCATATACTCTGCTACAGCTCCTATCATGAAAAATAAAATGTTTGTCTTTGCAAAACAGTAAGTTCTGAGGCAGTCAGGGCTGTGCCCTTGGAAATGGAGACCTGAAGAGAGAAGGGGGACTGACTTGGGAGGGCGTGGCTGTGTCTTAGGGGAGACCAGGTGTGCCACACTCCCTCCCGCACCCCTGGCCACGGCGCTACAGGCTCAGCAGGCTTCCACTTCGTAAACCATTGCTTAAACCACTCTGTGTCCCCCACATGCCCAACACGCTTGTTCTTCTTTCTTCATCGCCCCTTTCCTGCCACTCTGCCAGGGAAACAAAAGGATTGTGATTTCCCGGGGCCCAAAGTGAGTGTGTACGGTGCCCCTGACGGATTCCAAGGTCTCACTCAGCCCCCACTGAGAGACAAGGAGAGGCGGGCAAAACATGAACCCCTCAAGAGGAGTCCGGAAGAGTCCCCGAACCCAGATGGCCCCAGAGCTGCCAGCTCCGCCCTGAAGAGCTGGACTGTGGTCGGGTGTGGTGGCTCGCACCTGTAATCCCAGCACTTTGGGAGGCCAAAGCGGGAGGATGGATTGAACCTAGGAGTTCGAGACCAGCCTGGGCAACATAGGGAGACCCTGTCTCTACAAAAAAAATACAAAAAGTTAGCCAGACGTGGTGGCACATACCTGTAGCCCCAGCTACTTGGGAGGCTGCGGTGAGAAGATCCCTTGAGCCTGGGGGGTCAAGGCTGCAGTGAGCTGTGGTTGTGCCACTGTACTCCAGCCTGAGTGACAGAGTGAGACCCTGTCTCAAAAAAAAAAAAAGAAAAGAAAAAGAACTGGACCATGGCCTCTTGATCCCACCCTGGGCCTGGGGAGTTCTACCCCCAGCTCCTTCCAGTGGCAGTCCTCCCCTAAGCCAGTCCCAGAGGAATGCCTCCCTCCCAGACCTGCTCCAGACTTCGCTGCAACTAGGGAGCCAAGGCTGGCATGCCCTGAGAAGGCCTCAGCAAGCGATGCAAGAGAGGCTATGGCACTTCTGTTCTCCTGAAAAGTTTTGGGAATGGGAGAGCGCCTCCTTCTCTCTGGGCTGAGCTATGTGACCCAGTGGCAGGGGCCTTGAACCACCGCTGGTTAGCCTCTGCCTCCCTTTCCACTGCCCCAGTGCAGTTCCAGATGGAGACTCCTCTCAGTCTCCTCTCAGTCTCCTGCTGTGGCCCCGCTTGGCCCAGCATGGAACAGAGTTCGTGGAAGGCGATCATTTCTGCTGCATTTGCCACAGCTCATGTTTCCCCTAAGAAGGTTTAGCGGAGAACTTGACTTAAGACTGCTGAGGGCAAAGCAGCCAGCCCGGCAGGGGTGGGAGGGCTGGACAGCAGAGGGGAGGCAGGATAACCACTGAGCCAGGAACCAGGAGGGGAGGAGCCATCTTATCCACCCAAGGACACCAGAGGAGTGTTCTCTCCAGGAGGCTCCAGGCCTTATAGCCCTGGGTCTTAACCCCTGCCGCAGCCCTCGCTCCAGTGTCTCTCTCCCCAGTCTTTTCATCCCTCTCCATCCCTTTCTTGATCTCCGTACACACTCATACCACCCACCCTCCCTCCCTCTCTTCTCCCACTTCCCCTCTCTCCTTTCTCACCATCTCTCCTCATTATGCCTTCTCTACTCGATCACCCCTTTGCAGAGAAACCTTTCCTCCTTCTTGCTCTTTTCCAGTTGAATTTCCTCGCCCCGTTGTCCCAGGTGGCTGGACATGCAGCAGAAGGGAACTGGGGAGACTCTCGCACTGCCAATCATTTCTCAAAACTCAGGTTCCAGTTTGAGACCCGCCTGGCCAACATGGTGAAACCCCATCTCTACAAAAAATACAAAAATTAGCCGGGCAAGGTAGCGCACCTGTAGTCCCAGGTACTCGGGAGACTGAGGCATGAGAATCCCTTGAAACTGGGAGGCGGAAGTTGCAGTGAGCTGTGATCGTGCCACTGCACTCCAGCCTGGTTGACAGAGCAACATGCTATCTCTAAAACAAACAAACAAACAAAAACTCAGGTTCCCACACCCTCTAAACCCTGCCTGCTCTCAGGCTACAGAGACCTCTCCAGGAGGCTGAAGTGCCCTTACCCCGACCATCTGACCAGCCACCGCCCCATGCCCGTGCCCCACCGAGGGCGGAGGCTGCTCACTGCTCTGTTTTATCTCTGGCCTCTGATCCTGCATTCTTGTGCCAGGGCTTAGACCCAGGGCAAGGTCTTAGACCCAGGGCAGGGGTAGGGTTAAAGGCTTTCAACCCAGGGGCCAGTGCCTTAATTCATGCAACAAATGTTTTCTGGCTGTGTGCTTTATTCATGTGAACCAGGAAAACAGAAAAATATGACAGTGTTTCCAACAGAGGTTTATAAGTGCTATGCAGGGCTGGTGGAAAGAGTAGAAACTGAGAAAGATAAACTTTACCCACTTGAAGGGAAGGAGGGCAATGTTACCAAGAAGGTAACATTTGAGTTGGGTCTTCAAGGATGAATAGGAGTTCGGCATGCAAAGAGAGTTAGAAACCAACTTTTAGGAGTGGGGAGGGGCTCTCATGTGCTACATACAATCTGAGGCACATTATATAAGCCTAATCCCATTTTACAGATTAGAAAACTGGGGCTCAGAGGGTTAACTTGCCCACATTCACCTAACTGTAAATGGCAGAGAAACAGGATTTCAAGTCCATGCCCATCCTATTGCCCCAGCATTCACAGAAAGCAGATGGAGACATTCGTGTGTGAAGCACACAGGTATGAAAAGATGTACCAAGTTTGGTGTGGCTCAAGTACATGGTACCTAAGGGAGTAGGTGAGAGAGAAAGCAGAAGAAAAAGACAGCAACAGGACCCTCAGGACCCTTGGGTGCCAGCTGAGAATGTCTGGAGATTGAATACTTGCTGAATGAAGGAGATGGGACTCAGGCCTGCTGTGTATGATTTTGTGGGCTATGCAGTGCATGGTCATACATGGCACCCTGCTTGGGCTTTATCCCATAGGTAATGAGGATGAGATAGGAAGCGGGACTGCACTCCAGAGGCAGGGCTTGGACACAGGTCCAAACTGAGGACTAGCTAAAACAGGGATGGGGTGGGAGGAGCTTTCCATAAGACACACCCACCAGTGTGACATGTCAGTTTACCATTGCCGTGGCAACACCCAGAAATTACCACCCCTTTCCATGGCAGCAACAACCTAATGACCCAGAAGTTATCACCCTTTTTCTACAAATCTCTGCATAATCTGCCCCTTAATTTGCATGTGTTTAAAAGTGGGTGCAAATATGAGTGTGGAAGCTACTGAGCTGCAGCTCTCAGCACACTGGGGTAGCCCTGCTCTGCAGGAGCAGTCACAGGGCTGTGACACTGCCACCTCTAGAAAGCTGCTTTCTTCTATCACCGCTTGCCCTTGAATTATTCCCTGAATGAAGCCAAGAACCCTCCCAGGCTAAGCCCCAATTTGGGGCTCGCCTGCCCTGCATCAGGGAGACATGTCAGCTGAGGAGTAATTGACCAGATTTCTGCTTTAGAAATATGGCAGTGGAGGCAGGAGATGGCATCTGAGGCCCAGGCTGGGGAGAAGGGTGCTGGGATGAGAACCTGGAGTTCAGACCAGGGAAGGGATGAGAGCCTAAGAAGAGGAGCTCTCACCCTGAGACAGGCTGGTGCAGGAGTCTGCTCGATCCAGGCCTGGGTCCCTGGTTCCCTCTGAGCTTGGGAGGACTATGTGAGACAGAACAGGACCAGGGGCCTGCATTCCCCCTTGTATTATTCATCTTCTCGGGCTGCCATAACAAAATACCATAGACTGGGCAGCTTACACAACAGAAATTTATTTTCTCACAGTTCTGGGGGCTGAAAGTCCAGGATCAGGGTGCCATGATGGCCAGGTTTGGATAAGGACTCTCTTCCTGGTTTGCAGATGGCTGCCTTCTCCCTGTGTGCTCACATGGTCTTTCTTCAGTGTGTGTGCATGGAGAAAGAGATCCCTCTCCCTCTCTTCCCTTTCTTATAAAGCCACCATCCTGCCGGGCACGGTGGCTCATGCCTGTAATCCCAGCACTTTGGGAGGCTGAGGCGGGTGGATCATGCACTCCAGCCTAGGCGACAGAGAGAGACTCCGTCTCAAAAACATAAATAAATAAAATACAATAAAATAAAGCCACCATCCTATCTGATTAGAATCTCACCCTTGTGGCCTCACTGAACCTTAATTACCTCAGAAAAGCCTTATCTCCAAATATAGTCACATTGGGAGTGAGAGCTTCAGCATGCGAGTTTGACGGGACACAGCTCAATCCACAGCACCCATCCAGGCAGAGTCCTGCCCGGTCATGTTCCCCATCCCCACCAAGCTGCAGTCCTGGCCAGGCTGGAGCCCTCAGCCCCAGGAAAGGAGACCCTCGATTTCCCAGGCTCCCAGGGCCAGCCAGGGGCTTCTTTTGTAAGTGTTTCCTGGAAGGCTTTTCAGTGTTCTCCTCTCCCCATCTGGACTAGCCAAGAAAGGCAAGTAGAGCTTGGCTGGAGCAGGCCTGGGGGTCAGGCAGACAAGCCAGGAAGGAGGGAACCAGAGAGGAAGAATGAGGAGGGGGTAGGAGGGCAAGCAACACACACTCATTCATTCACGCATTCAACAAATATGCGCTGCACTCCCAGTGAACTACGCAGAGCCAGGCAGGCAGGGTTGGCCAGGAGCTGGGGGAGGGGCCTACGTGTGCCCCAGGAAGCAATGTTCTCCCCTCCAAGAATTCAGACTTGACACCCTGTGAACACTGACAAGGACATATCCTTAGTTCACTCCGCTCCCATCTATGCATGCACACACATACACACGCATGCACACACACACATGCGTGCGCGCGCACACACACACACACACACACTTGCTTCTTCTGCATCAGGAACTGGAAGCCAGCCAGGTGTGGTGGCTCATGCCTGTAATCCCAGCACTTTGGGAGGCTGAGGCGGGCAGATCACTTGAAGTCAGGAGTTCGAGACCAGCCTGGGAAACAAGGAAAAACCCCATCTCTACCAAAAATACAAAAATTATCCAGGGGCGGTGGTGCATGCCTCAGCTATTCGGGAGGCTGAGGCAGGAGAATTGCTTGAACCCAGAAGGCAGAGGCTGCAATAAGCCGAGATCATGCCACTCTACTCCAGCCTGGGCAACAGAGTGAGACTCTGTCTTAAAAAAGAAAAAAAAAAAAAGAAATGGAAACCTGGGTGTCAGGCAGATCTGGTGGCAGGTCCCTTCTGCCACTGGTTAGCTGCACAGTTTGGGGCAAGTCACTTCTCTGGGCATTGAGCCTCAGTTTCCTCAACTGTAATACCCACCTCACAGAATGAAGTTTGTGGGAAGCCTTATAAATGCACCAGTCATGAATGCACTTCAGAGTCTCTGGGGTGCTGTATAAATGCTCCTTATGGGAAGGGCAGCATATCTGCAGCTCTCTCACTGAGCACTCAATGTGTGCTGAGTGCTGGGCCACGGGAATGAGGGCTCCATGAAGAAAGAGACTCGTCTAGTTCACCACTGAATCCCCAGCGTCTAGAACAGTGCCTGGCACATGGTAGGTCTGTAGTATCTGTTAGAAGCTTTGCCATATGTTAGCTCATTTAATCTTGACAACAACACTACCTAAGTACTATTATTTATCCTCATTTGATGGACATGAAACTGTGGATTCAAAAATTAGGTAAATTTCCCAAGGTTCAACCATAAGTGGCAGAGTGGGATCTGAACCCAGGCAATCTGATCCCATGGCTGCTGATGATAATGATGACGATGGTGATGGAGATGAAAGCAGACATTTGGAGTTTATTGAGCCCAAGGTCATCAAATCCAATACCCTGCCTTCAGGCACACCAGGACAGGGTTGTCTGTCCCTCCTGGTGTCTCTGCCAAATGCCTCTTCTTCCATTGGGGGTTAGGTTCCCCCTCCCACCCTGATCCCTAGCCCCAGGCTACTCAGGAAATTGAAAAAGTCATGCCTCTCTCTTTCTGCCTAGAAGCCAGCACATCTCCCCTGTAATCCCCCACCCAGAATCTTCCATCAGGACCAAGGATCCAAACCAAATGCTCCAAGCAAATTTACCTCCTCCTGCAGTGCTTGAAACCCACTCCTGCCAGAGCAAGTCTCCTTCGTGGACGCCCCATAATGAGACCCAAGGATCCTGGCTGGGAAAGACAGAGACCCCCGGGAAACCACTCTACCCCCAGCTACTTGTGAGTAGATGGGATGGGGAGAAGGGAGGGAAGACAAGCAAAGAGAGAGGGAGACAAAAATAAAAAGTCAGGGCCAGGCACGGTGGCTCACACCTGTAATCCCAGCACGTTGGGAGGCTGAGGGGGATGGATCACCTGAGGTCAGAAATTCGAGACCAGCCTGGCCAACATGGTGAAACCCCATCTCTACAAAAATACAAAAATTAGCCTGGCGTGGTGGTGCACACCTGTAATCCTAGCTACTCGGGAGGCTGAGGCAGGAGAATTGTTGAATCAGGGAGGCAGAGATTGCAGTGATCACGTCACTGCCCTCCAGCCTGGACAACAGAGAGAAACTCCTTTTCAAGAAAATAAAAGACAGGAAAAAAAGAGAAATGGAGAAACAGAAAAAAATAAAAAATAAAAAAAAATAAAAGAGGGCATGGAGAAACAGACCAGGAGGAGGGCCATCCGAAAAGAAGGAAACCCAGAGAGAGAACAGGGCCAGAAGACAGGAGACCCAAATCGAGGCAATCTACAGAGACACATTCCCTCTTACAAAATGGAGAAATAAGTCAGGCCCAGTGGCTCACACTTATAATCCCAGCTCTTTGGAAGGCCGAGGCAGGCGGATCATTTGAGGTCAGGAGTTCGAGACCAGCCTGGCCAACGTGGTGAAACCCCATCTCCACAAAAAAGTACAAAAATTAGCCAGACATGGTAGCACATGTCTGTAATCCCAGCTACTCGGGAGACTGAGGCGGGAGAATCCCTCGAACCCGGGAGGCGAAGGTTGCAGTGAGCTGAGGTCACACCACTGCGCTTCAGCTTGTGACAAAGTGACGGAGACTCCATCTCAAAAAAAAAAAAAATGAAGAAATAGGGCTACTAGGTGCCAAGGGTACAGAGCACAGGAGAAAAGCATCTATGGGCAGTAGGCATTGAAGAGACAGGCAGAAAGCCCCTTGCTACATTTATTCAGTAATCATTCAGTATCTGCCTCAGGCCTCCTGTTTATCTGGCACTGTGCTTAGCCCTTAGAGATGGGGTTGGGACACACTTATGCTAAAAAATTATTTGTTCTTTATCTGAAATTCACACAGAACTAGATGGCCTGTGTTTTTTATTTTCTAAACATGTAGCCTGGAACTACACTGATGAATGAGGTTCCTGACCTCATGGAGCTTATAAAAATGAAGGATAGCCGGCGGTGGCTCATGCCTGTAATCCCAGCACTTTGGGAGGCCGAAGCGGGCAGATCATGAGGTCAGGAGTTCAAAACCAGCCTGACCAACATGGTGAAACCCCACCTCTACTAAAAATACAAAAATTAGCCGGGTGTGGTGGCGGGCGCCTGTAATCCCAGCTACTCAGGAGGCTGAGGCAGGAGAATCTCTTGAACCCGGGAGGTGGAGGTTGCAGTGAGCCAAGATTGCGCCACTGCACTCCAGCCTGGGCAACACAGCAAGGCTCCCTCTCAAAAAAATAAAAAGAAGGCCAGGCGCAGTGGCTCACACCTGTAATCCCAGCACTTTGGGAGGCCAAGGCGGGTGTATCACGAGGTCAGGAGATCGAGACCATCCTGGCTAACACGGTGAAACCCCGTCTCTACTGAAAATACAAAAAAATAGCTGGGCATGGTGGAAGGCGCCTGTAGTCCCAGCTACTCAGGAGGCTGAGGCAGGAGAATGGCGTGAACCTGGGAGGCAGAGCTTGCAATGAGCCAAGATTGCACCACTGCACTCCAGCCTGGGTGACAGAGCAAGACTCCATCTCAAAAAATAAATAAATAAAATAAAAAATAAAGAAAGAAAAAGAAAAAGAGGGACAAAGATACAGAGTAACTGCACTGTGAATGCCTAACTAAATATTCTTCCATTGAGAAGATGCTCAAGGTGCTCTGAAATGAATACTCAGGAGAATTGACCTGCTCAGGGAAGTCAGGGAGGGCTTCCCTGAGGAGGTGATGATGGCTGAGATGAGAGCTGAAGAAAAATCCATTGTCAGGGGGTGTGGAGGAGGGGGCATTGGGAGCATTGAAAGCAGAGGGACCAGCATGTGCAAAGACCCTGTGGTGGAAGGGAATGCAATACAGCCAGTCTGGCTAGCGGCCCCAGAGAGCAAGGGGGTGTGAGGGGCAGGGGGCCTGGTGAGGTCAGCAGGGGCTAGGCCAAGCAGGACCTCCAGCTCATGTTGGGGGCTTTGGTCTTGACCCTTCCCTGAGAGGCCAGGGAAGCAAGAGGCTGACAGGACTCAATTTCCTGGTATTGTAGGAAGAACTGATTGGGGGCCAGGTGCGGTGGCTCATGCCTGTAATTTCAGCACTTTGGGAGGCCAAGATGGGTGGATCACATGAGGTCAGGTGTTCAAGACCAGCCTGGCCAATATGGTGAAACCCCATCTCTAGTAAAAATATAAAAATTAGCCGGGTGTGGTGGCATACGCCTGTAATCCCAGCTACTTGGGAGGTTGAGGCAGGAGAATTGCCTGAACCCAGGAAGTGGAGGTTGCAGTGAGCCAAATTGCACCACTGCACTCCAGCCTAGGCAACAGAGCGAGACTCTGTCAAAAAAAAAAAAAACCTGGCGATTAATAAGCTGAGAATGGCTGTGGAATAAGCAAGGGAAGCAATGGTGGAGGCTACGTCTAGGACCTGGATGGAGGCAGGACAGCAGGGATAGAGTGGAGAGGTACTGCGAGTTAAAATCCACAGGACTTCAAGATGGAACAGGAGTGAGAAGTAGGGGAGGGGGTTATCTAGAAGGACTCCCAGGGTTCCAGCCTACAGGAATGATGATGGAACCCTCTCCTGAAATGCGGAGGGCCAGGAGGATCCAGCTTAGGATAGGGATGAAAACCTGAGTTCTGAGTCAGGGCCCCGTCCCACCCCTCCCATCAGCCAGGCAGGACTCTCTGAGATACCCTCATGAGGACCATCCTCCCAGACAGGGCAGCCAATCATTCTCCCAAGTTGCCAAGATGGAAACCAATGCATGGTGGAGGAGAGGAGGAAGATGAACAGAGAACCACCCACTTTGCCCTGCCTGAAGGGTGGGGGCCGCCTGAGCCCTCAGACAACGTGTTTGGGGGCAGGTGTGTGGGGAGATCCCTGGTGCCTCACCCTCACTTCCTCCATCCACCTCCCCTCCCAAAAGCCAGGCAGCCTTGGCATTATGACAGAGCCTATCTCGCACTGCGGAGGGTCTTTTGTGGTGGCAGGAGAGGGCATGCCTCGGTTCCAGGCAGACCACGGAGTAGTGTCGGGGAGCAGCACGCAGGAAAACCCAGTGATGGGGCAGATTTAAGAGGTAGGGGGAGGCCAGGTGTGGTGGCTCATGCCTGTAATCCCAGCTCTTCGGGAGGCTGAGGTGGGTGGATCACCTGAGGTCAGGAAATCGAGACCAGCCTGGGCAACATGGTGAAACTCAGTCTCTACTAAAAATACAAAAATTAACCAGGTGTGGTGGCGTGCGCCTGTAATCTCAGCTACTCAGGAGGCTGAGGCAGGAGAATCACTTGAACAAGGGAGGAGGAGGATGCAGTGAGCTGAGATCACGCCACTGTACTCCAGCCTGGGTGACAGAGTGAGACTCCATCTCAAACAAACAAGCAAACAAAAAAAGAGGTAGTGGGAGAGGGAGATGGAGAGGGAGAAAAGGGACAGGAGCACAGGACAGCAAGACACAGAAAATGGAAAGATAAGAACCAAATAAGAGAACCAGGACCAGAGGCAAAGGAACCCACAGAAAGACAGAGGCATAGATAGAAAGACGGCTAGCTGGCTGGGGTGGCTCATGCCTGTTATCCCAAAACTTTGGGATGCCGAGGCAGGAGGATGGCTTGAGCCCAGGAGTTTGAGACCAGCCTGGGCAACATGTCGAAGCCCTGTCTCTACAAAAAAAATACAGAAATTAGCTGGGTGTGGTGGTGTACACCTGTGGTCCCAGCTATTCAAGAGGTGGGAGGATCTCTTGATCCCAGAGGTTGAGGCTGCAGTGAGCCATAATCACACCACTGCACTCTAGCCTGGGCGACAGAGTAAAACCCTGTCTCAAAACAAAAACAACAACAAAAAAAAGAAAGTTATCCAAGTGCCAGCTTTTTTTTTTTTTTTTTCTTTGAGACAGAGTTTTGCTCTTGTTGCCCAGGCTGGAGTGCAATGGCGCGATCTCGGCTCACCGCAACCTCCACCTCCCAGGTTCAAGCAATTCTCCTGCCTCAGCCTCCTGAGTAGCTGAGATTACAGGCATACGCCACCACGCCCAGCTAATTTTGTATTTTTAGTAGAGACAGGGTTTCTCCATGTTGGTCAGGCTGGTCTCGAACTCCCGACCTCAGGTGATTCGCTCACCTCGGCCTCCCAAAGTGCTGGGATTACAGGCATGAGCCACCTTGCTTGGCCTCAAGTGCCAGCTTTCTTGTTGCACTGAGCTCTCCTGTCCCAGGAAGGCTTCTGCCACCTGGGCTGTCCTCAGGGACCCCACGGGGCTAGGGTAGGAAGAGTGAAGAGAAAGGCAGGACTGGGCAGAGGACCCTGGTCCCCTTATAAGAAGCCTTCAGCCCTGCAGCCACCCAGGACTGCTTCCTGTTTCCTTTTTTATTCATTTATTCATTCAATAAGCATTCGTTGAGCTCCTACTGTGCACCCGGCTCTGGAGATTCAAGTGTAATTAAATAAGACCAGCATGTGTTTTAGCAAAACAGGGGAACCCAAGAAACAATTGTGAAAAACATTATGCAGGAAATAAACAAGATGGTAGAAAAGTAAGGTTGAGGGAGATTCTTTACCTAGGATGGTCAGGGAAGGACTCTCACGGGAGGTGACATTTGGCTGAAGGCTGGAGGTAGGGGAGCCAGCCTTGTGAAGAGCAGGGGTGAGAGTGATTCGGCAGAGGGAACAGCACGTGCAAAGGCCCTGAGGTTGGCAGCATCACACTAAAGGGGCTGGAGAAACTCGGAGAGAGCTCTACAGGCCAAGGAAGGTATTCAACAGGAGGCCTCTGGAGGGTGTTACACAGGGTCCTAACCAGATGCCTCTCCACTGCCTTCATCTGCCCCTGAGCTCAGGTACATAAGGCCACCACATAAGTGTGTGGTCCCCAGCAGGACCTCACACACTTCCGTCCCCCTCATGTAGGATCATGGCTCTTCTGCCCAGAAACTGCACCCCCTTCCTTCCTTCCTCCCAAATGAAAGCCCCTGGCCTAGCTTCACCTCTCTGGTGCCCGAAGTGCCCCTTCCTATTTAGGTTCCCCTTTTTATCCCACCAGGAGACACTGGGGGAAAGAATACTGCCCTGAGTTCTAATCTGCTTCCACCACCAGTTCATTTACACCTTCCGACAAGCCAGTTCAGGCCCATCGAGGCCTCGGTTTCCCATCTTCATTATGGACCTGCCAGAGAGGAACATGCTGGTCCCAACCCTGCTCTTCTTGGGGATGACCTTTCTCAGCCACAAGATAGAGCCATCTCTTCCCTTCCCCTGAACATGTGCACACATGCGCACACACACACACACACACATGCACACACACACCCTGCTCTCTCCTCTCCAGCCGTGACCCTGCCCTGCTCTCCCCAAAGCCTCCTGTGTGGTCTGCCCCCTCTCCTACCTCCCACCCCAGAACCTTGAGATCTGCCTCCTGGCAGCCTCTGCTCGTCCCCCTTTTACCCCCTCCCTGCCCACCTGCCACTTAGGATTGCACCGACCCTCCTGTCCTCTGCCAGTGTCCCAGGGCTGCTGACTGCAGACAGTACAACTGGAGGCTGGCCCTTCCCTGGCCTGCAGGGCCTTCCCCACTCATTAGAGCCCTAAGAACATCCCCGTGGAGGGGTTTACAAGGCCCATTTGCAGTCTTTTTTTTTTTTTTTTTTTTTGGGGACGGAGTCTCGCTCTGTCACCCAGGCTGGAGTGCAGTGGCACAATGTCGGCTCCCTGCAGCCTCCACCTTCCAGGTTCAAGCGATTCTCCTGCCTCAGCCTCCCGAGTAGCTGGGAATACAGGCACGCACAGCCACACCCAGCTAATTTTTGTATTTTTAGTAGAGACGGGGTTTCACCATGTTGGCCGGGATGGTCTTGATCTCCTGACTTCATGATCCACCCACCTCGGCCTCCCAAAGTGCTGGGATTGCAGGCGTGAGCCACTGTGCCCTGCCCCATTTGCATTCTTAAGACAACCTCCACTCCCCGCCCCAACCCTAAAAATAAGAAACTGTCTCAAAGTTGTTAAAGCCCCAGTTTATATTGTAACATAAACCCCTGTGGGCCTGGGCCTGGGCTGTAGGAATCACCCGCCCCTAAACTCTCCTCTCTTTCAGAGGCAGGTTTGTTTCCACCGCAGCCCCTCCCTCATTGTGAGGCGCTGGGGCTGCCCAGAGACAGTCCTGCGGGCCTTGTCTCCAGAGCAGACCTCGGAAGGCTTTTGGGAGTGGGGGTGGTCACAGATTCTGGGAGCTCGAGTTCTGTGCTGGCCTGGCCTGACCCCTCACAGGGCCGGTGGCCGAGCGGACCAGGGTCACAGAGCAGTCACATGTCACTTTGAATGAGAAGTTTTGAACTGTGGCTGAGAAATGAAGTTGGAAAACAGCTCAGCCAAAGGCAATTGGAGTTTTTTTGTGCTTTTTTAAAAATTTTTTGGGGGGAAAAAATCCTCTATTGTCCGACTAGGCTTCCATGATGCTGGAAAATTGAAATTATTTCCTGGGAAGTCTGGTCTAATTTCCCCTGGGTGGGGTGGAGGCTGAGCTCCCCTCCCCACTGCTCCAACTTAGAAGTTTCTGGTTCTACTCAAGAGACCAGGACCCAGGAGGGAAGCAGAGACCCTGAGCTTTGGCCCTGCCAGGCAGCCCCTGCTCCCCGTCATCCTGCCTCGGGAAGCCCCTATCCCAACCCTTGCAAGTTGCGGAGGCTGTTTCAAGAACCTGGAGATTCCTCATCAGTGTCACTCTCCCAGCAGCCTGGGTCTGCTGGGCGGCCCTCTGGGCTTGTCCCCCACCCACCCTGGCTCTCTACTTGTGCCCTCTGTCTCCTGGACTCCCCACCTCTGTCTCAAGGCTCTCCAGGGCAAGCCGACCGAGGGACAGCTGCAAAACATTTGTGCTGGGGAGCCATTTGCAGCCAGGTGGCTGCCAGGCCTGATATGATGGGAACCCTGGGCCCCAGCCCAGCCCCAGCCCTTCCACTCAAGCCCCAGTGCAGGAACCTCTCTGTCTGCCAAAACCAAGGAAGCCGAGGCGAAGGAAATGACCTTAAGGCTACTCCAGGAGACCAGGGGTCAGGCATGGTCAGCCCCCACTTGACAATCTGCAGCTGAGCTGAGCTCTGAGAATGGGGGGCAGGGTAGGGAGGTGAGGGCAGCGGGTACTGCTCCTAGAGGATGGCATCAGGTAAGGTAGCAAACTGCCCACCCATGCCTCAGTGAGAGGCTGTCCACAGCCAGCCACCCTCTGTAGGCTAATAGAAAGGTTTCCAGGCCACAAGAGAGACGGAGAAGGGAAGAAGGGCTCTCCCCCGCAGCCCCTGCGAAGAGGGACCCCACACACACCTCCACCACTTGCCCTTGGTCTACCCCCGCCTCCTCTCCTGGGGGAGGACATGGAGTGAGTAGAAAGCTTAGGCCTCCAGCCGCAGCAGACCCATCTGTTTCCAATCAGGAGAACAGGTTCCCAGATCATAGAGGACACATGGGGAGGGAGGCCACAGACAACGAGCAGCCCGCCCTTGCTGCAGGACCCCCAAGCCCCTCCCCGAGCGCGGCCCCTGTCCCATTTGGTCTCCTTTCACCCTCCAGATGGGCCTCACACACAGCCACAGGAGGGCCACATGGGGCAGGGAAACCTTAGGGGGTGCAGACCTCCCTTTCCTACCCAATCGTCTGACCACAGACCCAGACTTCTGTCCCTAGTTAGACATTCAACCCACAGAAGAAAGAAGGAAAGGGAAGGAAAGAAAGGGGCTAGAGGGAGGACGAAGGGCTGCCAGCATAAAAAGAGCAAGCGAAGCTTCCAAAAGCCATCAGATCCCAGCTGGATCTTGTTATAAATGAGGAAACTGAAGTCCGGAGAAGGAAGTCTAACAGAACTTAGTGAGCTCAGCCCCAAGCCTGTTCATGCATCATGCCCATATAATGGTCTCCACAACTCTAGATAGGAATTACTACTCCCATTTGACAGATGGGAAAACGGAGGCTCACGGGAGCAAAAGGTCTTACCTGCCCAACCTCACTCAGCTGGTCAGCAGCCAGATCTGCCTGATGCCAGAGTCTGGGCTCCAGGCCGCCCACCAGAAGTGATGGCCGCCTCGACAGCCCAAACCCCAGGGTCATTTTCCCTTCCCCACTGTCTCCAGACTTTGACCAGGTGGGAATCTAGTTCTGGAGAAGTCTGCCCTCCCCATCCAGGGTCTGCCTTGGTTCCCACCCCTTATCCATGCGGCCCCAACCTCAACCTCTGTCTTCAGGCCCAAGGTCAAAGGACACAAGCCTGAGGAAAAAAAGCAGCCTCTCTAGTTATGGCTTAGTGCCAGAGTTTTAATCCTGGCTCTGGACAACCTTGGTGTCTGGGCCTTGACTTCCCCATCAATAAATATACTGGGTTGTCTAAAACTGGGTTGGACAGTGATTCTGTGATTCCCCAACCCTCTATTCCTATCCTCCTGAACAAACCTAGAGGCTTCCCCTTGGCTTGGGTGGTCTTCAGAAAAAGGGTTCTGACCCCAATTTCAGAATTTAGAGCTGGCAAGGGGACCAAGAGAAGGAGGGGACCCAGCCAGCCATGGAAGCCACTAATCTCCATCTTTCCCTGGGGGACTGCACTGCCGCCTCCACTGAAAGCAATTTGTCATGCCCTGAATTAAGTGACTCCAACAAGGGTTTAATTTCAGCTTAATGGCTCTGTTTTTATGTGTAATTAAATACTATAGCATGGCAAAAATATGTTGTTTGCACTTTAGAGACTGTGTAAGGGCCTAGGAAGCCAATCCCACCGAGTTGCTGCTCCCAGGCTCCACCAGCGCCTCCCCCAGTTTGGCTGGAATTGTCCAGGTAGAAGGGAAGGGGGCTGGGGACCTAAGGAAAAGAGGTGGGGGGTGGGGGTGAGGGGTGGGGTGGTCCTGGTGGCGCCTGCTCACTCGGTAGAGCATGTTTCTAATTATCTGCAGCTACTCCCTCCACTTACACTCCCTGACCCCACCCTCCCCAACCCTGGAGCTTCAGATACAAGAGGGGACAGGTCACTCTGGAAGTGAGGATCTAATTAGACCCTTGGTTGGCTGCAGCAGTGTCTGCTCCTCCATGGGTGTGCCCAGAAGTCTGCCCCACGGTCCTGACCCAACATCCCAGAGGCCAGCCTGCCTCCCAGCTCCATTCCACCACATCACCTTGACTTTCTCTTTCGAGGTCAGAGAGGCCTGGAATACAGGGGGAATCTCTGTCAGGTAACACTTCAGGCCATTTACCACACAGCCACATAACAGCCCCCCACACTGGGAAAGAGGACCGAGCAGGCATCCCAAATCCTGCATGCCTCGTAACATTCCTGGAGCAGCTTGGTGGCAGAATGTGGCTCAGGGTACAGCGGGGTTAGGACAACCAGCCTTTTCCTGGAAAGAGGTGGGAGATGGCAGTGGCTGGAACTTCAGGGCCTGAAGAGCAAGCAGGGCCCAGAGGCTTGGCCAGCTCTCCAGAGATTCCCCAACCTGAATCCAAGGCTGGAATCAGTTCAAGTCTCCATTTTTCCTCCCTACTCCCACCCCACCTTCTTGCCAGTGGAAAACCCAGCCCCCAACCCCCAGCCAACATCAGGGCTTGATCTCTATTAGTGAGCTGGGAAATGGAAACCAAATGCTTGATGTAGATCAGCTAGGGGTTGTTGGCAGGCGGGATGTCCCATCCCCTGCTCCAAGTCAGTGGGAGGGAATGACATGTCTCCAGGAGGCAGGACAGAGCACTCAAGGACTTCAGTTCTCAAGTCCATCCAGGTTTAGTGGTGCCACCAGTACCTCCCTCCCACATCTCCCAGAGGTGCTGACACCCCTGTGGCAACTAGAGAGACCATTTGGGTATTCCCACCGTTTCAAGGGTGGGAGGGCCTAGCTGCAAACAAGAAGCTGCTTTTATTTGCTTTTTGGTACTTAGGACCTGGCTCCAGGATCCTGTGGGCATGAAGCCTGGACAGGGCAGTGTTTCTGTGGGATGTGAAAGTCCTCTCCCCAAAGCACATGTTCATTCTCTAGTGTCAGACATCTCCCCACAAACCCTGAGGTGGGATCACCTAATGAGCGAGAGTCCAGTCATCCACAGCCAGGAGAGACAGGCGTGCTCCGTGAATGTCTCACTCCCTCTCTCCTCACATCGCACACGTGTTCACATGCCACATATACACACCACACAAATGCACACCACACAAATGCACACGCCACATATACACACCACACAAATGCACACGCCACATATACACACCACACAAATGCACACCACACAAATGCACACACCACATATACACACCACACAAATGGCACACCTTCCCTTCACACATCAAACAGGCATGCACACCCCCAAAAAGCCCATACACTCACGTTTCAGGTGTCACTGCGTCATACTCACATGCATGCACACACACATACTCCACAAATGCACGTATGTCACGAAGTTACACCCAGGCCATGCACACAGCTACTTCCAAGCCAATTTGGCTTTTTTGGGAGGCCCATGAAAGAAAAAGGACCTCCTACCACCACTGCCAAGGGTGCAAGCCTAGAGCATCGGGAAGGGGACTAGAGACAAGGGGGTTGAAAAAGATGCCTTAGGGAAAGAGATACTTTCCCTAAACTTGAAACCTAAAACTTAATCTTCAGCGTGCACCACCTCCCATCCCCACAGGCCTTGGCCTGGGCTCCAGAAGGAGGGGACTCTGTGAAGAGTGGCTGGGGCTGAGGAAGCAACCCTCAACACCACTTTGTTCTTTATCTCCTGCTGCTGGCAGCCGCCGTGGTGCCTCAGGGAGACCAGATGGCTGCAGGACTTTGCTGCTGGGGCAGAGCTAGAGAGACAGAACTGCAGACCCAGCCTCAAGATGCAGACGGGACAGGTGCCAACAAAGTTGGGGCCCAGTGAAATCAGAAGCCTGGAAGCGCCTCTGGAGCTGGGGAGGGGGCTGAGAATCCAGGACACAGCTAGATAGGAGGGAGCCCGCGCAGCGGGCGGCAGGCTCAATGCAGCGTCTCCAGACTGCCTGCAACCTCCTGGAAAAAGGCCCCCACCGAGAGATCAGCTTCTGCTCCCGGACCCTCCACCCCCTGCCACACACATGCGTGCACACACACACACAAGGCACAGAGGTGTGGGAGGGGAGGGGCATTTGGAGGATGGCCAAGAGTCCAGGCATACCATGTGAGCACAATCTCTGAAGCTGTGGCTGGCACTGAGTCTACAGCAAAGTCAACCCCTCCCAACCTCAGAATCCAATCTCAGCACAATGCCCGAGTCAGAGATCTCGGCAGTCAGAGCTGTGGAATGTGCTGAAGCATCTACCCCCTTTCCTCAAATGCAGGGCAGTGTCCCTGCCCCTCCCCAACAAATTAATAAATCAAATCCAGATGCAAGCCCAGTCCGCCCGATGCCCTAGGAAATGCCCCAGCCCCACATGCCAGCTGATCCCAGAGACAGCTCTGCCCCCACAGGGCTGTCCTTGGTCATGCCCCCCTTTCAGGAGCCATTGTTTGCCCACCAGGAGTCTAAGTAAAGACAGCGCAGACTTTGAAGCCAAGGAGTTCCCTAGGAAACTTCCGTTGCAGGGAAGAGGAAGGTGGATTGGCCGTCCTTCTGCAGTCCCTTACCATACAGACAGGTCTGGGGACCACACAATACTCACCTCCCAAAATCTGTCCCCGTCTCTCCACCCCTGGTGCATCCCTGTGTCTAACTGAGAATAAATCAACCAAACACAATCATCTGGACATTTTTTGGTTTTGTTCTGTTTTGTTAAAAAAAAGAAAAAGAAGAAAAGACATCATGGCCAACTGGTAGGTTCCTAAGTCTCCTTCCATCCAGTCAAGCCAGAAGATGCCCAGGGGAGTAGGGAGGTGTGGGGAGGGAGGTGTAGGGGAAGGAGATATGGAGAGGGAGGCAGAGCTACAGGGAGCGAGCCACTGGAAGGATAGGTTCATCCCGGTGACTTCATGGCTGTGACCACAAATGGGGTAGGGAACAGGACCCAGGAAGCCCCTCATCCCCTAGCACGTGGGTCTTCTCCATTAGGCACATTCAGTCCACTCTTGCATTCTTTCTTCCCACCCTGACTGCTCAGAGAAATGTACCCCACCTCCCTAGCCCTCTGTGCTTCAAGTCTTCCTTTGACCCCCTTCGCTCTCCCACAGCAGGGCTCTCAGCTGCCAGCCAACCAAGCAGATGGTGCAACAACCAGACCTAAAGGAAGGACCTGGGGAAGAAGAGAAAGGGAGCCTGGCAAGTCTGAGCTTTGGGAGTGGGTCTGGACCTCGTGACCATTACTCCATCTGCTACCCCACGCTTCCTTAGGCTCCCACCCTCTGGCTAGCTTGAGAGGAAGGACGATGGTCAAGGTACATGTCTCTTCTCCTCTGACTCTGGGAATGAGATTTTTCTACTCCCACAGGCTTGAACTCTCCTTATAGGAGTGTCTCCACATGCCAAAATCAGAGGAAGTCAGAATAAAACCTCCCAAGGCTGAAAACTAGAGCTGGCACGTAGTACATGGTCAGTAAATGTTTTTAGGTGGCTGGATGAGTGAAGGAATGAGTGAGTGAGTGAATCCAGGATCGATCTGGAAACACACCAGGGCTCAGACCTCTTGGGCTAAGTGCCAGTCTCAGTCCTCTTGGGCTGTGTAACACCAAAGAGAACACCCCAGGCTCTGGCTTACCCCAAGGGCACACCCATGCTCACAAACACACACACACGCACGCACACGCACACGTGCACACGCGCATTTGAGGGAAACTTCTGGGCCGCAGGCAGAGACAGGACTCAGACTCAGACTCCACTCTGGGTCAGCTCTGCAGCCTCCAGAGCACAGGAGTAGCAGGGGACGCTGAGTCCCTGGCCTGCTGGCAGGCCTCACTCTCGAAAGCTGTCAGCCAGCTGGTGGCAGTCCAGCTCCCCCTTTGGCTCCAGGCCCCCCGGAAGCTTCACCCCCGTCTTCCGGTCCACACACCAGCACTTGCCACGCTGCCCATCCAGAGCTGGGTGACACTGCCAAGAGAAGGACATGAGGGGTCAGTTCCGACGCAGGAAAAGAGACCCCAAGTGACCCACCCCAATCCCAGCCCAGCCCAGCCCCCAAGTCAGACGGTCGCTGCTTCAAGATGGCCTCTGAGGGTGGTGACTCTTTTTTGAGCATGGGTCTTCTGAGCTCACTGGAGCAGGGAGAACATGGTCAAGAAGGAAAGGTCCAGAGAGTTCTGGAAGGCAGGACCTTAAGAAAGCCCTCGGGTTTAAAGGCACAGCTGGATTTGAAAGGCTGGGTTCAGGTTGGAGATGTTTTGGGTACATATTCTGATTGGGTTGGGACTTTAAGAATGGGATTATAGTTATGAGGTGGATCCAAGCTGGGATTAAGGTAGGACCAGGGTAAGAGTTGCAGTTGAATGAGGAAATATGACTAAAAGTTGAGCTGGATGAGTTGGGTGAGGGTTAAAGCCCAGGTAAAAACACAATTGGGATAAAGACAGAGGTCAAGGTCAGAATAACTAAAGTTAAGCTAAATTTTGGGTCAAAATTAGATAGTAGAAGGTTCAGGGGGCGCAAATGTATATTTCAGTGTGAGAATTAATCTTGGAGTGAAGGATAGCTTAAGGATCAGAACTGGTCTGGGGATAAAGTTCAAGTGTCAGAACTTTCAATGGGATAAAAATCAGAGGAAGAAGCTAGTGGCTCAAGCCTGTAATCCCAGCACTTTGGGAGGCCGAGGTGGGTGGATCACCTTAGGTCCGGAGTTCGAGACCAGCCTGGCCAACATGGCAAAACCCCATCTCTCCTAAAAATACAAAAAATTAGCCGGGTGTGGTGGCAGGCAACTGTAATCCCAGCTACTCGGGAGCTAAGGCAGGAGAATCGCTTGAACCCGGGAGATGGAGGTTGCAGTGAGCCGAGATCCCACCATTGCACTCCAGCCTCGGCAACAAGAGACAAACTCTGTCTCAAAAAAAAAAAAAATTAGCCTGACATAGTTGTGTGCCTGTGGTCCCAGCTACTCAGGAGACTGAGGTAGGAGGATCACATGAGCCCAGGATGTGGAGGTTGCAGGGAGCTGTGATCGCATCACTGCACTCCAGCCTGGGAGACTGAGATCCTGCCTTTAAAAAAAAAATCAGGAGAAGAAAATGCATAGAATTTTGCAACACAAAAAGTGAACCCTAATATAAACCACTAATTAATAATAATATACTAATATTCGTTCATCAATTGCAACAAATGTAAGATGTTAATAATGAGGAAACTGGGGTGGATGACAGTACATTGAAACCCTGTACTCTTGCTCAAGTTTTCTGTAAACCTAAAACTACTCTAAAAAATAAAGCTATTAATTGTTTTTTTTAAATTAAGAGAAAAAGTTTTTTAAATTGGGACAAGGATAAAATTCGTGTTAGGATAAAGGTTAGAAATAGGCTGGGCATTGGTTTTGGGGTGCCCTCTCTGTCCCTTCACTCATACCCTTTTCATGCCATCCTGGGATGCACAGACTCAGGGCAACCTTTGTCCTTCTATCTAGACTTCTGCTGGCAGAGTGGCAGCTCAAATTGTGGATTTGTCTATAGCTCATGGAGCAGGGAAATGGGTCTGTCTACGTCGACAAAGAGCTCCAGGCTAGGGTTCCCCAGGCAACACCCAGCAGGAGGCACACCAGAGCCCTGCCCAGACAGGCCACCCATTCTGATGGGCCAGAGATAGACTGGAAGAGGCCAACCCTGCTGACCATCCCAGCCTCCTGGAGGCTTGTCAGAGGACCCCAGCTTCCAAGGGCAGGAAGGAATAGGGAAGTTGCTGCCTTTGTGTCTTCTCTCCTGCCCCACTCCTTCCTCTGCTTCTACCCAAAGTGCCTGTCTCCAACCGTCCAATCTGGTTTTACCTTCACTCTTGCTGTACCCCAGGTGGTTTTGCTACTCGCCTTGCAGGGAGGGGTAGGCTGAGTTTCCTCCCTGACTCCTCATGACTTTGGCCCTCCATTCCCAGAAGAAACCTCACTCAGTGACAGGAGGAATTACTCATACGAATAGAGTAGAGTGAATGAGAGAGTGTTGGGAGCCAGAGGTTGTCAGGGTTGCTAGGTCTGCACCACAGATGGTGAAATCCAGGGGTGAGGGAAATTGCCCTGGATAGGGAGGCAAGATCTGCTGTTAACTTGTTCTATGACTCTGGACTAGCCCGGCGCTTTTACTCCTCTCTGGATCACAGTCTCCTCATCTCCAAAATGAGTGAGGTTCTGACGCTGAGGTAGGTTTAGGGAGGCTCCAAGGGGTTGGGTTGGGGTTGAGGAGTTTCCCCTTCCTGAGATCTCCATCCAGGACCATCCTGCGGAGAGGCCGGAAATGCCCCAGAGCTGAGTCCAGGGCCAAGCCAGCGGGAGACAGAGACCCACCTGCTTGGGGTGGAAGTTGCCGTTGCGGTCGCAGTTGGGGATGGGGATGATGTAGAGGTCCTCGTGGGTGCGGCTCTGTGAAGCGGCCAGCCGCTCCAGCGCCCGGTGCAGCTCGCTCTGGCAGGAGCCCTGGGGCTGGAGGAGGGGAAGACAAAATTGCTCAGCAGAAGGAAGAGAGGCAGGAGGCCCAGGCCTGGGGTCAGAGCTAAGTGAGAACTGAAGGCCCCGAAAGGAGGCCTGAGCCCCAGGGGCTGGGCAGGACCCAGTGAGGTGAAGAGAGAGGCCTGGGTCTGGAGGACACACTGGGAGGGTAGAGACGTGGAGGAAAGGGTCTCGAGCCAAAGAGCTTCTTCAAAGGAGGGGTGGGAAGTGAGGGGACACTGTGGGGAAAGGGGCTGTGGGAACCTATGCAGAAAGCCAGGGAGGGGGTGATTTCTATGCAGAAGGGACAGATAAAACTTCCAACTGACAACTTGTAAGACCTTCAGAAGGGAAATTAGCCAGACCCTGGAGCAGGGTCCCAGGCCCCCTGCTATGGCCAGCATTACCCTTTGGTTACTGAGAAGGTCTGGGGTGGGGAATCCAAAAAAGGCCAAGAAACCCCAGGGCGCTTTGGGTAACTGCTTTTTACCAATTGGTATAGAAGTTTTTCAGTATTTAATAATCACTTAAGCTGCCCCGATGTATATAACTGATGGGCAGGAAAGGAATCCCAAGGAAGGGAATGAGTGCTTTCTCTGGGTCCTGATGACTCACACTAGTTGCACCTTGCACACAGTAGTCACCCTAGAATGTGTGCTGAATGAACACGCCCCAGATCTGGTGGTGATGGTGTGTGTGGGTGCGTGCATGTGGGGGGCAGGGGGCATGTGTGTGTGTGTGTCTATGCACATGCACATTTGTGCATCGGAGGTCCTTACCACAGGCCGGGCATCCTCCCGGGGCGCCCCATTGACCTTCATCTTGCCCCCACTGGTGCTCCGGTCTCGAATTTTGGCGAAGTGCTTCTGCAGGCACCTGCGGTCATGGGCGCTACAGGGGCTGAAGCTGTTGTTGGGGTGGTCACCCTCGTCCTTGTCTGTATTCAGGTAGCGATAAGGAGAGGTCAGCACCGGAAGAGGTCAGAGCGTCACACCAACCCAGCCTCCCACCCACGTTCTCCTTCCTGGGGATTCTTCGGCTTGGCGCTGGAGAAGAGCAGGGGGCCTGGGGAGCGGGAAGAAACAAGAGCAGCCCCCTACCTCCTCCCCTCTCCCCTGGATCTCTCAGGAGAATATTCCTCTTGAAGTCCTTGACTTGTCCCTCACCCCACTCAGGCCAGCGCTCAGATGAGTCACCAGCTGCAGCTGCCCAGATGGCAGGAGGGTCCCCTGGGCCCTGCAGGGAGGTCTGAGGCAGGCAGGGGGACCCCCTGCTGGATCCTGTCCCCTTTCCATTCAGCTCCCACCATTCCCCTCTCCATCTGATCGTTCTCCCTGTTGCCTCTCCTGATTTTTTCGGTGTCTGGCTGAGCCAGCCAGGGGATCCCCAGGGCTGTGGACTCTGCTCGCCCTCTTCCAAATGGCCTGAATCAGAGTTTCCATGAGCAATGAGAACTCTAGCCCAAAAGGCTCTCCCCATTGGCTGAGTGGGAGAGAAGTGGGAGTTAGTGTATCCGCCTGCATGAGGAAGAGTGAGTGTGTGTGTGAGTGTGTGTGTAACACAACCTGTGTGGCCCCAGGACCACAAGAACAGCCTCACACATTCCTTCAGTCCCCCACCTCGAAGTTTCCCATTCTTAGACTTCAGACTCCATCCAAAGTCCATAGGGGTTGCCCAGAACCAGGGCACCAGGGATCTGGAGACGGGAGTGATGAGGCTGGACCTTCAACCCCTCTGTGGGATCTCCTGAAGGCTCTATCTGAGCTCAAGAAAAACTCCATCCAAATGGGGCATTGTGGCTCATGCCTGTAATCCCAACACTTTGGGAGGCTGAGGAGGGAAGATTACTTAAGGCCAGGAGTTCGAGACCAGCCTAGGCAACATGGCAAGACCCCATCTTCACAAAAAATTTAAAAATTAACCGGGTATGGTGGCATGTGCCTGTAGTCCTAGCTACTCAGGAGGCTGAGGCGGGAGCATCACTTGAACCCAGGAATTCGAGGTTAACAGTGAGCTATGATCACACCACTGCACTCCAGCCTGGGTGACAGAGCAAGACCCTGTCTCTAAAAAAATAAAATAAAATAAAATACATTTTTTTAAAAAAGAAAAACCCCATGCTTGAGTCCCAGAACTGTAACCACTGCTCCTCCCTCCAAGCAGTCAAAACCAGAATACAGGGCTGAGCTGGAGAAAGAGGTTGGAAGACCTCTCTGCAGATCAGAGCCACCTCTGAAATGCTCAGGCTTGGCAGCTCGCTGCCGGCCTGAGTGCAAAGCCCCTGCCAGCATTCCAGATGTTGGCAGCCGGACAGGAGGTTACATCTGGTTTGCGTCAGGGTTTTTTTTTTCCTGAGGAGTTAGCAGGTTCCTCCATGCGTGGCAGCGATCCCAGAGCTGCCTCTGGGTCAAATGGTATTTTTCTGCCTAGCCAAAGCTGGGGGGGTTGGTTCTCTTTTCATTCTCCTGGTTTGGGGGGTGTGGGGAGAAATATGTGGATAAAGGCAAACCAGGCAAGGAGGAATCTAACCAGAAAGTCTTTATCAATAACCTTCCACACCAAAGGTTATTAATAAAATTCACCAAGGATGGAAGAAGATTTTGTTACGGTGGAGAGCTGGCTTAGAAAAGAGGAATAAAAGGGAAGAAATAAATAGAGTAGACAGATATAATCCATCCTTCTGCACATTTAAAATCCCAAGAAGGACAGTCCAGAGGGGACTCCAGTCCTACATCAAGTTCCTAAGAGTCAACCAAAGAGAAGACACTATAGCAAGACCCCCTGGCCAAGGTAGGCAGCAAAAGAAGAAACATAAACTTCAGAAGACGAGGACTGTGCCAAGGGGACCATAAGGAGATGGATCCTGAGCCCTCGGTTAGGAACCAGAGAAAGATCTGGGATCCAGGCCCTTCCTTTGAGACCCTCCCAAGGAATTCCTCCAGCCAAAGAAACCTAAGCTGCCCCAGTGATCACCTCCCTCCACACCCCCACCTTGCACAAAGCCATAAGGCTTGAGGATGGAGTCACCGTGTTTCAGGGGTGTAAGCTGGAACTGGGGAGTGGAGAGAAAAAGGAAATGGAAGACCTCAAAGAATTAGAACCAGGCTGGGTGCTCACGCCTGTAATCCCAGTGCTTTGAGAGGCCGAGGTGGGAGGATCACTTGAGGCCAGGAGTTCAAGACTAGCCTGGGCAACATAGCAAGACCCTGTCTCTACCAAAAAAAAAAAAATTAGTCAGACCTGCCTGTGGTCCTAACTTAGAAGACTGAGGTAGGAGGATCGCTTGACCCCAGTACATCAAGGCTACAGTGAGCTATGATTGTGCCACTGCACTCCAGCCTGGGTAACAGAGCAAGACCCTGTCTCTTAAAACAAAAACAAAAACAAAAAAACAAAAAAAAAATTCAAGAATTAAAGAATTAGAACCAAATGTCAGAAGGACAGAGGCTGAGCTGAGATGTGGACAAAGGCCCCACCCTGTTACTTAAGTAGGGCTGGAGATCACCTGGACTTGTTTGCCACAGCCCAGGACACTAACACCAGGGGGCACCCTTCCAACCTGGAAAGCCTTTGTTTTTCCTGAGTTTGCTTTCTTTTAATGACCATAAAAGAAAGTACTAGGGGCCAGCTGGGGTGGCTCACGCCTGTAATCCCAACACTTTGGAAGGCCGAAATAGGTGGATCGCTTGAACCCAGGAGTTCAAGACCAGCCTAGGAAACATAGTGAAACCCTATCTCTACAAAAAATTAGCCTGGTGTGGTGATGCACAGGTGTAGTCCCACCTACTTGGGAGGCTGAGGTGGGAGGATCACCTGAACCCAGGAGGTCGAGGCTGCAGTGAGCAGTGATCACACCACTGCACTCTAGCCTGTGCAACAAGTGAGACCCTGTCTCAAAATTTTAAAAAAGCAAGCACTATTTTGTACAATGATTCATTCCTCTCAGTAAATGGGTAGAATATTCTTTGGTTCAAGGAGTGAGGAAGGTTTTTCAGGAGTTCAAGGAGTGAGGAAGAGTTTTCAGGAGGTAGTGAGCTCCCACCCTGGAAGTGTGGAGAATTAGGGTGGTAGCAGCCTCAAAAATCTCAAGAGATATGGAATAGAAGCATGACCACAACTATGCTTTCCATGCTGAGTTTCTTTTTCTCTCTCTCTCTCCTTTTTTTTTTTTTTGAGACGGAGTCTCGCTCTGTCGCCCAGGCTGGAATGCAGTGGCGCGATCTCGGCTCAATGCAAGCTCCACCTCCCAGGTTCACGCCATTCTCCTGCCTCAGCCTCCCAAGTAGCTGGGACTACAGGCGCCCGCTACCATGCCCAGCTAATTTTTTTGTATTTTTAGTAGAGATGAAGTTTCACCGTGTTAGCCAGGATGGTCTCGATCTCCTGACCTCGTGATCCACCTGCCTCGGCCTCTCAAAGTGCTGGGATTACAGGCATGAGCCATTGCGCCCGGCCTTTTCTTTTTTTTTTAAGAGACAGGGTGTCACTGTGTTTCCCAGGCTGGTCTCAAACTCCTGGCCTCAAGTGATCCTCCTGCCTAGACTTCCCAAAGTGCTAGGATTACAGGCGTGAGCCACAGTGCTGAGCTTTTACGAGTCAAAGTTCACAAATAACTAACCCTCAGAGGATTATTAATGGATATTTGGGATGTTTACCATTAAGGAGGATTAGGTATGCTCACTGAAGCCTAGGGCTGCATGGGGCACAGGGTGAGTCCAGAGGCATGGCTTATGCTCTTGGGTTGGTATGGCCCCATGTCACATCAGAGGGTTACCTACGAAAAGCTAAGCCAGCAAACTGCCTGGCTTCTCCCTTGTTAGGTTCCCCACTAGCCATCCTACTTATCCCCAGTTCATGTCTACACGGAGTAGCACCCACCAGATAGGGAGAGTAGCTCCCTCCTTAGTCTCATGGGGACACAGGGTAAATCCGTATTTGCCTACTCACACAGACAGGCTCAGGCTCAAGAACTGCAAGTGTACACAAACAATCACGTGTCCAGACACACATTCATCCACATGTGCCTTACCCACATGCACTTGGGCACTCTGACCCTGCCCTGGTCAGAGACACAGAGCCAGGGCAGGGCACGCTGACTTCAACAGCTTCTCTGCACCGTGGTTTGTTGACTTTCCATGTAATCTGTAACTTTTCCTTGCCCAACCCTGCTTAACTGGCAGACTGAAGAGCCACCCCAGGATCCACCCCTAAGCACCAGGTTTTTGTGGGGGTAAGGGTTATAGCATTGAGTCTCTTGATAACGTTAACCTTCTCATCTCCAAAACTGGCTAAATACTTGCTATTTCCCTGCTCACACAAGAGTTCCAGCCACCTGGTGCTACTCATCCTGGTAGTGCCCTCTGGAGAAATTCCAATGCCTGTGGGTTCCCCTCTGAGCAGGAGTGGAGTCAGACCTATTCCCCTGAAAAGTCTGACCTCCAAAAAGCTTGTTTGGGAGATGGGACTTCCAAGTAGGCTTGGTCCTCCTACAGCGCCCAGCTTGGAGCTAAGCCAGTTGACATCTGACTATAGGGGAAACCTCGGTCTTTGCTCCAGCAGCAGAGGAAGGGAAGGCGCCAGAGAAGAGGCCACACGGCTTTGGCACCACCGGCTGCAAAGTTTGTGGCGAAAGCCAGAGGATTTCCTCTTTCCTGTTGCCTGATTTTACCCTCACAATTTCTCCCCAACGCCAGCCCCTGGCCCTCGAGAGACACCTAGGCTATGAACTGAGTGGGCCCAGCCATCCCGACCAGAAGTTTCAGCTGTGATCCAGAGGGTCACCCACCTGTCCTGCTAGAAAGGTCTTTTCCCTCTTCCCCTAGACTCTAGCTGGAGAAGCCAAGACCGCTGGTGCTGGGTACCAGGCCCTTTCTCTGAGGTCTGGCTCAAGGGGTATCACCCCCAACAGCTGTGTCATGCTGCCAGCCTCAGAATAAAAAACAGATAAGGCAACTTGGCCTGTTCTTCCCATGTTGACAGCAGCAAAATGCACCAAAGGCCACCCCACCCCTCTCAACTCCTCTGAATGTTGCCCCAAATTTGCTCCCTCGTCCTACCGCTTCCCTAAGTCCCAGCATCAGCTTCTTCATCACCATCTTCCTCATCACTTCAATTTATTGAGCTCTTACCCGATGCCAGACGCCCCAACCCTGTGAGGCAGGTCCTGTTGCCCTCCCCACTTTAAAAATTAGGAAAATGAAGTAGACTGGGTGGAAGGGGAGGAGGAGAGACTTAGCTCTGCAGCACTCTGTCTTTAAGTGGAAAGACTCCTGATACCCGAGGCACCAATACTGCTAGCTTTGCCAGTACTAAATTAAAAATGGGAAGCGGCCATGCTCCTCCCTCCCCCTCCCCACAAGGCACAGAATTTCTGGGAATGCCCTTGTTCCCATGACATAACTGGATTCCCAGTACTGAAGTAGGGGGGCAGAATTTGCTGCATTGACTAAAAATTAACCCAGCCTGCCTGTTCCCTAACCCTGTCCCAAAGGGACTGAGAGCCCAGCTTAGGAACTCCCCGTCCAAACGCTGATCTTTCCGCTGTCCACTCCCCCAGATTCCATGAGTCTAGGATCAGTACCAGGATGCAGAGGTGTGGACTTTTGATGCACACGCCCCGCCTCATCTCTGGTGGCCTCAGTGGTGTTAAGCCACAACCTGGCCAGCACATGGAAAGCTGTGACAGGAGGGCAGGCAGGGGTGGCTGGAGACGGAAAGGGGAGATCTGCCCCTGGGGCAAACAGGAGGCAGCTGGACCATAGCAGCCAAAGAAGGGGGCATGCCAAGTGGCCACCCTCCCCCAGCCACCTGCTGACACTCAGCCCCAAAAGGAAAAGGCAGAAAAAATAGACAGGTACCCTCGACCAAGCTATTCGCGGGCCAGTGGGCCCAAACCTTGGGACCTAAAGCAGACAGTGGCCTACTGACTGTGTAAGGCTAAAAAGATGGGTGGGTAGGGGCTTGGTCGTCTTATCTCACCCACAGACCCTGCAGGGCTGCAGCAGAACTCTAGAGAGTGCCTTTTACATGGTGCCATGTGGCCCAGGTCACAGCAAGGGATTACTTCTATGATGACTAGGAGGTGTGGGAGGGCACGGGCATAGCTTGCTCAGTAGGTACCTCCAGGCTTCCCTCGTCTCTCTCCAGATACCTGCATCCATTGCATGGCTGGAGGCTGGAGGACAAGGCAAGGAGGAAAGGGGGAGGGGCATTACAGACCTTGGCTGTGTCATCCAAAGGGGACCTAAAGCCACCCCATTCCAAGACACCGTTTTTTGTTTTTTTTGTTTATTTGTTTTGTTTTCTTTAGACAGAGTCTCGCTCTGTCACCCAGGCTAAAGCGCAGTGGCACAATCTTGGTTCACTGCAACCTCCACCTCCCGGGTTCAAGTGATTCTCCTGCCTCAGCCTCCCAAGTAGCTGGGACTACAGGCACGCACCACCATGCCCAGCTAATTTTTGTATTTTTAGTAGAGACGAGGTTTCACCATGTTGACCAGGCTGGTCTCAAACTCCTGACCTCAGGTGATTCACCCTCCTCAGCCTCCCAAAATACTGAGATTACAGGTGTGAGCCACTGCACCCGGCCTACTTTTTTTTTTTTTTTTTTTTACGAAATAGAGTCGCCCAGGCTGGAGTGCAATCACGTGATCATAGCTCATTGTAACCTTGAACTTCTCATCTCAGACTCCCAAATACCTGGGACTACAGGCATGAGCCACTGCAGTTGCCTATTTTTTTTTTTTTTTTTTTGTAGAGACGGGGGTCTGGCTATATTGCTCAGGCTGGTCTCGAACTCCTGGCCTCAAGCAATCCTCCCAAAGTGCTGGGATTACAAGCATGAACCTCCACACCCAGCCCCTAGATATTCCTGGAGGCCAGTTTGCATTATATCCAGAGGACAACCACAAAATTCTCATGCCATGCCCTCCCCAAACCCCTAGGGGATCTTATTTTCCTCCACTACAGGATGGAGTATTCCTACCCAACCAGAGGATGAGGTATTCCTACCCAGCCCTTTGAGGGCTCTTCTGTCTTGCATTCAAAGTGCTGAGAGAGGAGGAGGCTACCAGCCATCCTTATCTGGTGCCAGATACCCTCTGGCTGGTGGAGGATGGAGATTCAAAGGGAACGTGACTCTGTTGTACCCCGCGAACCCAAGGGCTCGGCCCTTGCTCCCTCCCAGTCTCAGTACCCCTCCTCTACCATTGCCACTGGCATCTCTGCCCCAAGATTAGCGACTTTCTCCCCCAGGACCCCCCTTCCCAGATATGCTGGGTGCCAGGCTGGCATTTCTCCTAGAATGTTTTCTGCTGACCCATCTCTCCCTACCCAGGGGCAGGAAGGGCAGAGAGGCCCGAGGCCCAGACCCCTGGAGTCCACCTCCTTCCTGTTTTCCCTGCATCCTGCTCTCCTCGGCTGACAAGCTGCAGAGGATTGAGGAAGTGGAGGGTTTGGGTCCCAGGACAGGAAGCTTGGGGCTGGAGTCCCAGCATCCGGACTGCAACAATGGAAGCTTCAAGCACCAGGAAAAGAGACAGAGACAGACAGAGGCACAGGAGAGCAAAACAGGGTCGGAGATGGAATGAGAAACAGAGGCATAGATACAGAAAGACAGACAGAGAGATTCCCAAAGTAACAGGGAAAGACCAACAGTGACAGAGACACAGAGAAACAGCAACAGAAAGAGAGGGAGAGAAGCAGAGCAACTGAAACAGAAACACAGAATAAGGTGGAGAAAGAAACGCACGATGGGCAGAAGACACTGAGGAAAACAGAACTCGAGAGCATGACTAGTGAAACTAGAGGTTGAGAGACAAATCAGGAAGAACAAAAGAGCAAGAGAAAGAAGGAAAAGAGACTGAGAGTCTAAGGAGAAACTGAGAAACAAAAAAAGAAAGTGTAAGAATGAGGTTAGGGCAAGGGCCTTCTCAGAGTCTCTCTCTCTCTCTCTCTCTCTCTCTCTCTCTCTCTCTCTCTCTCTCTCTCTGTCTCTGTGTGTGTGTGTGTGTGTGTGTGTGTGTGTGTGTGTGTGTGTTTCTCTCTCTCTCTCTCTCTCTCTCTGTTTCTCTCCCCTGGCGCCCTGGCCCCTTCTCTATTCCCTATCCCACACACATGAGGCTCCTGCAGCTCTCGGCTAGGAGCCAAGACTTTTCTACCACCTCAAATCCTACCTGCCTGGAGAAAAGAACAGGGGGCCTGTATACCAGGGCAGGCAGAGGTGTCCAGGCCTGGCAGAGGGACCCCTGTCTTCCCACTGCCTCTCAAACAACAAGGTGACCTGGCTCTGGGCTTTGGGGAAGGGCAAGTCTAATGCCCCTCAACGCCAAAGTCCCTCTAATTTGTATGTCCCACTCCACCACTGGACCATGTAAAAAAAAAGTTCAGGCCCTGGCTCCCCAGACCACTGGGATTTCACCCTCGGCCTGGATCAGGAACAGAAAGCTTTCCCCACTCCCTCATCCTCCCCAACACACACCCCACCACCATCCTCCAGTTCTCTGGCCCTAGACAGCTGACTTAACTGGACCTTAATCTGCCACTCCTGCACCAGCAGCCAGGCCTCCCACTGGGACCCCCTTATCAAACAGACAACCCTTGGAGGTTTGAGATGGAGCGATGGGACAGTCTCCCTTGGTGGTGGCAACAGGCTGCTAGGGACTCGGTAGCAGTTTCCTTGATGAGCCTGTCCCATGCCAGTCGGGCCCTGCCACGTACCTGCCTTCTCTTCAACTCATAGGGGATTTTTAAGGGCCTTCCAGGGCGGCTGGAATGGGGAAGAAGCCGCTGGGAAGGGAGCGCACTCAGGAGGGAATTGGGAGGCCAGGGGTACCTTACCAGAGGGCTGCAGGCTTTCCTGGATGGCCTCGATCTCCGCCAGCTCCATGCACACGCCTTGCCCGTGCATCAGTGTGTGCAGGGGCTTCTCCACCCCTCGGGGCGGGTAGCAGCGCAGGCCCGAGCCGCAACGGGGGGTGTACACCCCGCAGGGCATCCCCAAGCCCAGGGCGCAAGTGGCGCAACAGCCGCAGCCCGGCTCTCGCACCAGCTCCTCGCAGCCCACGGGGGGGCGGCAGCGCGCCAGCTTCTCCTCGGAGCAGGGCGGGCAGTGGATGGCTTCGTCGCCCAGGCTCGGCCCGGGCCCGGCGGCCAGCAGCAGGGCGGCCACGAGGCAGAGGGGCAGCATGACCGCCCGAGGACTGGGCGCGGGCGCGGGGCGCTGGGCGCAGGCGGGGAGCGCGGGCGCGCGGGCGAGCGGCGGAGGGCACACGGCGGCAGCGCCTGGCGCTCCTGGAGGACCCGACCCGGAGGGCGCGGGGAGACGGGGCGGCCCGGCGGGCGAACGGGGACGTAGCGGGGGAAGTTAGCAGGCGTGCCGGAGGGGAGCAAGCCTGGCCGCCGAGGCGCTGCGCCGCATCCTCGGCCCGGCCCAGGCAGGCGGCGGGCGGCGAGGGGCAGGGGGCTGAGCGGCTGCCCGGGACCGGCTCCCCCGGACTTTATACCGGTCCCTGGCCACACCCCCAGCGCCTTCCCAGAGGTGGGGGAGCCGGGGCGGGCGAGGGGGAGAGGGAGAGGCGGCCGTTAGGGGGAGGGGGCGCTGTCCTGAGTCGCCGCCGCCGCCGCCGCCGCATCTGAAAGTCCTTTTCTGCCGAAGAAGGAAGCGGCGCAGTTTGGAAGCTGTAGCAGGCGCCCAGAGTGCCTCTGAACCGGAGCCCCGGAGGGGAGGCAAGGGAGAAGGGAAGCCAAGGGGCTGCTGCGGGGCCCCCTTTCCCGACCTCGGAGGAGTCTCGTCCCGCCCCGCCAAGGCGGCCTCAGTCTCCCACCGAGAAAGGGACTTCCTAGCCCGGACTCCCGGCTCTGCGGATCCGGTCTTCCTGGACAGAGCCCTTTCCACCGCACCCCGGTGCTTCCAGCCTCAACCGCTGGAGACCAAGCCTCCTGAGGTGGGGTAAAGCGTACAGGCACAGCTAGGGGCACAGAAAGGCCTGGAGGCCCTAAGACGTTAACAGGCTCTTGCCACTTGCCCCTTGCAACCTCTCCCGCCCCCGCAATCTCCCCAGGGCGCATTTGGGCCCTGGTCCACCCTGCTTCCCCAAGATGGAATCAGCAGAACTCCCGGGGAGGGAGGTGCCGCCGAGCCTCTTCCTCCTTCTTGGATGTTTGCCTCTCAGGCCCATTCAGACCCACTCGTGGAGGGAGGCAGGCCTGGGAGATTGCCACTTGCAATGTGCAAGTTTTGCGTTGAACAACTCCAGTGGGGCACCATTCCTTGTAATCATTGTGTATTTGTAGAGCTGTTGTGATCATTTCCCAGATGGCAGTGAAGGATTTGAGGGGCCTGCAGCAGTGACTCACACCTGTAATGTCAGCACTTTTGGAGGCTGAGGCGGGAGGATCACTTGAGCCCAGGAGTTCAAGACCAGTCTGGGCAACGTAGTGAGACCTTGTCTCTACAAAAAAATTTTAAAATTAGCCAGGTGTGGTGGCGTTCACCTGTGGTCCCAGGTACTCGGGAGCCTGAGGCAAGAGGATCACTTGAGCCCAGGAGTTGGAGGCTGCAGTGAGCTAGAATTGTACCACTGCACACCAGCCTAGGTGAAAGAAGGAAACTCTGTCTAAAAAAGAAAGAAAGAAAGAAGGCCGGGCGCGGTGGCTCACGCCTGTAATCCCAGCACTTTGGGAGGCCGAGGCGGGCAGATCACGAGGTCAGGAAATCGAGACCATCCTGGCTAGCACGGTGAAACCCCCTCTCTACTAAAAATACAAAAAGTTAGCCGGGCGTGGTGGCGGGTGCCTGTAGTCCCAGCTACTAGGGAGGCTGAGGCAGGAGAATGGCATGATCCCGGGAGGTGGAGCTTGCAGTGAGCTGAGATTGCGCCACTGCACTCCAACCTGGGCGACAGAGCGAGACTCCATCTCAAAAAAAAAAAGAAAGAAAGAGAAAAAAGAAGGCCAGGCGTAGTGGCTCATGCCTGTAATCCTAGCACTTTGGGAGGCCAAGGTGGGCAGATCACCTGAGGTCAGGAGTTTGAGACCAGTCTGGCCAACACGGTGAAACCCCATCTCTACTAAAAATACAAAAATTAGCCGGGCGTGGTGGCGCATGCCTGTAATCCCAGCTACTTGGGAGGCTGAGGCAGAAGAATCGCTTGAACCCCAGGAGGAGGAGGTTACAGTGATCCAAGATCATACCACTGCACTCCAGTCCAGGTGACAGAGCAAGACTCTGTCTCAAAAAAAAAAAAAAAAAAGAATTTTAAGGAAGGGATGCTTTTTTAATTCACCCAGTGTTGCTACTTGGGCTAGTGTTGGGCCTGGCTTGACCCTCTGTAAAATCCTATTGATCCCTATTCCCCCAGCCTTGCCCAATCCTGCCCAAATTGAGAAGAGCCCTGGAGTGGCATTTGGAGCAAAGATCCATCTCCTAGGTTCCCTCTCAGGCCCCCGCTAATTCCCACCCATTCTTCCCTACAAAGGCTTCTGCTGTACTGGAGCTGGTTTCAGGTTAAGCGTACCTGTCCAGGAATAATCAGTAACCCACTGTGGATTTTTTTTTTTTTTTGTCTCGGCCTAGAAAGCTGCAGGTCAGCCAAGCTGAAATGCAGTTCAGAGACCCTCTTCCTGCTTCTTCCCCCAGGACAGGGGTCTTTCAGCCTCACGGGGATTGGGCTACCTCCTACTTACTGAGAGATGATTGCAGGGAGATTGGGACTGGCAGCCGGACCTGCAGGACAGACCAAAAAGTTGCAAACTGACGGCACCTACTGGCAACCATCAAGACTGCAGAAGGGCTGGAAAGTGATGGCTGGGGCCAAGATTCTGGGGTTCTCTCCATTCCATCTCATAGATGAAGTGGGGACCCTTCTGCCCCATATGCCTTGGAGAAGGGCAAACAGAACCAGCTTCCTCAAGTCCCTGGGGAAGCCCAGCCTGTGCCTGATTCAGAAAACTGCCCCCAGGCCGGGCATGGTGGCTCACGGCTGTAATTCCAGCACTTAGGGAGGCCAAGGCGGGTGGATCATGAGGTCAGGAGATCGAGACCATCGTGGCTAACACGGGGAAACCTCGTCTCTACTAAAAATAAAAAAAATTAGTCAGGCGTGGTGGCACGTGCCTGTAGTCCCAGCTACTCAGGAGGCTGAGGCAGGAGAATCGCTTGAACCCAGGAGATGGAGGTTGTAGTGAGCCGAGATCACACCACTGCACTCCAGCCTAGGCAACAGAGCAGGATTCAGTCTCAAAAAAAGAAAAAAAGAAAAGAAAACGTTCCCCACCCCATCTCCTTCCTTGATCATCACTGGACCCTGTTCTGCCACCAACTTGCGTGAACTTGGAGTTTGACTGACCTTAGCTGTAACATGGAGGTAGATCATCTCCACCCATCCTACCTCTTGAAGCTCTTGTGAGAGTAAAATGAATGGAGAAGAGTAGTTCTGCTCCCAATGCCAGACATGTGCCCTGTTCAGCAAGCCCAAGAGGAGAAAAGGTGCCAGGACACAGAGGCAGGAGTGCAGGAGAGGCCGGACAAACCCACGCAACATGCCTGGGATGAAGCATGAGTGCAGGTGAGTGTGGGAATCTGCAAAGGTTGCCAGATGAGACAGATTCCCACACCTCAACGCCAGCCCCTCAGTCCATCCTCTGGTGTCCCTCCACCCCTCATCATTGGGTTAATTCCAAGGAGGCAGGAAGATGCACAGGAAAGAGGCCTTCCAAGCACCTCCTACCATTCATGTAACACAGATTTACTGAACGCCTAATATGCACAGGCTTTATGCTACATACCAGGGATGCAGAGATGACCAAGATCACCCCCTGCCCTCAAGGAGCTCACTGCCTAATGAGGGACGATAGTATGTAAATAAAATAAATCTGAGAAGTGTGCAGGTGCCCTGGGAGATGTTCATATGGGGCACAATGGGGATCCAGAGCCACAGGTGGTCAGTTTTACATTCAGGGCATACAGGCTGAAAGTCTTCATTAGAGATGATCCTTTTTCACAAGACGGTGCTGAAGGCAAAGAAAGAATCTCCTGCCCCTCTTAAAGCCGAACTCAAGAAGGCAGTGTTGAAAGGTGTCCACAGCCACAAAAAGAAAGAAGATCCACAGGTCACCCACCTTCCGGCGGCCCAAGACACTGCGACTCCGGAGGCAGCCCAAATATCCTCAGAAGAGCGCCCCCAGGAGAAACAAGCTTGACCACTATGCTATCACTAAGTTTCCACTGACCACTGAGTCTGCCATGAAGAAGATAGAAGACAACAACACACTTGTGTTCATTGTGAATGTTAAAGCCAACAAGCACTAGATCAAACAGGCTGTGAAGAAGCTCTATGACATTGATGTGGCCAAGGTCAACACCCCGATTCAGCCTGATGGAGAGAAGAAGGCATATGTTGGACTGGCTCCTGATTACGATGCTTTGGATGTTGCCAACAAAATTGGGATCGTCTAAACTGAGTCCAGCTGTCCAATTCTAAATATATGTATATCTTTTCACCATAAAAAATAAAAAGAGAGAGATGATCCTTGAGCCAATGGCCTTCCATGCTACAAGAATCAGCACAGTGTGAGTGTCACAATGACCTGGATTCTGACCCCAGCCGTGTCACTGGGCTCACTAGGAAACCTAAAACAAGTTACTTGAGCTCTCTGAGCTTCAGGCCTTATCTGGAAAATGGGACTTTGCAGCAAGAAAGAGAGAGAGACCTATCCAAATTGCCTGGCACATAGTAAGCACCAAGTGTTTGCTCCCTCCTACCCCTCTCCTGCTGGGAACTGTAACTTCTCCACATGGCTGAGACCCCCTGGTGGCAAGACCTGTGTCTCCCCCACTGAACTAGAGGCTCTCAGAAGACTGGGTTTAGTGTCCCCCTTCAGCCTGCAAGTGTCGTGTCTGGGAGAGGCTGTATAAAGAGCATGGGGCCAGGCATGGTGGCTCGCGTCTGTAATCCCAGCACTTTGGGAGGCCAAGGCAGGTGGATCGCTTGAGCGCAGGAGTTCAAGACCAGCCTGGGCAACCTGGCAAAACATTGTCTCTGCAAAAAAAAAATACAAAAACTAGTCAGGCATGGTGGCATGCACCTGTGATCCTAGCTGCTTGGGAGGCTGAGGTAGCAGAATCACTTGAGCCCAGGAAGTCGAGGTTGCAGTCAGCCAAGATAGCTCACTGCACTCCAGCTTGGGCAACAGAGTGAAACCCTGTCTCAAAAAAAAAAAAAAAAAAAAAAATTAGCCAGCTATGGTAGCATGAGCCTATAGTCCTAGCTATTCAGGAGGCTGAAGCAGGAGGGTCCCTTGAGCCCAAGGGTTCAAGGCTGCAGTGAACTATGAGTGCCACTGCACTCCAGCCTGGGTAACAGAGACAGACCTGGTCTCTTAAAAATAAAAAATAAAATTGTTTCTAAAAAGAGCAGGACGGACGCGGTGGCTCACGCCTGTAATCCCAGCACTTTGGGAGGCCGAGGCAGGTGGATCACCTGAGGTCAGGAATTCAAGACCAGACTGACCAACATGGTGAAACCCTGTCTCTCCTAAAAACACAAAAAGTTAGCCGGGCATGGTGGCGTGTGCCTGTAATCCCAGCTACTGGGGAGGCTGAGGCAGGAGAATCACTTGAACCTGGGAGGGGGAGATTGCGGTGAGCCAAGATGGCACCATTGCACTCCAGCCTGGGCTACAGGAGTGAAACTCTGTCTCAAAAAAAAAAAAAAGTTAACACAGTAGTCACAGACTACATGCAGGATAGGGATCTAAGTGCTTCACTCATGAGCACTTCACAGCAACCTCGTGAACTAGGCACTATCACCATCCCGTTTTTAAGACAAGGAAACAGAGGCATGGAGAGGTTTGTAACTTACTCAGAGTCACACAGCAAGTAAGTGGAAGAACAGGGATGTGAACCCAAGCAGTCTGGCTCCAGAGTCTGTACTATTAGCCCCTATGCTTTACTGCCTTTCAAAACAGCTGTCAGAGCACTCTAATGCCAACAAGGGCAAAAGAGTCTGACACAGAGTACAAGCTGGGTGGGGAGATCAGGGCAGAGGTGGCATTGGTAGGGGACTGGGCCCCAGGCCTCCTCATAACTTTGGCCTCCCAGCCCCTTTCCTGATTGCCCTGGAATGTCCACTGTGCCCACACTGAGTAGAGGATCTTAGCTCCCCTCCATGTCAGCTGACATCCAGGTCCCAGACAGGGCACCCCCACAGTCACCGCAGATGTGGGCTGAGCAATGGTGTATCAGTACAGCTGCCTTCCTGCCCACCAGGGCCCCATACTTGGAGAGACCAGATCAAGAGAGCCAGGATCTCCATAGAGACAACACAGTGCAGAGGGAGGCCTGGTCCAGCCCAGTCCCAGACTATGGAGCCTGGGTCCTTCCCTGGGAACACATGGTTCCAGAGGTGAACACCCAGGCAAGAGAGGGGGAGGGGAGAGGAAAGCCATCCACAGTTGGGCTGGCCAGGATCCAGTTTCATATCTCCAGGCCATCCTGCTTAGCTGCTCACCAGCTTTGTGACCACTTCCTGTTCCTTAGCTTCAGTTTGGCCATCTGTAAAATGGGGGAAGGCAACTTGTTGAATTGTGAAGGCCCTTCCAGCTCTGGCAATCTAGGAATCTAGGACCTCCGGATTCCTTTTGCATGGTCCAAGGCCCCATGCTGGCATGGCTTCCAACACTCCAGAGCCTGCAACGCTTCCAGGCCAATTGGCACCAACAGGAGCGCTTTCTCATTGTCCAAAGCTTAAGCAGGAGACAAGCCAAGTGAATGATGTTGGGCCCTGTGAGAGTTCTGTCACCACCCCGAGAAGTGATGAGGCTAACCCAAGAGTATACAGCTAGCAAGTAATTGAGCCAAGACTTGTGCCAAATACATTTATTGCCTGCTACAATCTTAGCCTTCTTTGACCGTGAGCTTTGGGCTCAGAACTCGAGAAAGATGGGGGTAGGAGCAGAAGAAGAAAGTGCAACCTGGGAAAATCTTGCAGAGGACACTTGCAGAAACGACGACACACAGGGCACTTTGAGCAGAGAGAGCCAGAGGTTGGGCTGGGAAGTCGTTTGCCCTGCTTCCCCTAATGCTTGTTGAGTCAGAGGGCAGGTGGCCTGACAGATCAGAGGCCCAGAATCAGAGCAGACACCCTGTCCACATTCCCTAGAGGGCCTCCAGGCCCTGAGTCCTGTTTCCCCAACCCTGAGGAAAAAAGTGCCACCTTCCCCTTAGGAAATCCTAAAGAGACCAAGGGACCTCTGAACCCAGGGAGTCCTCCAAAAGGGCTTTAGGCTTAGAGACGCCCCCACAGAGGGGGCATAAGACTTTAGACTCGTAAGCCCCCAGAGTTTGCTGGACCTTCAGAGTGATCTCCAACACCCATGCGCACAGGGCCCTTACTCCCCAGCTGCATGCCTCCCCCTTTCCCCACCAGCAGTAGGAGCTTACAGATAGCACCAGTCATGCCTTCTGCATATGCCCAGACTCTCTTCTGGCCCCATCATTCCATAGCCAGAGCCAGGATCCTTCATGCCAGCGTCTATGCCTCATCCTTTCTCTCCTCCTTACCCCTGCCCACTTCATCCCAACCTTCCTCTTCTCCCTTCCCAAAAGAACATCCTGGCCTGAGGGGCCTCTCAAGATTGGTAGTGACCAGACATCCCAATCCCACTTGGAAAAGTAGGGAAGGGCCTCCAGGAAAGGTGAGGGGACTGCAAGAGAGGAAAGGGAGTAACGGCGTGCCTCCATTTCCTCATCTGTGAAATACGCAGTGCATGGGATTGTTAGGAGAAACTGTACGGAGTAGGTGGTAAGAGTGCCTGCTTCCAGTTATGCCTCATTTAATACATACACATGGAAAAACATAATGGGAAACCACTCCATACCCACCAGATGGGTAAAAAAATAAAATACTGACAATACCAGAATGTGGAGTAAGGGGATTCTCATATAATGCTTGTAAGAAAACAAATTTGTACAACCACTGAGAAGCAACCAGTAATTCCACCCCTAGATATATACCCAGCAGAAATGTGTGTGTGTGTGTGTTCCAAAACACATGTTCAAGAGTGTCACAGCAGCACTCTTCAGAATAGCCAGAAATGGAACCAACAGTAGAATGGTTAAGTCTCGACTTGAATATGCTGTTGATACATCCATCGATATAGACAAATCATATGTTAGCAAAAGATTACTGCTGTATCACTCTATATAAACTCAAAAACAGGCAAAACTAATGCTACGGTTTGAATGTCTTCTCCAAAACTCATGTCGAAATGTAATCACCGTTGTGACAGTATTAAGAAGTGGGACCTTTAAGAGATGATTAGGTCGTGGGGGCTCTACTCTCATAAATGGATTCATTGTTATCACAGGAGTGGGCTAGTTATCATAGGAGTGGGATCCTGATAAAAGGATGAAGTTTACACCGTAATCTCAGCACTTTGGGAGGCCAAGACAGGAGGATCACTTGAGCTCAAGAGCTTGAGACCATCCTGGGCAACATGGCAAAACCCAGTCCCTACGAAAAATACAAAAATTAGCTGGGTGTGGTGGCGTGCACCTGTAGTCCTAGCTACTCAGGAGGCTGAGGTGGGGGAATCACCACCTGAACCTGAGGAGGTGGAGGCTGTAGTGAGCTGTGATTGCACCACTGCACTCCAGCCTGGGCAACAGAGTAAGGCCCGGTCTCAAAAAAACAAAAACAAAAAAAAAAACGGTGCCAGGCACAGTGGCTCACGCCTGTAATCCCAGCACTTTGGGAGGCTGAGGCAGGTGGATCACCTGAGGTCAGGAGTTCGAGACCAGCCTGGCCAACATGGCAAAACCCCGTCTCTATTAAAAATACAAAAATTAGGCAGGCATGGTGGCACACACCTGTAGTCCCAGCTATTCGGGAGGCTGAAGCGGGAGGATCACTTGAATCCTAGAGATGGAGGTTGCAGTGAGCCGAGATCATGCCACTGCACTCCAGCCTGGGTGACAGAGCAAGACTCCATCTCAAAAAAAAAAAAAAAAAGGATGAGGTTTGGCCTCCTTCTGTGTCTCACACACTTGCTTCTGCCCTTCTGCCTTCCACCATGGGAGGACCCTTGCCAGATCCCAGTGCAGTGCAATGCTCTTGGACTTTGCAGCATCCAAAACCATGTGCCAAATAAACTTTTATTGTTTATAAATTACCCAGTGTGTGGTATTCTGCTATAGCAGCAGAAAACAGACTAAGACAACTAATCTATATTTTTAGAAATCAGGATAAAGTTTACATGTGGGGAGAGGAGTGAAGGTAGCCTTATGGGGTACAGGTAATATTATTTAGTTACAACCTCACTAAGTGAACATTTATTGAGCTAGACATTTCTCATTTCTGCACTTTTCTGTATGCATGTTATACTTCCATTTTTACTGAAAAAAAAAAAAAAAGGCTTTTCCTTTTTATTTTTTTAAAGAGTGCTGACTCTCAAGTCAGCCTGCCTGGGCTGGATTCCTGGCAGCAGAAACCAGGATAAGTTAGCCTGTGCCTCAGTGTCCTCATCCTTCATATTAAATGAACATCATTATAGTGTGGCTATGATGACTAAATGAATGAATCTGCATAAAACACTGAGAATGCTGCCTGCCAAACATTAAGCGCCCAATGAGTGTTAGTTATTAGCCATGACCAGCCAAGTGAATGAGATTAAGAGCCTGGAGCCAAAAGGCCTGCACTGAATCCTGGATTTGCCATTTACTAGCTCTGTGACTTTGGCAAAGTGGCATCCTCCCTCTTATCCTCAAATGCCCTCAGTTGTAAGAGAGATAATGCCAGCCCAGCCTGATAGGGCTGTGCAGAAACCTACTGAGACAATGTGTGTAAAGCACTAAACACAGTGCCTGGCATGGAGTAAGGCTCAATGCCTGTTATTATGATCATTGATTACCATGGTAACCCTATAAACCCATTTTATAGATGGGGCTCCAGGTAGTAAAAACATGGGCTTAAGGTCACATGCAACTCAATGTCATTCAAACTCATTTTTGGGACAACAGAGCCTGTGTTGCATTCACACCCAGCCTCCAACTTGCACCTCCCGCTCCCCACCTCCAGAGGCAGCACAGCCTTGGAGACTTTTCCCCAAACCCAATCAGCACCTTTTCCTCCTGCCCAGTGGGCCCTGCTACCACAGAAGCCCTTGTCTTTCCAACTCCAGTTGTCAGATTCTGTGTGCCCAGAGGGGGTTGTGTCTTCCCTGCTGGCCCAGCTCTAGCGCTAACCTGAGAGTTCTGGTGCCCTCAGTCAGGGTGCATCCCGGGCCCCAGATCTAACCTCAGCTACGCGAAGAAAGGGTCTCAGAGAGAAGCCACAGAGCCCAGCAGGCTTTCCATGCCAGGGGCCTCTTTCACTGCAGTCTCCTTTTGTCTTTGGCCTGAGAGAGGTAAAGATGACTGGTTGATGGCTGGAGAGAACTTGACGGCAGAGGAACAGGGCTGGGTAGGCCCAGCAACAAGGCCTATTACACCTGGAACTCCTAATCCACAGAGCCTCTGTCTCCTCTCCTGAAGCCTGGATTCACTCCCTTGGTCTGCACCATTTTCAGAGACTTGATGTTTGGAGCCAGTAATCTTTGAGATCTGTGTGGGCTGTTCCTTACCCCCACCCAGTCATGATGATCTAAAGAGCAGCAGAAGCTGGGCCCCAAGCCAGGGGAAAGCCAGACAGCCTGAAATGGAAAAGAGCTTTGCTCCCAGCTTGGGATGCACAAACTGTGGGGCAGTCTGCACTGGTCCTGCAGTCCGAGCCAAGGGTTCAGATCTCAGCTCTGTCCTTATTAGCTGTGGGCTTGTCTCTTCACCACTGTGAACCTCAGTTTCCTTATCTGTAAACTGGGGATGCTATTCCCTACTTCACTCTGGCAGGCTGTTAAGGAGGATCAAATGAGGCTGTCTATTAAAATGACAGACTTGTATACCAGAAAGCAGGTTACAAATTGATGGTGTCCTTATTATGACCCTCTTGGGTCTCTTCTGATGCTAAGATTCTATGATGATTTGGAGTGAAAGGATAGAGAGAAGAGGAGGGAGTACTAGCAAGGGAAAAACCAAGAGAGGGAGGGGCTGAAAGAGGGAACAGGACAGAGAGATGGAAAGGCACAGACAGGTGAATAGATGTGATGAAATGAAAAACTTGCAGAGGTGGGAGAGATTTAGAAACAGATATGAAATCAGATATCAGAAAACAGATATGAGTAGGTGGTGGGTGGATGACAGGTGATGGCATTATTTGGGTAGAAGAGTGGTTGAAGGTCCTGTGAATTAAGGGTCTGGGGTAAAGTCTCCCTCTTCATTCATTTGTTCATTCTTCAGAGGAAAGAATGAGGTAGTAGCTGTCAAGCTAGACCAAGTCTCAGAGCCCACATCTATCCATCAGGCTTGCTCCCAGCAGCACCCAAGAGCCCTCTGAGGGCAATGGACTGGAGGATGGGTTTCTGCTGTTCCTCAAGTCAGACCCCTGGGTTCTGAGTCCAAAGTCCGAGGCAGGGGTCAGCTACCTGGAATGCTGGTCCCCTGCCCCCACTCCCCACCCTGACTTCCACTAATGAATGGGAGTTTCATTAGGCTCTTTCAGGCCACACTGACCTGTACTCCTCAGTACCTGGCTCCTACACAGGCAAACAAGTAAGCAGGCATGGGATAGGGGAGGGAGAGAAGGTGTACAGCCTGAAAAGGTGAGATGGTCAGGGAAACAGATGGATGCTGGGTAGAGGCACACAGCACTCCACCCCCTCCTACTCCTCTCTTCTTGGGCCCCACCCTATTGCCTCCCAAGGACCTTATGTGGAATGTCAGAGCTAGGGAGAAAGTGACAGGTTCATGTGACCCTATTCCCCACCACATGAGGAGGCATCACTGGCTTTCTCACCCCATCCCCCAGGTCAGCTTGCCGCCCCGTTGCAGTCATCTATGGTTACACCTCTCTTTGGGCCTTAGTTTTCCCATTTGTACAATGGGGAGGTGGGACTTAGTAATCTAAAAGCCAGCCTGATTCTAACCTCTCTTCCAAGCCTATCTCATCCTGCTCCCAACTCACCTTCTGGATGTGCCTGCCCTGCTGGGCCCCCTGAATGTCAGATAAGTGCCACCCTGGGTGAGAAATCTCTGGGCCTTTGGGATCCTCTGGGATGGCAGTGGAGGGGAGGTGGGTGAACAAAAGGAAGACTAAGGAGCTGGAGTGAGACAGAAAACCCTCTCCTCCCTGCTTCCATCTCTACTGCATGTCCCATTTGTTCCAGCAGGGAAAGCAGGGGCAGAGGAGTACCCCAGGACAGAATGGGCCTCTGGCTTTCCTGGTGAAAGGGAGCTTTAGGGATCCTAAGATTCCCTGCTCCTTAGGAACTCCCCAGGGGACCCCCAGACCCTCCTCAGAGACCCTAGCCTCCCAGCACCCTCTGTGGCTCCTGATTAGCACTACTTTTGGAAGGAGCAGCTAGACCAGCGGTGAGGGTGGATGGTATGCAGTTGGTAGGAAGTGGGTGGTGAGTTGACGGTAGGCAGACAAATGGGTGGATGGTGAGTGGGTGGGGAGGAGAGTGAATGGTGGATGGGGCTGAATGGATGGTGGGTGGGTAATGAGTAGGGTGGGTGGACGACAGGTGATGGTATTATTTGGGTAGAATTGTGGTTGAAGATCCTGTGAATTAAGGGTCTGGGGTAAAGGTGATGACAGGAGTCTCAAGCTAAGAAACCATATTGTCTCTAACTATAGAGACCATCTCTATATTTACACCCAAGTGCTGGGATAGGACCTGGAACTCAGTAGCCCCACCCCCAGGACCATCTTGGATTTCCCTAAGTGATCTCAGGGCCGTGGGCACTTTCCCGTGTGCACGCTCTACTCCCAGCAGGGTTCCCAGGCTTGGCCCCACTGACTGCCCCTGTAAGAGACCCCTACCTTCGAATACACACCCCTACTTCTGTGGTTCACATCCATGACTCCAGCCTCTTCTTCCAGTTGCAGGGTGGAATTGGGCCTCTGGACCTCCTGGCAGACCAGGATCTCTATGACCACTAGGACCTTAGGTCTACTCTGGCCATGAAGGGCCCCAGGACCACCCTAGATGCCCAGGAGTTTCTGGGCTGCCAGGAACCCTGTGGACACTGGGCCTTTCAGGGTTGCCCAGCCCAGACAAGCTCCTGGGAATCCATGGAGCTCAAGAACCAGTGAAGCCTCTGGGCCAGGGTCTCCTCAAGGACAACCAGGCCAGCCAGGTCTACAGGTGAGAAGAAGCCACCTACCCTGCCAGCCCACTCCTCTGTCCCAAGCCCTCCTGAAACCTCCCTTGACACCCCCCTTGTAACTTATCTTAGGTGACTGCTCACTTATCACTGAGCTTTTTAGCCACCCTTTCTCTAGATATCCGATTGCCACAACTAGAGTATGAGTTAAGAGACATTGATGGCCGGGTGCAGTGCCTCACACCTGTAATCCCACCGCTTTGGGAGGCCAAGGATGGAGGATCACGAGGTCAGGAGATCGAGTTCATCCTGGCTAACATGGTGAAACCCCATCTCTGCTAAAAATATAAAAAACTGTCTGGGCATGGTGGTACGTACCTGCAGTCCCAGGTATTTGGGAGGCTGAGACATGAGAATAGCTTGAACCTGGGAGGCAAAGGTTGCAGTGAGCCAAGATCGTGCCACTGCACTCCATCCTGGGCAACAGAGCGAGACTCCATCTCAAAAAAAAAAAAAAAGAGAGAGAGAGAATCGACAACTGCGTCTTTCTTTCTTCCCCTTCCCCTTGTTTCTTCAGTCTCTTCCTTCCTTCTCTTTCTTTAGCATCCCCTCCCCCATCCTTCCCTGCATCTTTTCCTACAACAAATGCTGCTTACATGGATGACACCGTGTCCTACACATCCCTGTGTGTTCGGAAACTGACGCCTAATAGATGCTCAGTCATGCCTATTGGCTCACTAACCCTGTACCTCACTCCCCTAGGATCTCCCCCTGGGGGGTTCCCCAGGGGCTGGAGAGCTCATCTTATCCTGTATTCTACCCCCCTTCCCAATACAGGATAGAAGAGAGAGCAAGGCTTGCATAGTGGGAGAGGCTTGGAGGGGCCTCCTGGAGCCTCTAGTCCACCTGGAAAGGTGATCTATGCTCAGGTGGGTCTCCCTGAGAGAACAGAAGAGGCCCGTGTCCTCAGGCCAAGGCTCCCTTTCTTTATGGCTGCCCTTTCCTCTTTCTCTTTTACCTCCTTGTGATGGTTAGTACTGAGTGTCAACTTGATTGGATTGAAAGGTGCAAAGTATTGATCCTGGGTGTGTCTGTGAGGGTATTTCCAAAGGAGATTAACGTTTGAGTCAGTGGGCTGGGAAAGGCAGACCCACCCTTAATCTGGCTGGACACAATCTAATCAGCTGCCAGCACAGCTAGGATAAAAGCAGGCAGAAGAATGTGAAAATACTAGACTGGCTTAGCCTCCCAGCCTACATCTTTCTCCCATGCTGGATGTTTCCTGCACTCGAACATCAGACTCCAAGTTCTTCACCTTTGGGATTCGAACTGGCTTCCTTGCTCCTCAGCTTGCAGATGGACTATTGTGGGACCTTGTGATCATGTGAGTTTAATATTCCTTAATAAACTCATATATATATATATAAACTCATATATATATAAACTCATATATATATACTCATATATATATATATGTATATAATATCCTATTAGTTCTGTCCCTCTAGAGAACCCTGACTAATACACTCCTCTTCCTCCTCAAAACAACATCCTCAAATATTCCTGTCAAATATCACCTCCTACCATTAGGGATTAATTCCCTTGGCTTTGAGGAAGCAGTGTGTACAGTAGAACATCCAATAGACCAGGAATTGTGATCTTACACATGTCAATTTTTTTTTTGAGACGGGGTCTTGCTCTGTCACCCAGGCTGGAGTGCAGTGGTGCGATCTCACCTCACTGCAAGCTCTGCCTCCCGGGTTCATGCCATTCTGCCTCAGCCTCCCAAGTAGCTGGGACTACAGGCGCCCGCCACCATGCCCGGCTAATTTTTTGTATTTTTAGTAGAGACAGGGTTTCACCACATTAGCCAGGATGGTCTCCATCTCCTGACCTCATGATCCACCCGCCTCGGCCTCCCAAAGTGCTGGGATTACAGGCGTGAGCCACGGTGCCCAGCCACACATGTCAATTCCTATATGTCAGTGAAGCCTATGAAAATGTCTTTCTCGGCCGGGCGCGGTGGCTCACGCCTGTAATCCCAGCACTCTGGGAGGCCGAGGTGGGTGGATCATGAGGTCAGGAGATCAAGACCATCCTGGCTAACACGGTGAAACCCCGTCGCTACTAAAAAATACAAAAAATTAGCCAGGTGTGGTGGCGGGTGCCTGTAGTCCCAGCTACTCGGGAGGCTGAGGCAGGAGAATGGTGTGAACCCAGGAGGCAGAGCTTGCAGTGAGCCGAGATCGCACCACTGCACTCCAGCCTGGGCAACAGAGCGACTCCATCTCAAAAAAATAAAAATAAAAGAAGAAGAAAATGTCTTTCTCTTCTCAGAATAAATAATTCCAGATGCCTCCCCTGCCCTCTCTTCTCTCACCTATCTGCTCATAATTTAAGCCATTGGCAATACCCTGCCACTCCCCTCATTGTTTCATCTGCTCCACTTCTCTCAAAGTTCTCTGGCAGAAGTGGATGCTCTCCCTCCTCCCTACTGCCTCTAATGCCACCATCATTACCCCTAGCACCTTCTGCCTCCAGGTGTTCCCCCAGTAACAGAAGAAGGAAGGTGTCTACAGAGACACTCTGTGACTGTCCCCTGTGACTGTTTTGCCTCCGCTTCTAGAGGACAGACATAACCTGGTTCCTCAATCAGACCCCTGCTGACATTTTATCCACTTCCCAGCTAGGAGCAGGGTTCATTAGCCCTAGTGGAGAATTCCTCTCCCCTTTTACCTATGAGATGCAGCCCTACTCAAGAGAAGCTTTCTCTGAGACCCTTGCAACTGACCCCTTTTTCCCCTTCTGGGTTTTCTTTCCTGCAGCTTCCTCACTGGGTGTCTTAGTCTGTTTCATGCTGCTATAACAGAATACCTGAGATTAGATAATTTATTTAAAGCATGGATTTATTTCTTACAGTTCTAAAGACTGGGAAGTCCAAGATCAAGGGGCCTGCATCTGGTGAGGGCCTTCATGCTGTGTCATCCCATGGCAGAAGGCAAAAGGACAAGAGAGCAAGAGATCAAACTTGCAGCCTCAGCCTCAAGTCCTTTTATAATTGTCATTAATCCATTCATGAGCACGGAGTTCATGACCTACAAACCTCCCGTTAGGCCCCACCTTCCAACACTGTTGTGTTGGGGATTAACTTTCCACACATGCTTTTTGAGGGACACATTCAAACCGTAGCACTGGGTCTTTGAGTCCAAGGTAGAGATGTTCCTGCATAGCCCCAGTGTCCCCAAGGACAGCCCAGCTGATGCCAGCAATGAGTACTGTACCTTCCACTGAATCCAAAGAGGATGCAGCAAACTGCTGGTACAGTCATCCCTGGCTTCCATAGGGGCATAAGCAGAGGCTTGTGTGGACATTTCCCTTCACTTAGGGGTTTGACAGCCCAGCCACCTGGCCAGAGAGCTGGCTTTCCTGCACAAGGGGTCTGGTAGCTGGGTGTGCTGCCTCCAGGTGGACAATGATAGTGCTAATAATACCATTCACAGAAGGCCTCCAGTGGGTGGGCATTGTACTAGGTGAGGGTACCAAAGAAATAAGTAAATCCCTGACTTTAGAAGAGCTTGTGGTTTGAAGTGGGAGACCTGTGGGTAAACACACAGTGCTGTGTAATAGAGAGAAATGCACAGGAAGCCAAGAAAACAAAGACAAACCAAGGCTGGTTAGAGCAAGCTTCAAAGGAAGGTGATATTGAGCTGGGTGTGTTGGGTGACAGAATCCCAGCTTACTCTGCAGGCTGAGGCAGGAGGATCCTTGAGCCCAGGAGTTTGAGGTGATCTTGAGCAACATAAGAAGACCCCATCTCATAAATAAGTAAATAAATATTTTTTTTTAAAGGAAGTGACATTGGATCTGTGTCTTGAAAGATCAGTAGAAATTCACAATCTTGGGGACACTGCCTAACTCTTGCAAGCCTGAGTTGCCTTAGTTTAAAGGATTGTTGTAAAGATTAGGGAGAAAGTTATGTGCAGTGCTTATAATTGGCATTCAACAAACTATAATCAGCAAAACTATTGTTGGAAATAGAGTGTGTATCAGTCAGGATTCCCATCTTCCTGCTCCTGTAGCTTCTCTCATGATCAGGAAGGAAGACAGAAAACCACATAAGCAGCACTTAACTCCAGGCCTTTGGGAAACACCATTATTTTCTTCAATCCTAAACAGAAGGATCTAACTTTCTATTTTCTTCAGGTGAATAATTTGCTCCTAGCACCACTCCACCCTTTCCAACCTGCCTAGTGTCTCAGATCGTCAGTGAAGGGGACCCTGTAGACATAAACTGGCCCTGATTGCCTTGGAGATAGCAGCAGGGGGGGACAACTGCCGGATAACGTCGGAGGGAAGACGCTCCAGAGACGTACTTTTTTATTCCTCTTCCGAGGTAGAGGATTCCAATGCAGAAGTTCCTCGGTGATGACCTTCCATGTTCCACAGTGACCAAATAAAACATACTGAGGGCGATCATTCAAGTAGCCTGAGGACTATCAAGATACTCAGTCCAGTTCTGCCTCCCTTTCCTGGTGTGAAAAGCTGAGAGAACAGAGAGGCCCAGCCCTGGCCTCTGCTGTCAGATGGGAGGGCTACTTTACCACTTCCATTCTGTGGGCTGCAGAGGAAGGATGTAGGGAGCTGGAGAGTTTAGGGGTGAGGAAGCAGCAAGGGGCTCATTATGTTTGCCCAGGTCTTGCTGATCAAGTCTCCAGCAGGCATAAAACTAAGGCCAAGCTCCAGTTCCAGCAGCTGCCATCGGCAGGCACTGGTGCCAGAGAGGGGCAATTGGGGATGTCTTAGGGAGCTGGCAGAGCCCCAGCCATACCACTAGGCCACGAGATGGGGGAAGGGATGTCACATAAAGAGTGAAAAGGATCCGTGGCCCTCCTCTGCCTCCCCATACACCAGGGTTCAGCCCCGATGGGCTTGAGCTCCTCTGCAGCCCTGGTTGGGCTCTGTGGGGGGGAAAGGAAGACAAAGCTGCAGGCATACCCTGATTTAAACCAACTCAATAAATGAAAAGTCATATTTGGAATTACAGTGTCAGAACTTGAAAAGCCCTTAACAGTAATTTACCCATTAATTTTAAAAATCTAAGCAGTGGAGCCCTGTGTTTAATGAAGTTTTACACAGAACCTAAAATATGAAAAGATGAAAGTGGGACTGTTCTGGATTGGTTAACTGGGCCTCACCTCCTCCAAGTGCTTTCACTATCACCTCTCTCTTTTTTTTTTTTTTTTTTTTTTTTTTTTGAGACGGAGTCTCACTCTGTCACCCAGGCTGGAGTGCAATGGCGCGATCTCGGCTCACTGCAAACTCCGCCTCCCGGGTTTGCACCATTCTCCTGCCTCAGCCTCCCGCATAGCTGGGACTACAGGTGCTCACCACCATGCCCGGCAAATTTTTTTTTTTTTTTTTTTTTGTATTTTTAGTAGAGACAGGGTTTCACTGTGTTAGCCAGGATGGTCTCCATCTCCTGACCTGGTGATCTGCCCGCCTCGGCCTCCCAAAGTGCTGGGATTACAGGCGTGAGCCACCATGCCCGGCCTCACTATCACCTCTCTGAGACTGTGAAGAAGGCATTTTGCAACCCAATCCTCTAGCTGGGGTACCTCAACTTCAGTTTACAGGTGGGGAAACTGAAAACTAGAGAGAGAAGGGGATTTACCCAAGCTCGTGCAACTAGGGACAGCAGAGCTGGTCTGGGACTTCTCACCACAGCACAGTGTCCCTTACTTTGGTCCAAAGATTTAACTTTTCTGCAGAGTTCTTAGCACTGAGTTCCCAAGTCTACTGATAATCTATCTTTATCTATAAAAATTACATTCTTACACAAACGTGTATAGACAGGTATGCCTGCCTTCAATGAGGTGGGGGAAGGTGACAGGGGTGAGAAGGGTGACCTTACTTTTAAATTTTCAAATAGGAGGAAAAATACAAAAAGCAACTCTTGGCTGGGTGCAGTGGCTCACGCCTGTAATCCCAACACCTTGGGAGGCTGAACTGGGAGGACCACTTGAGCCCAGGAGTTGGAGACCAGCCTGGGAAACATAGCAAGACCTCGTCTCTAAAAAAAACATTTTTTTTAATCAGCCAGGCTTGCTGGCACAGGCCTGTAGTCCCAGCTACTTGGGAGGCTGAGACAGGAGAATCGCTTGAGCCCAGGAGTTTGAGGCTGCAATGAGTCATGATGGTGCCACTACACTCCAGCCTGGGCAACAGAGCTGAAACTGTGTCTCAAAAAGAAAGAAGAAAGGAAGTCTTCCTTTCCCTCCACCTCCTTACAATTCCTTCCAGATATTCTCAATCCATATATATATACATATATATATACTCAATCCATATATATACACATATATGTGTATACACATATATGTATATATAATATATACACATATGGGTATACACATATATGTATGTATAATATATATAATTTTATTTACTCAAATGGAATTATGCTCTAGACAGTATTTGCCTCACTTTTTAAAAAACTTAACAGTATATCTTAGAGATACCTCCATATCAGTACACTTAGACCAATGTCCATCTCTTTAATAGCTGCATATCATTTCATTCCATTAGCTTGCTGCCAGTTATTTTCTATTAAAAACAATATTGCAATAAATAGGCCGGGTGCAGTGGCTCACACCTGTAATCCCAGCACTTTGAGAGGCCGAGGCGGGTGGATCACTTGAGGTCAGGAGTTCGAGACAAGCCTGGCCAACATGGTGAAACCTCATCTCTTCTAAAAATACAAAAATTAGCTGGGCGTGGTGTCATGTGCCTGTAGTCCCAGCTACTCAGGAAGCTGAGCCAGGAAAAATCACTTGAACCCAGGAGGCGGAGGTTGCAGTGAGCCGAGATTGCACCACTGCACTCCAGCCTGGGCGACACAGCAAGAATCCGTCTCAAAAAAAAAGAAAAAGAAAAAGAAAAGAAAAAGAAAACCACCAACATTGCAATAATCCTATACATATGTACATACATCTTTGCACAATTCCACAACTGAATTGAATTGATTGAATTCAGTATTCCTAGAATTTAAACTGCTGAGTTACAAGGTGTGTACATTTTAAAATTTTTGATGGATAGGGAACTTCTGTGCAGACTTAGGGATTACTCAACTCTGGTCCTGAACTGCTCCCCTCTGTAACCTCCCTTGCTCTCCTCCCAACTTTGTCCACATTTCTTTGACAGGGGCCACCTAGAGGCTAGGCTGTATGGGACATTTTGGGTTTTCTTGGCCTCCTCCAACCAGAGGCTGGTATCCCTGGTAAAAAAATAAACAAATAAAAATAAATAAATAAATAAACTGACCAGGCTCGCCAGTTGTCAACCTCAAGGTAAACAGAGCTTCTTGGCCCAGCCCTAACCACCTGAGTACTCTGGCGCTGGCTCAGCCTCATCCAGGAATTCCCAGTGGGCTCCAGCCTAGCCAGCTCCAAACCCCAAATCCAGAGCCACACTTTCAGTCCAGCCTCCTTCTGCTGGGAAAGCCTGCAAAAGAGAAGAAATGCTGCTCTTTCTAGGGGACCTTCCAGATCCATGAAGGGGACACTATGCCTCCAGGACCTTCCCTCCCCTTGCCAAAGAGCAGAAAGAACGGAAGCACACAACCCAGGAGAAAACAACCAAAGAATACTTATAAAAGGAACTTATCTGCATATGCAAATATACCTCAAAAGACTTGAGGAGGTTCAATGAAAAAGACTGTCAGAGAAGGCTCCCTGGGTAGGAGAATTTTGAGCTGGTTTTGGAGAAGGAATTGGTGGGACTAGCAGGGAAGGAAGATCCTGGAAAGGAGCAGAGGTAGTCATTGTTAACATGTCTTGAGCACTTATTACTTGCCAGACAATGCACTAAGAATTTGGTGTAAGAATTTTGCAGAGTGGGGCAGGGTGGGTGGATAATGAGGATAGCTCACCCTATGAAGAGCAGGAGGAGGTACTCCCATTATCCCCATTTTAGATTGTTAAAAATTATAGGCCGGGCGCCGTGGCTCACGCCTATAATCCCAGCACTTTGGGAGGCCGAGGCGGGTGGATCACGAGGTCAGGGGTTCGAGAATAGCCTGACCAACATGGTGAAACCCCATCTCTACTAAAAATACAAAAATTAGCTGGGCGTGGTGGTGGACACCTGTAATCCCAGCTACTCAGCAGGCTGAGGCAGGAGAATTGCTTGAACCTGGGAGGTGGAGGTTGCAGTGAGCCAAGATCACACCACTGCACTCCAGCCTGGGCGAAAGAGCGAGACTCCGTCTCAAAAAAAAAAAAAAAAAATTATGGGAGGTTGGCTGGGAGCGGGGGCTCACTCCTGTAATCTCAGTGCTTTGGGAGGCCAAGGCAGGCAGATCACTTGAGGTCAGGAGTTCAAGACCAGCCTGGCCAACATGGCGAAACCCGCCTCTACAAAAATTAGCTGGGTGTGGTGGTGCACGCCAGTAATCTCAGCTGCTGCAGAGGCTGAAGCAGGAGAATTGCTTGAGCTCGGGAGACCGAGGTTGCAGTGAGCCGAGATCGCACCCCTGCACTCCAGCCTGGGCAATAGAGTGAGACTCCGTCTAAAAAAAAAAATTATGGAGGCCATTGTTTTCAACTGAGCTCCTACACTAGGCCCCAAAAGACTAGACCAAACCAAGATGGAGTAATTCGTGCTAAATGCCATGTAATCCAACTGAAACTTTAAAGAAGCAGATAGATTCCAAAACAGACCACTTTTTCCTGAAAACAGGAGAGTCCAATCTACCTAAGTCAGTTTAATAAGGAAGTCCCCTCTGCTTTAACTCCACAAAAAAGTAACCTGAAGTACCTGATGTTAACCAATCAGGTTTTTTCCTATTGCTGTTTCCTGGTTCCCACCTTACAAAACCCACCATTCTGCTATTGCCCAATGGAAGCTTTCATTCTATTTTGTAGAATGGGGGCTGCCCCAATTCATGAATCACAAATAAAAGTCAATTTGATCTACAACTGAACTTGTAAGGGAGACTGAGTGACTTGCCCAAAGTCATATACCCAGCAAATACCCTAGTCAGGGATCTGCCTTAAGTACTCAACCACATATTCAAGTACAGGTTGGGGGAGGGAGGGGGTAATGTCCAGGTAGCTACTTTGGGCCCCTGCAGAGTGGGGGCAGGGTGGGTGGATAATGAGGATGGTATCTTTCCCCTCCCCCCACCACAGCCCCCTGGAACTACCCCCAACCCCTTCTTGCCTCCCAGGACTGGCAGGCACCTGCAGTTCCCTCTTTTTTTTTTTTTTTTTTTTTTTTTTGAGACGGAGTCTCGCTCTGTCGCCCAGGCCGGACTGCGGACTGCAGTGGCGCAATCTCGGCTCACTGCAAGCTCTGCTTCCCGGGTTCACGCCATTCTCCTGCCTCAGCCTCCCGAGTAGCTGGGACTACAGGCGCCTGCCACCGCGCCCGGCTAATTTTTTGTATTTTTAGTAGAGACGGGGTTTCACCTTGTTAGCCAGGGTGGTCTCGATCTCCTGACCTCGTGATCCACCCGCCTCGGCCTCCCAAAGTGCTGGGATTACAGGCGTGAGCCACCGTGCCCGGCCCTGCAGTTCCCTCTTTGTGTGCAATGCCTTCCAGGCCCACCCATCCCAGACCCCCACCACTATTCTTTCTTCAATAGTCCCCACAAGTCCTGCAGGACCCCCTGCAATAGGCTCTGGGAAGAGGGAGGGACTGGCAGAGAAATAGCTTGTACCCAGAAGAGAAGGGGGGTGGGCCAGAGCAAGACCACCTTGTGCTACAGAGCTGGAAAAGGATTGTCCCCGACACTTGCATATCTCATTTTGCCCTCTGTGTCTTTGATAAAGGATAATGGCATGGGGAAACCAAGAGACCCAGGAAGAATTCTAACTTAGGTGTGTGTGGCCCCAAAGTCCTTTTGTGTTTTTTGTTGTTGTTGTTGTTTGTTTTTTTGAGACGGGGTCTTGCTCTGTCGCCCAGGCTGGAGTGCAATGGCACGATCTCGGCTCACTGCAACCTCCGCCTCCTGGATTCAAGCTATTCTCCCACCTCAGCCTCCCGAGCAGCTGGGATTACAGGCACCCGCCATCAGGCATGGCTAATTTTTTTTTTTGTATTTTTGTAGAGATGGGGTTTCACCAAGTTGTCCAGGCTGGTCTCAAACCCCTGAACTCAGGTGATCCACCCACCTCAGCCTCCCAAAGTGCTGGGATTACAGGCGTGAGCCACCACACCCGGTCCCCAAAGTCCTTTTGACTCCACAGTACTTCTTCTGGGTTTTTGGAACAAAGACACACAGGATCCAGCTAAACTGCAGGACAGATTTAAAGCTGGGCCCCTAAAAAATAGGGCTGGAGCTGCTTGTTAAATTCCTGTTGCCTCATTGCCCAGTGGGTCACTGCAGGCTGGGATGAGCTACAGGGTAGAGGCCGGGAGCTGCAGAAACTGAGCTGCCATCCTTGGGGAAGCATGCCCACCATCCCCACTACCTTGGAGGTAGTGCGTTCTAGGAGGTAGAAGCCAGCATGGCTGGTTTCTGTCAGGGCCCTCGGGTGTCCTGCAGAGAGTGGCATGCAGGCCCTGGATCCCAGGGCCTGGTCAGTCTTCTGGCTGAGCAGAGGCTACTGGCCAAGCTTCCCTACCACTGCTCTGAGCCCCTGGTGGTCCTGTGCTCTCTAACACATGTGGTGAGCAGAGCAGAGCTGGGAACACGCAGAGACTGCTGGAGGCCAGGGAGCCAAAGGTCAAGAGAGCAGAACAATGCCGAAGCACCATGCCTATGGTTTCCGAGTGCCCCTAGCCCATGGGCAACTTCCATCCTTGGCTTCCTGCCACATCATACGGCTCCCCATTGGCCCTCCCTTGACACACTGTGGTTATGTAACAATGGTTGACCTCTGGTTTCTTTTAGAAGAAGAAAAAAAAAATTACATCCACAATTGTCACACCAGCCTAAGGAAAATTCCTGCTACCTAATACTGTCAGCCCACTGTTTACCTTACACTTCTCTCATGTAACCCTCACACTACTCTGAGATCATAGTTAATTATTCTTTTTAGGAGAGGAAACGGAAGCACCGAGAGGCTTCCTCCATCGAAATGACACGAATGGCAAATTGCTGAGTTGGGACTGAAACCCAGGTAGAGGAAGGAAGCAATGAATGGAAAGAGGTGGCTCAGCTGGAATTAGTAGGCACTCAAATTGTGCAGTTTTTTTTTTTCTGGCTTCTTGTAAGGGTAATAACTTTGTTTAATCCACTCAAACATTTATATGTAAGAGTAATTTTAAAACTTCAGTCTTCGCCGGGCACAGTGACTCACACCTGTAATCCCAGCACTTTGAGAGGCTGAGGCGGGCAGATCACTTGAGGTCAGAAGTTTGAAACCAACCTGGTCAACATGGCAAAACCCTGTCTCTACTAAAAAAATACAAAAATTAGCCAGGCGTGGTGGCAGGCGCCTGTAATTCTAGCTACACGGGAGGCTGAGGCAGGAGAATCGCTTGAACCCGCGAGGTGAAGGTTGCAGTGAGCCTAGATCGCGCCATTGCACTCCAGCCTGGGCGACAGAGTGAGATTCCATCTCAAAAAAAAAAAAAGCAACAAAAAAACAAGCAAACAAAAAAGCTTCAGTCTTGGCATTTCCTTGTCAAATTGGAACAGCTGTTCTGGACTGCAGGGTTCACGGAGGTGAGCAAAAGTAGCCAGTCGGAGGGTATCTGGCCAGCTGGCTGCGGAAAAGGTTTCAGCCCCGGACGGCTGAGCCCACCCTCAGCTCAAGAGGCTACCACCACAAGTTATCCCTTTCGATTTACCAGTTGCAGTCCAGCGCTGCTCTACTGGGGACCTGAATGCTGCCCTCCATTTTGCAAAGCCTTTCTACATCCTTCCACTATATGGAACCCCCAAACCACAACTGTGGCACTTTTATTTTAATTATTTTTATTATTTATTTATTTATGTATTTATCTCTTGAGGTGGCCTCGCTCTGTCACTCAGGCTGGAGTGCAGTGGAGCAATCACGGTTCAAGGCGCCTCGATCTCCGATCCCCGGGGCTCAAGCGATCCTCCCTCCTCAGCCTCCGGAGCTGGAGTTACAGGTGTGCGATGCCTCGCCTGGCTATTTTTTTTCCTTTTTGGGTAGAGACGGGGTCTCGCTATGTTGCCCAGGCTGGTCTCCAACTCCTAGGCTCCAGCGATCCTCCCGCCTCGGCCTCCCAATGTGCTGCGAATACAGACTCCAGCCACCGCACACAGCCTACTTTTATTTCTTTGAAAAATGAATTCGAGGGTAAAGGGGGCGGGGTTGAGGCAGATGCCAGAATCTGTTCGCTTCAACCAAGCAGCCAGGCTGCCTGTCCAGAAAGCCGGCACTCAGTTTCCTCAGGAAAACGAAGCTAAGGCTCCCATTCCCCTCGCTAACAACGTCAGAACAGAGGACAGTTTTTAGATTTCAGGGATCTTAAATAGATTGGCAGTTCCTGGAGAATAAACATCCTTTGCTTTTCTCCTGCACACTTTTGCCTCAGGCCACCCCTTCCCGCTTCCAAAGCCCATCTCTTCCAAGCTTTCCGCACGAGAAAACAAGTGAGCCCTTCTCATTGGCCAGATTCCCTGTCAATCTCTCCGCTATGACGCCGAGTGGTGCCTTTTGAAGCCTCTCTAGTCCCGCCTCCCTAACCTGATTGGTTTATTCAAACAAACCCCGGCCAACTCAGCCGTTCATAGGTGGATATAAAAGGCAAGCTACGATTGGTTCTTCTGGACGGAGACGGTGAGAGCGAGTCAGGGATTGGCTGGTCTGCTTCGGGCGGGCTAAAGGAAGGTTCAAGTGGAGCTCTCCTAACCGACGCGCGTCTGTGGAGAAGCGGCTTGGTCGGGGGTGGTCTCGTGGGGTCCTGCCTGTTTAGTCGCTTTCAGGGTTCTTGAGCCCCTTCACGACCGTCACCATGGAAGTGTCACCATTGCAGGTACGGCTCGCGGGGGGGACTGGCGGTGGAGCCTCCGCGCGGCCCGGGCATCTCTCTGGCCGCCCGTGACGGGTGAAGCTCTGGGGCTGCGGTCAGGCCGGCGACCGGCTTGGGAGCCCATATTCTCCATTCCCGGTTCCGGGGTGATCGTGGAGAGGCGGAAGCCCCTTCTGGTGCTAGTAGTGAAGTATGACCCGGCTTCCAGGGTGTCGTGCGTTGTTGCCCTGTTTCTAGGGGCAGGAGTCCGTTGGTCCCGTAGTGGATCCATGTTACAGCGGCCCGGGTGCGACGTTATTGAGTCGCGCGTACAGATGCTTTCCCCTCCTGCCCGCTGCTTGAAAACGGTCTTGAATGTCCCCGATCTTGGAAAGGGCAGAGCCTAGCACAGTGTTTCTCTGGAGCAGCTGGCCAGCTTACAAAAGCGCCCCCTTCCTGAGTTCACAACGCTCAGGTGGCCAAGGGATTGAACGGATAGCCGCCCAAACTGCTGCTGCCGAACTAGAATTATTTACGGTGTCGTGTGCTCGGGACACCGTAAATAATTTATAATAATAGGCACTCGGTAAATAATGTATGCAGGAACTGAAAGAAGTGGGTGTATTTTATTGATGACATCTACCATGTTGCTCAAGAAAAGAGGTTTCCAGACAGACCCACTTGGTGAGATAATATGTGTCTGTTTAACCTGACACCTGGGGACCTGGCCGCAGCGAATTTAAATTGTCCTATTTGTACAAAACTGGCAACTCCACCACTGCCTACTAACAGATTGCAATGCATGTTGACATCTCACTATGGTAGGCATTTTGTTCCTAGTTTAGGGTAAACTTATGATTAAAAATTCCCTTCTTTCTCTCTTTTTTTTTAATTGCTAGCCTGTAAATGAAAATATGCAAGTCAACAAAATAAAGAAAAATGAAGATGCTAAGAAAAGACTGTCTGTTGAAAGAATCTATCAAAAGAAAACACAATTGGAACATATTTTGCTCCGCCCAGACACCTACATTGGTTCTGTGGAATTAGTGACCCAGGTAAAATCAAGCTCATCAAAGGCAGTTAACCTAGTAGTTGAAATGGATACTCTTCTTTCTGTACCTTTCATGTACTGAGTGTGACCTTTCTGTATCTCTCATGTACTGAGTGTCACTGGAACTGGCCTAAATATGGTAATACTTAATATGAACACTTTATGGTAATCATGATAACAGAACAATGAATATAGAATAAAAATAACAGTATTTCTTTGCCTTATTTCTAGCAAATGTGGGTTTACGATGAAGATGTTGGCATTAACTATAGGGAAGTCACTTTTGTTCCTGGTTTGTACAAAATCTTTGATGAGATTCTAGGTGAGTAAATCCTTTAATATAAAGATCTGGTCAAATCTTTCATAAGAAGTATCATTCCAAATAAAAATTTAAAAAAGATAAAAGTAAAAACAAAAAGTATCATTTCTACCAAACCTGCTGTAGCCAGGGCTCCTGTCATTTCAATCAGTTGATAAAGGTGAGCTGGTTTCCTGGAGCCCAGGAGGTTGAGCTTCTCGTAGAAACAGTACTATGGACAAAAATTGCTAAATTAACACCTTGTTAATGCCACTCCTGTGCTGTTTGGGAACTTTTTTTTCTATATCTTACTTAGAGTTACAGAATGTTTCTTAAAACACTAATTTCTTACAAATGTATATTTTATTTTCTTTCAGTTAATGCTGCGGACAACAAACAAAGGGACCCAAAAATGTCTTGTATTAGAGTCACAATTGATCCGTACGTCTTTTGCTTAGTTTTTGTTATGTAGCTCGTTGCTATTGTTAGCTGCATGTATTTTGATTACTGGTGAAGTTGGCTTTTCCTAAACAGAAGTTGAGAAAAGTACACAAAAGCAGAATGCTAAAATGAAAAACCTATGGATACCCACCACCTAGATCCAACAGTTGCCAACGTTTTTCCATATTTTCTCCATCTTTTTTTTAATTAGTTAATTTTTTTAGAGGAAGGGGTCTTGCTATTTTGCCTGGGCTGGTCTTAGAACTCCTGGCCTGAAGCAATCCTCCAGTGTTGGCATTATGGGTGTGTGCCATGGCACGCGGCCTATTTGCTCTGGATCATTTCAAAATAAATTACAGGACTTATGACACCTAATCCCTAAATATTTGAGCAAGCACCTTCAGTAATTGCTTTAAGTATTCTGGCATCTGGAGTTTTAACTTTTTCTCATGATGCTATTCAAACAGTAAACCAGTAGGTGGTGGTAGAGAATAATTTGATCTGACATTTCTGCTTATAAATGCGGGGTGTCCCTTAGTGGGTGATCAGGGTGCTTATTTCACTTTTTTGTTAGTCTGATTGATTATGACAAAGTATACCTGGATTTTCCTAAGGACTCAATATCATAGTCTTTAAAAAATGTTGAGCTAGGGCCAGGCACGGTGGCTCATGCCTGTGATCCCAGCACTTTGGGAGGCCGATGCGGGCGGATCACAAGGTCAGGAGATCAAGACCATCCTGGCTAACACGGTGAAACCCTGTCTCCACTAAAAATACAAAAAATTAGCCGGGTGTAGTGGTGGGCGCCTGTAGTCCCAGCTACTCGAGAGGCTGAGGCAGGAGAATGGCATGAACCCGGGAGGTGGAGCTTGCAGTGAGCCGAGATTGCACCACTGCACTCCAGCCTGGGTGACACAGCAAGACTCTGTCTCAAAAAAAAAAAAAAAGTTGAGCTAATTTTAATTAGTTTTTTTTATAGATAATAAGTACTATGTAGAACAAGAACCATAATGTATATCGAGTTATTAACTAAAATATAGTACCATCCAAGAATTAACTTAAAATAACTGAAATAAGTTTTCAGCATTTTATTTGAGAGCAAGGCAGTTTATGATTGATATTGGTTTTCCTTTTTTTTTTTTTTTTTTTTGATGGAGTTTTGCTCTTATTGCCCAGTCTGGAGTGCAGTGGCATGATCTCGGCTCACCGCAACATCCACCTCCTGGGTTCAAGCAATTCTCCTGCCTCAGCCTCCAGAGTAGCTGGGATTACAGGCGCACACCACCACACCTGGCTAATTTTGTATTTTTTTTAGTAGAGATGGGGTTTCTGCATGTTGGTCAGGCTGGTCTCGAACTCCTGACCTCAAGTGATCTGCCTGCCTTAGCCTCCCAAAGTGCTGGGATTGCTGGGATTACAGGCGTGAGCCACTGCGCCCAGCCTGTTTTTATGTACTTTGTTGAGTGGGAACGAGATGTATAGATGATCCTCTTGAAAGGGGTATAATAGGCATGATGACTCACTCCTGTAATCCCAGCACTTTGGGAGGCCAAGGTGGGAGGATCAGTTGAGCCCAGGAGTAGTTTGAGACCAGCCTGGGCCATATAGTGAGACCCTCATCTCTACAAAAAATTTAAAAATTAGCCAGGTGTGGTGATGGACACCTGTAGTCCCAGCTATTCAGGAGGCTGAAGTGGGAGGATTGCTTGAGCCCAGGAGGTCAAGACTGCAGTAAGCTGTGATCCTGCCATTACACTGCAGCCTGGGTGACAGAGCGAGATGCTGTCTCAAAAAAGGAGTGGGAGTGGTGTATAATAATGTTTCCAGATTGTCCTTTTCTTTCCATTGGGCATAAATCATTTCCCTCTGTTTATCCTAACATTTTAAAATTTTGTATTTTTTCAACATTATCAGTGTCTATTCAGGTGTTGGAAAAGGTTTTTTTTTCCTCTTGACTCCTATTTCAGGAATGTCAGGAACTAAGCATGGTGGGAAATGTTCCTGCTGAATTTCAGAAGGTATATATGAAAAGTGCCAAAAAAATTGAGGGCTGGGTATGGTGGCTCACATCTATAACCCCAACACTTTGAGCAGTTCTCCTGCTTCAGCCTCCCAAGTAGCTGGAATCACAGGCATGCGCTACCATGCCTGGCTAATTTTTTTTATTTTTAGTAGAGACGGTTTCAACATGTTGGCCAGAACTCCTGGCCTCAAGTGATCTGCCCTCCTCAGCCTCCCAAAGTGCTGGGATTACAGGCACAGGCCACCGCGCCCAGCCTGAATATACATATTTTAGAAATAATAGTATTTAAATATTTTTAAATGTTAAGCATTCGTTTAATGTGTTGTAAAATACAATTTTCAATCTTTTTTTCTTAGGGAAAACAATTTAATTAGTATATGGAATAATGGAAAAGGTATTCCTGTTGTTGAACACAAAGTTGAAAAGATGTATGTCCCAGCTCTCATATTTGGACAGCTCCTAACTTCTAGTAACTATGATGATGATGAAAAGAAAGTGACAGGTAGAGTATTGAGGGGAAATAACATATTTGTTGCTAAAAATATATATATTTAAATGACTGTCTGTGGCATGAGGGTTAAAGATATGGAAATAAATCTCTATAATTGAATAGCTCTGCCAGTGATTAAGAAATAAAGCTGTCAATGAGATAGTAACAATAAAATAGTGTTTCATATTTATTTGCCCAGGTGGTCGAAATGGCTATGGAGCCAAATTGTGTAACATATTCAGTACCAAATTTACTGTGGAAACAGCCAGTAGAGAATACAAGAAAATGTTCAAACAGGCAAGTAAATAAGTGTCTTGTACCTTAATGATAAATGGTAGTAGTATAGCCATTTATAATGGCATTAATGATTGGTTTAATTTAACATAATTTATAAGCTATTGAAGTATGGAAAATTATAAGCATATATATTAGGTTATTAGGACTCATAAATTTATGTTATTTACTTCCAGTTTGTGAGATGACTTGAATTTTTCATGTTTCCTATTCTTTACTTCCATAGACATGGATGGATAATATGGGAAGAGCTGGTGAGATGGAACTCAAGCCCTTCAATGGAGAAGATTATACATGTATCACCTTTCAGCCTGATTTGTCTAAGTTTAAAATGCAAAGCCTGGACAAAGATATTGTTGCACTAATGGTCAGAAGAGCATATGATATTGCTGGATCCACCAAAGATGTCAAAGTCTTTCTTAATGGAAATAAACTGCCAGTGAGTATTTTCCTGGATGTTAAGGATAATAAGGGATTTTGTAATCATTGTCAAGTGCAAAATTGAATTTTTTCCCCTCCCATATGTTTTTGTTTGTTTGTTTGTTTGTTTGTTTGAGACAGAGTCTCACACTGTTGCCCGGGCTGGAGTGCAGTGGCACGATCTCGGCTCACCGCAACCTCCACCTCCCAGGTTCACGCAATTCTCCTGCCTCAGCCTCCCAAGTAGCTGGGATTACAGGTGCCTGCCACCACACCTGGCTAATTTTTTGTATTTTTAGTAGAGACAGGTTTCACTATGTTGGCCAGGCTGGTCTCGAACACCAGACCTCATGATCCACCCGTCTTGGCCTCCCAAAGTGCTGGGATTACAGGCATGAGCCACTGCACCTGGCCCAACCATATGTATTTTCTTACCACTTCTCACATATGTTCTTGAAAAGAGAATGGTATGCCACATTTTTTAATCAGCTCATTTTAAACTTACCGAAGGAATTTCTTTCTCAAAGAAACACCTAAAATAAATATTTCATGTCCTTTTTTTATTTTCCTTTTTCTTTCTTTTCTTGATAACCTCGCTGTGTCACCCAGGCTGGAGTACAGTGATGCAATCACGGCTCACTACAGCCTGGACCTCCCAGGCTCAAGCGATCATCCCACCTCAGCTTCTGGAGTAGCTGGAAATGCAGGCAGCACCACCATGCCCAGCTAATTTTTTTTTTTCTTTTTAATAGAGGTGGGGATCTCACTATGTTGCCCAGGGTGGTCTTGAACTCCTGGGCTCAAGTGATCCACCCACCTCGGCCTGTGTCCTTTAATGACCATTCCCTTATGCCTATCAGTGAACATCATTGCATTGGTTTTGGAAAGTCCTCATAGTCTATCATTGAACCTATTTTTTAATAACTTTCTTAATACTGTTACCTTTAATTCCTGTACAGGTAAAAGGATTTCGTAGTTATGTGGACATGTATTTGAAGGACAAGTTGGATGAAACTGGTAACTCCTTGAAAGTAATACATGAACAAGTAAACCACAGGTGGGAAGTGTGTTTAACTATGAGTGAAAAAGGCTTTCAGCAAATTAGCTTTGTCAACAGCATTGCTACATCCAAGGTAATTTTATTCTTAAATTATTAATCATGATTTATCTTTACATATATGTGTTCTTATTGTTTTTAATATATAAAGTGGACTTGAATATTGGGCTAGCTTAGTATAAAGGAGGTTAAATTAGTTTTTAATGTTTGATTATTATAATTTTGAGGATACTGAGTTTTACAGTTTGGTATTTTTCCTTATTAGGGTGGCAGACATGTTGATTATGTAGCTGATCAGATTGTGACTAAACTTGTTGATGTTGTGAAGAAGAAGAACAAGGGTGGTGTTGCAGTAAAAGCACATCAGGTATGTGCTTTTGGCAGTTTTCTTTTTCTAAAGTCAAGGAAGAAGAGAAAGGCTATAAATAAAGCATGAGTACATTTTTAGTGGCTTAATATCAACTTCTATTGCAGGTGAAAAATCACATGTGGATTTTTGTAAATGCCTTAATTGAAAACCCAACCTTTGACTCTCAGACAAAAGAAAACATGACTTTACAACCCAAGAGCTTTGGATCAACATGCCAATTGAGTGAAAAATTTATCAAAGCTGTGAGTACTTAGAGGAAAATAAAAATAGAAACACCTGACTTTATTTTCCATTGCACTTCTTAGCTCTGCAGAAACAATGATTCTTCTCATAGTGAGCTTCTCCAAGTCTTCCCAATCTGAAAAGGAAGTAAAAAAGGGCTTTACTTTAACTGATTTACCAAAGACTTAATGACCGTCTATATTTCAGTATTTCCCAATTACATTTTACCATTAAGCTTAGATCACTTTTGAATTAATCTAGCTGTTTAACAAACACCCTCACTTAAATGCCTAAGACTTGCTTTCAGTCAACACATCCAAAATTGAATTTGTTACCTCCATACTCACTGATTTGCCCATACAAGCAGCCCCCCACTCTCCAACAAAAAAACAACTTCCTATCTTAGTAAAAAGCCCCAACCAACCTCTAGGTTGTATAAACAAGAAAGCTGGGAGCCTTCCTTTATTTCCCCTCCTCTCTAATCCGGTCAATAAGAATCATCTCTTGGATGCTGCAGTAGCTTCTCACCATTATCTCTTTTTTGGTTTACTACAATAGGTTCTTAACCTTCATACTGGTTAAGTCCTTTCCTTGGAATGCTTTTGAGTGACTTTTGTGTTAAAACACCCATTTTTATCTTCACTCTCATTTGAAATCTTTCAATGACTTCCACTCAGGGAAAGTCCAAATTCCATAATTTGGCCAACAAGAAAGATCTGCTGTAATCTAATTACACCTACTTCTCCAACTCATCTCAGTGCCAGTTTTTCGTATATTGTCCTGTTGCTTTTAAATTACTGAAAAGCACAGTGCTCTTCCCCTCCTCAGAGTTTATTCACATGCTAATCCCTCTGCATGAAATACATCCTTTTCACCTGGCTACTTTAGGTCTTGTCCTTTCCTCAGGAAAGCCTTTACTTTCTACCCTTCCCCCCACCTAAGTTGGTTCCAATATAATATTGAACATACCTTATTAGCAAACTTTTTGCTTATCCATAACACTTATAACACTGTAACTTATTTTATTTCTGTCTTTTTTTTTAGGCAGAGTCTCGCTCTGTCGCCCAGGCTGGAATGCAGTGGCACGATCTCGGCTCACTGCAACCTCCGCCTCCTAGGTTTCAGTGATTCTCTTGCCTCAGCCTCCCGAGTAGCTGAGATTACAGGCATGCATCACCATGCCTGGCTAATTTTTTTGTTGTTGTATTTTCAGTAGAGACAGGGTTTCACCATGTTGGTCAGGCTGGTCTCAAACTCCTGACCTCAAATGATCCACCCATCTCGGCCTTCCAAAGTGTTGGGATTACAGCCATGAGCCACTGTGCCCAGTCTTTTTTTTTTTTTTTTTTGAGACAGAGTCTTGCTGTGTTGCCCAGGCTACAGTGCAGTGACGTAATCCTGGCTCATTGCAATCTCTGCCTCCCAGGTTCAAGCGATTCTCCTTGCCTCCTGAGTAGCTGGGATTCTCCAGCCTCCTGAGTAGCGGGGATTACAGACATGCACCATCACATCCAGCTAATTTTTGTATTTTTAATAGAGATGGGGTTTTACCATGTTGGCCAGGCTGGTCTTGAACTCCTGGCCTCACTTGATCCACCATCCTCGGCCTCCTAAAGTGCTGTGATTACAGGCGTAAGCCACTGCACCCAGCTATGTCTGTCTTCTATGTTGTGTCTTAAACTTGATGAGGACAAGTGTCTCAATTTGTTTTATTTGTGTCTAATTTTATTTATTTATTTTTAATTTTTTTTTTTGGAGACAGCTTCTCACTGTTTCCCAGGCTGGAGTGCCGTGGCTTGATCTCAGTTCACTGCAACCCGCGCCTCCCAGGTTAAAGCAATTCTCCTGCCTCAGCCTCCCAAGCAGCTAGGATTACAGCCATTTCACCACCACCATGCCTGGCTACCCTTTTTTTTTTTTTTTTTTTTTTTTTTGAGACGGAGTTTCACTTTTGTCACCCAGGCTGGAGTGCAATGGTGCGATCTTGGCTCGCTGCAACCTCTACCTCCTGGGTTCAAGCGATTCTCCTGCCTCAGCCTCCCGAGTAGCTGGAATTACAGGTGCCCACCACCACGCCAGCTAATTTTTGTATTTTTAGTAGAGCCGGGGTTTCGCCATGTTGGCCAGGCCGGTCTCAAACTCCTGACCTCAGGTGTTCTGCCCACCTTGGCCTCCTAAAGTGCTGGGATTATAGGCGTGAGCCACCGTGCCTGGTCTAATTTGTTTTAACCACTATATCTCCAACAAGTAGCTCAGTGCTAGCACAATATAATTATATAGTAAATATTTATTGAACGAATGAACCAAAAGGAGCAGCTCCCTCAGTGGTGATAACCTGACATGGGAAGATGTGCCACCCTCTATCCAGAAATTATTGTTCTACATCTTTTTAATTTTTGAATCATTTTTATTTGTATTAAGGCTCATTTGTATTCTAGATTTCTGATAGATCCCTTCTTCCCTAATATGATCCCTAATATGAATCTTCTCGTTTTCAGGCCATTGGCTGTGGTATTGTAGAAAGCATACTAAACTGGGTGAAGTTTAAGGCCCAAGTCCAGTTAAACAAGAAGTGTTCAGCTGTAAAACATAATAGAATCAAGGGAATTCCCAAACTCGATGATGCCAATGATGCAGGTATATATTTAATAATGTTTCCAAACTTTTAAGTCTTATAGTTGTTATTTTATTCATTAATGGCATACCACGGATATTTATTTTTCCCTTGACAGAATAACTATATTCAACAGAATAACTTGTTAAAAATCGGCCCGTTTCCTATTATGGAAGATTTAGGTCATTTCCATGTTATAAATAATATTGAGGTGATTATTTTGGAGTATAAAACAAGAATGTTTATATTATGATCTATTACCTAACAAATAATTTTGCTCATTATATAGTAAATTGTGTTTTATCACAAGGCTATAAACAGCATGTTCAAGTTAGTATATTTGAGGTTGAACTAAATGTGCTAATATTAATATGTATATTTTTATTTTAGGGGGCCGAAACTCCACTGAGTGTACGCTTATCCTGACTGAGGGAGATTCAGCCAAAACTTTGGCTGTTTCAGGCCTTGGTGTGGTTGGGAGAGACAAATATGGGGTTTTCCCTCTTAGAGGAAAAATACTCAATGTTCGAGAAGCTTCTCATAAGCAGGTAGAATATAAGACGATCTTCAGAATCTAAATCTAATTTATAATACAAGACTTTATGCTTATATTTAATTCCCTCATTAGGCATTTTAAAATATATTTTAGACAATTTGTGCTTATTTTGAGAAATTAGGTACATTGTAGCCTATTTTAACAGACCTTTCTGATGTAGTAAATTATAAGCTAATAGCTCAAAATACTGGAGCTCAAGAAAATCCAAGCAACATATACTGTTAAATTTCTTTGTTCTTTTCAAATTTATAAACGATGCTTTTTTTGGTATATGTCCATTTCAGATCATGGAAAATGCTGAGATTAACAATATCATCAAGATTGTGGGTCTTCAGTACAAGAAAAACTATGAAGATGAAGATTCATTGAAGACGCTTCGTTATGGGAAGATAATGATTATGACAGATCAGGTCAGATTTGTTATTAAATTTTTAGATTGTTCAACTAAATTAAGCATGTCTTAATTTAATTTCATTGTTTTTTGCCATGAAAATAAATTAGTTAAATAGGAGCTTTATTCATCATCTCTAATCAACATCTAATCAGATATGCTTATATCATATGTATGTTGCAAATACAGGTTAAGTGAGTCTGGATTTGAACAGACCTTTTTTGATTCCCATAGAAAATTTGACAAATTGCCAGTAGGTCAGTCATAATATTTTTTTATTTCTAAACAATTCTTTGTTTGTTTGAGATGGAGTTTCGCCCTTGTCGCCCAGGCTGGAGTGCAATGGTGCAATCTTGGCTCACTGCAACCTCCGCCTCATGGGTTCAAGCGATTCTCCTGCCTCAGCCTCCCGAGTAGCTGGGATTGCAGGCGGATGCCACCACACCCAACTAATTTTTGTATTTTTAGTGGAGACAGGGTTTCACCATGTTGGCCAGGCTGGTCTCGAACGCCTGACCTCAGGCGATCCGCCTGCCTCGGCCTCCCAAAGTTCTGGGATTACAGATGTTAGCTACCACGCCCAGCCTAACAGTTCTTTTGAACTTTGGCTTTCAAATCTTTCTAGGACCAAGATGGTTCCCACATCAAAGGCTTGCTGATTAATTTTATCCATCACAACTGGCCCTCTCTTCTGCGACATCGTTTTCTGGAGGAATTTATCACTCCCATTGTAAAGGTACGCTAATTTCTAAGTACCATCATGGATATTTTAAGACCCTACTCCTCAAACCTGGATATACATATAAGCCCCGTCACATGTAGTGGTATACAGGGGACCCCACAGTGTACAAAGCCACAGTCATTGTTTTTTATCACAGGTATCTAAAAACAAGCAAGAAATGGCATTTTACAGCCTTCCTGAATTTGAAGAGTGGAAGAGTTCTACTCCAAATCATAAAAAATGGAAAGTCAAATATTACAAAGGTTTGTAATGAAACCCATATAGAACTTCTCATTTTATTATACACCCTGTACAAGACTATATGAAGGAACTTGGTATTTTTGGTTTTATAGGTTTGGGCACCAGCACATCAAAGGAAGCTAAAGAATACTTTGCAGATATGAAAAGACATCGTATCCAGTTCAAATATTCTGGTCCTGAAGATGATGCTGCTATCAGCCTGGTAGGTTTGAGTTGTATTTTATATACATTCTAATTTTAGAAATCACTACTTTAGCCAGTTGAAACATTTACATTTTTGTATAAGACTCCGTATCAAAAAAAAAAGAATGTTTTATAGAATAGAATGTTTCCAGTAAGCATATCCCAGAGAAGGAATCAGATATTTTAGAAAATTTTGATTTTTGGCTGGGCTTGGTGGCTCATGCCTATAATTCTAGGACTTTGGGAGGCCAAGGCAGGTGGATCACCTGAGATCAAGAGTTGGAGACCAACCTGTCCAACATGGTGAAACCCCCTCTCTACTAAAAATACGAAAATTGGCCGAGCGTAGTGGCTCACGCCTGTAATCCCAGCACTTTGGGAGGCAGAGGCGAGCAGATCACAAGGTCAGGAGATCAAGACCATCCTGGCTAACAAGGTGAAACCCCATCTCTGCTAAAAATACAAAAAATTAGCCGGCCGTGGTGGCACGCAGCTATAGTCCCAGCTACTTGGGAAGCTGAGGCAGGAGAATCGCTTGAACCCGAGAGGCAGAGGTTGCAGTGAGCCGAGATCAGGCCACTGCTCTCCAGCCTGGGCAACAGAGTGAGACTCCATCTCAAAAAAAAAGGAAAAAGGCCAGGCGTGGTGGCTCACGCCTGTAATGCCAGTACTTTGGAAGGCTAAGTCGGGCAGATCACAACGTCATGAGATGGAGACCATCCTGGCTAACACGGTGAAACCCCGTCTCTACTAAAAATAAAAAAAAATAAAAAATAAAAAATTAGCCGGGCTTGGTGACACGCGCCTGTAATCCCAGCTACTCCGGAGGCTGAGGCAGGAGAATGGCGTGAACCCAGGAGGCGGAGCTTGCAGTGAGCTGAGATGGTGCCACTGCACTCCAGCCTGGGCGACAGAGCGAGACTCTGTCTCAAAAAAAAAAAAAAACAAAAAAGGTCGGGCGCAGTGGCTCACACCAGTAATCATAGCACTTTGGGAGGCCGAGGCGGGTGGATCACCTGAGCTCGGGAGTTCAAGACCAGCCTGACCAACATGGTGAAACCCCATCTCTACTAAAAATACAAAATATTAGCTGGGTGTGGTGGCACGTGCCTGTAATCCCAGCTACACGGGAGGCTGAGGCAGGAGAATCACTTGAACTTGGGAAGTGGAGGTTGTGGGAGCCGAAATCGTGCCATCACATTCCACAAGAGTGAAACTCCATTTCAAAAAAAAAAAAATACAAAAATTAGCTGGGCGTGGTGGCGGGCGCCTTTAATCCCAGGGGCTCAGGAGGCTGAGGCAGGAGAATCGCTTGAACCTAGGACGCAGAGGTTGCAGTGAGCCAAGATGACACCATTGCACTCCAGGCTGGGCAAGAGAACAGTAACTCCCGTCTCAAAAAAAAAAAAAAAGGAAAACAGTATTTTTGTTTTTCTGTTGTTCGTTCTTTGTAGAAGGATATTTTGGAACCTATTAGCCTATTAGTACCAGTGACATCTTTTCATCCTTTAATTTATAGGCCTTTAGCAAAAAACAGATAGATGATCGAAAGGAATGGTTAACTAATTTCATGGAGGATAGAAGACAACGAAAGTTACTTGGGCTTCCTGAGGTAAAAGTTTTAAATATATGCCACAAAATGGATTGTTAGACTGACCTTTTGGTATTGATACTATAGCAAATTAAACTTACTGAATAGTTATTTTAGTAAAAAATTTGATATGATAGAGTTGTGCAGCAGTTAAATTTGCTTTATCTTTAAAACATATAAAATATTTCTGTATTATTCAATATTTTTTAAAGACTTAAGAATTACAGAAATAATTCTTAGTTCTGAAAGGTTTCTGTTTGATTTTTGTGTTGAGCATTGTTTAGACCGGTAGACTCATGTAATACTATTTGGTCCTTCAGGATTACTTGTATGGACAAACTACCACATATCTGACATATAATGACTTCATCAACAAGGAACTTATCTTGTTCTCAAATTCTGATAACGAGAGATCTATCCCTTCTATGGTGGATGGTGAGTTCCAATTTGTTAGTCTGTTTTCATTGTAAGATGGAAATCAAATTCCAAAATTGGTTAAATTGAGGATACTTACGTTTGCTCTTATTTCATTTTAAAGGTTTGAAACCAGGTCAGAGAAAGGTTTTGTTTACTTGCTTCAAACGGAATGACAAGCGAGAAGTAAAGGTTGCCCAATTAGCTGGATCAGTGGCTGAAATGTCTTCTTATCATCATGGTGAGGTAAACACACAATCCATGTTTCCAGAAAGCATTATATCAGAAATCCCTGCAGAGTCATTCTCAAAACAGATTTGGTGAAAGTATAAGCTCATATATTCATAGTAAAGAACAAGTTGGTAAAACCTGTGAAAGAATAAAACTGCTTGCCCTTTGATTTCTGAAAGTAATATTCCTGCAGGGATATTCATAAGTCTGCAAAGGTCTACATTAAAAAATGCTTAGTATGTTTATTATAACTTTGTGATGTCAAAATTTAGACCTCCACTGATTTGAAAATTGTTATAATAAATTGTGACACATGTATGCATGGAATCAGTGCTGTAACTTCAGTAAAACTGTGTGCACTGACACTGAGGAATATCCAGGGTCTATTCTCAGGTGAGGAAAAAAAGAGACAGAACAATAACTAAAAATGTCTACAAGGATATGTTCCAAATTGTTCACTTTAGTTACCCCTGAGAACTGGAAAGGGCAACTTTCACTTTTTATATGTGTCTGAATTGTTTGACTTTACACCAATGTTTTGTGATTACTTTTTGCATTAATTATGTAAAACAGTTTTAAAGAACTAGATTGCCTACAGGTTTCTAGAATTTTAAATATAATGGTTGTCTTGTTGCTTTCAATCAAAATATAGTAGGGATACAATAAATTTTCACCCAACGAACATTTGTTGAATGCCTACCATGTACCAGGTATACAAAAATAAATAAAAATATGTTCCTTATCCCCAAGATATAATAACAATTTAGCCAGAGGGCCAATACACACACAGCTATAGAATAAAGTGATACATGCTAGAATAGAAATGAACACAGCATTGTAACACAAAGGAGGAAATATTTCATTTTGCTGAGGATAAGGAGAAGAACTATGCCTTCAAAGTTGAGTGGGATTTAATAGAAATTGTTGGACGGCAGCCCTAAACTTGGAGCCAGAAGTTGTAGGTTCAAGTACTATTTCTGCCATCTATTAATCTGAGGAAAGTCACTAAACAACTAGACCTCACAAAATGTTACAGGATTATAGTGAGGTTAAGTCATAATGTATTTGTATTAGTAAAAGCCTCAGCTTAATGAATCTTTTTTTCCCCACAGATGTCACTAATGATGACCATTATCAATTTGGCTCAGAATTTTGTGGGTAGCAATAATCTAAACCTCTTGCAGCCCATTGGTCAGTTTGGTACCAGGCTACATGGTGGCAAGGATTCTGCTAGTCCACGATACATCTTTACAATGCTCAGGTAGGTATGCTTTCACTTTCTAGTGACTTGCCATTTCCAGTTTTGAAACAATGTGAGATTTAGTTCACCAAAAATACAAAAACTCAGTTAATCAGAAGATACTGGCATCTAGTGGCAGAGGCCAGGGGTGAGGCTTATACAGGAAAGCCCCCCCATAACAATTATCCAGTGCAACATGTCAATTATGCTAAGGTTGAGAAATCCTGATGTAGAGCTTGGGACTGAGTAAAGGAGACTTTGATTCTTCCTAAATATCACAATTGAAATTTTACTCCTTTACAAGCCTATGGAAAGTATATTATGAATGGTCAATTTTCAGCTGTCATCCCAGTCACCCTTTCAGTGGCATTCAAACAGTTACTAATTGCTCCATCCTTCTTGAAACTCTTTATTTGGCCTCTATGACTGTAGACTCTTCTGGTTCTCTTCTACCTTATTAGCTTTCTCTGCTGGGTCCTTCTCACCTTCCCAACCTCTAAATACTGGCCCATTCCAGGGCTCCTTCATCAGATCTCTTTCCAATGCCTACACTCAATTCCCAAATGATCTCCCATTCATCCGTTCTATACCTTTAAATCTCCAGTCTTGGTCTCTCCCCTGAACTCCCAACTTTTATGTCTGACTGCCCTCTTAACATTTCCCACTTGGATATCTAGTTAAGTATCTCAAACATAAGTCTAAAACCAAATCCTTAGTTTTCCTGTCTCAGTAAATGGAATGCCATGCCATCCTTCTAATTGCTCAGGCTAAAAACCTTGTCACCCTTGACTCCTTTGCTTGATACTTAACATCCAGTTCCTCAGCCAATCCTATAGGATCTGCATTGGAAAAATACTAAGCCACCCCCATCTCATCTAAACTATTGTAACATATCATCTTTTCTTAAAGCAGCCAATTATTTTTTAAAAAATAAGTCACTCTGATTCAGAACCTTCAACTGCTCAGAGTAAAATCTAAAGACCTATTTTAGCTAACCAGACATTATGTGATCCGTGTCCCCACCTTCCATGTCTTTTGATTCCTTCTCATACCATCTCCTCTCCAGCCACACTGTCCTTGGCCTATACTCAAATATACCGAGCACATTTCCTCTTCAGGGCCTTTTACTTACTGGTTCCTTTGCCTGCAACACTCTTTCTCTAGATATCCACATGGTTCAGTCCCTCAGTTTGTTTTTTGTTGTTTTTTTTTCTTTTGAGATGGAGTTTTGCTCTTTTTGCCCAGGCTGGAGTGCAGTGGCGCAATTTCGGCTCATTGCAACCTCTGCCTCCTGGGTTCAAGTGATTCTCCTGCCTCAGCCTCCCGTGTTGCTGGGATTACAGGTACACGCCACCATGCTCAGCTAATTTTATATTTTTAGTAGAGATGAGGTTTCACCATGTTGGCCAGGTTGGTCTTGAACTCCTGACCTCAGGTGATCTGCCTCCCTCAGCCTCCCAAAGTGCTGGGATTACAGGCGCGAGTTACTGCACCTGGCGCCCTCAGTGTCTTTTCTCTGCTCAAATGTTTTCCTATCAGAAACGGCTTAACTTTCCTTAGCACCTCTTCAGTCACTTTCCCACTTTTTCTTCTCTTGTTTATCCCACCACCTAACAAAATATGTGTTAATTGCAAACTTCTACTGGACTGTGAGCTCCTTGAGGATTGAGACTTTATGTCCATGTGCGTGACACATAGCAAGTGCTCAATAAATATTGTTAAATGTATATTAGTCAGCAAGTAAAACCAAGATAATTTTCATGTATAATACATGTCCTTTCCATAAAAGTTAAGTGTGAAATTCAGTATTTTTGTAAAATAACATTCTTTGTTTCTTTTCTTTAGCTCTTTGGCTCGATTGTTATTTCCACCAAAAGATGATCACACGTTGAAGTTTTTATATGATGACAACCAGCGTGTTGAGCCTGAATGGTACATTCCTATTATTCCCATGGTGCTGATAAATGGTGCTGAAGGAATCGGTACTGGGTGGTCCTGCAAAATCCCCAACTTTGATGTGCGTGAAATTGTAAATAACATCAGGCGTTTGATGGATGGAGAAGAACCTTTGCCAATGGTAAGTATTCTGTGTGTGTTAAGAGCCTTAACTTTTCCTTGGGTTTCAGTTGAATAGATTGTATGATTAAAGATGATGCAAACATAAAATTTAATTTCATACTTTAGATTTATTGTTAAACGCTGTTGTGATTTCCGTCTAGTATCACATTTAGAAAACATACTGTTTTTTTAAATGCCAATTTAGCTTCCAAGTTACAAGAACTTCAAGGGTACTATTGAAGAACTGGCTCCAAATCAATATGTGATTAGTGGTGAAGTAGCTATTCTTAATTCTACAACCATTGAAATCTCAGAGCTTCCCGTCAGAACATGGACCCAGGTAAATAATTATGGATTTCTTTTTTAGGTTTGTGATCAAAAGAAATACCTTTTGTACTATTGCTGTTGACTATTCAGAAGCCTATATTTTAGAAACTTCAGGATTATTTCTTTCTTTAGACATACAAAGAACAAGTTCTAGAACCCATGTTGAATGGCACCGAGAAGACACCTCCTCTCATAACAGACTATAGGGAATACCATACAGATACCACTGTGAAATTTGTTGTGAAGATGACTGAAGAAAAACTGGCAGAGGCAGAGAGAGTTGGACTACACAAAGTCTTCAAACTCCAAACTAGTCTCACATGCAACTCTATGGTATGTATTTGTTTTGTGAGATGTACACGTTTCAATTTATATTAAAGATTAATATCAATTTTAAAAGTATATCTTAGTCTACCTTTATAAAGTTTAGCCAATTTGTCTATTCTTGGCTCTAATCTTGTTTTCCTTTTTCAGGTGCTTTTTGACCACGTAGGCTGTTTAAAGAAATATGACACGGTGTTGGATATTCTAAGAGACTTTTTTGAACTCAGACTTAAATATTATGGATTAAGAAAAGAATGGCTCCTAGGAATGCTTGGTGCTGAATCTGCTAAACTGAATAATCAGGCTCGCTTTATCTTAGAGAAAATAGATGGCAAAATAATCATTGGTATGTTTTGGGAATAATAACTGCTTACTAAAACTCTAGTTACGCCAAACTTTCTTTAAACATTTTTGGTGAGAGTAATGGTGGAGAAAGAGGCAAAATCCATTTAATTCACCTGGTCACTTATACACGCATTTCTTTAAAATATCTGATTAGGTATTTATAGTTTGAAAGAGATGATGTTTCCTTGACTGAGCATCTTGAGAAATCAAGATTTAGTTGACAATTAGACATGAGGAGAATAGAGAGCTAGAAGACCTTGCATAAACTGATTGACCAAGAGAATAGATACACTAATCATGTCTACAGGAACAGAAAATAAAAGAGACAGAGAAGAGATAATAAATCTGATGGTAAAAAAAAAAAAAGGCAGGAAGATTACGAATGGCTTCTACTCTCTGGGTGTGGTGGCGCATGCCTGTAATCTCAGCACTTGAGCTGGGGAGGTCAAGGCTGCAGTGAGCCTAGGTAGTGCCACTGCACTCCAGCCTGGACACAAGAGTGAGAGAGACCCTGTCTCCAAAAAAAAATGATTTGATCATATATGATTTGACTGCCCCCTTGTGGTAATTTACATTTGTCAATGGTTTAGGGAGACTTGCCTGTATACCGGGATATACAAATTTATGCAAGCACGAAGACAGTTTAATTTCCAGTTTTAAACTTTTGACTTGTGTAAAACCTTATCCCCTTCCTAAAATATTACTCAAAATCATTATCTCTGTTTACTTTTTTAAAAATAGAAAATAAGCCTAAGAAAGAATTAATTAAAGTTCTGATTCAGAGGGGATATGATTCGGATCCTGTGAAGGCCTGGAAAGAAGCCCAGCAAAAGGTAATCTTGGGTGGCACTTTTCTATATTGTTAAAGACTATGTATTGTACAATGTTTATGTTTCACATTTTCTAATAAAGCTAGATTTTAATTAATCCTTTAGGTTCCAGATGAAGAAGAAAATGAAGAGAGTGACAACGAAAAGGAAACTGAAAAGAGTGACTCCGTAACAGATTCTGGACCAACCTTCAACTATCTTCTTGATATGCCCCTTTGGTATTTAACCAAGGAAAAGAAAGATGAACTCTGCAGGCTAAGAAATGAAAAAGTGAGTTGATAGTAGGATGGTACATGCTGCTTAGTTTTGTTCTATTCTAATGGTAAAAGTAAAATTGTGTGTTGCATGAAAATGCTGCTTGTATACATATATTAACTCAATTTTGTAATTATCTTATGAAGGAACAAGAGCTGGACACATTAAAAAGAAAGAGTCCATCAGATTTGTGGAAAGAAGACTTGGCTACATTTATTGAAGAATTGGAGGTATGTAGTTTATAATGCCCATGTTAGAATTTTTATTAATGAAATAATATATTCCAGCAGTATACCTTTGTCAAGATAGTTCACAATTGGCAATAAAAAGAAAATAAGAGGCATAAGGATAAATTCCAAATAGCGTATAAAAGAACAGATTATTGGCCAGGTGCAGTGGCTCACGCTGGTAATCCCAGCATTTTGGAAGGCTGAGTTGGGTGGATCACTTGAGGTCAGGGGTTCAAGACCAGCCTGGCCAACATGGTAAAACCCCATTTCTACTAAAAACACAAAAATTAGCCAGGCATGATGGTGCATACCAGTTACTCAGGAGGCTGAGGCAGGAGAATTGCTTGAACCGAGAGGCAGAGGTTGCAGTGAACCGAGATCACACCACTGCACTCCAGCCTAGGCAACACAGCAAGACTCCGTCTCAAAAAAAAAAAAAAAAAAAAAGGGACAGATTATTAAATACTACTTAGAATACAAGGCCGGGTGCGGTGGCTCACACCTACAATCCCAGCACTTTGGGAGGCCGAAGCAGGCAGATCACCTGAGGTTGGGAGTTCGAGACCAGCCTGACCAACATGGAGAAACCCTGTCTCTACTAAAATTGCAAAATTAGCCAGGCGTAGTGGCACATGCCTGTAATCCCAGCTACTTGGGAGGCTGAGGCAGGAGAATCACTTGAACTCGGGAGGCAGATGTTGCTGTGAGCTAAGATCACACCATTGCACTCCAGCCTGGGCAACAAGAGTGGAACTCCGTCTCAAAAAAAAAAAAAAAAATACTATTTAGAATACAGTAAATGATACCAGGAGACTGCCCAGACATTCAGACATTTCTGGACAAAAAAAGAAAAGAGCAGGAGTTGATTTTTGATAAAGGGAAGAACATATTAGGACTGAGAAGATAAAAAGAGCCTAAATGTGGAAGAAGACCACCAACCCAGTCCCCCAAGTCAACTTAAAAGGACAAAGCCACAGGGCATGGTGGCTCATGCCTGTAATCCCAGCACTCTGGGAGGCTGAGGTGGGCAGATCACTTGAGGTCAGGAGTTCGAGACCAGCCTGGACAACATGGTGAAACCCTGTCTCTACTAAAAATACAAAAATTAGTTGGGTGTGGTGGCATCCGCCTGTAATCCCAGCTACTCAGGAGGTTGAGGCAAGAAAATTGCTTGAACCCAGAAGGCAGAAGTTGCAGTGAGCCGAGATTGCGCCACTGTACTCCAGCCTGGGTGACAGAGCAAGACTCCATCTAAAAAAAAAAAAAAAAAAAGGAGAAAGCAGGGCTATCCAGATGGTTTCAGAAGGTTATTTGTTACTTAAATCTTCCTAATAACATTTGTTTCTCAACATTATTTTAACATAAGAAAAAAGGCCAGCACTGTGGCTCACACCTGTAATCCCAATGTGCTTTGGGAGGCTGAGGCAGGAGGATCACTTGAGATTAGGAGTTCAAAACCAGCTTGGGTAACGTAGCAAGACCTCATCTCTACAAAATGTTTTTTTTAAATAGCCAGGCATGGTGGTGTGGGCCTATAGTCTCAGCTACTCCGGAGGCCAAGGTGGGAGGATCACTTGAGACCAGGAGTTCAAGGCTGCAGTGAACTATGATCATGTACCATTGTACTCAGCCTGCGTGTCTCTTAAAAAAAAAAAAACAAAAAAAAAACCACCAAAAGCTTTATTTCTTAAATTTAACATGCAAATTTGTATTACTGCACTTCAGTATAGATGCCTAGCTCATTGTAATCAGTTGGTTGGATAAGTGTGCATCACTTCCTTTCATATTTTGTATGTGAGTTTACAAATATATATGTATATACATGTTTTATTTTTAGTTTCTCCCTTGTTTTCCTCAAAAAGGTTAAGTGGTAGAATCAGGAATAAAACCCAGTCCTTCTGTCTCCACACCTTCCTTTTCAAGGTGTGTTTTAATTACATCTTCACTATTGTTGATAGTATACTAGGTTATGGAGCAATTTATCACTAGTTTTTAAGATGTAACAAAATGAAATCAGTTTAACTGTTGGGTGTTTAGATATTGTAATGTTTTTGTTAACATTTAAACTTGCTTTCTTATATCCCTTCTGTAGGCTGTTGAAGCCAAGGAAAAACAAGATGAACAAGTCGGACTTCCTGGGAAAGGGGGGAAGGCCAAGGGGAAAAAAACACAAATGGCTGAAGTTTTGCCTTCTCCGCGTGGTCAAAGAGTCATTCCACGAATAACCATAGAAATGAAAGCAGAGGCAGAAAAGAAAAATAAAAAGAAAATTAAGGTAATACTCTTGTGGTGGCTCACACCTATAATCCCAGCACTTTGGGGGCCAAGGTGGGTGGATCACTTGAGGTCAGTGGTTCAAGACCAGCCTCCCAACATGGTTGAAACCCTGTCTCTACTAAAAATTAAAAAAATTAGGCGGGCATGGTGGCAGGCGCCTGTAATCCCAGCTACTCGGGAGACTGAGGCAGAAGAATCGCTTGAACCCGGGAGGCAGAGGTTGCAGTGAGCCAAGGTCACACCACTGCACTCCAGCCTGGCCAACAGAGCAAAACTCCATCTCAAAAAAAAAAAAGAGGTAATACTCTTAAAAATATTATGCATAAAATATTGATGCATATGTCCACTTAAAATTGAAAAAAAAATGTATAAAATTTTTTTGTTGTTGTTGTTGAGATGGAGTCTCGCTGTGTTACCCAGGCTGGAGTGCAATGGCAGGATCTCAGCTCACAGCAACCTCCGCCTCCCGTATTCAAGCGATTCTCGTGCCTCAGCCTCCCAAGTAGTTGGGGGCACATCACCACACCCAGCTAATTTTTGTATTTTTAGTAGAGATGGGGTTTCACCATCTTGGCCAGGCTGGTCTCGAACTCCTGACCTCAAGAGATCTGCCCACCACGGCCTCCCAAAGTGCTGGGATTACAGGCGTGAGCCACCGCTCCCAGCCAAAAATGTATAAAATCTCTAATCCCATAGTTCAGAATTTATTCTATATCCAACCCTAACTTTGCTATCTTTTAGAATGAAAATACTGAAGGAAGCCCTCAAGAAGATGGTGTGGAACTAGAAGGCCTAAAACAAAGATTAGAAAAGAAACAGAAAAGAGAACCAGGTATTACAACATTTTTAGAAAAATGGTATAAAGTGAAGATTAAATTGTGTTTGTTACCTAGTACATTCCACATAGATGTTCAAAACCTTTTTGTTGAATTGAGAAACGTGAAAGAGGACTGTATCTCAATTCTACTTGGACCTCTTTTTTTTTTTTTTTTTTTTTTTGAGACAGTTTCACTCTTGTTGCCCAGGCTGGAGTGCAATAGCACAATCTCGGCTCACTGCAATCTTCACCTCCTGGGTTCAAGCGATTCTCCTGCCTCAGCTTCCTGAGTAGCTGGGATTATAGGTGCATGCCACCACGCCTGGCTGCTTTTTGTATTTTTAGTAGAGACGGGGTTTCACCATGTTAGTCAGGCTGGTCTCAAACTCCTGACCTTGTGATTTGCCCGCCTTGGCCTCCCAAAGTGCTGGGATTACAGGCGTGAGCCACTGCCCCTGGCCTGGACCTCTTTAATATCGTCCTTGGGATTTGATTCATTATAGAAAATATTTTGTAATGAAGTAGTTTGTTAATTTGAATTCCTTAATTGGGATCTAAGAAAATACCCAGTTTATTAGATTTCATTTTCTAGCCACTTACGAGGTTCTAGTATACAAAGTTTCTTAAGAAAAGTGACTACATATTAGTAATGTTTGTAGTATCTCTAGAGTTCAACATCATGCTTCGGATATAAATAATGTCCACTCAATGAACTAAATAGAATTAATAATTCTGTTAATCATTTGATAATGCCTTTACTGTCTACTTTTTTTGAAACATCTTTATTGAGATATTCACATGCCAAATTTGCCCATTTAACGTATACCATTTGGCTGGGCGCCATGGCTTATGCCTGTAATCCCAGCACTTTGGGAGGCTGAGGCTGGCGGATCACTTGAGGTCAGGAGTTCAAGACCACCCTGGCCAACATGGTGAAACCCCATCTCTACTAAAAATACAAAAATTAGTTGAGTGTGGTGGTGCGTGCCTGTAGTCCCAGCTACTCGAGAGGCTGAGGCACGAGTGTCGCTTGAACCCAGGAGGCAGAGGTTGCAGAGAGCCAAGACTGTGCCATTGCACTCCAGCCTGGGTGACAGAGCAAGACTCCAACTCAAAAATAAAAATAAAGTATGCCATTCAGTGGTTTTAGTATAGACAAACAGTTTTAATACAATTTATTGCCCCCCAAGAAAACTGAACTCATTAACAATCATTTGCCATTTGCCACCAACTCCTCTCCACTGGGTGACCACTAAAAAATCTAGGGGCATTTCCTATAAATTAAATCATATAATATGTGGTCTTTTGGAGCTGACTTCTTTACTTAACACATTTTCAAGGGTAACCCATGTGGCAGCCCATATATTAGTACTTCATTCTTTTTTTTTTTTTTTTTTTGAGGCAGAGTTTCGCTCTGTCGCCCAGGCTGGCATGCAGTATGCAGTAGTAGTGAGATCTCGGCTCACTGCAACCTCCGCCTGCTAGGTTCAGGCAATTCTCCTGCCTCAGCCTCCCGAGGAGCTGGGATTACAGGCACGCACCACCATGCCCAAATAATTTTTGTATTTTTAGTAGAAACAGGGTTTCACCATGTTGGCCAGGATGGTCTCAAACTCCTGACCTCAAGCGATCTGCCCACCTCGGCCTCCCATTTTGCTAAGCCCGTGAAGGTAAACCTCTGTGTTTTCTTCTAAGCATTTTATAGTTTTAGCTCTTACATTTAGGTCTGTGATCCACTTTGAATTAGTTTTTGTATATGGTGTAAGGAAGGTGTCCAACCTGATTCTTTGCAGGTAGATATCCAATTATTTCAGTATCATATGTTAAAAAGACTTCTTTCTACAATGTTTGTCTTCACCCTTGTCAAAAATCAATTGACTATAAATGTTAAGGTTTATGTATGGAGTCTCAATTCTGTTCCACTGATTGAGCTATATATGTCCTTGAGTATCTACTTTTTTTGAGACAGGGTTTCACTCTTGCCCAGGCTGGTCTTGAAATCCTGGCTCAAGCAATCCTTCTATCTCAGCCTCCCAAGTAGCTGGGACTATAGGCACTCGCCACCATGACTAGCTAATTTCTAAAAGTTTTTTGTATTTTGTAGAGACAGTCCTTTTTTCTTTTTTTTTCTTTTTTTGAGACAAGATTTCACTCTGTCTCCCAGGCTGGAGTACAGTGGCATGATCACAGCCCACTGCAGCCTCGACCTCCCAGGCTCAAACAATCCTCCTGCCTCTGCCTCCGCCTCCCTAGTGGCTGGAACCACAGGCGCACTCCACCATGCCCATTAATTTCTGTATTTTTTGTAGAGATGGGGTTTTGCCATGTTGACCAGGCTGGTCTTTAGCTCCTGAGCTCAAGCGATCCGCCTACCTCACCCTCCCAAAGTGCTGAGATTACAGGTGTGAGCCACCGCACCCAGCCAAGACAGGGTCTTATATCTTACCCCAGCTGATCTCAAACCCCTGGGCTCAAGTAATCCTCCCGCCCCAGCCTCCCTAAGTGCTGGGATTACAGGCATGAGCCACTGTGCCCGGCCACATTTATTTATGAGATTAAGTGACCAAGCTATATGCACCACAAAAACAGAGACCATATCTGTCTCTTTTCACGATTGTATTCTCAGAACTATCACAGGAGTTAATAAATTTGAAGGATGGATGGATGATAGATGGAGAAAAGTGGGTCTAATATATAAAGGTGATTAATTTCTATCTCCCCTCTAGGTACAAAGACAAAGAAACAAACTACATTGGCATTTAAGCCAATCAAAAAAGGAAAGAAGAGAAATCCCTGGTCTGATTCAGAATCAGATAGGAGCAGTGACGAAAGTAATTTTGATGTCCCTCCACGAGAAACAGAGCCACGGAGAGCAGCAAGTAAGGAAAACTAAAGAACATTATAGATAAACTGTAAGAGTGGAATGGCCAATATACTTCAGGGTACTTTGCCCCAGAAATTACTGTGTCTTAATAGAGCAGTAAATTATGTTAAAGCTTTGAAACACTGAAGCATCTTTCAGGAGATTTAAAAACTAAAATATTCATGAAATGTTATGTCAACCTATGAATTGTTTCTCCTACTACCCTCTTTGATTTTTTTGTATATGGTTTTTTTACTAGCAAAAACAAAATTCACAATGGATTTGGATTCAGATGAAGATTTCTCAGATTTTGATGAAAAAACTGATGATGAAGATTTTGTCCCATCAGATGCTAGTCCACCTAAGACCAAAACTTCCCCAAAGCAAGTATCTTATCTAATATGGGTTTTGTCATGATTGTTTCTAATATATTGTTTTTTGCTTGACACATTTAGAATTGGTTGTCAGGATTTTTTTTTTTAATTCTAGACTTAGTAACAAAGAACTGAAACCACAGAAAAGTGTCGTGTCAGGTATGTATTTAAGTAAAAGTAGTGAGACATCTGCCTTACTGGGACACTCAGATCCAACTGGGTTCTAATCCTGGCTACATTATCCAAGTACTTCCTTTGGAAATAAATTTGAGTTCTTATTAACATTATGTTGATACTGTTCACTGGGTTTAGTTTCACATGTAAATAGGTACTGCATTCAGTATACTAAAAGTAATCATAGTGCTTGCCAGGTACTTTGCTAGGTGCTAGAGATACAAAAAATAAAAACTGTTCTTGCTGATAAAAAATTCAGAAATTAGAACAAAGTTTTAAGAGTATGTTTTAAATATTCCAGAAAAGTCACATATTTGGTGTTTAAATAGGAATTCATACCAGGGACAAAGCAGAAAATGGATTTTCATGTGTTGCTTAAATGTACTATTTTCCTTTCCATTTGAAATAATAGACCTTGAAGCTGATGATGTTAAGGGCAGTGTACCACTGTCTTCAAGCCCTCCTGCTACACATTTCCCAGATGAAACTGAAATTACAAACCCAGTTCCTAAAAAGAATGTGACAGTGAAGAAGACAGCAGCAAAAAGTAAGCCTAAATCTTTGAGATGGGTTAATGTTGCAATTACCTAACTGGTTTCCACGTGTCTATTTCAATTTTTTTATTGCCAAAACTTACTATTGATATTACAGATTAAATGTTTTCCAATTGGAAGCAATTTCTTTTCGATCTTTATAATCAAAATTAGTAGTCAAGGCTGTTCCAAAACAGTAAGTTATCTCTATTGATTGTTCAGTTACAGATCAAACTCCTTGTTCTACTCTTTTCCCTCCTTCTCACTACTGCACTTGACTAGTCAAAAAACAAAACAAAAGCCAGGCAGAGTGGCTCATGCCTGTAATCCCAGCACTTTGGGAGGCTAAAACAAGAGGATTGCTTGAGGCCAGGAGTTCAAGGCTGCAGTGAGCTATATGATCAAGCCACTGCACTCCAGCCTGAGTGAGAGAGCAAGACCCTGTCTCCAAAAATAAGGTAGTCCAAATGTTTAAAATCAGTGAGTTTCTCTCAGTACCAGGCTTCATCTAGTTCATTTCTGTGACAAGGATAGGATTTATAAGCAATTGCAATGTTTAACGTAAAACGTATTCTTGAAATTGAATTAAGTTTAAGGCTGGGTGCAGTGGCTCATGCCTGTAATCCCAGCACTTTGGGAGGCCAAGGTGGGTGGATCACCTGAGGTCAGGAGTTCGAGACTAGCCTGGCCAACATAGTGAAACCTCATCTCTACTAAAAACACAAAATTAGCCAGGTGTGGTGGCACATGCCTGTAGTCAGCTACTCGGGAGGCTGAAACAGGAGAATCACTTGAACCCAGGAGGCAGAGGCTACAGTGAGCCGAGATCGTGCCACTGCACTCCAGCCTGGGCGAGATAGAGCAAGATGCTGTCTCAAAAAAAAAAAAAAAAAAATAGAATGTTTAAGAATACTTTGATTCTCTGTTTTCACCTCTCTTAGATTGTCTTTTCCTATGTTAAATATACAGTCATCACATTGCTGAAGAAAGTTCGCAATGAGAACAATTCATCTAAGAGTGGCTGTGACTAGGTCAGGCGCGGTTGCTCATGCCTGTAATCCCAGCACTTTGGGAGGCCGAGGCGAGTGGATCACCTGAGGTCAGGAGTTTGAGACCAGCTTGACCAACATGGTGGAATCCCATCTCTACTAAAAATACAAAAAATTAGCCGGGTGTGGTGGCACACGCCTGTAATCCCAGCTACTCAGGAGGCTGAGGCAGGAGAATCGCTTGAACCCAGGAGGCAGAGGTTGCAGTGAGCCGAGATAACACCACTGCACTCCAGCCTGGACGATAGAGTGAGACCCCATCTCAAAAAAAGAGCAGCTGTGACAAATGCCTGTATTGAATTGCAGGTCAGTCTTCCACCTCCACTACCGGTGCCAAAAAAAGGGCTGCCCCAAAAGGAACTAAAAGGGATCCAGCTTTGAATTCTGGTGTCTCTCAAAAGCCTGATCCTGCCAAAACCAAGAATCGCCGCAAAAGGAAGCCATCCACTTCTGATGATTCTGACTCTAATTTTGAGAAAATTGTTTCGAAAGCAGTCACAAGCAAGGTGAGTGTTGATCCTAGTCAGTCCTTTTGCTGTAGATGTTCTGAAACACGTAACTAAGCCATTGCTCTTAAAAATTTGGCATATCTTTAAGAAAATTAACTCTCATATTCTGTTAGCTTTTACTGTACATATTTAGTTTTAACAAAGTTAAATATGCCACTTATTTGGGCAATGGAAGAGTTGGCCTTAGATCTGCTTCTTATTACTTGGTAGAAAATAGAAAACTCCTTGAATATAGTGTCTTGATACATTTTTTTACATTACAATTATGTTGTCAGATTTACAATGTGCAAGTTACCTGGGCTTTTCTCTTTTAGAAATCCAAGGGGGAGAGTGATGACTTCCATATGGACTTTGACTCAGCTGTGGCTCCTCGGGCAAAATCTGTACGGGCAAAGAAACCTATAAAGTACCTGGAAGAGTCAGATGAAGATGATCTGTTTTAAAATGTGAGGCGATTATTTTAAGTAATTATCTTACCAAGCCCAAGACTGGTTTTAAAGTTACCTGAAGCTCTTAACTTCCTCCCCTCTGAATTTAGTTTGGGGAAGGTGTTTTTAGTACAAGACATCAAAGTGAAGTAAAGCCCAAGTGTTCTTTAGCTTTTTATAATACTGTCTAAATAGTGACCATCTCATGGGCATTGTTTTCTTCTCTGCTTTGTCTGTGTTTTGAGTCTGCTTTCTTTTGTCTTTAAAACCTGATTTTTAAGTTCTTCTGAACTGTAGAAATAGCTATCTGATCACTTCAGCGTAAAGCAGTGTGTTTATTAACCATCCACTAAGCTAAAACTAGAGCAGTTTGATTTAAAAGTGTCACTCTTCCTCCTTTTCTACTTTCAGTAGATATGAGATAGAGCATAATTATCTGTTTTATCTTAGTTTTATACATAATTTACCATCAGATAGAACTTTATGGTTCTAGTACAGATACTCTACTACACTCAGCCTCTTATGTGCCAAGTTTTTCTTTAAGCAATGAGAAATTGCTCATGTTCTTCATCTTCTCAAATCATCAGAGGCCGAAGAAAAACACTTTGGCTGTGTCTATAACTTGACACAGTCAATAGAATGAAGAAAATTAGAGTAGTTATGTGATTATTTCAGCTCTTGACCTGTCCCCTCTGGCTGCCTCTGAGTCTGAATCTCCCAAAGAGAGAAACCAATTTCTAAGAGGACTGGATTGCAGAAGACTCGGGGACAACATTTGATCCAAGATCTTAAATGTTATATTGATAACCATGCTCAGCAATGAGCTATTAGATTCATTTTGGGAAATCTCCATAATTTCAATTTGTAAACTTTGTTAAGACCTGTCTACATTGTTATATGTGTGTGACTTGAGTAATGTTATCAACGTTTTTGTAAATATTTACTATGTTTTTCTATTAGCTAAATTCCAACAATTTTGTACTTTAATAAAATGTTCTAAACATTGCAACCCATAGAATGCCTCTTTTAAAACACACACTACACCCTTTTCCTTATTCTAAAATATAGTCTTCACTTCCCTTTCAGAAGCATTCCAATCATATTGTGACAGACCTTACAGCCTCTGGCTAAGGTGATAAGTCCAAGAGATAGGCATTAAGACCTAATTAAGGCCAAAGACTCTTTATTGAGATTTTATACATGAGGACTAAGTTCTTCATCTCCACCACACTTGATCAGTAAATATGCATGTATCTTTTTTTTTTAATGATACCTTCCTTTAACAACTATTTTGATAACCTAGTCAACTACTTGATGGTATCAGTAAGATATATTGAGGCAACTGGCTAATCCATTTAGAAAAAAAATCAGATAAATCTCTTTCACACCTTACACCAAAATTAAGTTCAAATAGATGAAATATTTAAATGTCAAAAACTATTTAAAAAGTAACTATAAAAAAAGTAATCTTGAGTTACAGAGGGATAAACTGAACAAAACCCAAAAGTAGTGTTGACAAAGATATGGAGGAATTAGCCCTTTCAAAGAAATCTGGGCCAGGCATGGTGGCTCACACCTGTAATCCCAGCAGTTTGGGAGGCCAAGGAGGGAAGATTGCTTGAGCCCAGGAAGCAGAGGTTACAGTGACCAGAGATTGTGCCACTGCATTCCAGCCTGAGCAAGTCCCTGTCTCAAAAAAAAAAAAAAAAAGGAATTTCGTTTGACAGAAGAATCAGACATGCAAAAAACTATGTAAACACACACAAATATGAGTATAAGTAAATCTGAGTAAGATCAATGGGTTGCTTCAATGTAAGTATTCTGGTTACTATATAATTTTGCAAAATTGGGAAATGGGCAAAGTATACGATGGATCTCCATTCTTTTTTTTTTCCTTTCAGAAAGAGTCCTTGTTTCTGATCCATTTCTTTTTTTTTTTTTCTGGGACAGAGTCTTGCTCTGTCGCCCAGGCTGGAGTGCACTGGGGCCATCTTGACTCATTGCAACTTCTGCCTCCCGGGTACAAACGATTCTCCTGCCTCAGCCTCCCGAGTAGCTGGCATTATAGGTGCATGCCACCACGCCCAGCTAATTTTTGTATTTTTAGTAGAGACAGGGTTTCACCATGTTGGCCCGGCTGGTCTCAAACTCCTGACCTTGTGATCCGCCCACCTCAGCCTCCCAAAGTGCTGGGATTACAGGCGTGAGCCACCATGCCCGGCCTGATCCATTTCTTAAAACTATGTGAATGTACAACTATATCAAAACAAAGCCACATGCAAAGATGCTTATTGAAGTTGCTGTAATAATAAAATGGAAAATAACCTAAATGTCCAAAAGGTTAAAATGGTAAATATGGAATACCAGGTGCCTATTAGGAATGATCATGTAGGCCAGGCGCAGTGGCTCACGCCTGTAATCCCAGCACTTTGGGAGCCCAAGGCAAGCAGACCACGAGGTCAGGAGTTCGAGACCAGCCTGACCAACATGGTGAAACCCCGTCTCTACTAAAAATACAAAAATTAGCCAGGTGTGGTGGCGTGCACCTGTAATCCCAACTACTCAGGAGGCTGAGGCAGGAGAATCGCTTGAACCCAGGAGGTGGAGGTTGCAGTGAGCCAAGATCGTGCTATTGCACTCCATCCTGGGTAACATGAGTGAAATTCCATCAAGAAAAAAAAAATGATCAGGTAGACCAGGCACAGTGGTTCATACATGTATTCCCAGCACTTTGGGAGGCTGAAGTGGGAAGATTGCTTGAGCCCAGGAGTTTGAGACCAGCCTGGGCAACGTAGTGAGACCCCCATCTCTACAAAAAAAAAGGTAAAAATCAGCTGGACATGGTGGTGCATGCCTGTGGTCCCAGCTACTTGGAAGGCTGAGGCAGGAGTATTGCTTGAGCCCAGGGGGCTGCAGTGAGCCATGATGGCACTGCACTCCAGCCTGGGCAACAGAGCAAGACTGTCTCAAAAAAAAAAAAAAATGAATGATCATCTATACTGTTTATTTATTGACATTTATTGACATGAAAAGATAGATGTTCACGACATTGCCAAGTGGAAAAAAGCAGATTACAAATCAAAGATGAAATCCCCATCTGGTAAATATGCCAGTTGTTTACAAAATAAATAGTGGGAGGAAAGTATGTAAACTCTTTTTAGAAAGTAAAAGAATCAAATATTTTTCCTTTTTTTTTTTTTTGGAGATAGAATCTCATTTTGGCACCCAGGCTGGAGTGCAGTGGTACGATCTCAGCTCACTGCAATTCTCTGCTTTCTGCCTCCCAAGGTCAAGCAATTCTCATGCCTCAGCCTCCCAAGTAGCTGGGACTACAGGCGCCTACTGCCATGCCTGGCTAATTCTTTGTGTTTTTATTTGTGGGATTTTCTGGGTTTTTTTGTTTTTTGGGGGATAAAGTCTTGTCTTGCTCTATCACCCAGGCTGGAGTGCAGTGGCACGATCTCGGCTCACTATAACCTCCGCCTGCCTGGTTCAAGTGATTCTCATGCCTCAGCCTCCCAAGTGGCTGGGATCACAGGGAATACAAAAATTACAGTTAATTTTTGTATTTTTAGTAGAGATGGAGTTTCACCATGTTGTCCAGGCTGGTCTCGAATTCCTGACCTCAAGTGATCGTCCCACTTCAGACACCCAAAGTGCTGGGATTACAGGCATGAGCCACCACGCCCAGCTTAAATTTTTTGTATTTTTAGTAGAGATGGGGTTTCACCATGTTGCCCAGGCTGGTCTGAGCTCAGGCAATCCGCCTGCCTCCGCGTCCCAAAGTGCTGGGATTACAGGCCTGAGCCACCGCGCCCGGCCAATAGTTCTCTTTTGAAAGTAGAAGTTTTACATTTCCTGATGAGTAAAGACCTTGCTAACTGAAAGCGGATAATGTTTCCTTGACTCTTTTTTTTCTTTTTTTCTTTTTTTGAGACAAGGTTTCACTCTACCATCCAGGCTGGAGTGCAGTGGCTCAATCTCGGCCCACTGCAACCTCTGCCTCCTGGGCTCAAGCGATCCTCCTGCCTCAGCCTCCCAAATAGCTGGGACCACAGGTACACACCACCACACCTGGCTAATTTTTGTATTTTTTGTAGAGGCAGGGTCTCACTATGTTGCCCCGGCTGTTCTGGAACTCCTGGGCTCAAGTGATCCACCTGCCTCAACCTCCCAAAGAGCTGCGATTACAGGCGTGAGCCACCATGCCAGGCCTATTCATTATTTCTTTTTTTTTTCTTTTATTTATTTATTTTTTTTTTGAAATGGAATCTGACTCTGCCGCCCAGGCTGGAGTGCAGTGGCACAATCTCAGCTCACTGCAACCTCCGCCTCCCAGGTTCAAGCGATTCTCCTGCCTCAGCCTCCCAAGTAGCTGGGACTACAGCCGCCTGCCACCACGCCTGGCTAATTTTTTATATTTTTAGTAGAGACAGGGTTTCACCATGTTAGCCATGATGGTCTCGATCTCCTGACCTCGTGATCCACCCGCCTCGGCCTCCCAAAGTGCTGGGATTACAGGCGTGAGCCACTGCGCCTGGCCTTCGGCCTTCATTATTTCTTAAGCTACTGACACATTAAAGGATATAAAGATTTGCTAATAAACGTGATAGTTTTATGTATTTAGACCCTTTATAGAATGTGGTTATTTCCTATGTGTATGAAACATTCCTTAAATACATATAAGTTATGAATTACAAAAGAATGGCTATTGAGAAAAGACTCAAAAGTTGCATTAATTGGTAAAGGATTCAACAGTAAGTTTACTGAGTCTTTTTTTTTTTATTTTATTTTTTCCATGAGACAGAGTCTTGCTCTGCTGCCCAGGCTGGAGTGCAGTGGCACCATTTCAGCTCACTGCAACCTCCGCCTCCTGGGCTCAAGCAATTCTCCTGCCTCAGCCTCCCAAGTACCTAGGATTGCAGGCACCTGCCACCACTCCCGGCTTTTTTCTTTTTTTTTTTTTTTTAAGATTGAGTCTCGTTCTGTCGCCCAGGCTGGAGTGGAATGGCACAGCTTCGGCTCACTGCAACCTCCGCCTCCCAGGTTCAAGCGATTCTCCTGCCTCAGCCTCCCGAGTACCTGGGATTACAAGCGCACGCCACCACACCCAGCTAATTTTTGTATTTTTAGTAAAGGCAGAGTTTTACCAGTTTGGCCGGGCTGGTCTTGAGTTCCTGACCTCAGGTGATCCACCCATCTCAGCCTCCCAAAGTGCTGGGATTACAGGCGTGAGCCACTGTGCCCAGCCTGGCCCTTTTTGTTTTTAAGATACAGTGCATCCCACTGTTTCTGCTGCAATGGATTTTTTTTTTAATGATTTCTAGCCATTTTTCCTGAAACCCAAACAGAAAAATTTAATTCATTAACTTTTCATTCTTGAGTAATGGATACCTGTTCTTGCCTGTCCCGTACCCTTTCCTCAGTAATTTAGCTGTGGAAAAATATGTTAAAGTCCAAACGAAAACATTTAAGTCCAAAAGCATTCATTGAAGCATTATTTACACTGGTGAGAAATTGGGAACAACATAGATGTCTCACAATAGAAGAATTGGTTAAACTGGGCCAGGTACAGTGGCTCACGCCTGTAATCCCAGCACTTTGGGAGGCCTAGGCAGGCAGATTGCCTGAGCTCAGGAGACCAGCCTGGGCAACATGTCGAAACCCTGTCTCTACTGAAAATACAAAAATTACCTGAGTGTGGTGGTGCACACCTGTAGTCTCAGCTACTTGGGAGGCTGAGACACAAGACTCGCTTGAACCCAGGAAGTGCAGGTTGCAGTGAGCCAAGACTGCGCCACTATAGTCCAGACTGGGCAACAGCAAGAGACTCTGTCTCAAAAATAAATAAATAAATAAATAAAAGAAGAATTGGTTAAACTGGAACATCCTTACCTACAATGTATTGTACAGCCATTAGAAGTCATGTTTTTCCAAAACATCTAATACTACAGGAAAGTCCTCATTATGTTGGGTAGAGAGACAAAAGGGTACAAAACTATTTAGTATCATTTTGTCAAAACTCATCAAATTATACATTATAAAATGGTGCACTATGTGTAAATTCTACCTCAATATGGTGGGGGGAGTAACTGTTATATACTATGAGGCTTAAAATATAAACCAATCCTTCTCAAACCTGTGCTTAAAAAAATTTTTTTTTTTTTTTTTTTTGAGATGGAGTCTCACTCTGTCACCTAGGTTGGAATACAGTGGCACGATCTCGGCTAACTGCAACCTCTGCCTCCCAGGTTCAAGCAATTCTCTGCCTCAGCCTCCCGAGTAGCTGGGATTACAGGTGCCCACCGCCACACCCGGCTAATTTTTGTATTTTTAGTAGAGACAGGGTTTCACCATCTTGGCCAGGCTGGTCTTGAACTCCTGACCTCGTGATCCACCCGCTTGGCCTCCCAAAGTGCTGGGATTACACGCGTGAGCCACCGTGCCTGGTGCTTAAAAATTTTTTAGGGATCTTATTAAATTACAGATTATGATTCAGTAGGTCTGAGCTGGGGCCTGAGATTCTGCATTACAAGTTCCCAAAATGATGTCAATGCCTCTGGTTGCAGACCCTACTTGGAACAGCCAAGGTGCACATATCCAGTGCTTCTCAATGTATGATACCTGGACCAACAGTGTCAGGGACACCTGGGAGCTTCTTAGAAATTCAAATTATCAGCTGGATGTGGTGGCTCATGCCTGTAATCCCAGCACCTTAGGAGGCTGACATGGGTGGATTGCCTGAGGTCAGGAGTTCAAGACCAGCGTAGCCAACAGTGAAACCCTGTCTCTACTAGAAATACAAAAAATTAGCTGGGCATGGTGGCGGGCATCTGTAATCCCAGCTACTCGAGAGGCTGAGGCAGAAGAATTGCTTGAACCTAGGAGGTGGAGGTTGCAGTGAGCCAAGATTGTGCCAATGCACTCCAGCCTGGGAAACAAGAGGGAAACTGTCTCAAAAAAAAAAAAAAAAGAAAGAAAGAAAGAAATTCAAATTATCGGCTCCACTCCAAAACTTCTGACTCAGAAGCACTGTTTTAACAAGCCCTCCAGTTAATTCTGATGCACGCTAAAGTTTCAGAACCACTGTTATCTGAATCCAAAGGCATTTTGCAAGTCGCAGCAAAATGTCAGCTGCTTTTATCTGGAGAATGAGATTTCGATGATTTTTGTTTTCTTTGTGCTTTCCTATAGTTTATAAAAATAAGTATGTGTTTTCTTGTCTGGGTGCAGTAGTTCACACCTGTAATCCCAACATTTTGGGAGGCCAAGACAGGTGGAACACTTGAGGTCAAGAGTTCGAGACCAGCCTGGCCAACATGGTTAAACCCCATCTCCACTAAAAATACAAAAATTAGCTGGGTGTGGTGGCACATGCCTGTAATACCAGCTACTCGGTCAGCTGAGACAGGAGAATCATTTGAACCCAGGAGGTGGAGGTTGCAGTGAGCCAAGATCGCACCACTGTACTCCAGCCTGGGTGACAGACAGCAAAACCCTGTCTTAAAAAAAAAAAAAAGTTAATAGGGCATGGTGGCTTGCACCTGTGGTCCCAGCTACTCAGGAGGCTGAGGTGGGAGAATCCCTTAAACCCATGAGGTCAAAGCTGCAATGAGCCATGATCGTGCCACTGCACATCAGCCTGGGTGATAGGGCAAGACCTTGTCTCAAAAATACATAAATAAATACAGAGAATTGTTGAGTTTTGCCAGTCTCTTCTGTTGCGAGGAATTAAAATGCTAAAAAATTAGTGGGCACAAACTCACTTCTGGGTACCAGCAGGAAGGCTCACAAAGCTGCTCTCTGACCTACTGATAGGTGTCCTCAGTAGGACAAGTCATCTGTGGGAAATCAGGACAGTTTGCAAAACAACTGAGCTGCATGGCTAGAGGTCAACACAGAGTTACACCTTCACAATATTTAGCTTGAGTTCCCAACCACATCAAATTCATGCTCTTGGGGTGACTAAGAAATAATGATTTTCATTAAAGCGTCTTCAGAAGAGCCTTGTTTTTTGTTTTGAGACAGTCTCACTCTGTCGCCCAGGCTGGAGTGCAGTGGCACAATCTCAGCTCACTGCAACCTCCACCTCCCAGGTTCAAGCAATTCTCCTGTCTCAGCCTCCCGAGTAGCTGGGACTACAGGCGTGTGCCACCATGCCCAGCTAATTTTTGTATTTTTAGTACAGACGGGGTTTCACCAAGCTGGCCATGCTGGTCTCGAACTCCTGGTTTCAAGTGATCCTCTCACCTCGACCTCCCAAAGTGCTGGGATTACAGGCATGAGAGACCGTGCCTGGCCCGACCCTTGTATTCTTTATTTTTCTGTTTGTACAACCCCCACTGCAAAAAGTACACAAGCTTTGCAGCCCACCAGCCAATTTGCATAAGATTGGATAATTGTAACTCCTGATACTTCTAGAGCTGGTGATCAAGTAGCTCTTTCTGAAAAACACAAATAGGAATCAGTAAAAATAAGCCAAAGTCAAGCTGTCTTCAGATCTGGAATTACTTTTACTGGTCCAATGCACAGCAAAATTTCCAAAGACCCTGATGCTTCTTGTCCACTGGTTTGCTGTAAAGGCTACAACTATCACCTGGAGGAGAGTGTAGGCAGAGAACTCAATCAGAAGACAGCAGAAAGGTATGACACTGAGGAGGGTGAATAGACTGCTTGTGCTCAGCAGTTGCTGGTCCACACTGCAGTTATGTGATAACGCTGAGCCTCGTGTCACTTTCCAAGGTCTGAAGCGGTGGCCATGAGGCAGATTAGCAGGTCCTTTACTTGGGTTGCAGCTTTTGGTAGTAACACCTTGTACAGTGCATAAGACTCCCTTCTGACACAGTAGATATGTCTTCAATAATTGAAAAATAACAGTGTGAAGAAAGAAGGCTGGCCAGGTGTGGTGGCTCAGTCTATAATCCCAGCACTTTGGGAGGTAGAGGCAGACAGATCACGAGGTCAGGAGATCAAGACCATCCTGGCTAACATGGTGAAATCCCGTCTCTACTAAAAATACAAAACTTAGCCGGGCATGGTGGCGGGCGCCTGTAGTCCCAGCTACTCGGAAGGCTGAAGCAGGAGAATGGCGTGAAGCCAGGAGGCGGAGCTTGCAGTGAGCTGAGTGAGATCGTACCACTGCACTCCAGCCTGGACGATAGAGCGAGACTCTTCCTCAAAAACAAAGAAAGAAAAAAAAAAGAAAGACTCGGAAATGATGGCCAATATTCCTGCTAAGTGATACTCTGGCCAGAAGCAGTGGCTCACGCCTATAATCCCAGCACTTTGGAAGGCGGAGGTGGGAGGATCACGAAGTCAGGAGTTCCAGACCAGCCTGACCAACATGGTGAAACCCCGTCTCTACGAAAAATACAAAAGTTAGCTGGGCATGGTGGCGCACACCTATAATCCCAGCTACTGGGGAGGCTGAGGCAGAAGAATCGATTGAACCCGGGAGGCGGAAGTTGCAGTGAGCTGAGATTACGCCACTGCACTCCAGCCTGGGCAGCAGAGCGAGACTCCATCTCAAAAAAAAGATAAAGAAAAAGAAGTTTTGGCCAGGCACAGTGGCTCACGCCTGTAATCCCAGCACTTTGGAAGGCCAAGGGGGGCGGATCACTTGAGGTCAAAAGTTCAAAACCAGCCTGGCCAAGATGGTGAAACCCTGTCTCTACTAAACATACTAAAACCACCAATGTGCCGGGCACGGTGGCTCACACCTGTAATCCCAGCACTTCGGGAGGCTGAGGTGGGCGGATAACGAGGTCAGGAACTCAAGACCAGCCTGGCCAATATGGTGAAACCCCGTCTCTACTAAAAATACAAAAATTAGCCGGGCGTGGTGGCACATGCCTGTAGTCCCAGCTACTTGGGAGGCTGAGGCAGAAGAATTGCTTGGACCCGGGAGGTGGAGGTTGCAATGAGCTGAGATTGCGCCACTGCACTCGAGCCTAGGCAACAGAGGGAGACTCCATCTCAAAAAAAAAAAAGAAAGAAAGAAAAAGAAAGAAAGAAAACCAGTAATGTATCTTTTCTTGCCGGATGAAACAGGAGTTTGAGCTGGATGGAAAAATGGTTGCCTTACCATCTGTGTGGTTGTAGAATCCAGGGAGTGCAAACTCAAATTATGTGCTTTATAATTGTCTCTGTTAGACAAAAGAGTCTATGAAAAGACTAAATATGAGAACATAAAAACCCATCTTTGATAAATTACAAAGTGAAAAGGTGGAGCGCTCTGGCAGACACCACATTAACTAAGTGATCAAACTTGGCACACCAGTAATGAGACCAAATGCCATAATGTGCTCCTGATGTGATGCAATGGGAAGCGTACATCATCACTCATGGAGTATCCTTGCCAAAAAGACTTAACTTGAACCTAATCATGAGCGAACAATTAGACAAAGTGAGTTATAAAACAAATTCCCACTGAAAGGGGTGAACTTGGGGACTGCTGCTGATAAAACAGACAGGCTCAACTACAAGAAAAGAAGCAACCTGGGCCTGGTGCGGTGGCTCACGCCTCTAATCCCAGTGCTTTAGGAGGCTGAGGTGGGCGGATCACGAGGTCAGGAGTCCAAGACCAGCCTGGCCAATATGGTGAAACCCCATCTCTAATAAAAAAAAAAATTAGCCACCCGTGGTGGCGCGCGCCTATAATCCCAGTTACTCAGGAGGCTGAGGCAGGAGAATCGCTTGAACCCAAGAGGCGGAGGTTGCAGTGAACCAAGATCACACCATTGCACTCCAGCCTGGGCAACAGAGCAAGACTCTGTCAAAAAAAAAAAAAAAGCAGCAACCTGGTCCCAAATCTCAGCCTTGAATCACTAACCCTAAATCTCAGTCTTCATTTATTTTTAATGTAGAAATCCTCTGTCCACCTGACATGGTCAAACTGTTCGGAGTGGGACAGATGACTTTACATCCCTGAGGGTAAAGAAATAATATGGAAATGATAAGGTAATCAAACCCATAGTATTTATAATTTAGTGTTAAAAGTCATCAGGATAATGTGTCTGTATTGCATATTTTAAATGTCTCTAATGTTTAAGAGAACGTAACATTCTTTCAACCTGTCACATTAGAGAATCTTTCAGATTTGCCTTGTAATTTCAATTTTTTTTAAGAGACAAGAGTCTTGCTCTGTCACCCGGGCTGGAATGCAATGGCACGGCTATGGCTCACTGCAGCCTCTACTACCTGGGCTCAAATGATCCTCTCATCTAGGCCTCCTGTGTAGCTGGGACTACAGACACTTGCCACCACGCCTACACCCAGCTGTTTCTTTTGGTTTTGGTTTTTACTCTCCCTCAAATCTTGGAACCCAGCTGTTTTTTTCAATTTAAATGCACAATTTTCTAGGTATGATTTAACATTGAAAGGCTTAAGGAACTTGATTAAATTTGTAAACATTATAACATTTTTGTAAAACTTAAAAGAACCTGAATTAGGGCGGGGTGCGGTGGCTCACGCCTGTAATTCCAGCAGTTTGGGACGCCGAGGTGGGAGGATCATTTGAGGTCAGGAGTTCGAGACCAGCCTCACCAATACGGTGAAATCCTGTCTCTACTGAAACTACAAAAATTAGCCGGACATCCGGACATGGTGGCGCAAGCCTGTAGTCCCAGCTACTGGGGTGGATGAAGCAGGATAATCGCTTGAACGTGGGTGGTGGAGGTTGCAGTGAGCTGAGATCGTGCCACTGCACTCCAGCCTGGGAGACAGAGCAAGGCTACTCCAACCCCAAAAAAAAAAAAAAAAAAAAAAAAAAAAAAAAAAAAAAAAGCACATGAATTACCACATTGGTAAATTTGGTTTATTTGCTTTACAAGTTGTTTTAATGCATAGGAAGATATTGTTTTTTTAGAGTTGCACGTCTGCCCCCTCAGGCATTAGAAGTGTTTAGAAATGTAATCAATTAGATGTTTTATGCTTAGGCAAATTTGACTTCTCAAAAGTGAGGTAATTAAAAATTAGATAATACGTGAAAGTGATTATTCTTATTATTATTTTGTTGAGAGACAGTCTTGCTGTTGCCCACGTTGGAGTGCAATGGCACAATCTCAGTTCACTGCAACCTCCACCGCCCAGGTTCAAACAATTCTTCCGCCTCAGCCTCCGGAGTGGGATTACAGGCGCAGGCCGCCATTCCCCGCTAATTTTTTGTATTTTAGTAAAGATTGGGTTTCACCGTATTACCCAGATTGATCTCGAACTCTTCAGCTCAGACAATCCGCTGGCCTCGACCTCCCAAAGTGCTGGTGGGTGCGGAATTGGTGGGTTCTTGGTCTCACTGACTTAAAGAATGAAGCTGTGCACCCTCGCGGTGAGTGTCACAGTTCTTAAAAACAGTGTGTGCGGAGTTCGTTCCTTCTGCTGCCTTCTGCTGTTTGGATGTGTTTGGAGTTTCTTCCTTCTGGTGGGTTTGTGGTTTCGCTGGCTGAGGACTGAAGCTGCGGACCTTCGCGGTGAGTGTTACAGCTCTTAAGGGGGCGCGTGTGGAGTTATTCATTCCTCCTGGTGAGTTCATGGCCTCACTGGCTTCAAGAGTGAAGACGCAGACCTTCCAGATGAGTGTTACAGCTCATAAAGGCAATGTGGACCCAAAGAGAGACAGCAGTAAGATCTGTACAACCTGAAAACCGTACAACAACAAATCTTCCACAATGTGGAAGGTGATCTCAGCGGGTTGCCACTGTTGGCTCCAGCAGCCTGCTTTTATTCTCTTATCTGGCCCCACCCATATCCTGCTGATTGGTCCATTTTACAGAGAGCCGATTGGTCCATTTTACAGAGAGCCGATTGGTCCATTTTACAGAGAGCTGATTGGTCCGTTTTTGACAGGGTGCTGATTGGTGCGTTTACAATCCCTGAGCTAGACAAAAAAGTTCTCCATGTCCCCACTAGATTAGCTAGATACAGAGTGTCCACACAAAGGTTCTCCAAGTCCCCACCAGAGTAGCTAGATACAAAGTGTCAATTGGTGCATTCACAAACCCTGAGCTAGACACAGGGTGCTGACTGGTGTGTTTACAAACCTTGAGCTAGATACAGAGTGATGATTGGTGTATTTACAATCCCTTAGCTAGACATAAAGGTTCTCCAAGTCTCCACCAGAGTAGCTAGATACAGAGTGTCGATTGGTGCATTCACAAACCCTGAGCCAGATACAGAGTGCCAATTGGTGTATTTACAATCCCCTAGCCTAGACATAAAGGTTCTCCAAGTCCCCACCAGACTCAGGAGCCTAGCTGGCTTCACCCAGTGGATCCCGCACCAGGGCTGCAGGTGGAGCTGCCTGCCAGTCCCGTGCCGTGTGCCTGCACTCCTCAGCCCTTGGGTGGTCGATGGGACTGGGTGCGTGGAGCAGGAGGCAGTGCTCGTCGAGGAGGCTTGGGCCGCACAGGAGCCCACAGGAGGGGAGGCTCAGGCATGGCAGGCTGCAGGTCCCGAGCCCTGCCCCGTGGGGAGGCAGCTAAGGCCCAGCAAGAAATGGAGCACAGTGCCAGTGGGCCGGCACTGCTGGGGAACCCAGCACACCCTCTGCAGCCGCTGGCCCGGATGCTAAGCCCCTCATTGCCCGGGGCCAGCAGGGCCGGCAGGCCGCTCTGAGTGCGAGTGCAAGGCCTGCCAAGTCCACGCCCACCCGGAACTCCAGCTGGCCCACAAGGGCCGAGCGTGCAGCCCCGGTTCCTGCTTGCGCCTCTCCCTCCACACCTCCCTGCAAGCTGAGGGAGCCGGCTCCGACCTTGGCCAGCCCAGAAAGGGGCTCCCACAGTGCAGCGGTGGGCTGAAGGGCTCCTCAAGTGCCACCGAAGTGGGAGCCCAGGCAGAGGAGGCACCCAGAGCGAGCAAGGGCTGCCAGCACACTGTCACCTCTCACTGGGATTACAGGTGTAAGCCACCGTGCCCGGCCCCAAATTATTAAATGTATAACTAGAATAACAAACTGTGTAAATTGGACCTGAAGGCTTAAAAGGAAAAAATTGGATTTTTTAAAATTTAAAGTTTTGATCAACTGTAAATAAATTCAAACCCAAGGATACTGATTTTGAGCTCAAAATCCCTTTCAAACATTAGAAACTCACGGGGCGCTGTGGCTCACGCCTGGAATCCCAGTTCTTAGAGAGGCAGAGGCGGGCAGATATCTTGAGCCCAGGAGTTCAGACCTGCCTGGGCAATATAGCTAGAACCTATTCTCCACAAAAAGGGGGGGAAAATGTGTAACTCAAACATTAGAAATTCAAACTGATAGTGAGGTAGGAGGCGGGACTCGACTCTGCGGGCAGGCCTGGGACACCGGACAAAATTGAGGACTAGCTAAAACAGGGATGAGTGGAAGCAGCTTTCCGTCAGTGCCCACCAGTGGGCCCTGTCAGTTTCCCATTGCCATGGCAACACCCAGGGGAGTTACCGCCCCTTTCCATGGCAACAACCTAACCACCGGGAAGTTACCATCCTTTTCCTAAAAATTTCTGCATAAACCTCCCCTTAATTTGCATATAACTAAAAGTGGGTATGCATGTGACTGCAGACCTGCCTCTGAGCTGCTTCTCTGGGCACATTGCCTATGGGGTAGCCCCGCTCCGCATGGAGCAGCACCTCTGCTGCTGCTGTGCATCAATGCGTCAATAAAAATTGCTAACACCACCAGCTCACCCTTAAATTCTTTCCTGGGCAAAGCCAAAAACTCTCTTGGGCTAAGCCTCACTTTTGGGGCTTGCCTGTCCTGCATCATCAGGAGCAAGCCAGATTACCCTATTTCATAAAGAATAGGGAAAAGACAGTCAACAAAAGAGGAGAGGGTGACCAGTGTGGAGTGTAGGAGGACAAAAAGGAGGAGGAGGGGGAGAAGAAGGAAAGAAGTCCACCGGAGAGGTGAGAGAGAGATGTGTAATGATGACTTAGAGAAAGTCTTACTCTCTGTTTTCATTGTCACCTCAATGATTTTCAGCACAGATATGCATTGCTTTTTTCTTTTTAATCAACCGTGAGTTGTAATTTACATACATAAAATGCACCCATTCTTTTTTTTTTTTCAGACGGAGTCTCACTCTGTCACCCAGGCTGGAGTGAAGTGATGCAATCTCAGCTCACTGCAATCTCTGCCTCCTGGGTTGAAGCAATTCTCCTGCTTCAGCCTCCCGAGTAGCTCGGACCACAGGCACCCGCCACCACACCTGGCTAATTTTTGTATTTTAATGGAGATGGGGTTTCACCATGTTGGCCAGGCTGGTCTTGAACTCCTTACCTCAGGTGATTCGCCCAATTCAGCCTCCCAAAGTGCTGGGGTTACAGGCATGAGCCACCGCGCCCGGCCATAAAATGCATTCATTCCAAGTGTAAAGATTGATGACTTTTTGATAAAGGTGAACTCCTCCCTTCCAAGTGCTAACCAGACCCAACCCTGCTTAGCTTCCAAGTTCAGGGTGGTATGGCTGTAAATGGTAAATGTATCCACTTGAACAACCGCAATCACAATCAAGATATAAAGCATTTCTATCACCTCAAAAAGTTCTTATGTGCCTCTTCAACCCCTAGCCCCAGAAAAACCCTAATTTGATTTCCAGCATTACAGATTACATTCACCTATTCTAGAACTTCATATACATGAAATCACAGTACGTATGCTTTTGTGTCTGGCTTCTTTCATTCAGCATGTTTTAGAAATGCATCCATGTTGGCCGGGCGCGGTGGCTCACGCCTGTAATCCCAGCACTTTGGGAGGCTGAGGCGGGCAGATCATGAGGTCAGGAGATCAAGACCAAGGGCCCCGGCCCTTCTTTTTTTTTTATTGCTGAATATTTTTCCATGGTATCATCTTGTTTCTCCATTCACCTGTTGATGGACATCTGGGCTGTTTCCAGTTTGGGCTCATTATGAATAAAGCTGTAATAAGCATTAGAGTACATATCCTTTTCTAGACATAACTTGTCATTTCTCTTGGGTAGATACGTAGGAGTGGAATTGTCGAGTCACATGTTAAGTGTATGTTTAACTTCATAAGAAACTGAGGAGCTGGTTTTCAAAGCAGTTGCATCATGGTACATTCCCTCTTACTTGCTCGGTACTTTCAGGAGTCAGATTTGTGTTCTCTTGGGTAAGACAATGTATTAGTCACGGTTCTCTAGAGGGACAGAACTAATGGAATAGATATATATAAAGGGAAGTTTATTAAGTATTTACTCACATGATCACAAGTTCTCACAATAGGCCATATCTGCAGGCTGAGAAGCAAGGAGAGCCAGTCCAAGTTCCAAAACTGAAGAATTTGGAGTTGGGGGGCAGGAAGCATCCAGCATGGGAGAAAGATGTAGGCTGGGAGGCTAGGCCAGTCACTCTTTTCACATTTTTCTGCCTGCTTATATTCTAGCCGTGCTGGCAGCTAATTAGATTGTGCCCACCCAGATTAAGGGTGGGTCTGCCTTTCCCAGCCCACTGACTCAAATGTTAATCTCCTTTGGCAACACCCTTACAGACACACCCAGGATTGTATCCTTCAATCCAATCAAGTTGACCCTCAGTATTAACCATTACAGACGATATCTTCATTGGGCTCAAGGTAGCTCCAATACATCATGATGAGTGTAAAAAGATATTATACCCATAAATGTGTTTTTGTCAGGCCTCTGAGCCGAAGCTCAGCCATTATAACCCCTGTGACCTGCACATACACGTCCAGATGGCCTGCAGGAGCCAAGAAGTCTGGGGCAGCTGAAAAACCACAAAAGAAGTGAAACAGCCAGTTCCTGCCTTAACTGATTAACCAACATTACAACATTCCACCATTGTGACTTGTCCCTGCCCTACCTTAACTGATCAATCGGCCTTGTGACATTCTTCTTCTGGACAATGAGTCTTATAATCTCCCCACCATGTACCTTGTGACCCCCTCCTCTGCTAACAATAGATAACCACCTTTTACTGTAATTTTCCATTACCTACCCAACTCCTATAAAGCAACCCCTTCCCCATCTCTCTTCATTGACTCTCTTTTCGGACTCAGCCCACTTGCACCCAAGTGAATAAACAGCCTTGTTGCTCACACAAACCCTGTTGGTGGTCTCTTCACATGGATGCGCTTGACAGTTTTTAGGTGGAAGAAAGGAAGCTCCATCCATAGATGACCTTGTCTTCTGCCCCTAGTAACTTTCCAGGGCCTGTGCCAAGCACAGCCCTTTGGGTCCAGAATTGTTTTCAGGCAGGGAGCTTCAGTGGTCTGTGGGTCCACTGATCTTGAGCTGACCTGATTGCACTACTGACCTGCTTAGTCCCCCTTGAGAGACTCTGGAAGGGCAGGGATCTCGGAGTACTCTCCATCCCAGACCAAGTCCAGGATCATGAGGCTGGGGTGATGGAAAAAGGATCGGGACCCCAGGCTACAGGCAGTGATAGTGATTGCTTACACATCTTGACATGTACAAAAACACAGGCCATTCAGAGCTGCATGGCAAAGGGGTGGTGGGGGGGGTGCAGGGGAGGGACTCTGAAAAATGCCTCTTGATGACTCAAATCCTTCCCCTGCCCCAGCCCCAATCCCAAAGCAATTTCTCTCACCTGTCAGTTCACTCAGGAAAAAGAAGGGCTTTCAAGGAAAGGAAGAAAGGGATTCCCAAGCCCCTTGGTCACTAAGAAGAGGCTACCGCAGGCCCCAGCCACCTTCAGGTACACTCATTGTCTTTCCAGAGCAAGGTTGCTACATGTGCAACCTAAAAATGGGCGAAAACGCAGGAGCTCCCCTCGGAGGAAATGACCCTTCTGCCCAAGGACGGTAAAGAAGGGATGAGGCTTGGCAGAGGGGTGTGAAGGAAAGCCCAGAGGTGCAGTGGTTTGGAAGGGCCTAGGGACAAGGTGACAGACAAGACTGTGGAGGCTTCCTTCTTCCTCCAGAGCAGCTAATGGGGGCAAAGACTTGGGAGGAACCCAGTGAGTCCAACGACCCATGTCAGCGTGGGGGACCAATGCCAGAAGCAGATCTGTGACAGCGAGGGAGTCTCCCTGCTCCCTCCTGGGCACAAGAATAAAGACTACATTTCCCAGCATCCCTTGCGGATAGGTGTGGTCGTGGGGCTCATCCTACCCAATGACATGTGAGCAAATCGGTAAAGTGGCCACTTCCTGGCCCTTTTCTGAGACAGGGGGAGAGAGAGAGAGAGAGAGCGAGAGGGAGACAGCATGGGGCTGTGGCGGGGGCAGCGAGGTGCCCGCGCCCCTGAGGACTCCATGGGGCAGGCTTTTTTTTCTTTTTTTTTTTTTCTTTTGAGATGGAGTCTCTCTCTGTCGCCCAGGCTGGAGTGCAGTGTCCCAATCTGGGTGCACTGCAACCTCCGCCTCCTGAGTTCAAGCGATTCCCCTGCCTCAGCCTCCCGAGTAGCTGGGATTACAGGCCCGTGCCACCACGCCCGGCTATTGGTAAAGACCTGGTTTCACTATGTTGGCCAGGTTGGTCTCGAACTCCTGACCTCAGGTGATCCGCCCACCTCGGCCTCCCAAAGTGCTAGGATTACAGGTGTGAGCCACCGCGCCCAGCCCTTTATTTTTTTAAGACTGCGTTTCGCTCTGTTGCCCAGGCTAGAGTGCAATGTCGCAGCTCACTGCAACTTCCGCCCCAGGGTTCAAGCGATTCTCCTGCTTTAGCCTCCTGAGTAGCTGGGATTACAGGCGTGCACCACCACGCCCGGCTAATTTTTGTATTTTTTAGTAGAGATGGGGTTTCACCGTGTTGGCCAGGCTGGTCTTGAACTCCTGACCTCAGGTGATCCGCCCCTCTAGGCCTCCCAAAGTGCTAGGATTATAGGCATGAGCCACCGCACCCAGCTGGGGCAGAGTTTTTATGTGAGAGAGAAACAAACTTCTCTCTTGCTTAAGCCACTGTTTGGAATTGTTGTTCCATCCAAACCTAATCTTTTTTTTTTTTTTTTAAGACAGAGTCTCGCTCTGTCATCCAGGCTGGAGTGCAGTGGCGCGATCTTGGCTCACTGCAACCTCTGCCTCCCGGGTTCACGCCATTCTCCTGCCTCAGCCCCCCAAATAGCTGGGACTACAGGTGCCCGCCACCACGCCTGGCTAATTTTTTTGTATTTTTAGTAGAGACGGGGTTTTACCGTGTGTTAGCCAGGATGGTCTCAACCTCCTGACCTCGTGATCCGCCCGCCTCAGCCTCCCAAAGTGCTGGGATTACAGGCGTGAGCCACCGCACCCGGCCCCAAACCTAATCTTAAATAATCATGGAGCCAAAGGAGGGAGCAAAGGCTAGATGCGAAGGCGCGTCCCAGGTGTTGAAAATGCAGGGCCCCAGGGGTCCATAGGGAGCCAAAGGCAAGCTCCAAGGCAAGAGCCAGGAGGTGGGGCCACCCTGGGGTGGCAGAAGTCATCTGGTCTGGAAGGTTTTCGGGGCGCTGGGAAGAATATGAAGGGTCAGAAGCTGCAGCCAGGTTGGGGAGGGTGCAGAAGGACTAGAAGGGACCAAGAAGAGCCAACTCTGCCGCCCTCCACCCCTTCCCTCTCCCACCCAGGCATGGACCCAAGGCCAGCCGAGCTGGGGGCAGGTGTTTACCATGAATCCATTTTTGAGTTCTTGTTTCTATCTAGGATGGGAAATTCTGATTGCTGACCTGAGACTGGATTGGCCACTTAAATGCCCACAGCCCTAGAGGAGACCAGAGCCAGCAGTTGAGACCTGAGACACTCAGAGTTCTTATCACCTTAGGGCAGAAACTTCCACCCACTTCATTCATTCATCCACCCAACAAACATCTACTGAGCATCCACTGTGTGCCCCCAACCATTCTAGGTGCTGGGGATGGGACAGTAAGCAGAGCACCAAAAATTCCTTCCCTGTGGATCACCTGTGCTATTGGGAGAGATGGACGCTAAGCAGGATACATAAGAAAAAGATAAAATTGGCCAGGTGCGGTGGCTCACCCCTATAATCCCAGCACTTTGTGAGGCCTAGGCGGGTGGATTATTTCAGGTCAGGAGTTCCAGACCAGCCTGGCCAACATGGTGAAACCTCGTCACTACTAAAAATACAAAAATTAGCCGGGCGTTGTGGTGGGTGCCTGTAATCCCAGCTACTCGGGAGGCTGAGGCAGAACTGCTTGAACCTGGGAGGCGGAGGTTGCAGTGAACTGAGATCGTGCCATTGCACTCCAGCTTGGGTGACAGAGTGAGGCTCCGTCTCTCTCTATGTGTGTGTGTGTGTGTGTGTGTGTGTGTGTGTGTGTGTGTGTGTATAGTTATGTAGTAGTCAATACAAAGGAAATAAAGCTGAGAAGGGACAGGAAACAGAGGGGTAAATTTCTGCTAGGGCAGCTGGGGAAAGCCTCACGAAAAGACAGCATTTCTGTAAGGACTTTTTAAAATGTTAGCAGGGCACAGGAGACAAAACAGCAGTGTGATGGCTCAAGGATGTCAGTAAATAGAATAAATAAATAAATAACAATAAAAAATAAGTGGCCAGTTATGGTGGCTCATACTTGTGATCCTAGCACTTTGAGAGGCCAAGGCTGGCGGATCAATTGAGCCCAGGAGTTCCAGGCCAGCCTGGGCAACATGGCAAGACCCTCATCTCTACAAATAATTTTTTTTTTTTGAGATAGAGTCTCCCTCTGTTGCCCAGGTTGGCCTGCAGTGGCACGATCTTGGCTCACTGCAACCTCCACCTCCTGAGTTCAAGCAATTCTCCTGACTAGCTGGGAATACGGGCATGTGCCACCATGCCCAGCTAATTTTTGTATTTTTTAGTAGAGACGGGATTTCACCATGTTGGCCAGGCTGGTCTCGAACTCCTGACCTCAGGTGATCTACCCGCCTCGGCCTCCCAAAGTGCTGGGATTACAGGCATGAGCCACCATGCCAGGCCTTACAAATAATTTATTTTTATTTATTTAGTTAGTTTTTATTTCATAATCATAAGCTTAATTCTGCAATCCAGCTAGGCATGGAAAGGAACAAGGAAAACAGGGAACTCAAAGCGAACTGATCGAGAGCACAAAGATTCTAGGATACTGTGAGCAAATGGGGTGGAGGGTGCTCTCCTGAGCTACAGAAGGAATGGGCTGGTGGTTAAGATAAAACACAAGTCAAACTCATTAGAGTTGCCCACAGTCAGCAATGGTGATCTTGCTGGTCTTGCCATTCCTGGACCCAAAGCGCTCCCTGGCCTCTGCAATATTCATGCCTTCTTTCACCTTGCCAAAGACCACACCCTTGCCATCCAACCACTCAGTCTTGGCAATGCAGATAAAAAACTGGGAACGGTTTGTGTTGGGTCCAGCATTTGCCATGGACAAGATGCCAGGACTGTATGCTTCAGGAAGAAGTTCTCATCATCAGATTTCTCCCTGCAGATGGACTTGCCACCAGTGCCATTATGGCGTGTGAAGCCACCACCCTGACACATATACCCTGGAATAATTCTGTGAAAGCAGGAACTCTTATAACCAAACCCTTTCTCTCCAGTGCTCAGAGCACCAAAGTTTTCTGCTGTCTTTGGAAACTTGTCTGCAAACAGCTCGAAGGCGACACAGCCCAAGGGCTCACTGCCAGCGGCGATGTTGAAGAACATGGTGGGGTTGACCATGGCTGATAGTTACTGGGTACAAACACATACGTGCACCTATGTGTGTCTTACATGAGCAGTGGCCCCACAATCCGATGGCCAGGGAGAGGTGTCTGGAACAGAGACCGGAGCGAGGCAGGATTGGCCTCTCAGCCCAGCCCCAGATTTTTTTTTTTTTTTTTTGAGATGGAGTCTTGCTCTGTTGCCCAGGCTGGAGTGCAGTGGTGCCATCTCGGCTCACTGCAAGCTCCGCCTCCCAGGTTCACGCCATTCTCCTGCCTCAGCCTCCCAAGTAGCTGGGACTACAGGCGCCCGCCACGACACCTGGCTAATTTTTTGTATTTTTTAGTAGAGACGGGGTTTCACCGTGTTAGCCAGGATGGTCTCGATCTCCTGACCTTGTGATCCGCCTGCCTCGGCCTCCCAAAGTGCTGGGATTACAGGCGTGAGCCACTGCACCCAGCCCCCGGCCCCAGTCTTTAGGCATGGCCGAGAATGGGCCACCGGCTGCCAGATGGAGGCAGCGTCAGCAACACCTCCTCTCAGGCTGGATGGCGCTATCAGGGAAGGAGGACCGGGCCTGAGATTGTAGAGTCTCTGGGTCTGGCCCTGTGGCATCACAGGCTGCAGACAGCACAGGGTGACTGTAGGCTCTCCACTTCCCACCCCACCCTGGCCCACCGCCTCAGCTGCTTTCCATTCCCGCAGGGCTGATGGGCTTTTTCCAGGTGGCGCCAATGGCCTGACCCAGCAGGAGCCACGGGACAGGACGGGGTGGGGACCATTCCTGGACAGTCAAGGGAGATGAGATGTGACCCTGAGCCCCTGTGGCTGGGGGCAGGGGGCCGGTAGCAGCTTTGCCAGGGGCAGAGGGAGGTCGGGAGGGTGAGGCCAGCAGCGCCCCCAACCCACATCCTGTTTTCAGAATCTGGGGCTCCAGCATGTGCTTTTTCCCTTGGACTTTCTCCAGGGCAGCGTCCCCCACCCAGGCCCACTCCCAAGGGAAGCCTGCACGAGGGCAGGAGGGTTCCCCAACACACACAAGCAGGAGTTTACCTAGAGTTTTTCCTGCGGGGGCTGGGCCCCTGAGCTGGAGGGAGTGGTGGGTGAAGGGTACGTGCCTTCCCCTTCCTGAAAGTGGACCTGGGGGTCTGCGTCAGCATATGGAAAACCACACAGGCACCCATGGCTGATAGGGAGAGGAACTGTGACCAAGGAGGTGAGTCCTGCTGCCCTTCTTCAGAGGGGCAGGCATGACCTCCCTCCAGTGCCTGCACCCACCAGCCCCACACAAGGCTGGCATAGAGGCAACCCCTCCTGGGGACTGTCAGGCCCTGGGACAGCACCTGGGAAGCCCAGCCAGGCTGGATGGAGGACAGTTCCATGAAAGGCTCAAGAGCTTGGGCTCAAGAACTAGTTGGGCCTCGCATAGGCCTGGATCTGCTATTTACCGGCTGCGCGACAGCAGGCAAGTGGCTTAGACCCTCTGAGTCTCAGTTTCCCCTGGTGTAAATAGTGCCCTCATGCCACCATTGACAGAGAATCGAATGAGCTCATTGGCATATGGAGCTAACGGGGTTCCACACGGGGACTGGCCCAGCAGGTGCATAGGTGAAGCGGGTTTTGCTATGCACTCAGGCGGACCCCTAGGAAGGCAGAGCAGACAACCAAACATCTCAGCCTGGAGTGTCCCCTCCCTGACCACTCAGATCACCGTCGGTCACCCTTACTCCCTTCTCCATAAAACAGCTTCCCCCGCCACCCAGGGCAGTAGGAGGGAACTCTCAATTCAGAGCCTTCTGGGGGGAAAAAGTCCTATTTTTCACATTATAAAATAACATGAGGCCGGGCGCGGTGACTCAAGCCTGTAATCCCAGCACTTTGGGAGGCCGAGGCAGGTGGATCACCTGAGGTCAGGATTTCGAGACCAGCCTGACCAACATGGAGAGATCCTGTCTCTATTAAAAATACAAAATTAGCTGGGCATGGTGGCACATGCCTGTAATCCCAGCTATTCAGGAGGCTGAGGCAGGAGAATCGCTTGAACCCGGGAGGAGGAGGTTGCGGTGAGCTGAGATCACACCACTGCACTCCAGCCTGGGCAACAAGAGCAAAACTCTGTCTCAATAAATAAATAAATAAATAAATAATAAAATAACATGTTAGGCCGGGTGTGGTAGCTCACGCCTGTAATCCCGGCACTTTGGGAGGCTGAGATAGGCGGATTGTTTGAGGTCAAGAGTTCGAGATCAGCCTGGTCAACATGGCGAAACCCCACCTCTACTAAAAATACAAAAATTAGCCGGGCGTGGTGGCGCACACCTGTAATCCCAGCTACTGGGGAGGCTGAGGCAGGAGAATCGCTTGAACCCGGGAGGCGGAGGTTGCATTCAGCCAAGATCATGCCACTGCACTCCAGCCTGGGCGACAGAGCTAGACTCCATCTCAAAACAAACAAATTAAAAATAAATAAATAAATAACATGTTCATTATAGTAAAGCTGGAAATAACAGAAAAGTGGGAAGGAAACCAAAGATTTTATTTAACTATCAAAGCCAGGCACTTGGGATATTTTAATGGTTTTCCATATGGGATTTTTTTTTTTTTTTTTTTTTTTGCAGGCACAAGGGTTTTTTTGGTTCTCTGTAATATGGTTGGGAATTCAATATTAAGAAGTAGAGAATCCCAGCTACTCAGGAGGCTAAGGTGTGAGGATCACTTGAAGCCAGGAGTTCAAGATCGACCTGGGCTATGTAGAGAGACCCCGTTCCAAAAAAGATGTAAAGCTGGAAGGAAACTTGGGGGTCAGCTGGACTGGCCGCCTTTGTTGACAAGGCAGGAAAGCCTGGCTCAGTACCGCCGAATGATTTGTCCAAGGTGAGCGGTGGCAGAGCTGGAACCAGAAGCTGTTAGATGTTTGCTGCCCCTTAAACTCCAGCACCAAACCTCCCTCTGTCCCCGAAGACCATCTTCACAGGGCATGGTTAGTGCGTAGTGGATCTAGGCTCCAGACTGAGGGTCTGTCTGGGAAGGGCTTCTAGGAATCCCCCAGCTTCCTCGATAAAGGATGTGGCTCTGGTTACCCCCCTCCCCCATTTCCAGATGGAAATTTAGCTAAAGAGTGAGGGCCACAGAGCCCAGCAAGGGGCGTGGTCCGTGCCTGTTCCCAAGGGCGGAGCCAGCCAGCAGGGTCACCCTGTTCCTTTAAGAGAAGGGGGAGCGCTAGCCCCTCTCAGCCATCCTGTCCTGTCCTCCATCCTGGCCAAATCCGAAAGGGAAAATGAAAGAGGGAGCAGGAGGCGCCGGTCCCAGCCACCTCCCAAGGTCCCTGGCTCAGCTCTGACACCCCAGTCCCGGCCCCAGGGTGAGTGGGGTTGGGTGGCGGTTTAGGGGCACCAGGGGCGTGTGGGGACCTGTGTAAGTGTGGGGTGGGGAGGATCTCAGGAGATGTGGAGGCTGGAGGCACAGGAGGCCAGGGAGGAGGGAGAAGCCTGGCGTCGCACTCCCACCACGCTGGGGTAGGAGGGCAGGGACACCTCCGACAAAGGACCCTGTGAGAGTTATGAAAGCGGAGTTGCCTCTGTACCAGCCCCCCACCCTGAGAGGAGTTCACTGCAGTAAAAATGGTGAGAGAAATGGTGGGCCAAGAAAGGAGTGGTCTCGCTGCCTCTGCCACTCCCACTCCTCCCATGGGCACCAAATTGGGTCTAGCGTCTCGGGTTCGAGGCTCCACTCTTCCCACAGCATCCTTGACAGCTAAGGGCACCGCTGGGTTTCCGCTTCCGAAACCAGGCAAGTCAGGGGCTGGTCCAGCTGATCTCCAAGGTCCTTCCTAAGAATCTGGGATCTGGAGGATCCCAGGGTCGAACGGAGACGGCTCAGGGGGTGCGGCTAAAATGCAAATGGGGGATCCTCCCCAGCACCCATCGGTCCCAAAGAGAAGGTAACCCATAGCTGAGCGTCGCCTGCTCCCCTCGGGCCCTCCCGTGGCCCTCCGTTTCATACTGGTCTCATCGCTAAACCCGGGCCTCTCCTACCTCACGACTCACCCTGAAGTCAGAGAAGGTCCAACGGACCCCACCCCGATAGGCTTGGAAGGGGCAGGGGTCCCTGACTTGCCCCATCCCCTGACTCCCCGCCCCGCGTCCCCAGCGCCATGGGGGAGTGGGCGTTCCTGGGCTCGCTGCTGGACGCCGTGCAGCTGCAGTCGCCGCTCGTGGGCCGCCTCTGGCTGGTGGTCATGCTGATCTTCCGCATCCTGGTGCTGGCCACGGTGGGCGGCGCCGTGTTCGAGGACGAGCAAGAGGAGTTCGTGTGCAACACGCTGCAGCCGGGCTGTCGCCAGACCTGCTACGACCGCGCCTTCCCGGTCTCCCACTACCGCTTCTGGCTCTTCCACATCCTGCTGCTCTCGGCGCCCCCGGTGCTGTTCGTCGTCTACTCCATGCACCGGGCAGGCAAGGAGGCGGGCGGCGCTGAGGCGGCGGCGCAGTGCGCCCCCGGACTGCCCGAGGCCCAGTGCGCGCCGTGCGCCCTGCGCGCCCGCCGCGCGCGCCGCTGCTACCTGCTGAGCGTGGCGCTGCGCCTGCTGGCCGAGCTGACCTTCCTGGGCGGCCAGGCGCTGCTCTACGGCTTCCGCGTGGCCCCGCACTTCGCGTGCGCCGGTCCGCCCTGCCCGCACACGGTCGACTGCTTCGTGAGCCGGCCCACCGAGAAGACCGTCTTCGTGCTCTTCTATTTCGCGGTGGGGCTGCTGTCGGCGCTGCTCAGCGTAGCCGAGCTGGGCCACCTGCTCTGGAAGGGCCGCCCGCGCGCCGGGGAGCGTGACAACCGCTGCAACCGTGCACACGAAGAGGCGCAGAAGCTGCTCCCGCCGCCGCCGCCGCCACCTCCGCCACCGGCCCTGCCCTCCCGGCGCCCCGGCCCCGAGCCGTGCGCCCCGCCGGCCTATGCGCACCCGGCGCCGGCCAGCCTCCGCGAGTGCGGCAGCGGCCGCGGCAAGGCGTCACCGGCCACCGGCCGCCGAGATCTGGCCATCTAGGGGCGGGCACCGCCTCGCGCGGACTGGACGGCGAGGGCCGGACCCCGCCACCTCCGCCCGCACCGCAGAAGCCGGAAGCTGCTTCCACCAGAGCTGTCGCGGGACCTGCCCCGGCAGGAGACGCGTTGTGGGGACGGCCCGCGGGCGGCATCGCACTTGCCTCGTACTGCCTCCCAGTGGCTGCCGGCGGCACCTGGGGCAGGCCGGGCTGGGGGCGGAGAATGAACTCAGGCAGGTCCTGGATGCCACCACCCAGGTGGAAAGGAAGGAGACCAGGACCCTGAGAGAGAGTGGACCCGAGGGGGAGAACAGAGCGGAAGGTGGAGAGTGGTTGTTTTACTGGGGACAAAAACAACTGTGATGCCAGCATTCTCAGGCACTCTCTGTGTTCAGAGAGAGAGTGGTCCCCCTGTGGGCTCTCTGCGAGTGTGCATACACGGACACATAAGCACTGTGAGCTGTGTGCACGCGCACCTGTACACCCTGTGTGAGCGCTGTGCATGTGCGCGCATGTGTACACCCTGCGTGAGGCCCACTTGTGCACACAGACACACGTAACCCTCCCGGGTGAGCTGTGTGCACATGCACACAGAAACATATGCCCCTTGAGAGCTGTGTACTCACATCCCTGTGAGCTTTGTGTGAGTGCATTGTGCACACACGCACATGTCCATTCTGTGTGGGCTGCGTGTGCACACCTGTACACAGAAACATCCTTGTGCGCTATGTGTGCATGTGTACATCCGGCGTGACCTCTGTGTGTGCACGCGTGTGTGTGTGATCTCTGATATGCACTGCGGGGGTGGCCAGGATCCGATGCCAGCTGCAGCCACAATGGCTCCCTCCCTACCACCCTAACCCAGCCCACCTGCCAGGGCATCACAGGAGGTCTGTCCCCCCCTCCCAAGAGACCCCGCCCAGGGAGGGAAGAGGAGGAGAGGCTCCCTTTCCCCGGGCAGGCCTCAATCCTCGGGAGCCTATGAGCAACATCCTCACAGTACCCCTTGTGGCGAGGCGGGGGCTGGGCGCTTTCATGGAGGTGGGGTGGGGGTGGGCGGCGGGCCAGAGGGCAACCCAGACGTGTGTTATGCCTCCCTCCTCCATCTTCATCCTCCCCGCCGCTACTGCTCCCCCAGGCTATAAACGGGAAAGTCCCTTCTGTCCTCAGGAGAAAGCTCCCAAAACACACGCGCTCCCGGCCCTGCCTTCCCTTCCAACCACCCCCTTCTTCCTACTTGCGGGCATTCGAAGAGCTGCTGCCTATGCAGCGCATCCCCCTCCTGTGTCTCCCCTCCCGTCTGCCCTCCCCCTTCACCAGCCAGTGGGCTGCTCTCCATAAGATCACCCAGGACCTAAGCGAGAAATCCAGGGGCCGTCATCGGACTGCACCTTGCGGGCCTCACCGCATCCTGCCTACCAGGCTGTGCGTTCCCCGCCATCACCCCACCCTGTCCTTCTGAGTTCCTGGCGTCTTTCTCAGCTCTCCTGTGCCCCACACAGCAGTGGGAGGTGTTTCTGAATAGCGCCCCCCACTTAAACCCGGGACTGAGGGCAGCACCCCTGCCCTCAGGGTGAGTCAAGCGCCTTCACAAAGCTTCCTTCTGAAGCCCTGCCCCTGTCAGGCCTTCGACTCCACAGCACCGGCTTCCAGGTGTGCTCAGAACCATAGGGAATTTTCTCTTCTAACAAGCACCAGACCTGCTTGCTGCCAAGCGTTTGAACGTGCTGTTCCTTTGCCCAGAGTAGCCGCTGCTTCCTGCAGCCTTCTCCTCCCCTAGCTAATGCCCACCCACCTATTGTTGTCACTTGGGAAGAAAACAGACACCTTCAAGGAGAGGGCTCCCCTGGTAGCCCCCACCCCAAGACAGAGCTGGATGCCCCTCGCTTCCGTAGGGAAAGCACTTCTCCTGCAGGATGGCATTGCTCTCTCCCCTTCCATGGCACGTAGTATGTGCTCAGTAAATATGTGTTGGATGAGAAACTGAAGGTGTCCCCAGGCCTACACCACTGCCATGCCCGAACACTATCCATGCTATGGTGGGCACCATCTCTCTGATGACAGTTCTGTGTCCACAACCCAGACCCCTCCACACAAACCCAGATGGGGCTGTGCCGCTGTTTTCCAGATGTATTCATTCAACAAATATTTGTAGGGTACCTACTGTGTGTCAGAAGATGTTCAAGATCAGCATCATCCGATGGAAATAGCATATGAGCCATGTATGTAGTTTCAAGTTTTTCATTAGCCACATTAAAAAAGTAAAAGGAAACAAATGAAATTAATTTTAGTCACGTATTTTATTTAACCTAGCACACCCAAAGTATTTTCATCTTAATGCCTCATTGATATTAAAAAGTATTAAGGAGATAGTTTACATTCTTTTTTTCATACTAAGTCTTCCAAATCTGCACCCACCTAGCCAATTCTTTCCTCTAGAGATTTAGCAATGAGCCTCGGCTACAGCGGGAGACTCCGTCTCAAAATAAATAAAACTAAATTAAAAAGAGATTTAGCTGAGAGAGGCCACCTCTTCCAGGAAGGCTTCTGAGCCCTGCCCCAAGCGTGATTCAGTGCCTCTGCCCTGCACTCCCGTAGGCCTGTCAAGCCTGTTGCAGCTCTGCCCAGGTGGCATCCCGGTCACCTTCCTCTGGCTCAGTCTCTCTGCGGAGGATGGGCCCTGGCTCAGTGCAAAGCACATCAGCCCTGGAGGACCACACTCCACAGCAGTGGATCTCACATGGGGGTGATTTTGCCCCCCAGGGGGGCGTTTAGCAGTGTCTGGAGACATATTTGGTTGTTACAGCTGGGGTGGGAGAGAAGCACCACTAGGGTTTCATGGGCGGAAGGTTGGAGATGTTGCTTAGCATCCTGCAATGCACAGGACAGCCCCCACAACCTGGCTCAGATCTTCACATTGGTGCTGAAGCTGAGCAACTCTGCTCGACAGCAGTGAACTGTGGACCACTGAGGACAACCCCAAGACTAGAGGTTCCAAACAGCAAAGGCACTACCCCAAGGGGCATTTTGTAAATGTGGGGGCCACTGCTTTGTTTTCACAATGATGGGGGACCCCATTGGCATTTAGTGGGCAAGGGCTATGGACGTCAAGATATCCTCTTGAAATAAAAACCTGCTTGGCACAACTTTTTTGTTTTTATTTTTATTCTTTGAGACAGGGTCTCCATCTGTTGCCCAGACTAGAGTGCAGTGGTGTTATCACGGCTCACTGCAGCCTCAACCTCCAGGGATCCAGCAACTCTCCCACCTGAGCCCCCCCCCCAAGTAGCTGACACCACAGATGCACACTACAAGGCTAGGCTAATTTTTGTATTTTTTTTTGTAGAGGCAGGGTTTCACCATGTTGCCCAGGCTGGTCTTGAACTCCTGGACTCAAGTGATCCGTCAGCCTCTGCCTCCCAAAGTTCTGAGATTACAGGCTTGCGCCACTGCGCCCAGCCTCAGGCACAACTTTAGAATGTCCAACTGGACATTGGCATAAGTGAAAACCCTGGGCCCAAACCCTGTTTTACATGTAAAACATTAAGGGTTTTGAGGCCAGGCACGGTGGCTCACGCCTGTAATCCCAGCACTTTGGGAGGCCGAGGCGGGCGGATCATGAGGTCAGGAGATCGAGACCATCCTGGCCAACACAGTGAAACCCCGTCTCTACTAAAAATACAAAAATTAGCCGGGTGTGGCGACGTGTGCCAGTAGTCCCAGCTGCTGGGGAGGCTGAGGCAGGAGAATGGCAATGGCGTGAACCCGGGAGGCGGAGCTTGCAGTGAGCCGAGATTGCGCCACTGCCCTCCAGCCTGGGTGACACAGCAAGACTCTGTCTCAAAAAATAAAAGAAAAGAAAAGATAAAGAAAAAACCATTAAGGGTTTTGTTTGGGCTTTTTTTGCATTGTTTTATTATAGATCAAACATGCCGATTTTTATTCCAACATCCACCCATGCTCTTTAATGTTCCTGGGCTTCTTGTACAGAATGGCTTCCAACCTTCTTTTAAATCCAAATGTATTCATTCAAAAGAGGGGCAAGCATTAATCTATTGAAACACATAGCACTGCCCCTCAATTTATCCTTTATAATACGGTTGTGACAACATATTGATCTGTGAAATCACGTGTACAGGTACAGTATGTTAGATTTCATTTCAGACTCGTAAAGATGTTAGAAAATATTTACTGGAGGAAAAGCGCCTCGGTCCCCGCGGTTGCCTCCAGCCTAGGGCGGCCGGTGAGTCAAGCAAGGCGCTGCCGCCACCTGGTGGTTAATGTAGAAATGGCAGGCAGCCTCTAGCAGAAGGAACCCTTTGCCTTACTCCCTCCCGGCTAGGCCCCCACAGCTTCCATCCCAATCCTGTGTTCTTGTTAAGTTTCTTTCTTCTTTTTCTTTCTTTCTTTCCTTTCTTTCTTCTTTCTTTTTTCTTTTCTTTCTTTCTTTCTTTCCTTTCTGTCCTTTCTTTCCTTCCCTTTCTTTCTCTTTCGTCCTTTCCCTTTCCTTTCTCCTTTCTTTCCTTCCTTCCTTCTTTCTTTTTCTTTCTTTCTTTCTTATTTGAGACGGAGTCCTGCTCTGTCGCCCAGGCTGGAGTGCAATGGCACGATCTCGGCTCACTGCAAGCTCCAGCTCCCAGGTTCAAGCAATTCTCTTGCCTCAGCCTCCCTAATAGCTGGGATTACAGGCGCCCGCCACCACGCCCAGCTAACTTTTTTGTATTTTTAGTAGAGACGGGGTTTCACCATGTTGGCCAGGCTGGTTTTGAACTCCTGACCTCAAGTGATCCGCCCACCTCAGCCTCCCAAAGTGCTGGAATTACAGGCATGAGCCACTGCGCCAGGCCTCTTGTTAGGTTTCTATGAGTCCCTGACCCCAGCTCCTGTGCCATCTGTCATTCCTGCCGTGATGGTGAAGGCTTCCCAAGGACCAGAAATGTCTAGGGGTGGCTCCGGCTTCCTCCCTCAGACTGGGGGTTCCCTGAAGGTGGGGGCAGCTTTCCTCCTCTTCTCTCCCACTCCCAGACTGGGGCTCCTTGACATGGGCAGTGTGGATCCCCAGACTGAGGGCTTCCCAAGGGGCAGGACTTTCTCCTTCTCAGCATCTCCAAAGACCCCAGCACAAGGTAAGCCTCAGAAGGCAGCTTGGAAGGGTGCCCTGGCCAGCCCCTTGGCCCCAGTGCTCATTCCTGGCCATCACAGGCCCAGAGCACATGACGAAACCCATCCCAAGCCCCCAGACCAGACGCCAAGAGGAGGGGGTGGAGGCAGCAAGGCTGGAGGCATGTGTAGAATAAATAGAACTTTATTCTTTATCCAGTAGATCTCAGTGGAAAGCCCAACAGTAACAGGTGCACCCACGGGCTCCAGGGGAAGGGGCCCCAACCCCTGGTGAAGGAGGTCGGGGCAGAGCCAGCTCCCCCAGCTGGGGGTGCAGGGGTGAGGGGAGACCCCCCTGTAGGCCCGTCCTGCGGGGTAAGGAGGGGGCACGGGGGTGGGACAGGTTGGGGGTGGGGGGCAGGCCAGGGAAATGGAGGAACTCGGGCCAAGTGTGTGTCGGCCCATCTACTGTCCAGTGTGTGTGTGTTTGTGTGTGTGCGCACGCGCATGTGTGTGGTGTCTGGGGGCCCTATGGGGGTGCTGGTGGCTGAGGCCGGGGGTGGGGGCAGCTCGGGCCCCTGGCCAGCCCCTTCACAGTGGGGGCTGGGGAGCCTAGATGATGTGGGCCCTGACGGGAGGCAGCTCTGCCGAGGAGCCAGGTCTGGGAAAACTCTGTCCCGGGGCCCTTGCTCTGCCCTGCTCCATGCCTCATGGTGGGTGCAGGCAAGTGCCAAGGCCAGGAGCCTGTCCTTTCAGGGCTGCCCCACACCGTCCACACCCAGTGGTCAGGCAGAGGGAGAAAGGGGCTGGCGGCTTCTCCAGTGGGAGGGAGGGGAAGGCAGGCCTTGGAAAGTTAGTACTTCACAGTTTTAAAGAGAAAACTGAGGAGGAAAAGGCTGAGGAGGAGAACTGGGGGGCACAGGGACATGAAAGGAGAGTGGGGGCCCCTTCCGAGCCACTCCCTCCCCCGGACCCACCCCCTCCAGCTCTGGATCCAGCTCCCCCCAATACACAGCACAAATTCCTTCAGTATAAATGTGCTTAAAATGAAAATTCTTATTAAAAAAATCAAAACAAAAAAATTAAAATAAAAACAAAACCAGCGAGAATTAATACCTGGGGTTGGTATGGCAGGGTATGTACAGGGGGAACCCCCCGCCCCTGTCCCACCCCCTCTGTCACCAACCGAGGCAGGGGGGAGGTTGAGGTTCCCCAGCTGGGGAGCAATGGCTTGTGAGTTCTGAGGATGGGGGAGCCAAGTCCTGGCGTTTGCTGGTGATGAAGATGTGGTGAGCTGGGCAGAGGGGTGTCTTGATGAACACGAGGCCCCCAGGACCCATCCTGAGACCCAGGACCAGGGGCCTCACTCAGTTCCTGGCCTCGGCCTCTGACGTCAGCCCAGGCTGTGGGAGCAGGCAGTCCACTGAGGGCCCAGGCCTCTGTCCAAGGAGTCGCTGCCTCCTCCCTCCCCGTCCCCCAGGGAAGGTCCCCAGTACTGCCCGGGAGGGCAGGTGGGGGCAGGGCTGGTGCGGGGTCACATGGTCGGTAGAAAGGCAGAGAAAAGCCGGGGCGGAGGGCGAGGGCTGTGTCCATGTGGCGTGGGCGGTCACGGGGAGTGGGTGGCCGGGCTGCTTCTGTTGGAGCTGGGGCTGAGGCTGGGGCTACAGCTGCCTGGCGGGGGGGCCAGGCCACCCCCGTCCCGCCCCCCACCCCCCGGCTGTCCGCTCAGAGTGTCCAGGCCCTCTGAGTTCTCCAACATTTCCTGGATGAGAGGCGGCATGGAGCCCGGGATCTCCATCTTCAGCGTGATCACCCGCTCAGCCCCTGCAGGAAAGGAGGGGGCAGAGGTCAGCACGCTGGGCCAGCCCTCCCACCCCCAGCCCCAGCAAGCCTGGCTCGAGGTGGGAAGATCAATACTGCTGATATTAGCATCTTTCTTGGGATTCAGTTCTTTGACACGAGCCAGCTCTCTTAAGCCCCCAGGTCCAGAGGCTGGTGGCAATGGGGCAAAGTGGTCCCGAACTCCGGCTCCAGGGCCAGACTGCCGGCCTGGGCTAGACGCCAAGCCCTTCCTTCCCCTGTGCTGTGTGCTAGGGATCATCCCGACCCCTCTGTAAACACGAATGTTATCCCCGCCCTCGGAAGGGAAACTGTAGCTAGGAGCTGTTGAGTGACCCACACAAGGACACACACCCACGTGTCTGGTTCCAGAGCCACGATCTGAACTACCACACAAAGGTGACACAGGCGGGCCACCTCGGCAAAGTGGAGTCACTAGGGGACCTCAGCCTAGACACAGATGGGGACAGGTGTCGTATTGTCCTGGCACAAAGACATGGGGTGCTGGCTTGGATGTGGGGGCCTGGGCCAGGTGTCGGGGGCCGGTACCCCTCCAGGTCTGTGAGCCTCACCCTTGGCGCTGATGCTTCGCAGGTCAGTAATCTTCATTAGCATCTTGGGGAACATGTGGGGGCGGCTGGGCCTCCGCTTCCGCACGTAGACCTTTAGCGCCTCCAGCAGCGGCTCCTGCAGCATGTCCACCCGGTCCGGCTGCTCCAGGTCCTGGCGGTCTGAGGAAGCAGAACCACCCCCTGAGCAGCTGGGAACACAGCTGCACCCCCAGCCTCGGCCACCGGGGGGCGTGCCTGCCCAGGCCATGGAGGAGGGCAGCTCGCAGGCGCCTCCCCACACAGGGCAGGGCATGGGGTCTCTGCTGCCGCAGGGTACAGAGGCCCTTAAAAGGGAGCAACGGGAGCTGAGGGTGAGGGGGTGCCCCAAACCCTCCCTGAGCCCAGTTAGTGGGATGGGACCCCAAATGGGCAGTGCCATCCTCAAGCAGGGAGAGGGTTCCCAGGCAGGCTCCCACTCCCCCCTGTTATTCTGGAAACCAGATGAAATGGCAGAAATCACAACAATAAAATAGCAACTAACAAGCACTGGAGCTCGCTCTGGGCACCTGCACAGTATCTGTTACCACCGTAATCCTCCCATCAACTTCATGAGCTAGAGACCGTTACCGCCCCCACTGTACAGAAACGGAGGCCCAGAGAAGTTCAGCAACCTGCTCAGGGTCATGCATCGGCCAGGAGGTGACCCTGGTTGGTCCGACCCTCAAACCCTCACTCTTAACCTCCCTAGAAGGGGTGTTGCCCAGAAATCGGGAACAGGAGTCCAGGCCCCACATGGCCCCCTTGCTGTGTAGTTGCAGACCAGACCCTGCCCTCTAGAGATACCTAACAGAGGTGGCCTGAAAGAGCTCCCTGGAAGAGACTCCAGGGCTGCACCCCCGTCCCAGCCCAGCCCCCAGACCCAGGCCCCCTGCCCACCTCCGCAGATGAGGCAGATGGCGCTGAGCAGCCCCGTCTCCGCATCATCCATCTCCAGGGGCAGCAGCTGGTTGGCGAAGGCAAAGACCAGGTCGGTGAGGGGGCCGAAGCCAGCGTTGTGCATCTGGGTCCGGTTCAGGGTCAGCCCGTCCGAGAAGGTCATGGTGTCCTGCTCGGGCGTGTACCGCGTGCAGATCCGCAGGATCTGGGTGCAGAGGATGCTTGGGTTCAGGGACTGAACCCGAACCCACTCTGAGCACTCGGCACCAGCACTCCGCACCAGCACTCCCGGAGGACCACCTGGCAGGTGGCCGGAGCAATGCTGTCTGATAGAATTTTCTACAATGATGGAAAGGTTCTACGTCTGCACCATCCATACCTCAGCCACCAGCCACATGCGTCTACTGAGTACTTGAAATGTGGCTAATGCAACTGAGGAACTGAATTGAGTTTAATTTTAATTAATTTAAATTTAAAGAGTCACATGTGGTGAGCAGCTACTGTACTGGATAGTGCAGGTCCAGGTCATCCTGCCTACATGCAAAGAATGTAGAGGGGACCTAGAATTTCTAGGAGCTAAGGAACACTGGGCTGCTGCCTACAGCTCCCAGGATGAGGTACACAACAAGCGCTCAGTAAATGTGTATTGGCTTGAATGTGGTTGCAGGAACCCAGACGGCACCTCCTGCATCCACGGCATGGGGATGGGAGCCCCTGCAGGCAGCACAATCTAAACCTCCCACCCATCACCCGCCTCAACATTCAGAGGTGCCCATGGAGAAATGACAGTCTGCCGGCTCACGCGGGAGGATCACCTGAGGTCAGGAGTTCGAGACCGGCCTGGCCAACATGGTGAAACCCCGTCTCTACAAAAATACAAAAATTAGCCGGGTGTGGTGGCGGGTGCCTGTAATCCCAGCTACTCAGGAGGCTGAGGCAGGAGAATCGCTTGAACCCGGGAGGCAGCAGTTGCAGGCTGCAGTGAGCCAAGATCATACTACTGCACTCCAGCCTGGGTGACAAGAGTGAAACTCCATCTCAAAAAAGAAAAACATAAAAAGAAATGACAGTCTCGTCAAATCCCAGGTTCCCCACCCTGGAGGTGACCAAGAGGGAACAGGTGGACCGAGCCCTTGTCAGGGACAGCAGGAAGGAGAGTGCTCCCTCCAGCCTAGGCTTTGGCAGTTCCCACCACCTCTTCCTGCCCCCACCCCCTGCATCCAGCCTCCAGCCCAGTCTACCCTCGGGCTCACCTCACCGAGTGCCCGGCAGTCCCCTGAGCTCAGCATGGCCTCACAGCAGCAAGTCTTTCACTTCCTGCTCCTGAGTTAGGGCTACCCTCTCACCTCCCCCTCTACAAACCCCTAGATGTCACCTCCTCTGAGACATCATCCTTCAGGCCCAAGCAGTCACAAGCCCTCCCCCAATCTCCAGGAAGCATTGATCACAGTTTTGCAACCTCTGTTGACTTATCTCTTGCCTCACATGGAAGGTTTTCAAGAGAGGGGATGGTGGTGCATTCACCGCTGGGTTCCTGACACCCAGCTCGAACACTGGCCAGAGGATCCTAGGTGAATCTTTTTAGTTTTTTGCAGAAATAAGGTCTCACTATGTTGCCCAGGGTGGTCTTGAACTTCCAGCCTCAAGTGATCCTCCTGCCTCGCTCGGCCTCCCAAAGTGCTGGGATTACAGGTATGAGCCACTGCACCTGGCTCCTACGTGAATCTTTATTACTGGCTAAATGGATGGATGGCTGGGTGGCTGGATATGTGTATGGGTGAACAGGTGAGCTCCTGCACATCTGGCTGCTAGGTGGCTGAGTGGACAGGGAGACGAGTGGACAGGTGGACATATGGGGAGAGGAAGGGCAGACATTTGGGCGGTGGGCATTTGGACAGGTTGATTGCAGACAGACATTTAGGAGGGTGGCTGTCTGGCTGGAAGGACATCTACCCAGGACACAGGGGCAGTGCCTGGGGGCCAGGGTGCAGACCCTCACCAGGATGTCCAGGCAGGCAGCCTTGAGGAGGGTGATCTGGTCGGCGATGGTGAGGGTGGTGAAGCCGGGCAGCTGCTTGGCGAACTCCACAGTCTTAATGATGCACTTGGTGGAGAGTTCACTGAACTTGTCCCAGAGGTCAATGTCCAGAGAGACACGTTGTTCTGAGCTGTTGTTCTGGGGGAGGAGGGAGAGTGAGGGCCTTCTTCTCCATGGCACCCCTTCTCAGCCTGGCTCCAGCCCCCACAGGCCTGCCCTCTACCCAGCCTTCACTTCCTGGGAGCTCCTTGGGAAGAGGCAGCAGGAGGAGGGAGAAGAGAGGGGAAGGGAAGGACGCAGAGATCTTGCCTGGCACAAGAAGGGGTGCCTGAGAGGGGCCCATCCTGGCCCTGTGGCCCTGGGCAAATCCCACCCTGCAGGCCGGGGGAAAGCCATACCGTAGTGTATTTGCCCAGCTGGCAGAGGGCAGGGAAGGTTTCCTGGTGCGCTTTGCGCACCTTCTCAATGAGCTCCCCCACCTCCGGCGTCAGCGTGTAGCTCTCAGAGCACTCGGGCTTGGGCACCTCCTTCTTCTTCTTGTTTCGGTCGTTTCTCACAGCTGTGGAGGGCAGAGGGGGTTAAGAGGGCAGCTGCAGGCTGCTCAGGGCCTCGTCCACCCCCAGCCTGACAGAGAGCTGCCAGCTGCTGAGGAGGTCACCCAGGCTTGTAAGCACGCGCACACAGCACGCGTTCACGGGCAGGCAAGGCATTGCCACGCACTCCAGCCCTCCATGCCCACCCAACCCACACATCAAGTTCTGCCCCAGAAGCCCCATGAGCACAGCTGTGGCCCTGCACACACCCCCCACCCCACCCCATAGCCAGCCGCATGCTATCCCCCACGCGTCTACTCCAGCTCACACTCCAGGCGACGGTGCCCTCCTAGGTGCTCTGCCTCCTCTTTCCCCAGGAAGGTCCTTCTCCCGCCTCCACTCACCCAGCCCTCCCAGCTGCAGTCTCCCTGGGGGTCCCTTGGGACTGGCTCTGAGCAGCTCCTGGGGCAAGTGGGGAGTAGGGCTCCCCAGCCTGAGAGTGGGGGACCTGGCGGGGAGAATCTCTTGGCCCATTAGCTGGGGAGCTGACAAATCACCAGGGGCGCTGAGCCGCACACACCACTCGGCTTTAAAGAAGCGATGGGGTCGTTACCAGCCGATTATCCAGACACACAATCACTCACAGGGCTGGTGGTGGTGGCTGCTGACGCGGGAGGAAGGGAGGGTGGGGGAGGGGCTCAGGGAGGGGGTAGCGAGGTGGGGGTAGCTGGCATAATTTGGAGATCACTCATGTCGATTCTGCAAATTCAATAAAGTGCAGGGGAGAGAAGGGAGAGGGAGAGGGAGAGTGGGGGGATAATTTGGGAAGAGAAAATTGCAGCTGTGACAAGACGTTTATCATTCGGAAGCTTTAATTCTATTGAAATGGCAGCTGCTCAGCTCCGGGGCACAGAGCAGCCGGGAGAGGGGGAGTTGGCGGTGGGAGGGAGAAGGGGAGTTGGCGGTGGGAGGGAGAAGGGGTCCCCTCCCTGGTCCTTCTGCCATGAAAAGAGCAGAAGGTGGCACAAACAGAGAGGAGGAGGTGACAGCCCTTAAGCGAAGGGTTCCAGGCTTGTGGGTCTTGAGTTGTCACCCACTCTTGCAGCAGGAGCCACTTCCTGGGCTCAGGACAAGGCACCCCCAGCCTCCTGTGGCAGGACACTCCAGTCCCCTCCATTCCTGTCTGGGGCTCTTCGTGCAACAGTCAGAACCATCTCACCCGTGCCCCCTCCCCACTGCCCTCCCCACAAAGGGCTAGGGGGTCCTGCAGCCCCCTCCCCCATCCCATCCCCCAAGGCTCAGGCTCCATGGCAACGGCCACGCAGACAAGGAGGCGTCTGTCAGCGTCATTTATCTCTGACATCATCAATCACCGGTCACCATGGCAACACCCATGATTCAACACAAGAGGGTCTCCCTGTCCAGCCTTTCCCTCCCTCCCTCCATCAGGCCTCAGCTGAGCCCAAAGTGGAAACCCCGTTTCCTCTGGGATCTGAGAAGTCCCAATTCTTTCTTCCAACTCTGAATCCCAGGCTTAACTAGACAATGGCTTTTGGATCCTTGTGCCAGCCCTTCCACCCCCCCATACACACATAAGTCCAGCCAAGCACCCCTCAGAATTCAAGCCCCTCCCCTAAGACTCACAATCAGAAGGGACTGCCTATGCCTCTGAGCCCCACCCCAAAACCAAGCACGGCCTGGAAGAAAGCCATCCTGGAGCATGCACACACACACACATACGCAAGCACACACAGCCAGACGTGCAGAAACAGGAATGGTTACACATACACGGTCCCGGAGCACAGACCTGCCCGTGGACACACAGCCAGCCAGACTCGCAAACAGGTCCTTGCAGCTACACACAAACCATCCTCAACCGTGAGCCCGCACACCACGGCATGCGTGTTCATGCATGTGCACAAACATCCACAGAGCCCTGCTCCCTTGGTCTTTAGGAGCATCTGAGACCCCAACTGAGGCGGGACTCGGCCCCTGCCCTATGGCACTCACACTCCTTGGACATGCCCACTTCAAAGCACTTCTGCAGTCGGCAGTACTGGCAGCGGTTCCGGGTCACCTTGTTGATGATGCAGTTCTTGTCCCGGTGACACGTGTACACCATGTTCTTCTGGATGCTGCGGCGGAAGAAGCCCTGGGTATGGAGGGGAGGGAGTCAGGTTGTCCACACCCACAGTGGGAGCAGTGCCTGGCTACGGTCTCAGTCTAGGGGAGGAGGGCCAGGCCAGCTGCTGCCCCCAAGCGTTTGCCCATCGCCTACCTGAGCAGGCCAGAAAAGCTGGGGAGAATGATTCACCTAAAAGGATCCTCCTCAGGAGAATCCCAGTACCTGCCTCAACACTGCAGGATGGGCAGGAGTCTTCCCCCAACCCACAGCACACACCTGACTCCTCCCTTCCAGGGAAAAGACCTCAGGGCTGCTGGTGAGTCAGAAATAGGAAGACATGGGGCTAACTGGGCAACAGCCAGGGATCTGGAACCCACACCCCTGAACTCAGAACACAGGAAAAGAAGACAAGCCCGAAGAGGCCAGGAGGCAGATACACGGGCTGGCCAGAGAAATGGAGGCGAACACACACATGCACTCAGGAGCAAGGCAGAAAGATGTGAGTTCACCAAGACAGGTGTGCACCGACCCATCACAGACACAGACCCAGGCTGGCCAGGGGCTCCACATACAGGCTGACCAGAGGGACAGGCGGACAGAGGAAGAACAGACCAGGAACAACCAGACAGGACAGGCAGACACACAGCCTGAGTCCTTGTGCTTTGCCCTTGACCTCCGTCCCACATCTGGGGATAGCTACTCCAGGCTGAAGAGCAGCCCAGAGCTGCAAGGCCCAAAGCTGTGAAGATTCTGAGCCCCAATCTCTGGAGGAAGAAACGCACACAGAGGCTCAGGCCCCAGGGAAAGGAGGAGAAGCCGGGCGCAGGGCTGCTAAGGACCAGGTATACCTGCACCCTGGCACCTAACGTGAGGATGGGGAAATCCAGCCAGACACTGGGGAGCCCACAGCCCGGGCACCTGAAGGGGAAGCTAAGGCAGGGTGCCTGCTCCTAACTGCCTCCTGCCAGGCTGCCATGGTGAGGTTCAGGCAGGGCCGCCGGGGGAGGCCTCCTGGGTCCCCAGCCAAGAGCCAGTCGGCAGCCAGCTCACCATGGCAACCTGGGCAGCGGTGGCAGAGCAGGCGTACGCCCTGCCAGCTGGAGGATAGAGACAGGGAAAGGAGCTGAGGCAGGAGGGGACCTCTGGTTTGAGGGAGCCCTGCACATTTATGGGGGAGGACCTGTGGGGAAACTGTGGTAGGTGTCCCTGCTTGCTGCCAACTTCCACAGAGAAAGAAGAGCAGCAACTTCAGGGACACCCCCCAACTGCACACTCCCAGGACACAGAAGTGGGGACATCCCATTGACCTCATCAAGCTGTCCTTCCCAATGACCCCTTCAACTCACCTTGCAGCCCTCACAGGCGCTGACCCCATAGTGGTAGCCTGAGGACTTGTCCTGACAGACAAAGCAAGGCTTGTAGATGCGGGGTAGAGGGGGTGGCGAGGGAGGGCTGGGCACTATCTCTTCAGAACTGCTGCTCTGGGTCTCAATGGCTAGAGAGAGAAGAGGGGAGGGGCAGTTAGAGACCTAGGTCGCCATCCTTAGTACCAAGCTCCACCCTGCCTCACCGTCCCTCCTAAGAGCCTCTCCCAGCCTCACCACTGCTGGCAGGATTCAAGTCTTAAGAAAACTGGGACTCCCCAGCCAGACTCAGGGCAGGAGGCTGCCAATGAAGCCTCCAGCACCCCATCACTCCTCTGGACTCCTAGGACCCCCACCTTCAAAACCACAAAGATACAATGATAAACCATCACATTTGTATGTGTGCCGTGACTGTGCTTGGGGAGTAGGGGTGGGGGTCACCCTGATTCTAAAGCTCTTGCCCCTGGGCGGCCTGGCCCCGTTCTCCCCCCGAGTTAGGAAGGAGTTAACGCTTGAAGAGGAGGGAGGGAAGAGGACATAAGCTGGGGGCAGAGGAAACTGGGGTCAACAGGATATTCAAAGCCGGCCACTCCCCCGCCCCCTCTGCTTCCGCTCCCCCCTCCACCCCATTCTGCCAGCAGCCACTGCCCCTCCTCCACCCAAACAATCCCAGGGCCAGGGACCCAAGGCAGGGGGTGCAAAGAAGAGTCACAAATGCTGGGCACAGTAGGAGGTGTCTCCCTGAGATAGGGGGAGATACCCTGAATACAGGGAGAAGAGTCCCCAGGGCCCCAAAAGCCCATTATTCTGGGTACCCCCCATCTGGGGAGAGATGGCATGACAAAGGGGGTCTGTTCCCATCAATGCTCTGTCTGTCTGGCCTCAATACTATGTCCGGGTTACTAACCCCTCCCCTTCTGTTATTCAGCTCCAAGAGGGCAGCCAGGAGGGGTGACCCAGACAGCAGGGGCAGCCCTCACTGGCCAAATCCTCCCCAGTGTCTGGCTCCATGCCCATCACTGTAGGCAGAACAGGGCTGGGTTGGGTAGGGGCTATCCATGTCCAAAGCCTGGGCAGCTAAGGGTGTTGGGTGCAAGATAAGAACTATGACCAGGACAATCCCAGATTCCCAAGGGGCCACGCAGCATCGTCCTGAGGCCCCTACCAACGTTCAAGTTCTCTTGTCCAGGGCCAAGGATGGATGAGGATGCCTCCCTAGGTAGACAGATCCCTGCCTCCTCCCATATTCCACAATCCTACCTAGCCCTACCCCAAACTCCGGCACATGAGACTGGCTGGCATTTAAAGGTGCCCACAGCTCCTGGCCCAAGCACCTTACAGACATGAGTCACATAGCCCCAAATCACATGGCCCTAAAATTGGGGCACAGAGGAAGGAAGCATGGGAACACCAGGGGCTGACTATGTGCTACCACCCTCCCCCCTTACCTGCAGACACAGTGGGGGCTGCTAGGCGGCTGATGACAGGGAACTAGGCCAACAACCTTGGCAGGGCTTTCCTGGCTCTTAGTAGTGCCTGGGCACCACTTCCCAGGCCAGCCTGGCTGACCAGCACTGCTATGGCCCCCCATCCCCTTCCCTGCCCCAAGACCAGCCTGCAGCAATGGGACAGTTGATGCCCACACCATCCCCAGCCCAGCAGATTCTCTCCTGACCTCCCCACCGCCGTCTGCTCTTCACTCCAACACCAACTGCCCTGGCCTGGTTTTCTCCCACCTCATTCTCCCCAGGCCAGACAAGCAAATCAGACAGGCTGAGAGGCCTGAGAACAGCTGCTGGGGGGGCGGGGTTGGGGGGCCTGGGTGAGGCCAGGAGGCAGAGGGGGTGAGCCACAAAGCAGCCCTTTGTTGTGCTAACTTTTTCCAAGACGTAAAAGCAGTAACAATAGACAATCCAGACTGGTGGGGGGAGGGGAGATCAAGGGCAAGGGGGTATGTGGAGGGTTGGGGGGACCATGGCCTAGAATCTTGGTCAGCATTCCGACAAGCAGAGGAAGAAGGCACTGACCTCCCCACCCCTCCTAATCCACCGTTTGCCCTGGGCCCCGCCTCTCCCAAGGCCCCACTTCTAAAATGAACCAGACTGGAGAGGGAGAAAGGACTGAGGGAGCTTTGGGGGTACAGAGCGGGATGTCACGAGGGGAGCTAGGGTATGGGGAGTCATGGGGGATACCAGGATGAGAGGTAAACAGCTCTAAGGCCTGGGACAGACTAGAGGGCAAAAAGCCATAAAAACATGGAGCTAAAGCAAAGTCCAACAGAGGGTGTTTACGGAACTGAGAGAATGTGCTTTTTAAAATTATTTTTTGGCAGAATGGGAGAGATGACCAGAGGCAAGGACTACAGTTTAGGCTGGGCAAGGCCTCCTTTTAGCCCACCCAACGGCAGCTTGACTGCCTTGGAGGCTGTAACATAGCCTGCCCCCTACCTCCAGCACATCCCCACCTGTCACCCAGGTAACCCAGCTCTGAGGTTTCCCTGCTCTGCCCTTTGAACCCAGAGCTCGATGCCCCACCTCCCCAGGCCTCCAGCCAGCAGTCCAAGGAGGTGAGGTACAAGGACCAAGGCCGGAGGTGTGGGGAACTCCGGAATCCTCACAGCCTCTGCAAGAGTTAGGACACGGCCATAACTCCCTGCACACACAGGTGGAGTGGGGAGGGACACCAACGGGGGAGGGACTGCCCGGGCCTGGCCCATCCCTGCTAACCTCCCTCCCCAGAGGCCCAGCCCACCAATCTCTCCTCTTCCTGCAGAAGGACTCGGGCTAGAGAAGGACCACACCTTCTCAGCTCAAAGTTCCAGCGCCCAACAGAGGACTGGAACTGACCCAGGAAGCCAGGCGTCCCCTCCCGCCGACGCTGCCAGGGTGCCCCTCCCTCGCTCCCCATCCTGGCAGGGCGGGCGGCGCAGAGCGCTCCACTCCGGATTCCCCACGCCCCCGAGCCGTTCGCAGGCTCGCACAAGGGGCCGGTTTCCTGGAGGAGATCAGCAGGAAATCAGCCGGGCCCCCGGCCAGCGGCTCCCCTCCCAATCCAGCTGGCGCCCGCTCCTCCGCAGCTCCCCTCGCAGCCCCTGGGGATGGTTGGGGAGGGGGCGTAGGGCCCTCTGTACCGTCCTTCCTCCTCCCGGGGAGAGGCGGGGGTAGCTCTGGGTGTACCGCGGCAGCGGAAGAAGGCCCCTAGCCCAGCGGCCGCCTGATAAGCGTCTCCCCCTCCCCCAACTACGGGCATCCACGTGCTTCACATTCTTGGACGTCTGGGAGCGGGCGGAGGTGTGAGTGGCGGAGATTGGTGGGAGACAGATGGGGAGCCACATCCTGTGCACCCCCCTTGTCCTCTAATGCACCGAAATGAGGGCTCTGGGGAGGGAGGCAATGTCCCTAGGGCCCTGCAGAACCCAGGCCACCTCCTCCCAGAGCCAACCTGCTCTTCCCACCTTCAGTGGCAGTAAAGGGGAGAGTGGAGAATTCCCCAAGAGGGGGCTGGAGGCAGCTCCAGTCACCAGCGGACTTCCACACACCCAAGGGGACCCTTCCAAGGTGGTGGCATTGGCCCCACATATTCTAGACTGAGTCTAGTTGCCACCCTCAGACTCCGGGTCCTTCCTGTGCCTCAAGGCAAGCCCCCAGACCCCCATCACTCCCAACCTCACAGCCTCAGGACCCGAGTCCACTGACACCTCACTCACTTATATATGCACACCCACGCTCAGACTACGGGAACTGGAAACCCAGGCCTCTAGGTCTACTACCCCACCCCAGAATGGATGTGGGGACAGGTCTCCACTTCCCCATGTCCAGTGGTTTAGGGGAAGGGCTCACCAATACACTGCCTGTCCTACTCTCTGTGATCCTCCTCCCTCTCCAGTTCTGGGCCAGGAAGAGCTGAGCTGTCCCCATGGGCTAAGAAGAGACAGGGGCTGGAGACCAAGGTCTCAGATCCCAGCTTCTCTCCAGCCCTCTGGAGAAGGTGGCCAAGGCAGTGGAAGGGGTGACTCTGGCAGCCCTGCTCCAACTATCCCCCTAGGGGAGGGGGGTCTTGCTCCAGCACTGGGAGAATGAGAAAAAGGGTCCTAGAGTCATCCTCTCACTCTCTCTTCTTCCAAAGTCAAGGGTGATACCTTCCCTCTTGTGTCTACAGCCACACAGCAGATTCGGCCCTAGAGGAAATGGTCGGGGGCAGGACAATAGGAAAAGCTGGGATAGAAGTGGCTCTGGGAGGGCAGAGGTGGGCTGTCTGTCCATCTCAGGTCTCTCTTCTCCCAGCAAGAGGGGTGGGGTAAGTCCTTTGCCCTTCAACCTTCTCCAATCTGCCAGGGCCCCCCCGAGACCCACTCCACCCCTCCTCCCTGGCAGGCAGGAGGGAGGCAGCAGGTCCAGGAAGGTGGGAGATCCTCCACGGAAGAGCTTCCCCTCCAGCAAAGAGCCCAAAGCCCAGGAGGGGAAGAAACCTGAGCCATCTAACAATAACCCCCTTGCGCCTGCTCCCGCCCACCCAGTGTACACTGCCTCACAGCTGCGCAGGAAAATGCCCAGGTGTACACCCTGGTGCTCCGAGCTCCTGAGTGTGCACAGAGCCCTTCCTCCCAGAGGAGCCTGCACCCAGGCAGGGGGCAACAAGGAGAGAAAGTGACCAGGCTGCCAGGATGCTAGGATTCTCATCAGTGCCCCTCTTAGGAAGGCACAGCCCAGGACCTGGCCCTATCCCCAAGTGAAGTCAGGGTAACAAAAGGACTCGGTGGCGGAGCTGGGAAGGGATGCAGTCCTCATTTCCAGAGCAGCCCCAGACCCACAAAAACAAACTCATTCCCCAGAGAACAAACCGGATTAGGATTAGGGGGAGAGGGATTCTTCTCACCAGAGCAGCTTCTCCCCTCCACTCCTGGGGATGAAAGCCTCAAAGATGACAGCCAAGTGTCTGGGGCCAGGACAACAACCCCATAAGGACCCAGTGCCCCTTGCCAAGATGGAAGGTTAGGATGGCAGACGGGTGTCTGATGAAGTTGCCCCTTTCTGCCACACCCCACTGTCAATACCAAAGACACTGAGTGCTCCCCTGACACCCACTCTAATGACGCAAGAGCAAGGGCTGGGGGCAGCAGCTGTCGCACAGGAAGGGGCTCTCCCTCGGGCTTTGGCAAGTGGGATCTGGCGGGGGGGCCTTCCCCCGGGAGCAGACAAACCCACACAGACAGGACCTTTACCCCACCCTCCAGCCTGCTGTGAAGCTGTTGGATTCCAGGCAAGAAGATATAAACTGGGGGCAAGGGGCTTGGGCTTCATTTCTCCTGGAAGAAGTGAAACAAGAGATGAAGGAATGTTGCTTGAAAGAAGGAACTCTCAAAGTTCCTCAGCCCTAATCTAACACAAATTGCACTTAGGGTTACTGGGGGGAGGGTGCGGCCGGGAGGGTTCAATTGTCCAGCAAGGGCAACACGGGTTAAGTGAAAGGTAGAGACAGGACCTCCACTACACCCCGGGACTCTCACCCCCGAGTAGTAGTGGAAGCCCTACCGCCCACTCCCACCCCCTACAACAGCAGACTGAGAGGCCGGTACGTACAGTGGTTTGAGCCATTCCAAAGCGGAGTCCGGAGCGGGGTGGAGTACGGACCCGGGGCGGGGAGCCCCTTCTCTGGGAGCAAACAGGCCCGGTTCTGGTTATAAAAATCCACCACTAGGAAGGGATTAGGGGTGGGACCCCCCACTTCTACACTCTCGTACATCTTTCCCCTCGAAGGCAAGAGGTCCGAGCTGGGAAGTCCTGCGCGCCGCCCCCGTCACTCAGCCGGCGGCGCCATCCGAGCAGAGCAGCTGGGGGAGAGGAGACGTCCCCTCGCCCCGACTGGTGACCCGGGCAGGGGGCGCCCCCTGCCCTGAAGTCCCCGCGTCTAAGTCCGCCGGCCGCTCCGCCAGTCCCGGTGAAAAGCAGGGAAGTTGTGTGTGCTGGGAGGGGGGGTCCGTCGGCTCTCCCAGGGAAGCCTGGCGGGGCCCGGGAACTCAGCGGCTTCACCTCGAGGGGACTCCCGTCTAGAGTCTCGTGGCGTCCGAGGCAGAGTACAGCGGCTCCCCAAGTCCGCAGGCCGGGGGCGGGATCAGCGCGGGGCTGGGGGTCAACGAGCACTTCCTCCTCCCAGCCGGGGATCCGGGGCTTCTCCAGGGATTCTCCGTGGCGAGGATTCCGGGTGGGGGTGGGGATCCCGCGCGGTTCCGCCCCCGCCAGGCCAGGGGCAGCTGGCGACTCGCTCGGTCTCTGGTGGTACGCGCCACGGCCCCCCCACCCCAGCTCTGCGCGCCCCCTCCCCTCCGGGCACCACCCCCTTTCCACCGCCCCGCCCCGTCCAGGCACCGCCCCTGGCTTAACCCATTCCCGGCGCGTCCGGCTGCAGCGGGAGAAACGCAGGGAACCGAGAGGGAGAGGCGGCATGTGGACAGGCAAGTGGGGGCAGCCTGGGAAGGGGGAGGAGAGGAGAGAAGCAGGAAGGGGGAAAGGCTCCAGATGAGGAGTACACAGAGTACAGAGGGACGCCGAGTACAGGGAGAGGAGGGGGCTGCGAGGGGACAAGGACGGAAGAGGGGCGGGCGTCCTCCCTTGTACCAGTTCCGGCTCCCAGGCTCCCCCAAGGTTTGGTCAGTCCCTGGCCGAGCGAAGCCGTGGTGGAGGAGGTGGTGGGGCGGGGAAGAGGGGGGTGGTCCCGGTGTCCTCCCCTTAACACACACCCCCACCCAGGCCGGGCCTCATTTGCCTAATGCAATGCGGCTGAACTCTCGCTGAACTCGCCTGGCGGCGCCTCACCTCCGAGTGACCCACCCACCGCTGCCCGTGACATCACCCGCTCGCCAGCCCGCCCGCGGGGCTCGCCCGCCAGCCCCCTGCCCGGCCGAACCGGGCCACCTCCCCCGGAGACGCGGAGAGCGGCGGCAGGAGGCGTAGGGCCGGGTCGCGCGGGGCCAAGTGTTTGGCACCCGGGTGTGACATTGTGCAGCTCGGACGCTGTGTCGGAATGAGACACCGGCTTGTGTCATTGTCTGTGACATCATGTGTGACTCCGGCCGCCGGAACCCGACGCGGCAGCGCGGGTGCTGTTGGCACAAACACAGGCAGAGGGGGCCCTCCTCCCCACGCTCTGCGTGCTTCCGGCGAGCAAAGCCCCGCCCAAGGTGTCTCCTAGCTGGGGAACCAGTACCGGCCCCTGGTGCACTGTCCAGCTCTGGAGAGATAAAAGGAAGAGCTGGTGCCTTCCAGTGGACTACTTCATCCTAGAAGCCCTCGGGATGCACGTTTCACTGGAAGAAAGGCCTAGCTTGGGTAGGTCCCTAGAAAGAGGGGATACCCCTGGAGGAGGGGGTATCCTATTACCCCCACTCTCTAAAAGGAAGGATGGAAATGTACATGCTACCCAAGGACATTCTTCTAGAAGAAGCCTGGCTCTTTATATATGTTGTCATTTTATCCTCACAGCAACTCCAAGAGATGTTTTACAAATAAAACAGGTCTCAGCAAGGCTATGTGGGTTGTCCAAGATCACATTACTAATAATAAAGAGTAGAGCAGGTATTTGAACTTCCTGCTGCCAAAGCCCATGTTCTTACCAAGCTAGGCCAATTCAAGGTATTTTTCTGAGCACCTTCTATGTGGACACCCTGGGGAACCTGCCCTTGTAGACCTTAGGGAGCAACAGCCATTAAGCAAATAATCACTGTATGCACACACAATTGCAAACTGAGATAAATGCTATTATGCTCTGAAGAATTAACATAGGTACCTAATTTAGGTTTAACTAAATTAGGGAAGAACTCAAATAAAACAGACCTACCATAAGAGAAAGTTTGTAAGTTAATCAGGCAAAGAGTAGAAAGGAGTGTAGTTCCAGTTAAAGGGCGAGTCTGTGCAAAGGCCCTGGGGTTACAGCAGTTGATGAGTTCATTGAAGGAACTGGCAGAAGGCTAGAATCATGGGGCACAAAATTCAAAAGGAAAAGGTACACAAGACCAGGCTAGAGAGGTGGGCTCAGGCCAGACCAGGGGGGCTTATAGGCCTCAGTAAGGCTTTTGGATTTTATCCTAAATGCAAGGAAAAGCCATAGAAAGGTTCCAAGCAAAGGAAAGATCAGATTTACAGTGTAAAAAGATCTTTCCAGTAGTTGTGTGAAGAATGGATTATAGGAGGGCAAGAGAGACCAGGTAAAAGCTACTGCAGCAGTCCAGGCATCAGACAAGGGTGGCTTGGCCTAGGAAACTGGAAGTGCTGATGGACAGAGGAAGGTGGATTCAATAAACATTTTAAAGGTACAAATAACGTGGGGGGGTGGGGGTAAGGGGTATGGGAAAAGAGGTAGCAAAGAGACTTGTGTGTGACTTACGCATCAGTGAAGTTCCTGAGACTGCAAAGCAGAGAAGTCCACTGGGCTGCTGGACAGGTGGATGTGGGGCCCTGAAGTGCAGTCAGGGCTACAGATGGAATGCTGGGGTCTGGGGGCAGGTATGCAAATCTTGACAGTGGATGAGACTAATGGCGAAGAGGACAGAGTGCTTCCATGCCTTCGGGATCTTTCAAATGATGGAGCAAGGCTCTGCGCTCACAGCTGCAAGGCGCTAAGGGACCTGAGACTCTGTCCCTGCCATCAAAGACCTTGTGGTCAGGAAAAGATGTCCCAAATGGTTACAGCTCATGGCAGGAACAGGGGAGAAGCAACTTCTGGGTAGCGAGATGAGTGTTGTTAAAAAATAAATAAGGACCCACAGGCATTCTAAGTAGGGAGGCAGAGTGTGGCAAGCAAGGGGGAACATCTGTGAAGATTTCTGGGAAGAGGCGGCATTCAAGATGTTCCTTGAAGGATAGATAGGATTTCCGGAGCTGGAGAGGAGAAGCTAGGGCAAGAGGCCCGTTCTGGGCAACAGCAAGGTCATGGGGCAGGTCAGAGCAGAACACAGTGTCCTGGGGCAGTGGGAGAAGTGGGAAACAAGGAAGGCTCTGGCCCGCAGCTGGGGCTGGGGGGCCTCCAGCGGCAGCTGTCTGCAGGCCTGGGGCCCCATCCTGCTCAGCCTTATCCCTCCCTCAGCTCCTTCTCAGGGCTTTGCGTTTAGTAAGCCCTCAGCAGGTGCAGGCCAAACTGGCCCCCACTTGTGCCAGGCAGGGCCCCCTCCTGTCCCCAACCCCATCTGGAGGGGACAACAAACAGGAAATCATGAGGCCCAGTGCCAGGTGGACACTGGCTCCCAGTATAGAGTGGCACCATCCCCCAAGACAGTACCCAGCTCTACCCTGCCCCTCACTATCACAGCCTTGCTGGGTACGTGAAACTCACCAAGGGCCTCAGCAGGAAGCAGGCGACCGTGGCCTAACGGCAACTCGCCCAGCCAAGGAGAGATTAGAAGTTTTGCTCTATTTTTTTATTTTTATTTATTTATTTGAGACAGAGTCTCGTTCTGTCACCCAGGCTAGAGTGCAGTGGTGTGATCTCAGCCCACTGCAGCCTCCACCTCCCGGATTCAAGCAATTCTCATGCCTCAGCCTCCCAAGTAGCTGGGATTACAGGTGTGCACCAGCATGCCCAGCTAATTTTGGTATATTCTGTAGAGATGGGGTTTCGCTATTTCGCTATCTTGCCAAGGCTGGTCTTGAACTCCTGAGCTCAAGCAATCCTCCCACCTCGGCCTCCCAAAGTGCTGGGATTACAGGCATGAGCCACCGTGCCCACGCTTTTTTTTTTTTTTTTTTTTTGAGTCCAAGTCTTGCTCTGTTACCCGGGCTGGAGTGCAATGGCGCGATCTCGGCTCACTACAACCTCCACCTCCGGGTTCAAGTGATTCTCCTGCCTCAGCCTCCCGAGTAGCTGGGATTATAGGTGTGAGCCACCGTGCCCAGCCAGAAGTCTTGCTTTAAGGAGGAGGAAACAGATTTGGAGAGAGCTTGGGTGACCTGCCCAAGGCCACACAGGAAGAACTGTCCTTTAAGACTCCTGCCCATGGAAGGCCCTTGGTCTGTGGGCTGGTTGAGGTTTCCAGCAACCCAGAAGTCAAAATGGGGAGGGGAGCACCTCTATTTCTGACAGCCAAAGGTTGAGTGGCCTCCAGTCAACCCTGGGAGGCCCAATCCCTCGCTGTGCCCCAACTCCACAGAGGAGGAGGAGGAAGAAGGCACTGCCCCAAAATGACTTAGAGATGGAAACCACTTCCTCTTCCCACAGACACTACTCCCTCAAAGGGCAGGCAGGCCTGCACTGGTACAGCCCCATAAGCAACACATCCCTTGGCATGGGGTAGACACAATACCTCGGCCCTGACCCACCTAAAAGGAAGACGGGCTTCCTTCCCTGAGTTCCCTCCCCGCGTCTATGCTGGGATCTTGTCCAGAGGGAACCTGTGCATTATCCTTGCTGGGAGATAAAAGGTGAGGGACCCCATTTTCATTAAAAACTCCATGTCATGTTCTTTTGTCTGACTCTACATTTCGGACTCCAAGAAAGGCATTGCTAGGCAGCACTCCCTCCACCTGGGCTGTCCCTCTGCCTGGGCTGTCCCTCCGCCTGGGCTGTCCCTCCTATTGTCCAGGGAAAGAGTGGGAAGCAGGGAAGGAGGCAGTATGCACAGACTGCAACAGCGAGGAAGTGGCAGAGGATAGGAAGAAGGGAAGGACACAACCTCCTCCTTTCTGCCTTCTGCTGGGGCTCACCCAGACCCTCGGGCATTCCCCAGTCTCTAGGCACACGAAGCAAACATGCAGCCACCCTTTTGGGGCTCCCATCCCCGGCTCCTCTGTTGATGGCTTGCAACTTCTTTGCCTCCATCCACAAATTGAAACAAATTAAGAATAAGAACTGTGGCTTTTACATTCTGTTCCTTCAGTGTCTGGAGATCGGGGGGAGGGTGCCCGCTGAGTTCTGCAAACTCCCGTGGGCTACAGCGGGCAGATTTGGGGGTGGGGATGGTGTGAACAGATTGTATCCACAGCTTCCAGGACAGGATGGAGATCTGGCCCAGGCCCCTTATCTTTCTTTCTCTCCAGCCTTCAGGATCCAAAACAGAGAGGAGGGGGTATGGCTTGGGCCTTCCCTACACCCCCTACCGGGGAAAGGTAGGTTCTAAGGCAGAGAAAGGGCCTCTACAGTGGGGAAGGGGGTTTCAGTCAGCACTAAGCCCCACCCCCCACACTTCCCACACCCAAGAGTGTGCCCCACAATCCACTCTCAAAGCTGCCTATGTAGATGGTGGAAAACAGCCCAGCTTTACAATCCTACAGTCATGATTCTGCAGTACTTTAACCTCCCCCAGCACTGTGTCCTCTGTGTAAGTGGGGATAATGTCCCTCTTCCAGGATTGCAGGGATTAAAATTTGTAAAACACAGACAAAGCCCCTGACACACAGTAGGTGCTCTATAGATGTTAGCATCCCATTCTCTCCAGCTCCCACCTACAAAGGGTCTGGGTCACGGCCAGGCACAGTGGCTGATGCCTGTAATCCCAGCACTTTAGGAGGCCGAGGCGGGCGGATCACAAGGTCAAGAGATGGAGACCATCCTGGCCAACCAACATGGTGAAACCCCACCTCTACTAAAAATACAAAAATTAGCTGGGCGTAGCGGCACACGCCTGTAGTCCCAGCTACTTGGGAGGCTGAGGCAGGAGAATCGCTTGAGCCCGGGAGGCAAAGGTTGCAGTGAACCGAGATCGAGCCACTGCACTCCAGCCCGGGTGACAGAATGAGACTCCGTCTCAAAAACAAAACAAAAAAATAACAACAAGCCGGGCGCGGTGGCTCATGCCTGTAATCCCAGCACTTTGGGAGGCCGAGGCAGGCGGATTGGGAGGTCAGGAGATCGAGACCATCCTGGCTAACATGGTGAAACTCCATCTCCACTAAAAATACAAAAAATTAGCCGGGCATGGTGGCATGCATCTGTAGTCCCAGCTACTTGGGAGGCTACAGGAGAATGGCTTGAACCTGGGAGGCAGAGGTTGCGGTGAGCCAAGATCGTGCCACTGCACTCCAGCCTGGCTAACAGAGCTAGACTCTGTCTAAAACAAATAAATAAATAAATGAATAAATGTCTTTGGCCAGGTGCAGTGGCTCACACCTGTAATCCCAGCACTTTGGGATGCCGAGGTGGGCGGATCACCTGAGGTCAGGAGTTCAAGACCAGCCTAATAAGGAGGAACCCCATCTCTACTAAAAATACAAAAAAATTAGTCCAGCATAGTGGCGGGCGCCTGTAATCCCAGCTACTCAGGAGGCTGTGGCAAGAGAATCGCTTGAACCTGGAGGCAGAGGGTTTCAGTGAGCTGAGAGATTGCACCACTGTACTCCAGCCTGGGCGACAGAGCAGGACTCCGTCTCAAAACAAACAACAACAAAAAAGAAACATGCTCAGAGAGGTTATCAGCAAGTTGTATGTGACATAAATGTCCAAGTTGTTGTTGTTTTTGAGACAGGGTCTTGCTCTGTCACCCACCAGGCTGGAGTGCAGTGGCGTGATCATAGCTCACTGCAGCCTCAACCTCTCAGGCTCATGCAATCCTCCCACCTCAGCCTCCCGAGTAGCTGAGACTATAGGCACACGCTACCACACCTGGCTAATTTCTTCTCTTTGGTAGAGGCAGGGTCTCACTATGTTGTCCAGGCTTGTCTCAAATTCCTGGGCTGAAGTCCCTACCTCAGCCTCCAAAAGTGCTGGGATTACAGGCAGGCGCCACTGCACGCAGCCAGTGTCTTAAGTTTTATTTTATTATCTTTTTTTTTCGGAGACAGAGGCTCGCTCTATCCCCCAGGCTGGAGTGCAGTGGCATGATCTCGGTTTACTGCAACCTCTGCCTCCTGGGTTCAAGCGATTCTCTAGCCTCAGCCTCCCGAGTAGCTGGGATTACAGACACGTGCCACCTCGCCTGCCTAATTTTTGTATTTTTAGTAGAGATGGGGTTTCACCATGTTGGCCAGGCTGGTCTCAAACTCCTGACCTCAGGTCATCCGCCCGCCTTGGCCTGCCAAAGTGCTGGGATTACAGGCATGAGTCACCACGCCCAGCCCAGTGTCCAAGTTTTAAACTCAGCACTAAATGCCTACTCCACAGCCCCCAGTCAGACCCCTTTGCCCATGGAATTCCCAGGGTGAACAAAAAAAGGCAGATCAGTTCTCCCCTCCAGCCAAGAAAGGTTAAGAACCCAAACGAAAGACCACTCCTCTTTAAACACTCTGTGCCCTAAGTCACTCCCCCTCCCAGCCCCAACACCAACACACAGACAGGCTGACTCTCCCTCCTTAGCTCTGGATTTAATTCCCCCAAAACACACTCAGCTCTCTAACCCTCTCACCCAATACACACAAGTCATTAATCCCCTTCCCAACACACACCCAACCGTGACCCCACCCCCAAAACACACACAGCCCTGACCCGTAGTGCACACAGAATCTGAGACCTCCACAGTAAACACCAGTCTTCAGAGACCAAGCCCCAGGGGCCAGTTTAGGGGGCGGGGAGAATCGCCGGACCATCTCTAGGGCTCCCACCCTGGCTGTAGCAGAACAAATACACAGCCCTCCCCACAGTGACCTGGAGAGGGTTTCTGTTGGTCCCATAGGCTACTAGGTCTCTGAAGGGCGCACCCAGGCCACCTAATGTGCTGCCTCCTCCCCACCTGGGGAAAGGGATGAGGGGGAGGAGGGACCCAACACCTTTGTTGGATGGGGAATGGGAGTAGGAAGCCTCATCAGCAAGAATTCCTACAAAAAGGGTATGGGCAGACTGGGGCATACCACTGCTCCTGCAGGAATGGAGGACCATGGATTGCCACCTCTCCTGGGAACTGCCTCACCCTCAGCACCAGCCCTAAGGCCAGGCAAGCAGGGAAGGCTAAACTGCCTCCATCTCTGAGGCCAGGCATGTGATAATTTTATCTGCCATGCTTTCCTACTCAGAGCTCAGGAGCTCTGTCCACCAGGCAGCCCTGGCTCTGCAGAAGGAGGGAGATGCCAGGCTCCCTCAGACCCATGGCCACACCTTGTCCCAGAGAAGAGGAAGGTCAGTGAGAAGCTCAGAAGCTAAGGGTCTGGGCAGGGAGAGAAGTTGTTGTTGTTTACTAGGGAGAGGGGAGGGGCAGGGAAACCAAAAGGCTCACAGAGGGAGGGGGCAGGAAGGGGGCATTGCCTAACCTGGGTGGAGAAAGCCGAAGAAGGCTACACTTGCCTGAAATGTGGGCACCCCACCCACATTTGGGGAGAAGGTTACCAGGATGGGAAGCCTTCCCCACCCACCTCTAAGAAAGAGGAAGAAGCTTGCAACATTGAGGGGAGGGGAAGGCAAAGCATTTGCTCCCTCTGGCCAGGATGGGCAAGGATGGGGCCAGGCCCCAGCCCCCACCTCCAACCCTCCAATGAGCCCAGGCTCCAGATGGACAGAGTGTCTGGGAACTCTGTTGCCATCACCTGGGTTAGGACAAGTTGTCCACAGGCACCAGGTCGCAGGTCCCTAACTCCTCCCCCGTCAAAAATCCTACCCTGAGCTGGGTGCAGTGGTACATGCCCATATCTCCAGCACTTTGGGAGGCCAAGATAGGAGGACTGCTTGAGCTCAGGAGTTTGAGACCAGCCTGGGCAACATGGTGAGACCTTGTCTCTATGAAAAATCAAAAAATCAGCCTGGTGTGGTGGCACGCACCTGTAGTCCCAGCTACTCGAGAGGCTGAGGCAGTAGAACGCCTTGAGCCCAAGAGTTCAAGCCTGCACTGAGCTATGATCATGCCACTGCACTCCAGCCTGGGAGACAGAGTGAGACCCTATGAGAAAAAAAAAAAAGAAAGAAAGCCAGGCACAGTGGCTCATGCCTGTAATCCCAACACTTTGGGAGGCTGAGGCGGGCAGATGACTTGAGGCCAGGAGTCCAAGACTGGCCTGGCCAACATGGCAAAACCCCATCTCTACTAAAAATACAAAAAAAATTAGCTAGGTGTGGTGACACGCACCTGTAATCACAGCTACTCGGGATGAGGCATGAGAATCGCTGGGAGGCCGAGACTGCATTAAGCCAAGATGGTGCCACTGCACTCCAGCCTGGGCAACAGAGGAAGACCCTGTCTTAAAACATAAAAATGGCCAGGCGCGTTGGCTCATGCCTATAATCCTAGCACTTTGGGAGGCCAAGGCGGGCGGATCATGAGGTCAGGAGTTCAAGACCACCCTGGCCAATATGGAGAAATCCCGTCTCTACTAAAAATACCAAAAGTAGCCGGGCATGGTGGCGTACGCCTGTAGTCCCAGCTACATGGGAGGCCGAAGCGGAAGAGTTGCTTGATTCCGGAAGGCGGAAGTTGCAGTGAGCCGAGATCGCACCACTGCACTCCAGCCTCGGTGACAGAGCAAGACTCTGTCTCAAAAAAATAAATAAATAAATAAAAATAAAACCCTACCCTGTCAGGAAGCAGACAGTCTTCTAGTTCCAGTGATCCAAGTCCAGAATGTAAATCACAGTCCCTTTAAATGCAGTGAATATTCTACAAAGATACACCAATGCATTCCCTAGTAGCCCCAAACCCCAGAGGCTGGCCTCTCCCCATCACTAACACAGACTATAGGACCAGACCAGAATCAGAGTCCCCAGACTCCATCCATCCCATACTCCTATATGAGGTGGAGAGAAGAGACAGCAGAAACAGAAGATGAAGGTTTGATAAGGGGTGGCAGGAGAAACTGAGGCAGCACCTGCCTGCCCCCTGGCCCCAGGGCATAAAGGGCGGGGAACACAAAGAAACACAGACATAGAGTCCCTGCTCCTGGTGGCTGGTGGAGCCTGGGAGGGAGGGGGCCACAGCTAAGCCAGAGGAGGCGATCCAGGAAGCAGTGGTGGTGGTGGGCACCCAGCCAGTGCGGGCAGTGAGGCGCCCAGCCAGGGCCTGCCCCAGGGACAAAGAGACTCCCTGGCTCCGGGGAGAGAGCGCTGCCCCCACACTGAGAAGGGGGCACTGACCCAGCCCAGCCAGGCACATAGGGCAGTGGTGCCAGGCAGCTTGCCAGCAGCCGTGAGAGGGGTGGTGGGTGCACAGGGCAAGGTGTGCAGTCCCTGCTGGCCAGGAGAGGTGGGGACACGTTTCCCAGGTCAGCAGCTGACCAGCCGGCCAGCCAGCAGCCCATGGCCCATTCTGCTGCTTCCACCCTCTCCCGTCCCAGGCCAGGCCCCGGCTCCCTCCTCCCCCCAGCCCTGGCCTGGCGCCCAGCTGGGCCCTGGGGGCCAGAGTTACTGTAAGCGGCCTGGCAGGCCCCAGCCCTGGACTCTGCCAGCTGGCCAGAGCTGCCGCCACCTCCCACTACCTGGCTCGGCCAGCCGGCGAAGGGTACTGAGACCCCTGCCCAGCCAACAAGTGACCTCCATGGCAGAGGGTGGAGGCAAGGAAAACACAGGCCCTGCCAAGACCATGCATGCGTCCGAGGCCAGAGTCCAGGCCAAGTGTCCCCTCCTGGGACACTCACCCTATCCACCCAGCTAGACCGTGGGCCCCTCCCTCTCATCCTCCCCACAAAGGGAAGCACATCCTAGCATGGCCGGGGGTGGAGCTGGCAGGGGGAGAGGTGGGGTTCCAGCCAGCCTTCCTCGGTCTGCTCCTTCAAGCCCTTTCCCTCAGAGGCACTGAGTGGGGGTGGGGCGTAGGTGGTGTGCTGCTCTCACTCTAGGTAGAGCTGCCATTTCCATCAAATGTCAAGAGGTTTGTTTACCCACCTCCAACCTGTGTGTCCAGTCCTTGGAGCTATTTATAAGGCCCCAACAGCAGAGCACAGAAGAGGGGTGCGAGGGCCACTGCAGGCCAGAACAGCATGGTTTCATCTCCCCCTCTGCCACCCCCAACTTCAAACACAACCACCATGATCAGCCTATAGGCCATAGGGCTTTCATTTTTAAGACCTCAAATGATGGTCACCCCAACTGGAGAAGACCTTGTCGCTCACCGTGCCTTCCACTCACAGCAGAACAGACGTGCCCAGAGCCCAAGCTCTGAGGCCTGCCACCCTCCACAGTCCCTTCCCACCCCAGCCCCCACACCCAGACTTACTGGCTGGGGATGGTGTGCTATATCCACTAACTGGAAGCTGGTGCTGGAGAGTGGTCAGAGCGCCTGGCGGGGAGAGTCCACCCAGCATAGGGGGGAAGAAGAAGGCGTAGGGAGGCACCGGGTACCCATTGAGGTGCCCGCCCCCAGGTGTCGGGCAGGAGCTGCTGTTGCTGGCCATGCCAAGCGGCCACAGTCAGAAGGGAGGCAGACAGTCTGGCAGGGGGCTCTGGTGGGCTTCAGACCACCCCTCCTCGGGGCATGGGGCCTGGGCCCAGATGGGGTTTGGGTGGTCAGCCCACCCGCCCTGTCCTGGAGCTGCTGTCCAAAGAGGGCAGGCTAATCTCAGTCTCCTGGAGCCCCCACCCTAGCTGGGGGCCAGGTGGGTTGGGGGATGTCTCAAGAGCCGGTCCTTTGGTCAAGCAGTTCTGTGAGCTGGCACTTTTCCTGGGAAGGTCCAGAGCTGGCCTTCAGGGCACCAAAAAAGATGCCACTCCTAGATGGGCCCCAGCTAGGTGGCTGAGGGGGCCATGTCCTGTGATGCTGCAGAAAAAAGAAAGACAGGTGAGTGGGCACTGAAGAACAGGCACACAGGCATTCCCCGTGGAGCTCCCCAACCTGGGCTGCCGGAGATTTTCCCGTGGCACCCAGCTGAGCAGACAGCTGGCACCATGCCTGGCTGGCAGAGATGACCTGGAAGCAGGGCCCAGACACTGCTGGGGGTGGCAGATAGCACAGCCAGGCTGGGGAGACAGGGACAGAGCCCAGAACCTTGGAGGGCCTCTCACCCACAGTCCTGAGGGGAAAGGGTCCACAGTGCCACCTCAAGGGATCACTGCAGCAGAAACGGGCAGCTGGCCCTCCTTCCCCCAGTGAGGGTTACCTGAGGTCAAGATGCAGAGAACGTGTGCTGGGGGGGAAGAGGGAGGGGGAGGAAAAGCCGCTTCCCTAAAGCATTGGCACTTCTCAGAAAAATGACTCCTAAGCCAGGGGGCCCCTCTTACACCACTTCCCCCCCAGATCCAAGCCCCAGCACCCCAGACGGGTTTGTCCCACAGGCCCTGGGAGGAGGCCCATTTACGTACACACTAATAGGAAAATGGGAACCAAGGACTCCTAGGTATCACCTCCAATGCTTAACAGCATGGATGGTCCAGGGGTAGGCGATGTGTAGGAGGGCAAGGACCGCCCAGGAAGCCTCCTACCCCCAGGCAATGAAGGAGAGATTGATCTCAAGGTTCACCCACATACTTCTGTCTGCAGAAGCAAAACACATGAACTGGGGTGGGAGGTGGGCAGAAGATGAAAGGCCAGATGCCCCCTTCACCAGTGTGAATACAGATCCACACCCTGTTTGAACAGCTGGCACCAGAGGATATGCACAGATAATACCATGGGGTAGAGACAGAGACAGAGATGAACCCAGAGATTCCATAACACAGTGAGACAGATAGGCAGCAACAAGAGCAAAGAGAGAGAACACGAAGAACATATCCATACGAGGACAAGAGGATGTTTCAAATCCATTTTGGGTACAGGTTATATATAAATACATATGCATGTATTTATATATGAAAAATACATATATGAAAGACAAAAGAAAAGAGACAGACAAAAAGAAACATGGCCAATCAAAAGCACAATGAGGCTGGGGGCGGTGGCTCACGCCTGTAATCCCACCACTTTGGGAGGCTAAGGCAGGTAGATCACCTAAGTCAGGAGTTCAAGACCAGCCTGGCCAACATGGCAAAATCCTGTCTCTACTAAAAATACGAAAGTCAGTTGGGTGCGGTGGCTCACACCTATAATCCCAGCACTTTGGGAGGCTGAGGCAGGTGGATCACCTGAGGTCAGGAGTTTGAGACCAGCCTGACCAACATGCCGAAACCCCATCTCTACTAAAAAATACAAAAATCTACTAAAAAATTAGCTGCGCATGGTGGCAGGTGCCTGTAATCCCAGCTACTTGGGAGGCTGAGGCAGGAGAATCGCTTGAACCAGGGAGGTGGAGGTTGCAGTGAGCTGAGATCACACCATTGCACTCCAGCATGGGTAACAGAGCAAGACTCCGTCTCCAAAAAAAAAAAAACACACACACAAATACAAAAGTTATCCAGGCGTGGTGGCACATGCCTGTAATCCCAGCTACTCAGGAGGCTGATGCACGAGAATTGCTTGAACCTGGGAGGCAGTGAGCCGAGATTGTGTCACTGCACTTCAGCCTGGGCAACAGAGTGAGACTCCATCTCAAAAAAAAAAAAAGCACAATGAGATACCACTTCATACCCACTAGGCTAGCTCTAATAAGAAAGACAGATAATAACAAGTACTGGCGAGGATGTGGAGAAATTGGAATCCTCATATATTGCTGGTGGGAATGTAAAATAGAATAGCTGTTTTGGAAAACAGTTTGGCAGTTCCTCAAAAGGTTAAACACAGCGATGGCATATGACCCAGCAATTCTACTCCTAGGTATCTACCCAAGAGATATGACAACGTAAGTCCACAGAAAGACTTATACATGAACATTCACAGCAGCGTTATTCCTAATAGTCAAAAAGTGGAATCAACCCAAAAGTCCATCAACTGACGAATAAATAAAATGTTGTATGTCCCTACAATGGAACATTATTCTGCCAAAAAAAGAATGAAGTACTGATACTATGATATGGATATTCCTTGAAAACATTATACCGGTTACAAAGACCATGTATTGTAGGATTCCATTTATATGAAATATCCAGGATAGGCACATTTATAGAGACAGAAAGCAGACTTGTGGTTACCAGGAGCTGGGGCGTGGATTTGAGGAATATGGGAAGTGACTGTTGCTGGGTATGGGGGCTCTTTCTGGGGTGATGAAAGTGTTCTAAAATTGATTGTGGTGGTAGTTGCACAACTCTGAATATACTAAAACCACTGAATTGTACACTTTAATGGGTAAATTTTATGGTATGTGAATTATATCTCAATAAAGCTGTTTTAAAAAGAAGAGGAAAGAAAGAAAAGAAACAGGGCCACAGAGACTCAAAATAAGGACTGTCCATTTCCAACACCCCCTATACCTTGCCACTCCACCCCAAGCTCAGGCTACACTAGGTTCCAAGCTCTGAACTCCAGACTCTAGCCTCAAATCTGGAGTCCAGGGGACAAGCACATGGCCAGCATTTGGTTGAAGACCAGGCCTGGGAAGGGGGAGTTCCTGCCAAGGCCACTGTGGAAGAGGCCAGGAATTCTGGCCCAGCTGAGCCAGCCAGCCTGTGTGGAACTGAGGGAGAGAGGGTGGGAGGGGACAGGTACTGGGCTAGGGAGGGGAGGCTGCCCCAGGAGTAAAATCTGGACCTTGCTAATAACCACGATTTTTACTGTTACTCATTATGACAATCATAGGGCCTCTCTCCTCACTCCTGAATAAAGAGCTCCCTTCCTACCCCAGGCCCCTGCCAATTCCCTCCTAGGCTGAGAGGGCTGATGTCAGAGGAACAGGGGCCCCACCCACTGGACCAGTTGCCGCCCTGGCCCCCTCCCAACTCCTGTGGGGCCCCACACAACGGGAACTGGAGCTGGGGGAGCCATGCAAGGGAAGAAGAGGCTGGCAGAACCTCATCAGTTCCTACAGTTGGACCCTCACACACAAATACACATACAAACTCATGCATGCAGGTCTACAGAAAACATCTGGGTGGGCAAGAGCACGCCTGCAGCCCCAGCCTGTGTGTGTGCAGGCATGCATGTGAGGAGAAGGAACCTGGAGATACCATCTCTCCACACCTGGGCTCCACCACACAATGAACACAGCTCAGAAACTGCATGCATGGGCCCCAGTACACAGCTCCCCAAAGACACAACCACAGCCCCACAGTCTCCCAAACTGTACATTCTCCGAACCTCACACAGCCAGGGTGGCCCTTGTACCTGCTGCTTCTGCCAGAAGATGCTCTGAGGTCCTCCCTGTGGGCCCAGCCCATGCACCAGGTCCACAAACACTCAGGTGAATTCACATCCACAGAGGCCTGCCTCTCTCAAGGTGAGGCCCAAGGGGCAGCTAACCCAAAGTGAGGCCTCTGTAACCCACGCTGAGGCCCAGAAAGCCATCACTCCAGATCTCAGGCATCCTGACCCAGCCTTTGGGGGTCGGGAGGCCAGTTTAGTCAGTCCAGCCTGGACCCTCTGGAACCCACCCTTGCTCCCAGAGAAGAGAAAACCACAGCCACCTCAACTCTGCCCCAGTGGAGTTTGAAATTGAATCAAACTTCAATCCCCACTACCCCCACCTCACCCCCAGCCCACCACCCACACACACTACAGGGCAAGGCTGGAAGGCCTCCCCAGACCCCTATCAGAGCCTCCAAAAAGCCTAACCCAGCTCTGCCTGCAAATTTCAGTGCAAATTTACTCAGCTCCCTGGGGAGGGCCTTGAGCCGCAGGAGGGCTAAAGGTCACAGAAATAGGCCAAGGGCCAGAAAGACCAGAGAACAGGGATGGGCAAGGGTAGGGATGACCAGGGTGGGCCCAAAAGGGCACAGACTCTGCCTCAGAAGGTCCATCAGAAGCTATGACCCTCAGAGAGACACCTGGGCCCCAGCCCCCTACACCCCAGGGGTGGAGAAGGCCTCGGCAGAGAATCGAAACCAGTACCAAAGAGAGGGAAAACAAACTACCCACATCCAACCTCCACCCTATGCCAGCCACCTCCACTGCCCACGGGCACCCTCCCCTGAGAGAGAGAAAACCACAGGCCCACACCTCCAATATATGGAGCCTAGCCTAAGCACAGCAGAAAAAGGGGTAGGGGGCTAGAGCACCTGCAACCAGCCCCACACTCCTGCCCACTGGGGCCGCTCTCACCCTCAGAAGGTGCCAGGATCCCTTCTCCAGCATCAGCATCCCTAGCTGCCCACGCGTTACACCCCAGAGTCACACACCTAGAGAAAAAGGTGAGAGCTTTCTGAGCCACGAAGATGGGAGAAAGAACCAGAAGTCGGAAGGGTCAAATCTCAGCTCTGCCACTCTGGGTGACCTTACGCAAGTCACTTAACCTCTCTAAGCATCTGTTTACTCGCCTGTGAACTGCCTACCTCAACAACGAGCTGTGCGATTTCAGACAGGAAGTCCTGGAAAGCACCCAGACCAGAGCTTGGCACAGGGGAGGCCCGGGCAACTGGAGCCCTCCATCCCCATGCCTCTTGCCACCACCTTGGTGCCCCTCAGCAGTCGGCCTGCTTTCCCTTGCCTCACCCCACCCAGGGCAACATCTGTTGACGGGGCCAGGAGGGAGAATTACCCATTTCCCAGGGTCTGCTTCCCTCGGATGGAGGAGAGGGATGTGGGGAAAGGGATATTCGGGGTGTGGGTGGAGGCCTGACCACAACCCATTCCCAAATTCCCTTCTTTCATTTCACAAACCAAAAAAGGGAAACCTTTGGATTTAGGGAGGGGAGAAGGGGAAGAGAAATAGACCATTTCCTCCCTTATACTCAGGACAGAAGAGCAGGGGACCCCAAACTCAGCCGGGACTGGCCCCAACCTCTCTTCCTCATTCATTCTCTCTGTTCTCCAGTCTCCCCCAAAACAACGGTTCCCAAGAAATAGAGGTCAGGCAGTCTCAGAGGGGCTGAGAGAAGGGGAAAAGTATTGGGGAGCTTAAAAGAAGGGGAGACTGGGGGTTTCCTAAGCATTCTAGACAGTTAGTGAATCATATGCAAATGACACCCAGAGCTCAAGCTCAACTTGGGCAGGAGGGACTCTAGCCCTGGCAGAAACAAAGCCCTGCCGCCTTTGGACCCCTGTCCCGCCAGGAGCTGGCCAAGCAGGGCAGAACAGAGTAGATTCAAAACTAGAACCATTTAGAAACTTTCCAGGAAAACACACTCCCATACATACAAAGCCACAACCTCTCCCCTCCCCAGCGCCCCTCATATCTGCAGACAGGGGTTGGGGAGCAGTGATGACTACTCCCCGCTTTTTCAAGGGTCCCCTCTGGCCAAGGCTCTCACCCCTCTCCTCCCTGGCAAGCCTACAATCCGGCCACTCGGGTCCTCTGTTTCCTGTCTGTTCACCAGGGTCTGGGCTGCAGGAAGCCAGGTTAGCCCAGCCTCTTTTTATTTATTTATTTATTTATTTATTTATTTATTTATTTATTTATTTTTGAGATGGAGTCTCACCCTGTCACACATGCTGGAGTGCAATGGCGCAATCTCGGCTCACTGCAACCTCCGCCTCCCGGGTTCAAGCGATTCTCCTGCCTCATCCTCCCTAGTAGCTGGGGTTACAGGCACCTGCCACCACGCCCAGCTAATTTTTGTATTTTTAGTAGAGATGGGGTTTCACCATGTTCACCAGGCTGGTCTCAAACTCCTGACACGGTGATCTGCCCGCCTCGGCCTCCCAAAGTGCTGGGATTACAGGCGTGAGCCACCACGCCCGGCCAGCCCAGCCTCATTTTAAAAGAGGCTTCCCTAGGAGGGCTGGAGAAGGATCACCTGAGGGTGGCTGGGATAGCTGGAGGGTGCCTCTTCCCCACCAACCCCACAGAACCCCAGGCCAGCCTTGCTAGAGCTAGGACTGGTTTGAAAATCTGCCCTAGTCAGTGCAGGCCATAAGCATGTCCTCTTGGGAGTTAGGGGAAGGAGGAAGCCTAGTGTCTCACTTCCGGGTGCTACCACTGCCCATTGCCTCAAGACACAGTGCCTTGTCCCAAAAGAATAGGTCCAATGTCTCCACAGCTTGTACTCCACTCAGCCCAGGGTTTTTCCCCAGCTACACAGAGCTGCAGGACCCCCACACGCCATAATCTCACCAGTGACTGGATACCAGGCAGAAAGGGTGACTGGACAATCCAAGCTCGGGGCAGTCCAGGTTCTAGGAGGAGGAAGTGGGGGTCTCTGCTGGTCAGGGCTGTGCTCCCAACTCCTCCATCCCCAGGGGCCATACCCCAGATCCCCCGGGGGACATGGTCAGGACCTCTGAAGCCCAGGGTGTCTGAGAGGTCCACGTAGAACCAGAACTGAAGCCTCCCTACTCCAAGCAACGAGTAGGTGAAAGGGCAGGGGGTAATTCAGGCCTCAAGAAGAGGGACCAACCCACAGGGAAGGAAAAAAAAAATGGGAAGAGGAAGAGATGAGCCTACTGAGGCCACAGCCAGACCACAGAAATGTGTGGACCATACGCAGGCAGCTCTGTTGGGTGAGGGACCAAAGGGGCACAGACAAAAGGGGACCCCCTAGCTTGGAAACCACCGACCTCACATCCAGCCTGGCACGGGGCTTTCCCCACCCTCACACCTTGGCAGCTGCCCCCTCACCACTACCTCCCCTCCATGCTACCAAGCAGGAAGCACAGCTCTCTCACAATGGGGGGACAGCTTACAGAGATACAGGCAGGGCCAGGGTGGGGAGATAGGCTGCAGCAGCCCTCACCCCTCCCCTCAGCTCAGCCCAACCCTGCGTATGCCATATTCTGAGTCCCAGGGCAAACTGCCAGCAGGACTAGATGGTACCAGCCCCCTCTCAGCATCCCACCCTGGGGACCCACGCTGCAGGGAATCCAGGAATACACCCCCCCACCAAGTCCTGCCTCAGGATATCCTTTTGGCTCTGACCCCAGACCAGGCCTGAGTCAGACTGTGCCCTGCCCCATACCCCCCCTCCGACCCATTGACCCCCCCCCAAGCAACTTCCTACTCCACACCCGCCTACTCAGTTGGGGCTAGAACTAGGGGGAATCTCTTCCCCTCACCATCCCCAGCTGAACAGGGAAGCCCACAGGTGGATAGGGATAATAGGTCACAGATCCCCATGGCCTTCCCCTTAGAGAAGAGCGCCTGCCAGACAAGGGAGAAGCGGGTGCAGGCTGTGTGTGCAGGGGAAGGCATAGTCTGCAGAGCCCCCACCTCCCCAGCCCCAAACACATGCAACCTAGGACCCTGCCCCACAGCCCCTTGACACTCCAGCCTGGAGTCCAGGAAGCCACAGAAACTCCCTGGGGAAGGTGGTTTCCATCAGAACACAGGATGGGAGCAGGCTCCAGAACTGTATATGAGGACAGATAGGGAGCACAGAGGTTCCCTGAATGGGCATCTCTATGAGCGAGAGGAACCCCGGCCAGAGGGGACAAGGGCTGCAAAATCAGTCAGACTCACAAAGTCACAGCCACGGTCAGGCACAGCCAGATGCGGTCACAGTCTCCCCAGCACTCAGTCTGAGTAGGTGGCAGTGACTCCTCCCCACAGACAGAAGTCTGGGGGGTCCTGGGGAATCTGGGGCATCAGAGACCACACACACTCAGCCTGAAAGGACCCCCTAGTCAAGTCCCCCAAGTACCCCCCCAGCCTGGTGGGGAGGGGTAGCTCCTTCCCCACAAGAACCAGGGGTAGTGCCCACGGCAGACATCACCATGGCAACCAACAACAAACATCCCAGGAACCACAGTGGGACAGGAAGTGACAGCCACGTGACAGGAAGACATTTTTTTTCTTAGTGTTGGGGGGGTGATGAAGATTGTTTGCACCCCCTGGGGAATCAGCTGTCCCCCAGGTTTCTCCTACCTGGAGCTGGAGGGAAGGGGGACCACTAGGAAGGGGGCCAACCCCTCCTTGATCTGCACAGTGGGTCACAGGACTGACAGGGCTCTCCCTCCCTGCCTGCCACTCATGGGTCCCCCCCTTAACCCCCCTCTTTTCCACTTCCTGCCGTGACTGGAGATCAGAGAACTCCCCACCGCAGCTTCCCCTTCTCAAGTCTCGATTCCTGGGCTGAAGGTTTCACTGTAGGGCGAGGGACAGAGGGAAGGAGGGCTGAGGACCTGCGGTAGGACCCAGGGGACAGAGGCTCCGGGGGGAGGGCCGGGATAAAGCCACTCCAAGGTAGGTGTGTACACACAGACACACAGCGAGTGGGTCACGGTGACACTGCCTGCGGGGTACAGTGACACATGGAGACTGCCTGACCTCAAGTAACTCTGTGGGGAGAGGGAACAGCCAGAGGACCCAGCCCCGGCGTGCCCCACTCTTGCCCTGTCCTGAGCCTCCAGGTTCATCTCCGGCATCTACTGGCCTCCAGGCAAGCAAGGTCCCAACTGTGCCTAGCCCCTGCCACCTCTCCCCTGCCACCTCTTCCCTGCCACTTCTCCCCTGCCTTTTGTGCTTGAGGAATCCCCCTCACTGCTCCAAGGTGCCCGCCCAGACGAGGGCACCTTGGCTGAAGGTGGGGGAATGGAACCTCCCTCCACCCCCCTCCCCTTCTCTGCAGATGTCCCAGACTATATTTAGCCCAAACCGGGCGGCCAGCCAGACCCAGACTCCCCACTGGCCCAGAGCTGAGCTCCCAGTTTTTAGGCAATTAAAACATTAACAGAGAACCACCCCCATCTACACACCCCCACACCCCTAGCCCTGCCAGGGCAGCACAGCTCTGAAAACTTGAAGGAGGGCAGCCCAGCTCTGCAGCCAGGGATGGGGGTGGGGGTCATCAGGCAGGACAGGGGCATCATCCATAAGATCAGGTTGACACTTGGAGTGGCGAAGGGGAAGTCTTCCCTTGTTCCGGCAGAAGGGAAAGGCATATCCAGTTGGGGGGGTGGAGTTGCCTAGCTGCAGAAATTACACCTGTCATTCTGCAGCCCCCTCCCTAGCAAGCTCCAGTTATAGGGCTGGGGTTGGCAACAGGTGCGGGCCAGCCTGGCAGCAGCCTAATCCCCCCACCGGCTCCCCAGGCTGACAGTGGTGCCTGGAGGTCCAGCAGGGGCCCTTTGGGGCAGGATGTTAAGTAGAAGGAGGTGTCACTGGCCAGAGGGATGGACAGCCCATGGCCTTTCCATAAGAGCTGGCCCCTGGCCCTCATGATGTGTGCTGGAGGGTCTAGGGAAGCCAGGGAAAATGTAGTTCCATAGCACCTATTTCATTTCCCCATGATGCCAGGTGGGCGGGCTAGAGTGTGGGAGGTCTGTCTGCCTGCCTCTTCCTCCTCCTCCTCCTCTCCAAATTCCAGGAACAGGCAAGGGAGGCTCCAGTTGTGGGGAGAGAGGGAAAGCAAGCAGGCGGTCCCAGCTAGGGGGGAGCGAGGGGAGGGCGGGACTGGAGCGGGAGGCAAGATCCAGACGAAGCAAGAGACACCCACACCCGAGACACCCACACCCGAGCCAGACTGGGGACAGACACACCAACGCTGACACATTCTCACACTAGGTCCCCACATGCCGCCCACCCTGCGGGGACACCAAGACACCCTCAGCCAATCCTGCCAATTCCCAGAATACTCCCTGGACACACACGGAGATCCAGGCCCTGCCCCCCACCGTGCATCCCCCCACAAACTGTGTGGGCTCCAGACAGCAGCCAGAGGGTGGAGAGGGGAGTAGAGGGAGGAAAGACAGCAGGCGTCAGAGAGAATGTTCAGCCAAAGCCCTGGGAGCCGGGGTATCAGTTGCCATACTCCTTTCCCAAAACCCAGTAAGTCAAGACAACACTGGTCATCTTGCCAGGGGCCCTGCCAGCTTCCCACACTCCCAAAACTACCGACACAAGATGGGTGTGGGTACTGAGCAAGCGGAGATTACCCCGCTTATTTGTCGCAGGGACAGGATTACCATCCCCAGATGCCTATCACCCCAGATCCCAGGCAGTGCTCCCAAATATTAATAGACCCCACAGAGGTCAAAAGAAACCACCCCTCCAGCCTAGCCTAAGTCCTGTCCTGCCCATGCTTCCAAGAGGACTGGAAACTGGGCATTGGGGTTTGTATTTTGGGACAGGCCCCACCGTCACATCACACGGTTCTGAGGACCATCCCACCTGAGACTGGAGTCTGAGCAAGGAGTGGCCTGGAAGAAAAGGTCCCAGAGGGCAGAGTCAGCTTCCAAGACTAAATGGTTTAGGGGAAGGGGCGCGCATTAGCTGGGGTCTGGGTGAATGTCCCCAAAACAGACCTGAGGGGCCACTCAGACAATGTCCTCTCCCCCATACTTAGATGGGGTGGCAGGAACCACGTCATGGCATGTGTGGGTGACTGTGCCCAGCGGGGGAGGCACATGGGTGATCAGGATGGGGCTGCCCACAGCTGGCTTCCTGCCAGGCTGCCTCAAGGTTGGGAGTAGGAAGGGGACTAAAAAGGTGTCCCAGGGTGGCAGCCGGTGCATTTAGGGTCAGACTGAAGGGATAGAGATTTAGGGGCTATAGGAAGGAGGATGTGGCCAGGATTAAGCCATTTCAACCCCAGGATCTTCTCAGAACTGCCACTGCATCTGTGCCACCGTCGCCAGTCTGATGGTGAAACCCCTGCAGTGACACCTCATATACACTCAATCACACCCTCAAAATCCTTGCAAATCCAAGATCCTCAGCTCCCAAGAGGCTACTCCAGTCTGACCCTCCTGACCTCTCTTTCAGGACACCACATGGTCCAGACTCCCAGGCAGTACTGATGTCCCAGCTCCCTCCAGCATACCATTTTTCACAGCCACAAACTCCCTGACTCCACAACCACCCCCTCTTATTCCTCCAGGAAGAAGCATCATACAACCAACTCCAAATATTTTTTCTCTTGTTCCTTCCCCCAGCCTCATCTCTACCCGCCCCCCCCGGCCCCCTCCAGGGGAAGCCCCAAGGCTCCAAGCCACCCCCACTCCAACCCGGGGCTTCCCCGGCACAGCCTCTTCATGGAGCCCTGTAGGAGAGTTTGGGGCCTGAGGTCCAATTTCCTAGCAAGACCTGGAAGGTCCTTACAGAACCACTTCCCCCAAAACAATCTTGCCCTATGAAGACTGCAACCAGAGAAGGGTATAAGAGACATCCCAGAATGTCTTGGCCAGGAAACTGAGGAGGGGGAGTGTCAGGGGCAGAAGTGATCCTTGGGGTAAGCAGCAGGGGGTGGGGGGGTCGGGGGGTGTTCTCAGAAACAATCCTTTCCAAGAATATCTACATACACATATGTGCACACAGCCATCAGACAGAAGGCAACCTGGTTACAGAAGACAGAGCCAGAGGGGGCAGGAGGTACCCTTCCAGGCCATCACACTGGGCATCTGATCCAAGACAGGATGGAGGGTGCAGAAACATCTCCAAGGCTGGGGAGCTCTTCTGTCTGGTTTCCGGGTTAGTTGGTCCCCATCCCCACCCTAGCACACTGGAGGCCTGTCTTTCCTTTCGCAAGGAGCAGCCTGACAATAGGCCAGTGCCCAGAGAGGAGATGAGGGGACATAGCCAAGCTCATTTCCCAGCCGTCCCCCCAACCCCACAACAGGCTCACACACACATCTGGCCAGCAGCTTCCAAGCCTCGTGGGTGGCACCAGGTCCCAGACACCCTCAGCAGAGCAAAGTCGACAAGTCAGTCTATTCCGTCTTCCCCTCACCCCAAAAAGTTCCCACACCCCATGGTGGCACAAGACCCAGGAACACCCCTACACACATACTGCATTGGCTCCCGCACCCAATTCTGACGGTTCCCCTCACTCCACGGGGGACACCAGCTGAACCGGCCCGGCCCCCGGCCGGCTCCCTCTGGTGGGAGTGGGCCCCCTGGCTGATTCTCCCCAAACCACAGGGCAGCTCAGATAACAGGAGGGAAAAAGAGAGGGGGCTAGTCCGTTGAGCATCCGATCTCTCCCCAAACAGGTTTGAATTCAAGTCTTTTTGTTTTGCTTATCATTAAAGAGAAAAAGAACAGAAGTTCCCAGCGGCGGTTCTGCAACAGCTCGAGCGCGGGGGACACGCGCAGCAGACGGCCCCAGACGCCTCAAGGCTGCGCGCGAAGACACGGCGCAGGCAGACTCACAGACGGGGCTCCCCCACCCTGGACACGGCGGCAGCGAGTTGGGAAGCCCAGGAAACCCCGGGTTCCCGTCGGAAGCCTCCCGGTACCCAGTCCCCTCCCGCAGCACCAATCTGGGGCAGGACATGGGGCCCCGACGCCTGCGGGAACCAGGGGCTCCCCAAAATCCCCAGGGGAGGAATTACCTCGCAGCGGGGGAAGCAACCCGTTCGGGGTGCCAGCGAGCACAGCGTCTGCCCTAACCCGGCGCCCTGGTGCTGCTCGGCATCAGGGTGCGGGGTCCCGGGAGAGGAGCCGTCCAGGGGGCCGCGGCTCAGGGGCGCGGGGCGATGGCAGCGGCCATAGCGAGTCACGTGCGGAGGCTGAAACTTTACCCGGAGCCCCAGACTGAAGGGGCGGAGGGTACGGAGCAGAGGTAGGGGGAGGCCCTGTCCCTCAGGCCCGCCCCTGCCCGCCCACCGACCAATCACCAGTCAGGGGCGGATCTACAGGCTCACGCCCGCCCCCGCCTCTCCTTAATAGACCTCGGGAAGGGCGAGTCTTAAAGGAGCCACTCCTAGTTGAAGACTGGACCGTGGGAATCCGGGAGAATCCCTCCCTCAGACCCAGAACCGAAGATTCAGAGCAAGAACGGGGTGAGGTTCTGCGGAAAGAATGAAAATAGCGCTCGGTGGAGAAGACCGCAGCGTGTGGTATCCTACACTCCTTTCCCCCCAACCACACACACACCCACACCTAAATCTGAGAAGTGAGGCGGCGGCGTAATATGGAAGTGAGTGCGGTGACTCCTGCCCTAGCTGTCAAGCCCCTGAATCCTATAATTATAATCCTCTTCTAGGGACCAGCTGGAACTGAGAGCTGTGTGACCTTGACCAAGTCACTTCCCTTCCCTGGATCTTAATTATCTCAGCTGCAAGAAAAAGAAAAAAAAAAAAAGAGTCCAGGAGTAGATCTCCCGCAAGTATATCTCTTCTTTCCCCAAACACCTCTGCAGCTCCAGTGGGTCCTAGGAACCCTGGCTCAACCCAACCCTCCCAGCCCCCTTAAAGTACTCTTCTCCTCAAAGGGCAAGACTTTTGGATCTTCCAGTAGGGGCGCCCAGGAGCACCCCTCCGTGCTCAAAGACTCACACTCAAGCTTCTCTCTCCCGAACAAGTCTGGAGAAGCCAGGAAAGCTCTTTTTCATGTTCCAGCTGGACAGGATCTGAATCACCCTCCATCTGAGAGACCCCCAGTCCCCAATACAGTCATGACCCCCCTCCCAGCCTGCAGCTCTGTTTGGGAGGATCCTGTCCCCATCGCTAGCAGTCCACTGGCGGGCTTAGGGGGAAGCAGAATTGCTTAGAATACTCCCCTCTCGCCCTGTTCCCAGGCAGAGAAGTGGCCACAAGTGCCCCCACAGAACTTCCCACTGGAAGGGGAAGTGCTGCACTCCCAGGCCTCCAGCCCAGTGAGGAGACTCTCAGCCTGACCCGGTGGCAGAGCTCTCAAACCCACTGGTCCGACGGACCCCGCTTTACAAACAAGGAAAGAGAGTCCAAGAGCAGGCACTGGGTTTTGTGCACAGTCGCACCGGTTGCAGAGCCGGGTCTAGAATTGAAGTATCTGATTGTCCCTGGCTTTAGCCCAAGAGCCATGGTAAGGTAGGACAAGCCAGGATGGCGGGACCCTTTGCCCTGAGGGCCGGCGCACGGGAAACTGCCCCAGCAGTGCTGGGCCGCGCTTCCCCAGGCCCCTTCCCGCCTGCTGGGCCGGAGCTGTCTCCCGCTCCCGTCTGGATTTCCGTCCGCCGGTGCGAACCTCCCGCCCAGCCCCTCCCGCCCTGTCCTGTCCAGATTCATCCGCAAACATGCGCTCAGCCGGCAGGAATGCGCCAATGGCTCCCAGATGTGGACGCCACCGCTTAACCCCTTACCCCCCAGCCGCGCTCCCCCAAGGGCCTTCCAGCCTGAGCCCCGCCAACAGCAGGGAGCTCTGCCCAGGTGAGAACCAGCCCAGGACTGGAGTCAGCGCCAGCCCGCCCCTAGTGCCCACGGACACCTCCCAACCTAGATCCTACCTGTCTTCCTTCCTTGAGGCTGGAGGGGAAGGCTCATGGACACAAGAATGCAAGCATGCATGCACACAGCTACACTGCCTCCCAAGTGGGACGACCTTCAGGTACACCTGCCATCATAGGGTCAGGCATCCTGGTACAAATGCATTTCCACGTGCACATTCAGGGCAGGGATGTGTACATCCCCGACGCATGTATGCACATCCACGCATGAACAAGTACATCCAAACACATTTGTGCACAGACAAGGGCATGAAGCAGAGGGTGGGGCACACTTCTGCACAGACACAGAAGTAGCCCCATGTGTGGATGAGGGAAGAAATTCATACACACAAACCCACCCCCCGCAGGGGTCAGACACTCAAACAAGACCAGCACCCGTGTGTACAAACACAAAGCATGCACATCTTTGGGGCATTTCCTTCCTGTCCAGGGAAACCAGTACCACCTGTCCAAGGCCCAGCCCTACCCAAGCTTGACTGCAGAAGGCAGGAGAGGTCCCCAGGTGGGGGACCAGGAGTCTTCAATCTGCAGCAGCAGTTGAACTCCAGCTATGCTGGGCTCATAACAGGGCTTCCACCACCCCCTCCCACCAGGGACTCTGATGCAGGAGGAGAGAAGGGTACCCAGGGAGCAGCAGGAAACTAGCAGAGAGAGAAAAGCCACAGGCTCGGGGCGCCTCACTCTAAGAAGGACACTCCTTGGGGCCTACTGTTTCCCTGCACACAGGAGATAGGCTGGGGGAGGAGTCTGAGCCCCATCCCTCTTCAAACTAGAGGAAGTGAAGGAAGAGAGTCTGGACAGGTACCAGGGCCAGTGGCAGTTCTCAGTAGTCAAAAGAGATAAAATATAGCTCTGAGACACCCTAGGAGGGCCCACACTTCTAGTACAACAAGGCTGTCTTCTCACAGCCTGTGGAAACTCCTGAAGAACAGCATTAAGTGATACTCCGAAGAGATGATGAGAAGCAATTGGCCCTCCAAGACCATGGTGCGGGAGTTTGTTGGAACCAGCTCCAGCTGACTCCTCTTCCCCTCCCAAGCCTCCTAGCTCATCCCAAAAGGAGCTCCTCCCACAAGTACCTTAATAGTCCCACTCCATTTGATTCTCACAGTCCTGAAGGGGCAGGCTCCTGTTGCCATTGTAGAGATGAAAAAACTGAGGCTCAAAAAGAAAATTGCCTTCCTCAACGTCATACAGCTTGTCAATGGCAGGGCTGGGATTCAAACCCAGGCCAGGTATGGTGGCTCACACCTTTAATTCTAGCACTTTGGGAGGCCAAGATGGGACGCCAGGAGTTGCTTGACTCCAGGAGTTCAAGACCTGTCTGGGCAACATAGCAAGACCCTGTGTCTTTTTTGTTAAAATAAATAAATATATACGTGTGTGTGTGTGTGTGTGTGTGTATATATATATATATATATATATATATATATATATATATACACATATAAGCATATATATATATATATATATACATATAACCCAATCAATGTTCCCTCCTCAACTCTTTCCTCCCCTACTTACTCCAAATCAAACATGTATGACTCCACTCTGTGCCCTGCTACCTTTTCCTTCACCCCTTAGTGGATCACAAGGGAGAAGCGCCATCCTTGCCTGGCTCTGCAGGTTTATGGGTGGGGCCAGGACATGCCAGAGAGAGATCAGAGAAGACACTGGGGGCTGCACACATAGCCCTCCACCCCCACCACAAGCCTGGTGCCCACCTGCCTAGCAGGCATGGCTGGGTGACTCAGCTGCATCCGGGGGAGATGCCAGGGCAGTGACTCACCTACCGAGAAGAGCTGAGCCTGGCACCTTGCCAGCCCCAGGACAGAAGTGACTTAGTCACCACCAAGACTGTGATGCCCAGCAGGCACAGCCCAAGGATTGCAGACAGGGGCAGACTGTCCCTCCATGGTTACATGCGCCCCCTGGCAAAGAATGGGCCTCAGCATTCTGGGGCCAGCAATGTCTGTGCCAGCCCCTGCCCCCTCACCACTGCCCACCCCCACCACACCAGGCCCCGCTCCAGTGCCAACAAGTTTTGTGAGACCCCTGTGCTGCCCTGCCCCCACTGCAGCCTGCCCATCACTCACCACCCACTCTCCCACCTGCCCCACCTCCTCCTGCCACCCAAGTTGTACCCAGGCTGTGAGTCTCCTTTAACATGTCCTGGCAGCACTCCCTGCCCCCACAGCCCCTCTCACCCTCTCCCCTCATATACACATGCACTCAAACACACTTCTGCCAGCCTTGCTTCTGCCAGCAGCTGCTGAAGTTGTTGAGCAGGAGGGAAATTGGGAGGGTGGGGTGCAGGGATTGAGTTACCAGAGCTGATGGGGTGGGCTGTCACCCAATCCCTTCCCCAGCTCGTCCCCACCCCCACCCCACCCCTCCACCCGCCATATCCCTCACCCACCTGCCTCCCTCCCTACCTCTGGCTGGCAGCCTACTGCCCTTTAAGCCCGTCCACCCAAGCTAGAAAATAAATGTTCAAGAGTATTTGTCATGTTAAGACCAGCCTAGTATATGAGAGAGAATGAGACAGAGACCAACAGAAAGAATAATTCCTGTGCTCAGTGCTCTGGCTACAACCACTAAATATGTGTATGTTGAGCCAGAAGGGGACTGAGCAACTCCGCAAGTCCCAGAAGAGTTGGTGGGGCCCAAGGAGAGTTGACAGGCTAAACAGCCTCAATCCATTTGCACTATTGATTTCTCACACACTGCAGTAGGCTTGATGGGGGGTATGATAAATCAGCCCCCAAGAGACACAGAAACTGCGTAGAGAGAAGGGGAGGGGCTTCTGAACCACAATTGGTGGTGCACCATGACTTGCTTGGTGCGTTGGGGGTGGGCAGCAGAGGAATAGGAGATGTTGAGTGGCATGAGGCAGGGTAGGGGAGAGGGTGTTGGATTAAGGCCTGTCTGGAACACCTCCTTCCAGGTGGGTCTGAACTAATTTGAAGGAAGAAGGTGGGAGACAGATGCACCACGTGTGGCTACACAGGCAGGGCCTTGAACAACCCCAGGGGGTGCCATTCACATCATAGTCTATGGAATGGTTCCCCCTGCAGCTGTGCAGCATGGTGGCCTGTGGGGAGAGCCTGAGGCAGAAGACAGAAAGCAGACTGAATTCTGAGGGACCACAATTCTCCATTGAGTTTTCTCCCCATACACACCCCAACTTGCCCCAACTTTCCCTGCCTCCAGGCCTCAGAGGGGGCCTCCTTCTGACTAGCGATCAGAAGCCAGTAGTAATCTCCCCACTCCTCAGCCCTGCTCCCTTCTTTTGTTGGGGAGATGGGCAAACAACCACCATGACCCACAGGTCCTGGGCAGGGCAGGAGGAGGGCTCACAAAGGGCTCTGGGGAGTCTGGACGTCCCTTCTGTAAGGTGTCTCCTAGCCCCACAGCTCACCAGCCTGTGAGCCTGCTGGAGCCTGTCCAGCAGCTCCATTCACACCAGTGGCCACAGGCCACCCAAACAAACCCAACTCTGACCTCCTTCTAGCCTGGACACAGACTCTTTCCACATGGAGACTTATAAACAAACCAAGCTGGGATTTTCAGAGACCCTGCACAAAAAAGCAGATGGGAAAATGGACCAGGTGTGCCTGGCTCGTGGTCCTCCTTGCTGCAGTAGGGAAGGGAAGCACACTGAGCTGTGGTGAGGAACCATGACAACAGAAAAATGGTGCAAAGGGAGGGCCTGGGTTCAGGTCTCAACACAGCCAATGACTGATTGAGTGTTCTCTCTAGGCCTCAGTTTCCTTCTCTGCAAGGGGAAGGGATTGCCTAGGTAGCCTCTAAAACCCCTTCCAGCTCTGAGTCCAGCTGGATAAAGAAAACCCTGTAGGGTGCCAGGACTCTTCCACCCAGTCCAGCCCGGCCCATCTACCTGGGTCATGCCCCTCTGGGTAAGGTCCTGCCCCTGCTCCCCATGCCTCCTTGCTGTCTTCTGCCCCTCTGGCCCTTCCTCACTCCTCTGCCTGCCTGCTTACCCTCACCTTGGCCAGCCCCTCTGCCTGCCCCGTGCTTTTCTGCACGTCCCTCCTGCCAGGGGACTGACCAACTAAAAATAGTCCCTGCAGCCTTTCTCGCCCACAGCTGCCCAAAGAGCAGGAAATGAGGGGGGCAGGGAGGCCCATGCCCTGCCTTACCCCCACTAACTCCCAGGTCAGAATCATGTCCAGCACTCCAGCCTGGGGCTAGCGCCAACTTGGCCATCCTGGGGGCATCCCACACCCCTTTCCTAGGGGGAGGCCTGCCCATAAGTGCCTGCAATCACAGAGCTGCCCCTACCCTGCGGGAGGAGGAGAAAGGAGGCAAGCGGTCTAGAGGGAAACCTTCCCAATTTCTGACAAATCAGTGCCAACCACATTGTGGGCACCCAAAGGGCAGGGCCTGGCTCCACTGACTGGTCTTTTGAGGGCAGAAGGAATTGGCTTGGGGAAGTTTGTGACAGTCTCCTTCATCCTGGCCCAACTGGAGGGAAGACAAAATAGTGCCCCAGCCTCAATTATGTTAGTCCCTTGCTCCCCAAAACCAGGGATTTCACTAGCCACCTGCAGATATCATGGGGAAAAAAACTAAAAAATGAGAGCAGGAGATGTAGGCTTCTGTAAAGAGAGAAGCCTGGAGGCAAGAATAGGCCATGCCTGCCAGGCTGGGCATGTGCTGCCCCCAAGCTGAGTCAGAGGCTAGGAGGGAGAAGCTGGGGTGCTACAGTGCCAGAGGCTACTGTGCCCCCACCCCTGTCCCACCTGGGATTCCTGACACCTCCCAGCCCTAGGGGAAGGCCCTCCCCACAAAGGAGGAAGGAAACCAGCTAAGCGACTCTCTGGAGCCCTGCAGGGGAGCCCTGCACCACAGGCAGGGAAACCCAGGAGTCCTGGCGCCCAGCCCAGAGACAGTGAAATATCTTGGAGGGGAGGAAACAGCCCAGATTGAGGCAGACATGTGGCACCCCCAGAAGCTCCCAGATGTGACCTACTGGCCAAAGGGGCTAGATGAGGCAAAGTGAAACATTTCTGAACAAGAAGAGAGAAGAAAGTGGGGCTATGGGAATGGGGTGGCGGGGGTCAGCCTGGCTCATCGCTGTCCTTTCCTCCTTGTCAGAGTCAGTGACACTGACATTAAGGTCATCGAATATCAACCAGGTCCTGAGGACCTTGGTGTGTTTCCTCCTCTCCTAGTCTCCAGACCCCAGCCTGTTCATTCCTGAGCTTCCTCTGGCACCCCTTCCTTGGGGCCAAGCCAAGTAAGAAATCAGCAGGCCCAAGGTGGTGCTTGGGAGGCCGGGGCAGTGCCAGGGGCAGTCCTCATACCATCCTCCCACTGGCTTCCCTCCTGCCTGCTCTTAGCCGCCACACATATCTCAGCTGTCGAATCCGATTAGGGCTCCTGCCCAGTGAGCCAGACAAGGAGGCCACTGGGCAGGGGAGAGAGAGACAAGGACGCCAAGCAGGGATGGCAGAAGGAAGGTGGAGACATGGCTCAGGGGAGCAAGTATGGGGCCCCAGAGGAAGAAATGCCTGGTGGAGAGATCTGTACTCTGTGACCACAGGTGCTCTGGTAACAGCTACAACCTGCATTAGGGGAATTCTGCAGTAACCGGGGCAATAGCCCTGCCTAGTTCCTCCATCCCCCAGATGGGCAAAGGATGGGGGAAGAAAACTAAAGGCGGAGAGATTGACCTAGATTTAGGAAGAGGATTCCATCCTAGATTCCCCCAGCCATTACTACCGTTTGCAGTGAGCTTTACGATACATTGTCTCTGTGGTTTTAGTGGCAATGTCCCTGCTTGCTACTGATAGCCATTTTTACAAATGGAGAAACTAAGGCTTAGCAAAGGGGAAGACCTATATAAACACATATAGTTAAGTAACCAGTCTAAGTCTCCAGTTCAGGCCTCTGATTCCTAGTTCACTGCTCACAGTCAGAATCTCTACTTTCCTTGTTGGATCAAGACCAGAACGAAGTCTGAAGCCAATTCATTATCCACCCTGTCCTCTAAAACCAACCTTTAGGGGACCCGGGGAGCCATGGAAGAATGCAGAGCACACCCCACACCTAGACAGAGCTACCAGATGGGGACATGCCACCCATTCCTATCATACATTGATTGCTAGAGGAGTTCCCTCAGTGTGACCAGTCTCTTCTATCACCCCCCTCCCCAGTCTACTACCCCCAGAAGCAAGACACACACTCACACATGGTAAGTCAGACAAGGTGTACACCCTTCCTGTAAACCCACCAAACCAGAATGACACGCCCTAGATCTTCAGAGAGCAGGGCCTGTCTGCCCACCACAGGAGAGAAAAATAAGCCACTGTAAACAGTAGGTGCCATCTAGCCCTCTCCCAGAGAGCCTGTAGCGGGGCAGAAGCTTGGGGACCTTGTAGCTCTAGAGAAACACCAGGAGCCTGAGATTCTGAAAGCCAAGAAGCTCAGGGAGCTGGCAAGGCTGGGTGACCTCCTCAATCTGGTCCACACCCCCTTCCCTAGCCATCTGGACTGAGCCTGTTCTGGCCTGGGCCACACTCTGGTATCCCTCCCCTTCAATGCATGCAGCCACCTCTATCCAAAGCTTCTAGATCTTACAACCACATTGTCCCTACACACACACACACACAGGTGGGGTCGGGGGGCTTCTGCAGCAGGTGTTGAAATGTTGACATGGATGGGGGCTCTAAGCTGAAAGAACTTTCCTAGAGGAAAAGCTCACCAAAATGCTCACAACCTCCACTACCCTCTAGCAAAGCCTTTAGCCACCCAAGTGTGAGATGAACCTGGAAGGGGACATTAGTTCCCCTACAAGGTGTGTAGGGAGTAGGGGCAAAGTCCTGAGCTCTTTGGGTGAGGAAGCAAGAAAGAAATCCCTTGGGAAAGCTCAGGTCCCTCTCTGGCTCTCTCCTCTCTCTGTTACCTCAGCACTTGCCAATTCTCCAGTCTAGGTGAGGTGGGGGAAGGGGTATTAGGCAATACCGCAAAGGAGGGTGCAAGGGCGTGGGGCCTGGGCAGACCTTCCCCCTACTCCCCACTCTTATCTAGAGAACGGGAACTGCCTCAGGAGAAATGCAGGAAGGGTGCTGGAGGGTGCAGAGGGCTCTGAGCTTTCAGACACCCCACTGTTCCCAGGCTCCCACCTCCCAGGACTACAGTGAGCGACGGGAGAGGAGGGATGGGGAAAGCCAGAACTGGCGAGAAGGAAATGGCTAGATCAGAAGCAGAGGCCGGGGTCAAAGGCGGCCAAAGAATTGGGAAGGGGTGTGCATGGTCCTACCTGCTCAGGTGTGTGCTGGCAGGGGGCCGATGGGGTTCCCAGGAGAACCGGGGAAGCCCTCTCAGCTCGATTCAGGATTCCCCCCTGCTTCTGGGTTAGGCTGCTGCAAGAGGCACGGGTTCCCGTTGGGTCCTAAAGCCCACTCGCCAACTAGAAGGCTCTCCCCGCCCTCTTCCACCAGCCAGCCCCGACTGGGTCAGCGGGCGCAGAGCGAAGGACTGATGGGGGAGAAGTAACCCACTGGAAGAAAGATGGGCGTCTGGTCATCGGCTGGGGACAGGAACAGTTCCCTGTCTCAAATACACAGCATATGGATAACTCGAGGATAGGATGACCTGAAACAGGAGAAAATAGACATTTCTTCCTGCCTGCCCTGAGCAGATGGATTTAGGTTTTGGTGCTGGAGGTGGGGTTAAGATCTCTTTCCCTGCCACTCCTGCTAAGGCATTCAGCTAGAGATTTTGGAAAGGGAGCATTCATTTTGGTTGGGCGCTCACTTCTGTCCTCTTCCTCATGGACTGCAGGAGTCCCTTCATCCCTCCCAATTATTCCCAAGGACCTAGGAGGCCATAGAGGGTGAAAAAAGATTTTCAGCATGTAAAAAGTGCAGGCTCACTTAGATGGCAGCTGGAAACAGGGGAAACATGTAGGACCAATGTATGTGTATCTGGGAATGTGTGGGGTCTGCAAATACACATATATAGGCAAGAGTATAAACAGGTGGGGTTAGGGAAGGAGAAAAAAACAAAAAAGAACTTTGGGTTACACCTATTACTGGAAATGGTAATTGTCAGTGGAAGAACAGGACGTAGAACCTAGAGGTCAACTAGTGCCCCTACCCAGCCCTCAGTAATGTCCCGAATCTTTATGACCAGAATAAACAAGTTAAAGAGAGAATATTTTCCTAGATACCATTTAGGATAAATATAGGGGCAGAGGGACCTCAATACAACAGATCAACTTCAAGGTCACTGATTCAGTTTAGTATAGCCAGTCTTCTCAGTAGCTCAAAAGGGAGAATTCAGGTTTGGTGGGCTAGATGGGCAAGAGAAAGCTGGATAAGAATTCTGAAGTTGTGGATTGAGAACATTTTGCAAGGAGAGTTGCACATATCTCTAGCAGCAGAGCAGGGAAAACGTCATGAGGGGAAGGGCCAGAGGAAGTCAGCGACAGACTTGAGGGGAGAGGGCATGGCCTCTCCCTAGAAGGGGAGAAGACACCAGCAATGCCTCCACCTCTGTCTTGCAGGAAGAACTGAGTAAAGGAGCTGGACTAAGGATGGAAGGCCCCAGGGTGGAGTCCATGGGGTGAGTTTAGGTCAAACCTTTCACCCTAATGTGCCTCAGTTCTCTCCCAGCTGTTAAACAGGGCTCTTCGTTCTTCCCAGGCAGTTAATGAGTGTTTACAAAAGGGTTTGGAGATCCTCAGATCTCAGCTGGGCCACCACTACAGTTATAAAGTTCAATAAGAGCTGAGTGTTATTTGGGGAGGAGAGGAGTAGGGGAAGGAAACAGATACTCTCTTATAAACTAAGGATAAAACTAAGCTCAGAGAGAAGCACAAGCCTAGCTGCCACAGGATATCCTTGTGCCCATGGATGGAGGTCACCCCACCCCCCCATCAACCACCACCAAAGGCTGGCCTCCAGCTAGCTGTAGGCAGAACCCAGACTAGCAGCTGGTCTTCATTAACTCCAGCTTTTTCACCCCCCACTGTGAACCCACAGCTTCTACAGGCCTAGGCTAGAGGGGGCTGCCCTAGCCCGACCTTGCAGCTGACACTGGGGTGGGGGGCACCGCACCAAAGGCCAAGTTACCAGCTGAAAAGAAAGTTGAAGCAAGAGTCCTTTTTCCCATTGGGAGCAAGAAGAAAGCAGTGTGGGGGTGAGAGGGTGGAGGTGGGGGAATTTAGGGCAAACAGCAGGCAGTGAAGTCAGCTGGATTGAGGCCCAGAAACCCCCACACCCTGGGGCCAAGTCTTACTCTAGCTTTGCTTTCAGCTTAAGTCTTGGCGAGGCCCCAAACTAGGGAAGGCCCTGGTTGCCCCTTTCCGCCTCCCTACCCCCACCCTTATTAAATACACATTTTATCTCTCAGCATCTTCATTATCTTAACTGAAGGAGACAAGCAGTGGATGGCGGCAGCAGAGAGCGTCAGGAGCGGGGGGCGGTGCGGGGAGCAGGCGCACCCTTGTTATAAAGTGCTGATCTAGCTCTTTCAGGCAGTGTGGGAAACAGAGGAGGGATCAAAGGGAGTGAGGCTGATTCAGAACTCAATTAGAGCTTTTTAAAAAACGAAGCTGGCTCTCTCCTTTCACCAGTCTTCAGCCTTTACCCAAGCCCCTTGCACCCAATTAACTTCCACTACCAGTGCCTTGGGGCTGGGGTTGAAAATCAAGGGGAGGCCAGAGGGCACACCTTCTCCCCTTACGGAACACACCTCTTCTAAGAGGAAGACCTGCACTGTTTGTAGCTTAAGAGAAGGTATCTTAGAAAGTACCTTATCTTTTCAGGAAGAACCTGAGATCACAACTTGCCCCAAGTTAAAAAGAGGGACATCAAAGGTGGGCTCCTCCCTAAACCCTTGCCTACAGACCCAGCTTCTGGCCAATCTAGCCACACTGAGTGACATCCAGACAGGCAGCCCTCTTCACAGCCTGTAGATAAGACTCTTCCCCTCATAGCCAAAGCGTCCCACCAGCAACATGGAAGTTGCCTCAAGCAAAATGCCACTACATCAGAGGGAGTGATTGGAATGCATCTGTGAGGCTAATAAATGCTCCAAAACTGTGCCAAGACACATTTTGTAAGACAGAGCACCCTTCTTATGCAGGGGCCTGCTCCACCTCTGTGCAAAAGTACCACCAACGTTTACCTTCAGCTTAGAACTGTTCTCACCACTGAGGGAAAGGCAGTATCTTATTTGGTTCACTTATCTGTTAAACAACTATTGAGTACCTACCAGGTATTAGGCACTATACTAATTGCTAGGCACAGATACAAATGTAAATAAAATTTCAATCTTGGATCTCTTTTGTCCTCCCTCAGCAGTCAAGGTAACACGTCTCAAGATATTTAAAAAATATATAACCGGCCAGGCATGGTGGCTCAAGCCTCTAATCCCAGCACTTTGGGAGGCCGAGGCGGGCGGATCACGAGGTCAAGAGATCGAGATCATCCTGGCTAACACAGTGAAACCCCATCTTTACTAAAAATACAAAAAAATTAGCCGGGCATGGTGGCGGGTGCCTGTAATCCCAGCTACTCAGGATGAGGCAGGAGAATGGTGTGAACCCGGGAGGCGGAGCTTGCAGTGAACAGAGATCGCGCCACTGCTCCAGCCTGGGTGACAGAGCAAGACACCATCTAAAAAAAAAATATATATATATATATATATAAATAATATGTATATAATATATAATATGTATATTATATATAATATACATTATATATATAAAATATATATAATATGTATATAATATATATATAAAACCTAAATCACATCTTATTCCCAACTTCTCATTCTTATTGGTGTATCTGCTTTCTGTCTTTTATAGAGACAGGGTCTCGCTCTGTCACCCAGGATGTAATGCAGTGGTGTGATCATAGCCCATGCCGAGTTGAACTCCTGGGCTCAAAGCATCCTCCCATCTCAGCTTCCCAAGTAGCTAGGACTACAGGTGCATGCCACCATGCCCAGCTGATTTTTAAGATTTTTTTGGTAGAGAAGGGTAAGGGGGTCTCACTATATTGCCCAAGCTGGTCTCAAGCTCCTGACTTCAAGTAATCCTCCCGCTGCTGCCTCCTCCCAAAGTGTTGGCATTACAGGCATGAGCCACCACACCTGGCTTGATGTATATTCAAAGGGACACTTAGTAAAGGTAGGGAGCAATGCAAAAGAGGGGGCGCAGAGAGAATAAGGCTCTGCCAACTTTTTGATCTCTGGGTAGCTTAGACCTCACACATTTTTTTTTTTTTTTTGAGACAGAGTCTCACTCTGTCACCCAGGCTGGAGTACAGTGGCATGATCTCATCTCACTGCAACCTCCACCTCCCAGGCTCAAGCAATTCTCCTGTCTCAGCCTCCCAAGTAGCTGTGATTATAGGTGTGTACCATGGCACCCAGTGAATTTTTGTACTTTTAGTAGAGACAGGGTTTCGCCATGTTGGCCAGACTGGTCTTGCACTCCTGACCCTTAAGTGATCAGCCCGCCTTGGCCCCACAAAGTGCTGGGATTACAGGCATGAGCCATCACACCCAGCATTTTTTTTTTTCCTTTTTGAGACAGTCTCATTCTGCTGCCCAAGCTGGAGTGCAATGGCACGATCTCGGCTCACTGCAACCTCTGCCTCCCAGGTTGAAGCGATTCTCCTGCCTCAGCCTCCCAGTAGCTGGAATTACAGGAACACACCACAATGCCTGGCTAATTTATTTTAGTAGAGACAGGGTTTCGCCATGTTGGCCAGACTGGTCTCAAACTCCTGACCTCAGGTGATCCGCCCGCCTCGGCCTCCCAAAGTGCTGGATTACAGGCGTGAGCCACCACCCCCAGCCTGGACCTCACACATTCTTGCAGAGTTAGCTAGCCACAGGCAAGTCTCCATTGAGCCAGAAACATCTGTGGCAGCTCTGGGGTTGAAACACACAATTTATTTTGTCTATGCTCTTTCCATGGCAACACCCAACACTCTATGGAAGCTTAATCAGCTTCCTTGGGGTGGGGGAGAGAGATAAACCAGGATATAGACACACACTCCATCACCTTCAAAAGGAAGAATGTAGGTCAGCATCTTTGCCACTACTCTAAGTGAAGCAGCCTATGATCCTGGCAAAAACTGCTAACCACAAGCCCATCCCATCCCATCCCACTAAAACTCCTACCACCTTCCTGAAGCTCTCAGCTTCAGGGAGAAAAGCCAGCAAGGAAAGGGCTTTCTTCCTCAGCAGTCTGAATTACACTTAAGACTTTACTGACAAACATATATCAGCTTTTGCTCCCACAAGGGCAGCAGAAGCCAAGCAGGGACACTAAGTCTGCTTCATGCATCATTGACAGAACCAACCCTGTTCCAACTGCTAAAGTCTTAAGAGCAGCAATGACCTAGAAATTGACAGTGAGGGGAGAAGAAAAGGAAACTAACAAATCAGTAGACAGAAAACTCTATTTCCAAAACCAGGGGAAAGGGAAAGATAGAGGGGAAAGAAATTTGGCCCCTTTGAATCTACCAATGTGATTTTGGCTGGAAGCCAGGGAGGATACATAGCAGCCCCACTGCGAGTCAAGCCATGTTCCTGACTCAAGCCCTACAGTTAAGAGGAAGGCGCCAAGCCTCAAACACAATGAGGTGGGGAGGCTGCTCCTTATTGGGCAGGATCCTACTGTGGACACAGAACAGACAGCAGCTGCCCACAGTGTGGAAACAAACTGTAAAGCAGTCACGTCTCTTAAGGCTGCAGCATCCAATAAAATGTAATTTAAATCAAGCTTCGCATCTGTTCTCAATCCCATTCAGTCTCTGCTTTCCATCAGCCTTCGGACAATCTTTGCAATTATGCATGTTAACCCTTATAGTCCCAGACACTTTCCAACCTTCTAGGTATAGAACTGTGTTTCCATGTTCAAACTACCTTCAGAGGGAACGAATACTCTAGTAAAGGAGTGTGAGAACAACATTCAGACTCATGCCTACAGACTATCATGTGCTACACACACCAGTGGGTAGTGTTCATTTCAGAGGGCTCTCTCTGCTTTCCTTGCCTCTATCCCATACCACCTGTTGTAGCTCAGATCACATTACACGGATACAGTGGTCAGGATGAATGAAACAGTGGCCAACAGATCACTTGTACACATATCAAGTTCCAAATGGAAGGCCATGTCAGAAAGGTAGAGGCGGCAGCAGGAGAGCTCAGGGAAAAGCAGACTTGGTCACTGGCTCTCAGATCATTCGTATCACACATGGTTTACATTTCAAGCATTTGCTTCAGTTATGAAAGGACAGCAATCTCCCAAACAAATCAAACTAGAACTTCCCCCTTTCCCTCAAAACTACCTCAGCCTCAAGCATCCCCTTTCAAAGTAGTCAATGTTATAAGGGTGCCCTCTGGTGTCTCAGTCACAAATTGCCATTTAATGCCACCAAACCAAACCCAGAAGGCTCTTGATTAACCAACCATATGGACTAATTTATCTAATAAGACTGGAAAAATGTGTTTAGATGAAAACCCAACCCCAAAGTAGTCATCTTGAAACAAGTGGCTTCATCTAAGGGCAGCAAAGACTGTGGGACAGCCTAGGAAGGAATTTTCACATTGACTTCTGAAAGCTTGAGCTCTCTTGAAATCTGATTGCTTAAAAAGACAAAGAATGCAACTTGAAAATAAATATATTCACAATCTGTAGAGTTATAGTCTCCTTATGACCCCAACGCCCTTGGGAGTGCCCAAGAAACTCAACGAGTCTAAAATGCCACAATGTTGTAGTATCTGCACCATGAACATAGTATACTATACAAAGAAATAAATTCTTTAACCAGTGTCCTCCAAATCTCCATGTGGACTTGCTTGCATTTTTCTGGATCATTTTCATTCTTCTTACCCTAAACTTAAAGTTCTTAACAAAATACCTTAATGGCTGAGCATGGTGGCTCACGCCTATAATCCCAGCACTTAGGGAGGCCAAGGTGGGCAGATCACTTGAGGGTCAGGAGTTCAAGACCAGCCTGGCCAACATGGTAAAACCCTGTCTCTACTAAAAATTAAAAAATTAGCTGGGCGCGGTGGTGGGCACCTGTAATCCCAGCTACTCGGGAGGCTGAGGCAAGAGAATCACTTCAACCTGGGAAGCGGGTGCTGTAGTGAGCAGAGAACGCGCCATTGCACTCCAGCCTGGGCAACAGGGTGAGACGCGCCTCAAAAACAACAACAACAAAAAAAACAAACAAAAAAATACCCACTCATGTTTGAGCAAACGAAGAGGTAAATATACACACATTCCTCTACACAGATCTGTACACTTGCAAGCACATTGGCTAGAGATACACAAGTGGTAGAAGTAGTGAATGTAATTAAAAAGGGTCTACCTGGTCACTTTTATGGGTAAAAATAGTAAGACCCAAAGATATTATTCTGTGCTAATATTAAAGAATCTATAGATTAAAATTCATTGGCTTCAAGTAAAAAAGGTCATATTTGTTTTCAGGCCCGAATGTGTAAAGCACTAAAATGAAGACTGTAGCTCTCTAAATGCCAGCTGAATACTTTCGGGTGGGGTGTAAGAGAAGAATTTAAGGCAATCCAGTAGCTAAGATATTTCCAATTAAAGCTTTATCTTTCAGAGCATGTTCTATTTCTTTCTCTTCAATCTTGAAAAACACCTGGAAAGAAGAGAAAAGGATTTTTCACACTGGGGAACTCACAAAAGCAAAGTTGTCAGTATACAAACTTCTACCATATTAAACTTTTTCTCACAAAAGGCAAGCAAGTTAAACACTTTTTTTTCCAATGGCTTGAAAAAATATTCATATCACACTCCCATCTTTACACACCTTAAACCTTACCTAACAAAAAACGACTTGTTTAACTAACTGTGGTCATCTTGTTTAACAATAAACCTTTACTTTAGCATCACTCTACAAAATAGGACAATTAAAAACACTGTCACAAAAAAGCAGTTGTACCTTTGTCAAACGGGTTTCCTTGTTTCTCTTTAATCCTAAAATGCCCCTGGCTTCCAAGAGCCCTGAAAGTGACAAACACTCTGACTGGTCCACAGCCGCCACCTGCTGTTTGCGACAGACTTTACTGTAGGCTTCATATAACTGGTAGGAAACAAGGGAGAACAAACGCTGCTTAAAAGTCACATTGCTTATAGCCTTTAATCATTTAAGAAACCTGAGTCTGGGTTTGCAAAAACTTATCTGAATACCCTATTTCTTCCTCTTTTCAATAAAATCTTTGAACAGGCTTCTGTAGATATTCCCGAAAACCTATACAGTAATGTAGGAAAGGGGCTTTATATATTTCCTAGAGAGATGCAGAAATGAAGGGGAGGATAGGGAAAGGATTAATGATAAACTCTCAACCACAATCCAAGGGAAATAGGTGCCTTTTATATAGTACCAGTATTAATTCTTACTGTTAAAATCCATTTTAAATTTATTATCAGCTGAAGTATCATAGGCCTTTTGGAAAATACCTGCTCTGCAAAGCAGATTCTGATCTCTACCTCCGTTCCATCTGCTCCATCCCAACTTACCTTCCCCAGAGTGACCTCTTTGATTTTCAACTGCCTGATCAAGAGCATCAAAGAGCAAACCAAGATCTTCTGCTGAAGAGGGAAGGAATCTTGTGCTCCTTCTTGGCTCAAGGTCATCCTGTTACCATCAACTTCTGAGATGACTTGGGATATGTGAATAAGACCAACCCTCTTGGGAATCAGAGGCTCAGAAGGTGATTTACCTATAAAGTAAATAAGCCAAGCTTAATTCGATTTCTAAAATACTGTGTGTGTGTATGTATGATGAGACAGATGATACTAAGTTTGAGCTAAAGGAAATTCAAGTATAGTCACATGGTGGCAAAGCAGAGGTTTTAAATCTCTAACCAGAGGCCAAAGGATGAGAGATAATGCTATTCTCTTAAGGATGTCAAAATAATGTGGGATGACTTGAAAAGTAGGGTTACCCTTTCTCTGGGCCAAATAGTGAGCTGTTTTGTCCTATGGAATGTAATTTAATGTCAGAGGAACAAAACCCACCTCATGAAAGGACCAGAGAACTACTGTATTTTTTTTTGGGACAGGATCTCTGTCACTCAGGCTGGAGTACAGTGGCACTATCATGGCTCACTGCAGCCTTGGCTTCCTGGGTTCAAGTGATCCTCCTGCCTCAGCCTCCTGTGTAGCTAGGATTACAGGTACGTGCCACCATGCCAGGCTAGTTCCTAGTATCTCAGAGGTATAGAATAACAGAACCTTGAAGCAAAGATGGTGACTGTGCTTGGTAATTAAGAAAGGAAAAAAAAGGCCAGGTGCAGTGGCTCACGCCTGTAATCCCAGCACTTTGGGAGATCAAGGCGGGCAGATCACCTGAGGTCAGGAGTTGGAGACCAGCCTGCCCAACACGGCGAAACTCCATCTCTACTAAAAATACAAAAAATTAGCTGGATGTGGTGGCAGGCGCCTGTAATCCCAGCTACTTGGGAGGTTGAGGCAGAAGAATCACTTGAACCCGGGAGGCAGAGGTGCAGTGAGCCAAGATTGTGCCACTGCACTCCAGCCTGGACGACAAGAGTGAAACTCCATATAAAAAAAAAAGAAAGGGAAAAAAAAGTTGGAAAATTACCGAATATTTTGGATCAAATGAGTGGCTAAATGTGGAGAGTGAAGTCGCTGCCATGTCAGCCCTTCAGATGGCTTCCCCAAATGACCTTTGAGGTTTGGTTCACTTGCCCAAGCTGATTAGCAGTAGAGCAACACTTGAGAAAATGTCATTGGATATGCTAGCAGATAGCACCATCTTTTTTTTTTTTTTTTTCTTTTTGGTATTTTTTGTAGAGATGGGGTTTCATCATGTTGCCCAGGCTGGTCTTGAACTCCTTAGCTCAAAGCAATCTGCCCTCCTCGGCCTCCCAAAGCACTGGGATTATGGGCGTAAGCCACCATGCCTGGCCAGATATCATCATCTTAATAAAAGCCAGGGGTTGGGAAACTGCCAATAAGCTTCATAAGACTATATCCTTAGCAAACTACTGTAGGAACAGAAAACCAAATACCACATGTTCTCACTTCTAAGTGGGAGCTAAATGATGAGAACACATAGACACATAGTGGGGACAACACACACTGGGGCCTATAGGAGGGTGGAGGGAGAGGATCAGGAAAAATAACTAATGGCTTGAGCTCAGGAATTCATGACCAGCCTGTGCAACAAGGCGATGGGTTTCCCCCATCGCTACTAAAAATACAAAAAAAACAGCCGGGTGTGGTGGTGTGTGCCTGTGGTCCCAGCTACTCAGGAGGCTGGGGTGGGAGGATGGCTTGAGCCTGGGAGGAGGAGGTTGCATTGAGCCAAGATCACGCCACTGCACTCCAGCCTGGTGACAGAGCGAGACCCTGTCTCAAAAAAAAAAAAAAAAAAAAAAAAAAAAGACTATGGCCTTATCGTTTGGAGATGCATGAATTCCAAGACAAAGAAATGTGTTCTGTAACAACCTTTACCTGAAGTTACTTCCTGAAATCACTTGCAGTTGCCCCACAACAATTTACTTCTATAATATTACATTACCACAAAGGGATGCTGCAGAGGACTAATGGAGAAACCGGAGATCACAGATCAAGTAAAAGAATCTTAAAATTGAAAGGAATTTAGAAGTCTATTTTTACTCCCTATCCACTGGCCGAGTCCTCTCTAGAACAATCTCAACAAGTGGCATCTATCCAGCTTTTGTCTGAATATCTTCAATGCTGGAGAACCCACTATGTTTCAAGGAAGCCCAGTTAGTTCTAGTTATTATAAATTTTCTTCTTATATTTAGTTAAAGTCATTCTCCCTATAGCTTTCTGGAGCCCTTGAAAGCCAATCTCAACCTGGTATGGTGGCTCATGCCTGTAATTCCAAAGCTGTGGGAGGCTGAGGCAGGAGAATCACTTTATCCCAGGAGTTTGAGACCAGCCTGGGCAACATAAGGAGACTCCTCCACCCACTGACTCTACAAAAATTTTAAAATTAGCAGTAGCTGGAGCTGGGGAGGCTGAGGTGAGAGGACTGCTTGGGCCTGGGAGGTTGCAGCTGCAGTGAGCCATGATCGCACCAGCCATAATTGCACCACTGGACTCCAGCCTGGGAGACAAAGCAAGACCTTGTTTTACACAAAAAGAAAAAAAAAAAAGAAAGAAAAAAGCCAATCCCGCACAAACCAGAAGTCAAAAGATAGAACTTACAACCTCTTTACCTTTTTGAATTATGTTTGTGTTAGTGGTGCTCACAGGGGCCAGTGACAAGCCTAAATGTTACTGATGGGGAAAAAGGAGGAGGAAAAGGGGATAATCTGAAAAGTTGAAAAGGAGGAAGAAACCAGTATCTAAGTCTATACATTGGTATATATTGCCTACTATTAGCCTAAGCACTATTTTTGGCTACTTCTGAAACATTTTTAATTATTTTATTTTAGCAAATTGATGAAAAAAAGAAAGAATTTCATGCAGAACTATAATGCCAGAAACAATTTTACTTAAACTCCCAGCCAGTGTAGGAGTGAAAAAGAAACAATCAAATCTTACTATTCTGTTTATAAAGACTAACACTGGATATCAAATACTGTAAGATACGTAGTTCATGGCCATTTTACATTTGCCACAACCAAAACAAGGCTGAGGGAATGGAATATTAATTTTGTCATTTGTGATACCATGCAGCTTACTGTAGCAGTATGATCTTTTTACCTCTACCCTCTAGACTTGTTTAAAAGCTTGAGATATCCCAAGTTGAACTTATAATTCTTCTTATTATTATTCTTTTGGGACAGGGTCTCGCTCTGTTGCCCAGGCTGGCAGTGCAGTGGCACCATCTCGGCTCACTGCAACTTCTGCCTCTCCAGCTCAAGTGATTCTCCTGCCTCAGCCTGCCAAGTAGCTAGGACTACAGGCACACACCATGCTTGCCTAATTTTTTTTAAGTTCTGGGATACATGTGCAGAACATGCAGGTTTGTTACATAGGTATACATGTGCCATGGTGGCTTGCTGCACTCATCAACCTGTCATCTAGGTTTTAAGTCCTGCATGCTCTCCCTCCCTTTGGCCTCCACCCCCAACAGCCTCCGGTGTGTGATGTTCCCCTCCCTGTGTCCATGTGTTCTCATTGTTCAACTCCCACTTATGAGTGAGAACATGTGGTGTTTGGTTTTCTGTTCCTGTGTTACTTTGCTGAGAATGATGGTTTCCAGCTTAATCCATGTCCCTAAAAAGGATATGAACTCATATTTTTAATGGCTGCAAAATTTTTAAAATTTTTTGTAGAAACAAGGTCTCACTATATTGCCCAGGCTGGTCTCACAATCCTGGGCTCAAGCGATCCTCCCGCCTTGGCCTCCCAAAGTGCTGGGATTACAGGTGTGAACCACCGCACCTGGCTTCACAATTCTTTTACCCAATTCTCCCTTATTTATCAGGCTTTGCTTTCACCTATATTGAGACCTAAAGTGCACGCAACATAAGCACCCAGAGAGCTGATCCAACCTCATTGTCTACAAGTTTCATTTCCAGAGCTTGGAAAAAAAACTTACTCTGTCCCAGCCATTTACGCAATCAATACCCTGGGAACTCATTTCCAGTAATGCACGAACTATAGTACTGGCAGGCAAGATTGAAATAAAGTAGACGAAACGGACTAAAAACACAGACACACATAAAAATGGGTGAGTTTGGATTTAACTATGTTCATTTCATCTTTCTACCTCTTTCCTCAGAAAAGCTAAGCTTCTAGTTACAAAGGAAGACAGGAAGGAGATAAACTACTTACATTCAGACAGTGGTTTGAGAATAGTCTGGCTTTTGACATCTGACTCTACAATTTCAATAGCTCTCCTATAAAAAAAATTTCTAAAATTAATTTAGTCTGAGCCAAACCAAACACACCAAACCACCAGCCTCAAAAGCGGCACATTAATGACCATTGCTCAAAGACTGCAACTATGAACAATGGTCATGTAGGCTAACATGGTTTAGCCTACACATATCCTACGTGTAACTTTAAAATTATGATGTTTTATAATTTTAAAGCCCCCAAACAAAACTGGGTTATTTCTCAGATAAGGGGACTTAATTGCTTTGAAATAATTCATGGACATCAGATTTGAGAAACTTCAATGGTTTCCTCCTAATGGATGCCAAGTAGGTCATCATACATTAAGCCAATGATAACATTTTGGATGAGGAGAAAATGTCATGGGTAGGAGAGAGGATATGTAGTGTGGGTGACTGACTAAAGGGAGTCAGCATCACCCATACACACCAAACCTAAAAGGGATATCTTCAGTTATATATACATAGGATATGTGTAGGCTAAACCACGCTAGCCTACATGACTATTGCTCATAGTTGCAGTCTTTACCCAAGTAGTTTGCTGATTAGGGGAAACTTTCAAATTCAGGATCATGCAATCTAGCAATAGGAAGAGCTTACTCTCCCACTGCTCTCTCCAAAGTACTTGCCCACAGGAAGCCATAAGCCAGACCTGGGTCTTCTGCATAGCAATAGGGGGAGGTTGGACCAGCAGGCCAGCACAGCAAGTATCATTTTAATGGACCCAGTGTCCCTACTGGGAAGGAAGAAATTTCATCAGTCGGCACAGAGGCTTTCCCCAGCAGGAGGGGCAGGAGGATGGGAAGGGAGAAAGAGGTCTGGAGTACAACTGTGGGGGACCACCAACTGAAGGGAAGAAGGGGTGCTCACAAAAGGAAAGGAAGGGGAACAAGTCTAAAGGCAAAGACGGTTCAGGTCCATAAATAAACCTGCTTGAGACCAGCTAATGGAAAAGTAAACTGGAGTCTTTTTTAATACAAATGTAATTAACCAATCTATAATCACCACAGGGAGTGCCAGCAACATCTCATTTGTTTCTCCCTCTGTAGGTAATGGACTGATAATGTTTCAGACATTAACACGGTGGAAATCCAGAGCTCCCCACTGAGAAACAAGTCCTCCTTTCTGAGCGTAAAAAAGTAGCAGAACAGAGCCTCTTAAGCCACATTCACTTGAGTTACATGAGACAATTAACAGCATTTCTTTTTTTTTTTTTTTAATAAAAGAATGCAACAGAGCCGTAACTCACCTGCAAACATCCAGTGCTTTGCGAACATCTCCTGAAACAGCAGAGACTTTGCGGGCACAGAATTGAACTGCAGCATTGTCCAGAACCTGATCTCTAGATACCTTCAGACAAGACATAGAAGATGACAGTTTGAACCATAAGATTCTCCCTCTGTAATTTAGGTCCCAAGCATAAATATTTTCACATTTAACCCTAAACTTGATTGGCAACTCTTTAGGGTTAAAAAGATGCCTTTTCTTCTCATAAATAATGGAGACGTTTGAGAGTTTTCACACATTTAAGCTTTTTGTACGGATGCAGTAGAAGTTCATAAATGGAAAAAAGCAATCAGAACTGAAATTAGCAAAAATAAAAAATCTATTTAGTCATTTTCAACAGAAAAAGTTTTTTCATAGGCCCTATTTTTTAAAGGTCATTAAAGAAAGCACTTGAGGCTGGGTGCGATGGCTCATGCCTGTAATCCCAGCACTTTGAGAGGCCGAGACAGGCATATCACCTGAGGTTAGGAGTTCGAGACCAGCCTGGCCAAGACGGTGAAACCCCAGCTCTACTAAAAATACAACAATTAGCTGGGCGTGGTGGCAGGTGCCTGTAGTCCTAGCTACTGGGGAGGCTGAGGCAGGAGAATCGCTTGAACCCGTGAGGCAGAGGCTGTAGAGAGCCGAGATCACGCCATTGCACTCCAGCCTGGGCGATAAGAGCAAAACTCATCTAAAAAAAAAAAAAAAAGCGCTTGGGTGATTCCTCTAACTCCTGCTTTTATTTCAACACTGAGACACCCAGTAAATGAATGAAGCTGAAATTCACATAAAAATGTTCTCACTATGGTCCATAGGAACTCCTTGCTCCATTAATAAAGCAATCAAGGCAAAAATATTTTAGAACTATTGTTAAATTTTCCTAGCACAGGTGATCCAAGGAACACATAATTTGGCAAAATAGTTGGCACTGACCTGATTAAGTCGATCTTGCAAAATAGTGACTATCTGATTTCTGGTATAAGGTGGGAAGTTCAACAGCTGTGGCTTACATTTTTCTCTAGCTTGAAGCCTAGGTAGAATTCTATCTGTGAGATCCAGGGTATTAGCAATACCTAAGGAGGAGATCAACAACATTGATCATTGGTCAAATTATCCTAAAGGGAAAACTAAATCTTCTGAAAGCTAAATAAATCTCCAGTTATAGAATCTAGCATTCTAATTGTTGCTTGCCACTTGTCTCCTACCCCATCCCAATAGATAAGATGTATCTATTAGGTAAGATGTACATAGTCATTTAACTTTCTTATTTTGACACGGCAGAAAGCTGGTTTAAGATAAAATAGCTGATAAATAAGCTGAATATATATTCTTAAAAAATACTTTAGAACCACCATGTAACATTAACAATTGAGCACTAACCAATCAGCACCAAGTGAGAATTGCTTAGCCATGGCCATTCAAATAGCGTGTACAATACATCCTGGCCTTTGCTGTCCAGTTGATCCATCTCGTCCAATACCAACACACTATAAAAAGAGAAACAGTTAGTATCCATATTCACCTTCTTAACCCTCTAATGTTTGATATAGGCTGACTTCAGGTCACTTTCCTAAAGCTGAGACCAGTTTAAAGATCATAATCTAACCTATCTCTAGTTACTGCTACAAGGATACCCCACATCATCTATAAGTAATCCAATTTAAAATTAGGTGTATCTTCCTTCTCTTCTTTCCCTTTAAGTTTATGTAACTATCCTTCAGAGAGAAAATATACAAAATGTACTTTTTATGGGCAACAGACCTTGCAGATTTTCACAGAGCAACATGAAGCAGAACAATACTTACATCATGGGGCCCTTCTCTGCAGTCATATGTTTTTCCAATTTCCTCATCATGTCCTTCCCAGCTGGCCTGGATACCTCTTCCTGACAAATCTCCTGAGCAATAGCTGGGAATACAGCCTGGGCAGTCCTCAAGGACATGCAATTCAGCATGATAGTTTTAAAGCCTTTCAGTTCCTTCTGGAAAAAAAAATGCAAATATGGGAGTTATTTTGGCCTCAGAAAATAAAGATCTGATAGAGCCTAAAATGTCTTTGAAGAGCTAACAGCACGTAAGGAAGCTCTACTTTCATTTGGAAAGATTTAAACAATGAAATTACAAATGTTTTATTTTGAAGAAACCCTCAATCTTCTAAACTTCTACTCTTTCTTTTCTTTCTTTCTTTTTTTTTTCTTTGAGACGGAGTCTCACTCTGTTGCCCAGGCTGAAATGCAATGCCACAATCTCAACTCATTGCAACCTCTGCCTCCCGGGTTGAAGTGATTCTCCTGCCTCAGCCTCCCAAGTAGCTGGGATTACAAGGATGCACCACCACACCCAGCTAATTTTTATATTTTTAGTAGAGATGGGGTTTCGCCACATTGGCCAGGCTGGTCTTGAACTCCTGACCTCAGGTGATCCACCTGCCTCAGCCTCCCAAAGTGTTGGAATTACAGGTGTGAGCCACCGCACCAGGCCTACTCTTTCTTAACTCTTTTTTTTTTTGAGACGGAGTCTTGCTCTGTCGCCCATGCTGGAGTGCAGTGGCGCGATCTCGGCTCACTGCAAGCTCCACCTGTGGGTTCACGCCATTCTCCTGCCTCAGCCTCCCGAGTAGCTGGAACTACAGGCACTCGCCACCACGCCTGGCTAATTTTTTTTGTATTTTTAGTAGAGACGGGGTTTCACTGTGTTAGTCAGGATGGTCTCAATCTCCTAACCTCATGATCCGCCCGCCTCGGCCTCCCAAAGTGCTGGGATTATAGGCGTGAGCCACCATGCCCAGCCTTCTTTTTCTTTTGAGACAGAGTCTCACTCTGTCACCCAGGCTGGAGTACAGTAGCGCGATCTCAGCTCACTGCAACCTCTGCTTCCCGAGTTCAAGTGATCCTCCTGCCTCAGCCTCCCGAGTAGCTGGGATTATAGGCACCTGCCACCATGCCCGGCTAATTTTTTTTTGTATTATTAGTAGAGACAGGGTTTCACCATGTTGACCAGGGTGGTCTCAAACTCCTGACCTTAGGTGATCCACCCACCTCAGCCTCCCAAAGTGCTGGGATTACAGGTGTGAGCCACCGTGCCTAGCCCTCTTTCTTAACTAAGTGCCAGCCAGGCACAGTGGCTTACACCTGTAATCCCAGCACTTTGGGAGGCTGAAGCAGGCAGATTACTTGAGCTCAGGAGTTCAGGACAAGTCTGGGCAACATGGTGAAACCCTGTCTCTACAAAAAATTAGCTGGGTGTAGTGGTGAGTGCCAGTATTCCCAGCTATCCAGGAGGCCGAGGTGGGAGGATCACCTGAGCCCAAGAGGTCAAGGCTGCAGTGAGCTGAGATCACAACACTGCACTCCAGCCTGGACAACAGAGACCCTGTTTCAAAAACAAAACAGGCCAGGTGCGGTGGCTCACACCTGTAATCCCAACACTTTGGGAGGCCAACAAGGGCGGACCATGAGGTGAGGAGATCGAGACCATCCTGGCTAACACAGTGACACCCCGTCTCTACTAAAAATACAAAAAACATTAGCTGGGCATGGTGGCGGGCGCCTGTAGTCCCAGCTACTCGGGAGGCTGAGGCAGGAGAATGGCGTGAACCTGGGAGGCAGAGCTTGCAGTGAGCCGAGATCGCGCCACTGCACTACAGCCTAGGCGACAGAGCGAGACTCCGTCTCAAAAAACAAAACAAAACAAAACAAAACAAACAAACAAACAAAAACACCCAAGTATCATTTTACCAAGAGTATCATAATTCAGACTCTCAATGTACCTTGAGGTCTTGCAGAATCCGGCTTAAGCAGGCAGTTTTTCCAGTTCCAGGAGCACCAGAAAGGTAAAGGCTTCCAGCTTTTTTCCCACAGATGTGTTCCCTCAAGAAATTCCTGATGACATCCATCTCCCTTTCCCTGGCAGGCAGCCGATCTGGGACAGCTGTGTTCAGGACCAGCTTTGCTTGCTGGTAGCAAGTGCCTGTGCCAGACATAAAAGGTCAATTAGACACAACAGAAGGTGAATGAGAAGACCCAGTGGGTGGTTTCATTTGGAGTCATCAGCCTTGGTTACAATGGCTGCACTAACAGTTGCCATGTAAGAACAAACCTTCTTGCTTGAATAGTCTCACACATGCAGATTCTTTCTTCAGTGGACATCTCTGCTCAGAATTTGTTGTGATCTCTTGACTTTTTCTAACTGAAGAAAGTATTTTGTTTTGGTGAACTTTGGCTAGTTCTCTTTTGCTAGGAGACTTAATTGTCAGCTGATTGTCAAATACCAATCTTCGTCCCTTAAGTGTATGTGAGTGAGGGGGACCATTCTCTTTCTTGCCTTGCTTTGGTGGAGAACAAGGAGGTAAATGGGGAGTGTTGCATAGGTTGTCATCGCCTGAAACACAATAAAATAAAAATGTAGTCACTCATAGCATTGGATAGTAAAAGGATGTGCAAGACCTCTGCCTCTTCCAGAAAGAGGTGAATTTCTACCTTAGTCAGAACCACCAAAATAAAATGCCTTCTCACTTAGCAGCAAATATTGGTCACCAGATGGCACCACTGATCTTACTACAGTAGTCCCTTCATCCACCGTTCTAGTTACCCTCAGTCTGAAAATACTAAATGGAAAATTCCAGAAATAAACAATTGACAAGTTTTAAATTGCATGCTGTGGAGTGCCATGATGAAATCCCGCACCATCCTACCCAAGACATGAATCATCCCTTCAGCCAGCATATCCACACTGTATATGCTATCCACCCACTAGTCACTTAGTAGCTGACTTGGTTATCAAATCAAAAACACAGTATATGTAGGGTTTGGTACTGTCCTCGATTGCAGGCGTCCACTGGGGGTCTTGGAATGTATCCCCCATGGATAAGTGGGGACTACTGCATTTAGTAGAAACCAAATGGGTTTTAGTAGGATGAAATTGTAAGGCTATTTTGAAACAGGTTTTCTCAACCTTGGCACCACTGACATCTTGGACCAAATAATTCTTCATTGTCAAGGAGCTGTCCTGTGCATTGTAATGTCTAGCAGCATCCCTGGCCTCTACCCACTATGCCAGTAGCAACCCCCAGCTGTAACAACCAAAAATGTCTCCAGAAACAACCAAATTACCCCCCATTTAAAAATAAATGTTCCAAAACAAGAAAGAATTACCAATCACTGTCCTAAAGGATGGAAAATATTCATCATGTCACGTTTTTGTTTCTTTTAATTTCACAAATATTGAGGTAAGTTTCATAATACCATGTAACTACAAGGTAACTTAAAACATTGACAGAACTAAGTTCAGTATTAAGGAATTGAAGATCAGACTTATTAAGTAGTTCAGAGTGACCTCAGTAAGTGTCTAACTCTGGAGTTCGGTAAGCACTTAGCAACCATTCTGAAAATAACTAAAATGAAGAGTAGTCTTAGGCCAGGAGCGGTAGCTCATGCCTATAATCCCAGCACTTTGGGAGGCCGAGGCAGTTGGATCACCTGAGGTCAGGAGTTCAGAGACCAGATTGGCCAATATGGCAAAACCCTGTCTCAACTAAAAATCCAAAAAAAAAAAAAAAAAAAATTAGCCAGGCTTGGTGGTGGGCGCCTGTAATCCCAGCTACTTGGGAGGCTGAGGCAGGAGAATCGCTTGAACCCAGGAGGCGGAGGTTGCAGTGAGCCAAGATCGCACTATTGCACTCCAGCCTGGGAGATGGAGCGAGACTCTGTCTCAAAAAAAAAAAAAAAAAAAAAAAGAAGTCTTAACTGAACTTAGAAAGCTCCTTCAAAGGACACACATCTTACCAAGAAAAGAAAGGTCACGAGCTGCTAGTGAAAAAGTGATATAATGGATGGTTTACCCAGACGTTTCCTGGGGCTGAGAGGCAGGGCTTTTACACGAGGAGAACAGGTTACGGTTTGGACATTTGTTGGTTCTAGTTTGGCATCACTGGAGTTTTTAGCTTTGTTCAATGCCCGAGACAGCTTCCTTTTTGGAAAACTGATTGTAGCCTGTGCCTGGGATCGGGTTTGAGGCATGACGACAGCACAGCTAGATTAAAAAAAATAAGAGGACAACTAGTCAATATGTGAAAGTGAAGAGAAAATAACTAACATGGAATTTATTTATACTGATGATTAACACTTATTTCCTAATTATGTTATCACACTTATTTTAGCATTCACTTTTGCTTCACATCCAAATCTATGCAAGAACAGCTGACATTTGTTGTCTACCTACTACGTGGAAGGGCGCTGTTATAAACACTTTAGGTACCAACTCGTTTAACAACGATCTTAGGAGTAGGTACTATTATTAGCCTTTATTTTACACATGAGAAAACTGAGATAAACAGTGGCCCAAAGTCACAGAAAAACAGGAATGTAACCCCGGGCATCTGGTGCCAGAGCCCAAGTTCTTAACCAATTGAGCGATGCAATAACAAGTTACCTGAAATGGGCCGGGCGCGGTGGCCCACGCCTGTAATCCCAGCACTTTGGGAGGCTGAGGCGGGCGGATCACCTGAGGTCAGGAGTTCGAGACCAGCCTGACCAACATGGAGAAACCCCGTCTCTACTAAAAATACAAAAATTACGGCCAAACGCGGTGGCTCACGCCTGTAATCCCAACACTTTGGGAGGCCGAGACGGGCCGAGACCATCCTGGCTAACACGGTGAAACCCCGTCTCTACTAAAAATGCAAAAAATTAGCCGGGCGTGGTGGTGGGCGCCTGTAGTCCCAGCTACTCGGGAGGCTGAGGCAGGAGAATGGCATGAACCCGGGAGGCGGAGCTTGCAGTGAGCCGAGATCGCGCCACTGCACTCCAGCCTGGGAGACCGAGCGAGACTCCGTCTCAAAAAAAAAAAAAAAATTAGCCGGACGTGGTGGCGGGCGCCTGTAGTCCCAGCTACATGAAGAGGCTGAGGCAGGAGAATGGCTTGAACCCGGCAGGCAGAGGTTGCAGTGAGCCGAGATCGCACCACTGCACTACAGCCTGGGCGACAAGAGCGAGACTCCGTCTCAAAAAAAAAAAAAAGTTACATGAATTGATTTATATAGAACTTCTAGTTTCCTCCCTCCAGGCACGCGGGGTGTCTTTATCACCAGTTCAGCCCAGCACCCGCCACATTTAGTCTCTTCTATCCCAAGCCCTCACACTGCAGCTCAGTCTTCCCTCAGTTCTTTCCGCCCCTGCACTCAGTCCTCATTCTAGGCAGCTCTCAACGCACCCCAGAATATTTCCTTCCTACAACTTTCACCTCCTTCACACCACGCATAACTGCTAGAACTACCCCGAGGGCACCTGCCCTTTCCCTGATCCCGACCTCAGACCTCCAGCGAGCTCAGCTCTTTTCCCTTCACTTCACCTCAGGCCTCGCCGGAACCCGCAGCCTTCACCCAGCTCCGCTGCCTCACAGACCCCAGGCCTCCTCGAGCAATCCTCTTCTTTCCACCTCCTCAGTGCAGGATCCTTCTCACGTCTCTCACACGCAGCCTCTCGGACTCACCACCACAAGCCCCTGAACAAACTGCACAGCGGCAGCAGCAAACTCCAGCCGCGCTCGCGCCAAATCCGAATGGCCACAGCGTTCCCACCTCCCGCCAAAGCCCGGCCTCGATTCTGATTGGCTGTAGTCACAGAGCCTTTCGCCTTGGGCACCGCCTCTTTTTTTGCTACCAATCCAGTGGAAGAGTTACAGCCAATGAGAGAGCCCCAAGTCTTAGAGTCGCTGTGAGGCCACGACCACTGAACGGGGGAGGGAATCTACATCCGGGGCCTCGGTGGAAAGACGCGCGATTGCGGCAGGGCGACTCTGGGTAAAGCGGGCCGGCCCGCCGCAAAGCACGCTGGGAGGCGTAGTCTTTGCTGCCGCGCAGTCGCACTCTTCCTTCGACTGGAAGTGTCAAGATGTGGTTCCCCTTCTCACTGCCTAAAGTACCCATTTGCATCATCCTGATGGGCTAGATTTTCAGAACTGCTACATGATACCTACCGTTTTGGGTTCTGTGCGCCAGGTATGATGCTAGGCACTTTCCTTACCTCTCTAATGCTCAACCTCGCAAAGTACAAAGCAAACTTCTATACAAGGTTAGAGGTCACAGCATCTTGGTGACAGTGAAGAGCCTAGGATCCAGATCTCCTGATGGCTGAACTAGTGATTTTTATGGTAAAGTTCTACACACCTATATAAAGAAAAACTATGCTTCATCATAGTATCTCTTGATTTGTGCTTCAAAGGTGAGAAACAGAGCCAACTCTTTACTTTTATTTCGTTCAACCTAAGAATATTATGTTCTGTGCATCTTCTTACCATTAATCCACACATCATGGGGAGGGAATTATGACCCCTTAATTTTAAAATCTTTTATGGCGAAACACTAGGGTTTCAGGGCCAGGGAAGACAGCTATATAGAAGAGGCAAGCTGAGTTTTTAATGAAAAATATAAATTAGCGCAGTAATTTGAAGGCCAGCTTCCAAAGCCAATAATTCATCTAAGCCTCAGGTTCCTTTAGAGGCCAGAACCCAATTCTAGGTGATGGTAAACATTTATCTTTTACCCCTCAGTAACAAACAAAATAGAGCCATAAAGCCTAGAAAGAGGGAAGCAACAATATTACGATCATCAGTGAATTGGTACCTAGTTCATGAAGAGAGCCAATATTGAGTGCTTAAGTGTATGCCAGGGGCTGTGCTCAGTATTTTACCTACATCACCTTATTAATCTTCACAAGCACCCCCATGAACCTGGTGTTATTTCACTTTACAAATGAGGGAACTACAGTAGAGGGGAGTTGAGTAAACTTGCCCAAGGTCACACAACTAGTAAGTGGAAGAGCTAGAATTTGAACTCTGAACTCTGACAGAAAATCAAACTCTTGACCACTTTATCATAGGGGGATGATTAGACAGATTCAGGTTCTAAACAGGAAGAGATGGTGGAGTACATTTCGTGAAGGCTTTTTAGCAGCTGAAAACTACAAAAGTGAAGAGAATGGGCTGCCATGAATGGAGAAAGTTACCACACAATGGAAGCTTTTTTTTTTTTTATTTTTGAGACAAGTCTCATTTTATCACCCAGGCTTGAGTGCCGTGCCATGATCTCGGCTCACTGCAATCTCCACCACCTGGGTTCAAGCCATTCTCCTGCCTCAGCCTCCTGAGTAGCCGGGACTACAGGCACGCGTCACCACGCCTGGCTAATATTTGAATTTTTAGTAGAGGGGTTTCACCATGTTGGCCAGGTTGGTCTCAAACTCCTGACTTCATGATCCACCCACCTCAGCCTCCCACAGTGCTGGGATTACAGGCATGAACCACCGCTCTTGGCCACAGTGGAAGCTTTTAAAAGGACTAGATGGTATTTCTGATGTCTTAGTAGGATAGTAGAACTCAGGAAGCAACCTTCACTGTTCGTATTTTTATAACATGGGCACCTAAGAATTGCCCTTAATAACCTGAAATGGTAATGTGTGCCCAGCCAGCTGTAAGGGGTGGTTATGGTAAACAACCTAGGAAGCTATGAGTACTTAGCATGCATATTGGAACCTATGAAAACACCAGGAAATGGCTGGGTGCGGTGGCTCACGCCTGTAATCCCAGCACTTTGGGAGGCTGAGGCGGGTGGATCACGAGGTCAGGAAATCGAGACCATCCTGGCTAACACGGTGAAACCCCGTCTCTACTAAAATACAAAAAAATTAGCCAGGCGTGGTGGCGGGTGCCTATAGTCCCAGCCACTCAGAAGGCTGCGGCGGGAGAATGGTGTGAACCCGGGAGGTGGAGCTTGCAGTGAGTGGAGATCACGCCACGCCACTGCACTCCGGCCTGGGCGACAAAGCGAGACTCCGCCTCAAAAAAAAAAGAAAAGAAGACACTAGGAAACATAGCAGTGGCCCAAGAAAAGCCTACAGGTGTAAATGACCACTGTGGAAGCAGGCAAATAATCACAGAATGTCAGGACTGAAAGGTTATCTACTTGAAGCTTTTCCTTTGCACTAATAATGATCCTCCAGTAACGTGATGCGTACACATCATATTGTTTCTTGCTTCTGTGCCTTTGTTTTTGCTGTTTCCTCTGTCTGGAATGCCACTAACCATCCATCTTCCCTGGCTAACTCCCATAAAGCCTTTTAATATCCTGCATAGGTTTCTCCTGGTAGCTATCCTGAAGTCTACTAAACTATGAGTTCCTTGGAGTCAAAGACCATGTCTTAGCCTTGCACAGTGGCATGCATCTGTAATTCCAGCTACTCGGGAGGCTGAGGTGGGAGGATCCCTTGAGCCCAGTTTGAGGACAGCCTGGACAACATAGGGAGACCCATTTCCAAGTTGGAAAAAAAAAAAAAAGACTTTTTATTTGGAGTCTCGCTCTGTCGCCCAGGCTGGAGTGCAGTGGCACAATCTCAGCTCACTGCAACCTCCACCCAACCGGGTTCAAGCAACTCTCCTGCCTCAGCCTCCTGAGTAGCTGGGATTACAGGCGCCCATAATTTTAGTAGACGGGGTTTCACCATATTGGACAGACTGGTCTCAAACTCCTGACCTCAGGTGATCCACCTGCCTCAGCCTCCCAAAGTGCTGGGATTACAGGCGTGAGCCACCGCGCCCGGCAAAAACAGACTTTTCATCTTCATATTGTAGATGCCTGGTACAGAGTAAAGTGTACAATAAGAGCTTGCTGAATGAAGGAATGGAAAGGACATTCTTGCCAAGTGGACATCCACCCTTTGCATAAACACTTGTGGCTGGAGAGCATACAGTCTTTTAAGTCTCACACCCCTAAGCCTAGGAATGGAGAATGAATTCAATTATGTGTGAAAATGATCCAGACTGGGCTCCAGTGATGTCAGAGGCAAAGCATTTCCCCAGTTGTCCTCTGGGGCAGTCAGAATCCTGAGGCTGACATATTTCTAGTTCTAATTCATTTTCCATAGTTCCTTTACCTCTCTTTGCAGAGTACTAGGAAGTTGGAGACAGGCAGCTTTCTTCCAGTGGGTCGTTTAGTTCATGGTTAGATTGGGTTGGGAAATACTTAAGAGGTACATTCATGGCAAGCAGCTCTGCCTCAGTAATGGAAGGAAAACTAGTGTCCTTATCACCTGCTAACTCATACACAGTATCATGGAGAAGGAATCAAATCACACTGGAAGAACCTGTCTGGCATCCTTTTGTGTGACTGTGTGTGTAGACACACACACACACACACACACACACACTAGCAATACCATCACAAGAAGACAGAATGAATTATAGGGTTAGGAAGTCGAAGGTCATTTAGGCAAGCTCCATTTGCAGGCTATTTCAAGTCAGGAGGAACAATTCAATCAATAAATAGGTAGTTTATTAACCATATTAATAACAATGATGGGTCAAATAATCGGAGATTCAGCCCATCTGGGAAGTACGGATGAAAATGAAAGGAGTCCTTTTTTTTCTTCCCCTCCCTCCCTCATCCTCATAGGTTTTTATATCTAAATTATGTGAGAGTGATTCATACACACACCCATTATGAATCAGTAAGAGAAATAACTTCAAGACCTTTGCTAGTGATGAAAGTGCAAGTTAAGCTCATTAAGCCTTAGTGGTTATGATGTCAGCTGACCACAGTAAGGAGAGAATGTCTGGTTGAATTTTTACACCTAAAGTCAAAGTTCAAGAAAACCAGCTAAGATTCAGCTTAAAAAGCAGTGACGAAAAACAGCCAACACCCACATAAAAACAGATACACACATTCTGTATGCTTTGTCCCCACCCTTCTTTTCTTTAGCCTCAATCTGAGAATCTGCCATGCAACACAGGTAGAAAGAATTATAAGAGATTCAAGGAAAAGGTCACAAGGCCAGGAAGCCTCCTAGGTTCCCTGAAATCGTGGGCAAAGGGGAGTTAGGTGGAAATATAAAATAAGGACTGGCTGGGTGCGGTGGCTCATGCCTGTAATCCCAGCACTTTGAGAAGCTGAGGTGGGACAATCACTTAAGCCCAGGAATTTGAGACCAGTCTGGGCAACATAGGGAGACCCTGTCTTTACAAAAAAATTTTCAAAATTAGCCAGGCATAGTGGTACACACCTGTGGTCCCAGCTACACGGGAGGCTGAGGTGGGAGGATCACTTGAGCTTGAGAGTTGGAGGCTGCGGTGAGCTATGATCACACCACTGCACTCCAGCCTGGATGACAGCAACATCCTGTCTCAAAAAAAAATAATAATAATAATAAAATAAGGACCATCAGAATCTCCCAGGAAGGGTAACTAGAACTCTAGAATTTTTTTTTTTTTTTTTTTTTTTTTTTTTTTTTTTTTTTAGTGCAGTGGCATGATCTCAGCTCAGTGCAACCTCCGCCTCCTGGGTTCAAGTGATTTTCCTGCCTCGGCCTCCCGAGTAGCTGGGACTACAGGCATGCGCCATGACACCGGTTAATTTTTGTATTTTCAGTAGAGACGGGGTTTCACCATGTTGGCCAAGCTGGTCTTGAACTCCTGACCTCAAATGATCCACCCGCCTTGGCCTCCCAAAGTGCTGGGATTACAGACATGAGCCATCGCGCCCAGCCAACTAGAACTGTAATTTTCAAAATACAGCTGGAGAGGAGGAGAGAAGACCCTCAGAAAGCTATAGATGAGTCTGCCCAATTCAGTAGATCTACTTTTTCAAGGGACCTGGAATCAAACCACTACACTTACCCAAATTATGAGGCAAAGGTTTTCTCCCCTCTCTGTGCCACCACCTGAGGCGGTATTCCAGACAAGAGTACACAATTTTCACTTTTTGTTTTTAAGCAAGGTTTTAATTAAGCTGCATGGCATCCAGAAGAGAGAAATGTACCAAAGAATCCAACCTGAGACCAGATTATACATTTTAGAGGGGGGAAAAAATCAATGCTATTTGGGAGAGGGAGCACTGTAATCAGAATATAACTCCAAAATAAATCATACAATAAATTATTTTCTAAAAGAAATTGATCCACATGCAGACAGATGAACACACACACGCACACGCGTGCGCACGCACACGTGTCATTCTAGTCATTTATTCAGTGTTGACTGTGACTTCCATGGAGGGCACCATGAGAAAGGAAAAGATTAGACATGTGAAAAGAAGGCTAGGCCCCATCTTGCCACCAGTGGAATGAGATTTAAGACCACTAGAGAAGGAACCCACTAAATTGCCAGAAACAAGAGTAGAAAGAAACAGCAGTTATCAAGGAAGATTTTAATTGCTTCAAAGAGGGAAAGGAAGAAAGCACAGAAATCTAATGCAAGTAAAGGCACAATGAATGTGGAGTTGAATGGAACCAAACCCTTCCTTCGGTTAAAGTTATCCTTTTTTTTTTTTTTTTTTTTTTTGCGTGTGGTTTTGATGGTGGTTGTAGTTTTGTTTCGTTTTGTTTTTAAGAGATGAGTCTTGAAGGCAGAGTTGTAATGGCCCTCCTCTCTCCCCTCCCATTCCCGAAATTAGGGTAGCTTAACAGAAAGCCACCTTGACCACATGGCCAGGGACTGAGATTCAATGGGGAAAGAAAGACTGTAGCTGGAATGTGAAGAATTTGATTTGCAGTTGATTGCAGGTTGGGTTTCCGGAAGGGCAGACAGCTCAATGTAGTGCCATCATAGGGCCTCAGATGCCCACACTCCACCCCCAGAGCTTCACAAAATGGAAGGACCCTGGAGTCACCCTTCTCCCCCACCCCCATAAGCACTCAGCCTACAGATTATTTCAAGTGATCAGGAGAATTAAAACACACCCCAACCCTGAGTTGCTCTTTAGCAAGTCTATTTACAATTTTTTTCTCACCTCTCCCTGGAGGTAAATCTGGGTTTCAAGTTGGGAAGCCATGGGGTGAGGGAGTTCCCCAGTGCAATGGCCGATGACGAGTATCCTTGCCACTGCCAGTTAACAGGGCTGGGATGAGCTCCTGTAGACAGCAGCCTCACATCCATCAGCTAGGGTAGCCCTAGGTTCTCACTCTGTTGGCCTACGCTGTGAAAATGATGGGGCTCTGCAGTGGAGCAAATCCCCATGACAGAGAAAATCACACCTGGAATATCAAAGTGCTTTGGTCCAGGTTCAGTGACCAGAGAAGAGGAAGAGGGGCATCTAGCTCATTTAAAAACCTGGAGGTTTGCCCTGCTTCCCAGACAGGGCAGTAAGAAACAACTATAACGTTTTTCCCATTAGGGAAAAACATCACAAAACCAAACCCATAGAAGGGCTTTTAACACAGCTTCCTGATGCTTAGCTGGGCAATGTCTCTTCCTTCTGTGGGGGGACAAGGGAGTTAATGGGACTGGGCAACAGCCTCAACATGAGACCACCCAATCTTCCACGAAAGAGACGACATTCCCACAAGCAGATAAAAAGAGCAGTTTAAAAGGTGAGGAGTTTTAGTGCTCTTGTAGCCAGCCCACCTTAAACCTAAATTAGAAGCTTTTTACAACATACAAAATAGACTGATAACTATGCAGATCACATTCCCATCTTCAATAGTAAATATACATAGTAATAAATCTATTATTAACAGTGGGACCAAATAACATATAAGGCAGACATTTAAACAGGTGTTGTATCATCAACATGCTCTAAAAAAAACTCATCTGACTAGATCTAGACCCAGGCCTTTTTGCATGAGGCCAAGACAACAAGTATACAATCAATACCCATGTGACACAGTCCAAGTGCTGGGGAATATGAGGGGGCAGTGGGCCATGGGGAGGAAGATATCAGCCCCAGTGAAAAGCTGGGGTTTGGCTTTACTCGTGATATTTTGATGCTCTATGTCTGAGTAAAGGAGGAAAAAAAAAAAAACACTTTGATAACGTACAAAAGGCATCGACTCCCATTTCAAAAATAAATGGGAAGACTTCACAGTCAAAGTTCAGTCACTTGTCAGTATCTGCCCTGGAACTCTGATGCAGTATCAACTCTTGTACTCTCTCCTTTTCCCTCCACTAGCATGCCCTCTCTCAGTTGTTTGGTTTGTTTGTTTTCTGAGATGGAGTTTCACTCTGTCACCCGGGCTGGAGCGCAGTGGCGCCATCTCCACTCACTGCAACCTCCACCTCCTGGATTCAAGCGATTCTCCTGCCTCAGCCTCCCCAGTAGCTGGGACTACAGGCACATGCCACCACGCCCAGATAATTTTTGTGTTTTTAGTGGAGACGGGGTTTCACCATGTTGGACAGGCTGGTCTCGAACTTCTGACCTCAGGTGATCCGCCCGCCTCGGCCTCCCAAATTGCTGAGATTACAGGCATAAGCCACAGCGCCCGGCAGTTCTGTTTGCTTCAGGATGCTAGGGATACTTCTGGGAGATAACTGCTAACAGATTAGAAAGAAGAATGATACATAAAAAATGATTAGGAAAAGTTTGGTGACAGACCTAATCATGGTCTGTCCCAGAGTTAATATGGTCCAGGGGATGGCAAAGGACAGCAGACCCCATACACATTACCCCCGTTGAGCCCTCCCTCACCTAGCACTGGGGAGACTTGGGTTTCACCTGGCACCATGCACAGATCCCTAGCCTGTGATCCAATCAACTGGAAAGGTCTCTAAGACAGTTTAAGCCTGTGATGTGTGTGATTAAATTTTTTTTTTTTTTTTTTTTTTGAGACGGAGTCTGGCTCTGTCGCCCAGGCTGGAGTGCAGTGGCGCAATCTCGTGATTAAATTTTTAAGCTAATTTTCCCCATCCATTTCAAAGAGTAGCCATGGTCTCCTTGCTCTCATGCCACGCTCTGAGCACCCTCTACACATAGCAACAGTTGTAGAAAACCAAAGCATCTGGTGTGTGGAGCCCAAGAGCCCCATCCTGCTGTCGGAAAAAAAGAAGTCCTCATCCAATCAGCTTCCTACCTAGACTGGGGACCTCCATTTTCTCTGTGCTCTTTAGGACCCGGAAGACAAAGAAACAACCTATGGCTGGCTGCCAAGGAAGATCTACTGAACTGAGGCAAATCTCAACAAAGTCTTTGTGCTTCCTGGCATAGAAGAGTATCTGAATATCTTCATAAGCCTCTGCTCACTTCTTCACCCTTCTGTACTCTGCTGTGTTAAACCGTGCAGTCCTGGGAAGGCAAGGGTGGTAGAGAAAGGAACAGGAAGAGTCTGCTCAGTCAGGTGGGCTGTGAACTTCAGTACAGGCAGGACTTAAAAGTCCTTTGCAGCCCCACAAAGCCAGCTCCTTCCATGAGGGGCTTCAACCTGCCCTTCTTTGTTATCCTGGAGCACCTTCCAGGGGCTGAAGGACAGAAAGAGCCACTGACAACTTCAGGGCCAGTCAGAAAAGACTGAGGCAGACACAAGATTGAGGTTAAGGCCCAGGCCCACGCCCTATCTTCCTATCTCCCACCAGAGGTTTTTGGGGTTTGTGAATCAGGAATGAATGATGCCCTCCACAAAAAGTGACTTTTCTTTCAAGGGCATGGGCGGTAAGGGGGAGGAAAAACATCCCTCAGCCTAGCACCCTGAAGCAGTGGGGTGAGGGGTCCCAGAGGGTTCAAATGGCTCCTGTTCCCTTTGCTGCAGAGAACTGACTAGTTCTAAAATGGTCTTCAGTTTATTTCACCCTTTCTTTTTATTAAATGTTAAGTTCAACTGATTAGTATTTAGTGTTTATATCCAATTTATCCCTGGGGTGGTGGGGTGGGGGGGCAGCAGGTGAGAACAAAAACAAAATACCCCCAAAAATAAAGCAGACCCAATTCCTTGCCCTTTCTCCAAATATGACCTTTAAAACAGATCACTTCTTGGCAAACTCCTTTCTTGCTTCACTAAAAATGCTCCCCTCCCACCCATAAGTCCTGGTCATGCCAGCCTCCTAAATGATGAAATATAATATACCTGCCAAGCTTCCCCCACAGTGGACAGGAGAAGGAAGGAGTACCATTCTCCACCCTGCCCTAACAGTGAGTTAATTCATCACAACAAGGCACCTTTCCCCAAGAGGAAGGCAGAAGACACGGAAACTTGTTCCTCATGTGGCTAGCAGGGCTTGCTGGAGGAAGGATGGATGCAGGGTTTGAGATCCTACTGTCAATATAGAGTCTGATCACCAAATCCAGAGATGAGATGCATAGATGGAGGTGAGCTGGGAGGACATTTGGAGTCTAGGGCTTGATTGCATTGGAGAAACATGTTAGGAGCTCTCATGCAGGTTTCAGGGGAATGGAAGGGACCATCTGAGAAGAAGAGAAGGTCCATCCTTTTCCTGAGGAACGGGACCAAGCCAGGCTTCACCTGAGAATGGGTGGCAGAGGTGGGGCTCCACGGGCAGCTGAAAAAAAACAAAATAAAGACCACACACATACAGGTCACCCACCAGAATCTGAACAACCCACACATTCCTAAAATGAGAGACAGGCTCTTTAAGCTAACCTTTAAAATCTGGGGACTACGTGTTATTATTGTTTTGCCTAAGAAAATGAAGATGAGTGGCCAGGCAAGGTGGCTCACGCCTGTAATCCCAGCACTTTGGGAGGCCGAGGCGGGCGGATCACCTGAGGTCAGGAGTTTCAGACCAGCCTGGCCAACCAGGCAAAACCCAGTCTCTACTAAAATTACAAAAATAATCCGGCATGGTGGCACACGCCTATAATCCTAGATACTTGGGAGGCTTAAGCAGGAGAATCACTTGAACCTGGGAGGCAGAGGTTTGGGGTGAGCCGAGATGGCACCACTGCACTCCAGCCTGGGTGACGATAGGGAGACCCTATCTCAAAAAAAAAAAAAAAAAAAGGACAACGAAGATGATGAGAAGCAATTTTTTTTCTTTTTTTTTGAGACGGAGTCTCCCTCTGTCACCCAGGCTGGAGTACAGTAGCGTGATCTTGGCTCACTGCAACCTCCGCCTCCTGGGTTTAAACAGTTCTCCTGCCTCAGCCTCCCGAGTAGCTGGGACTACAGGTGTGTGCCACCACGCCCAGCTAATCTTTTGTATTTTTAGTAGAGACGGGGTTTCACCGTGTTAGCTAGGATGGTCTTGATCTCCCGACCTCATGATCCGCCCACCTCAGCCTCCCAAAATGCTGGGATTATAGGCATAAGCCACCGCGCCCAGCCTAATTTTGTATTTTTAGTAGAGACAGGGTTTCATTATGTTGGTCAGGCTGGTCTCGAATTCCTGACCTCGTGATCCACCCACCTTGGCCTCCCAAAGTGCTGGGATTATAGGTATGAGCCACTGTGCCCAGCGAGAAGCAAATTTTAACCTAAGAAAATGCACAGATTCTACATTCTATGCAATTATGGAAAAACCTTCTTATTATTATTCTCACCTCGGTTTGTTTTGCTGGGATATATCCTCTGAAAGTGTTTATATTCTTCTGGAGCAGGAAAGTCTTCTACTGGATGGAAGGAATACTTTGACTCAAAATCATCTGCGAAAAGAATAGAACATTAATTCCTATCATCCTTGCTTGTGCTCCCACAGGCCTCTGATCGCTTCGACCCTCCCCACTTACTAATCTCTCAGGCATTCTGAGGTACTGTGAGGACCTACTGCCCCACCAAACCAACCACCCTGAGAACAGCAGCAGCATCACCCCACGTGCCTTGCATGCACAGAGCATGTATTCAAAACCTCTCTGTACTAAGTAGTGCGTCTTTGAGCCCATTCTTTATTTATTTATTTTTTGACAGTCTCGCTCTGTCACCCAGGCTGGAGTGCAGTGGTGCCCACCACCTCACCCGGCTAGTTTTCTGTATTTTTAGTAGAGACGGGGTTTCACCATCTTGGCCAGGCTAGTCTCAAACTCCTGTGCTCAGGCAATCTCCCCACCTGGCCTCCCAAAGTGCTGGGATTACAGGTGTGAACCACGCCTAGCCTGAGCTGATTCTTTAAACCTTTCCACCAAGTCAGGCACAGAACAGGAAAGGAGCTCAGTTGTTTGCATGGTAGCAGAAAGAAATATAATTCTTTTTTTTTTTTTTTTTTTTTTTGAGACGGAGTCTCACTCTGTTGCCCAGACTGGGGTGCGGTGGCATGATCTTGGCTCACTGCAACCTCCACCTCCCAAGTTCAAGCGATTCTCCTGCCCCAGCGTCCCTGAGATTACAGGCAGGCACCACCACACCTGGCTAATTTTTGTATTTTTAGTAGAGATAGGGTTTCACCATGTTGGCCAGGCTGGTCTTGAACTCCTGACCTCAGGTGATCCACCTGCCTCGGCCTCCCAAAGCGCTGGGATTACTGGCGTAAGCCACCAGGCCCAGCCAATTCTGGGTTTTAATAACATCTTACAGACTGTCACCACGGGAAAACAACTGATCTAAATCCAGAAATTGGTAGGAATTAATTTAAAATGGGAATATCTGTCTATGACTAGTGAGAGATTTGACCAGATGATTCCCTTTCAGTCCATGTTACCTTCACTTACATAGTTGGGACAGCCATCTCATGGCTTCTACTACTACTTTCTACAGCCCCTCCATCAGAAAGCTCAAATTTTCTGTAAGTGCGGCTTGATCACATCCCAAAGGTTTCTACAATAAGGATATATCTTTAAAGCAAAAACCCTGGCATACCTAATAGGAATAGACTAGAACATGGAGGACAGTGGGTAGGTAAGGACAGCAACCATTAAAGAATCTAGAAGCTGGGCATGGTGGCTCATGCCTGTAATCCCAGCACTTTGGGAGGCCAAGGTGGGTGGGTAGCTTGAGCCCAGGAGTTTGAGACCAGTCTGGGCAACATGGCAAAACCTCATCTCTACAAAAAAAATACAAAATTAGCCAGGCATGGTGGTGCACACCTGTGGTCCCAGCTACTTGGAAGGCTGAAGGATGGGAGGATTGCTTGAGCCTGGGAGGTCGAGACTGCGGTGAGCCGTGATTGCGCTACTGCACTCCAGCTTGGATGACAAAGCAAGACGCTATCTCAAAAAAAAAAAATCTAGAGTGTTAGGGTTGCAAGGGACCTTTCAGAGATTTCTTCCAAGGGTCCTCAACAGACGGGTCTAACAATAGCCTATGGACAACCTTTACTTAGGGTTACATCCCAGAACCAAGGAATCAGAATCTCTTAGGTAGAGCCCCCCCAACATTTATAATCTTGGAAAAGTTAATCTGATACACTTCTGATCTAGTCAACCTAATTTTACAAATAAGGGAAGTGAGGCCCAGAGAAGTAACGTGACTTCCTCAAAATAACACTGCTAGTTAGTGGCTTTGGATTAATGTGTGTAATGTTTTGGGTTTTGTTTTTTTTTTTTTTTTTTTTTGAGACGGAGTCTTGCTCTGTCACCCAGGCTGGAGTGCAGTGGCACAATCTTGGCTCACTGCAACCTCCACCTCCTGGGTTCAAGAGATTCTCCTGCCTCAGCCTTCTGAGTAGCTGGGATTATGGCTGCGTGCCATCATGCCCAGTTAATTTTTTATATTTTTAGTAGAGATGGGGTTTCACTATGTTAGCCAGGCTGGTCTCAAACTCCTGACCTCAGGTGATCCGCCTGCCTCGGCCTCCCAAAGTACTGCGATTACAGGCGTGAGCCACTGCACCCAGCCGACTTTTTTTTTTTTTTTTTTTTTTTGAGACAGATTCTCTCTCTGTCGCCCAGGCTGGGGTGCAGTGATGTGATCAATGGTTTGCTGCAGCCTCAACCTCCCTGGACTTAGGCAATCCTCCTGAGTAGCTGGAAACACAGGCGTGTGCCACCACACCCAGCTAATTTTTGTATTTTTTAGAGAGATGAAGTTCCACCATGTTGCCCAGGCTGGTCTTGAGTTCCTGGGCTAAAAGCAATCCTCCCACCTTGGCCTCCCAAAGTGCTGGGATTACAGGCATGAGCCACCACGCCCAATCCTTTTTTCTTTAATATTTTTTGTCATTCTTTCTTCTTTTTTCTTTCCAGGCAATGTGCCATGGGACTTTTCTTTTTTTTTTTTTTTTTTTTTTTTTTTTTTTCAAGAATTCCAAGGAAAGGCTGGATGTGATGGCTCACATGTGTAATCCCAGCACTTTGGGAGGCCAAGGTTGGAGGACTGCTTGAGACCAGGAGTTTGACAGCGGCCTGGGCAACAGAGACCCAGTCTCTATAAAAAATAATTAAAAAATAATAATTCCAAGAACAATCAAGTGTTTTGTTTTTGAAGAGCTAGAAAGGAACACTCCTTCCTAGGAGAATACATAAGTCCTGTCTGAATAATCCTAAAGAAGATACAGAGTCTCTGACCTAAAAGCTAGCTACAAAAAGTGATCTTTGGAGTGGATTTAGAGTTAGCACAACACTTGCTGATTTTACTTCAATCTACTCCAAAGCATCCATGCTTAGAATTCATATCAAGATAAGGAAGTCAATGAACACAGCCCATACCTCTGAGGATGAAGTCAGCAGGAGAACTATTGTGAACAAAGGATCCCATGTGGCCATTCCCACTCTATGGTGGCCATCTAGCAGCCATGGCACTGGAGTGGGTGAAGTCACCGCAGGAACCATGAGACTACAGATAGCTAGCTACTCACCCAAGAAAGACCGGACAGTGGTGATAGAATCTCTGTGGCCATTCCTCAGGGGCGGTGGAGGAGGAGGGGGTGGCCCAGCTGGCGTCCTTGAGGGTGGAGGTGGGGGCTTTCCTCGGCTCGGGGGTTCTGACCCATGCATTCGGTATGGTGGTGGGGGAGGGGGAGCATCCCTGGCACCATTTCGGATCACAGGTGGTGGGGGTGGAGGAGCTGCAATTAAAATCCAAAGTAGTTAGGTTTGGATGTGGAGACGGCAAGGGGTAGAATGACTTGAAACACATGAGCTAAAAGAGTAACACACCCCACAGAGGCTCACAGTGCCTGGTTCCCCTTTGTCCTTATTACTTGAACAGCATCACCATTCTTCCAGATACCAACATTCAGAATAAATGTATGGCCTTTTTACATTTCCTACCAGTCAGTCAGAACCCTATCTGTTCTTGATTTTTTTCCTGCTTTTCCATGCCTTCCTCCACAATTCTAATTCAGGTCTTCCTTATATTTAGCCTGTTCTCTACTGCAAAAGCCTTCCGAATGTTCTCCTTGCTTTGTCTCTTACCCCTCCAAATTCATTTTGCATAACACCAACTCACCAACCTCCCTAAAAACTTGATCCAGTTTTTTCAAAGGCTTTGCACTGCCTAAATCATAAAGTCTCAAACTGTGGCTGGGTGTGATGGCTCACGTCTATAATCCTAGCACTTTGGGAGGCCGAGGCGGGAGGATTGCCTGAGCTCAGCAGTTGGAGACCAGCCTGGGCAACATGATGAAACTCCATCTCTACTAAAAATACAAAAAATTAGCCCGGTGTGGTGGCGTGTGCCTGTAGTCCCAGCTCCTCAGGAGGCTGAGGCACAAGAATCACTTGAACCTGGGAGGTGGAGGTTGCAGTGAGCCCAGATTGTGCCACTGCACTCCAGCCTGGGCAACAGAGAGAGACTCCATCTCAAATACATAAATAAGTAAAAAAATAAAGTCTCAAAGCCTTTGCTTACATAGTAACCTACCACACCAATCAGCTTGAGCTTGGCTTCTCCTCTTCCCTTCTTATTGCTAGGCTAGGTTAGGAGCCCTCCTCTGCACTTCCACTGCAGCTTGTGCATACCTACCACTTGAATAGACTATTATAATTATTTATTCTGTGTGCTCTTTCCCCAGTATACTGTGTACCCCTTGATGTCAGAGCAGTTCCTCCTTCTGGGTTCCCAAGTTCAGCCAAATGTACAGCACACAGCAGGTGCTCAATCAATGTTTGCTGAATAAACCAAATTATATGCTTTGCTCTTGTGACTCCCCTCACAATATTCTGATATCCCCCCTTCCCTTACTACCAAATCCTCCCTACCCTTCAAGGTTCAATCCAAGTCCCATCTTCTCAAGGCTTTCCCAAAGCAATCCATTTTCTTCTGAGTCCCTCCACCTCTGCTCTCCCACAGCATATACAGGCTATGTCACTTACTCTAATATCAATGAGCGATTTTCAAAATATATACAGCAGATTCATTGTGGGAAGTTACATATGTCCAGTAACAGTCTCATTGCTCAAACACTGCAAACACCTCTTTTGGAATTGCCTCCAAAGCAAGTTTATCAGTCAGAGCTGTAAACACTATTATATGATGGTCACATTTCATTTCTGAGGTCGCCCCACCACCATCACCAATGAAAATATTCATACCTATGCCAGGCACGGTGGCTCACGCCTGTAATCCCAGCACTTTGGGAGGCCGAGGCGGGAGGATCACCTGAGGTCGGGAGTTCGAGACCAGCCTGATCAACATGGAGAAACCCAGTCTCTATTAAAATACAAAAATTAGCCAGATGTGGTGGTGCATGCCTGTAATCCCAGCTACTCGGAAGGCTGAGGCAGGAGAATTGCTTGAACCCAAGAGGCGGAGGTTGCGGTGATCCAAGATCGTGCCATTGCACTCCAGCCTGGGCAACAAGAACAAAACTCTGCCTCAAAAAAAAAAAAAAGAAAATGTTCATACCTATGTCTGAATCTGCTTTTTGGTGATTCCAAAAATCAAATTCACTCTTAAAAGATGAAAATTTGCCACCAAGTAGAAGGTAACGTCAAAAGCATGTGTCAAGAAATGGCAATATGACTGGAATATAATAGATTCTAACGTGTTTGTCTTACTCCTATGCTCTGTATTAACTAACAATAATAGCAGCTACCATTTATTGGGTATCTATTATGTTCCAGGCATTTTCGGTGTATTAAATCTTTAAAAAGTCTTATAGCCACACATGCGAAGTATGTAATATTATCCCCATTTCACAAATGAGAAAACTGGGACTCAGGTTATTTGTTTAAGGTCACAGATCAAATAAAAATAGGCAAGGCACATGTCTGCTCTTTCTACTCTCCCACACTGCTTTTCGTAACTCCCAGTATTCTGCATAGTATCTTCCCAACCAGATTTACAATCCAGTGGCTTGGAAGTGCATCTTTTGGTATCTAGGCCATGTTCAATTTTTTTTTTTTTTTAAGAGACAGGGTCTCACTCTGTCACCCAGGTTAAAGCGCAGTGGTGGAATCATAGCTCAGTGCAGCTTCAAACTCCTGGGCTCAAGCAATGCTCCCGCCTCAGCAAAGGGCTGGGATTATAGGCATGTGCCACAGCACGTGGCCCAATAAATAGTTGTGACCTAAATAGTATGTGAAGAGACTACTCAGCTTAACAGACAAAACTGTTTTTAGTAGTAAAACGGTATCTTGGCTAGGCATAGTGGCTCACATCTGTAATCCCAACACTCTGGGAGGCTGAGGCAGGCAGATTGCTTGATGCCAGGAGTTCGAGATCAGCCTGGGCAACATGATGAAACCTCACCTCAAATTTTAAAAAAGTACAAAAATTAGCCAAGCGTGGTGGCACACGCCTGCAATCCCAGATATTCTGGAGCCTGAGGTGGGAGGAGCTTGAACCTGGGAGATGGAGGCTGCAATAAGCCAACATCGCGCCACTGCACTCCAGCCTGGTGACACAGCAAGACTGTCTCAAAGAAAAGAGTATCTTATTATTCCTCCTGATTACTATCAGAATTGCTGTAGTGACTATAGTTAAGCATGTAACACAGTAATAGAATAACATACACACACACACACACACAATCTGGCACAATAAGCCCAATAAATGTTTTTGCTTCCCGTAAGACACACTCAGAATGTCAACTCTTCCTCACTGTTTCCAAGCTTTGTTCAGTAGAAACAGGGGACACTAGATGCAATAATTAAAGAGAAATCTTGTAACTCCCAGCAGATCTCTGAGCCTTGTTTTGATTCCAAATCTACTCAAACTAAAGCTCTTTAAGAATAGAAGCTTCTTTAAGCCCTCAAAAATATTCCCTAAAACCCAGATTCCTCAAGGCCCTGAGAATTTGTATCTACTCCTAGGCCAGGGCAGCAAGGTAAACAGGGTTAGCCAGGTTCACAAGGACACCGACACCAGCTAGACACCAGGCAGGTGACAGCGATGAGACGACCTGGAATGGCAAAATAGAGCAGGGTAAGAGTGATCTGTTTGGCTTCTCCAGCTCCCTCCCTCATCCCAGCCAGGTTCTGCTGTCTCCAATAAGCTTCTGGGCTCTTTGTCAGATCCAGTTATTTTTCTTTTTTTTTTTTTTTTTTGAGACGGAGTCTCGCTCTGTCCCCCAGGCTTGAGTACAGTGGCACGATCTCGGCTTACTGCAAGCTCCGCCTCCCGGGTTCATGCCACTCTCCTGCCTCAGCCTCCCCAGTAGCTGGGACTACAGGCACCCGCCACCACGCCCGGCTCATTTTTGTATTTTTAGTAGAGAGACAGGGTTTCACCGTGTTAGCCAGGATGGTCTCAATCTCCTGACCTCATGATCTGCCCGCCTCAGCCTCCCAAAGTGCTGGGATTACAGGCATGAGCCACCGCACCCGGCCCCAGATCCAGTTTTAAGACTGTTTCAAGTGACAGAGCCAGAACTCCAGTCCCTAAAAAACAATTTCCAAAAGAAGTCCTGGGATGGGAGACAGGCTTTTGTAATCCAAGATTAACCCTAATTTTGAGAAAAGTATGATGGTTTCTATTTTTCTCAAATTCCCTTAAAAATGGACAGTGTTGGCGGGTGCAGTGGCTCATGCCTATAATCCCAGCACTTTGGGAGGCCAAGGCAGGCGGATCACAAGGTCAGGAGATAGAGACCATCCTGGCTAACATGGTGAAACCCCATCTCTACTAAAGATACAAAAAAATTAGTCGGGTATGGTAGCGGGTGCCTGCAGTCCCAGCTACTCGGGAGGCTGAGGCAGGAGAATGGCGTGAACCTGGGAGGTGGAGCTTGCAGTGAGCCGAGATCGCGCCACTGCACTCCAGCCTGGGCGACAGAGCAAGACTCCATCTCAAAAAAAAAAAAAAAAAAAAAAGACAGTGTTTTACTCTGCAAAGAAAAAATTCTTGAAACAAACTCTATGAACCAATAATGCTAGTTTTTGGGTTTTGGGGGGGCGGGTTTTGAGGCAGGGTCTTGCTCTGCTGCCTAGGCTGGAGTGCAGTGGCGTGATCTCAGCTCTCTGCAGCCTCTGCCTCCTGGGCTCAAGTGATCCTCCCATCCTAGCCTCCCAAGTAGCTGGGACCACAGGCACACGCTACCACGCCTGGCTAGGTTTCTTAAATTTATTTTTATTTATTTATTTATTTATTTTTTGAGACAGAGTCTCGCTCAGTCACCCATGCTGGAGTGCAGTGGTGCAATCTTAGCTCACTGCAACCACAATCTCCCGGGTTCAAGCGATTCTCCCGTCTCAGCCTCTCGAGTAGCTGGGATTACAGGCACCCGCCATCATGCCTGGCTAATTTTTGTATTTTAGTAGAGAGATGGGGTTTCACCATGTTGGCCAGGCTGGTCTTGAACTCCTGACCTCAGGTGATCTGCCTGTCTCAGCCTCCCAAATTGCTAGGATTACAGGCGTGAGCCACTGCACCCGGCCTAGTTTTTTTATTTTTTGTAGTAATGGGGTTTCACCATGTTGCCCAGGCTGGTCTTGAACTCCGTCTCAAGCGATCCTCCTGCCTCAGCCTCCCAAAGCACTAGGATTACAAGTGTGAGCCTGTGTCCCTGACCCCCACTGTACTTTTCAAATGTACATTTTACAGGTGAGAAAAGAGAATCGGTGAGAAAAGAGAATCAGTGATCTGTCCAATGTCACACAACAAATCGAGGCAATACTCAAATGATCTCTGACTAAAATATCTCAATTTTTTTCTGGTTTATCACTCTTAAGAATTGCTGCTCTAGCCAGGTACAATTGCTCACATCTGTAATCCCAGGGCTTCGGGAGGCCAAGGTGGGAGGATGGCTTGAGCCCAAGAGTTTGAGTCCAGCCTGGGCAACACAGACCTCATCTTAAAAAATAAAAATAAAAAAAAATTTTAATGAGCCAGACATGGTGGCAACACTCCTGTAGTCCTAGCTACCACAGAGAAAGAATGGAAAAGTGGGAAGCAAGAAAGCCTGCAGACATTTAAAAGTGCTCAGCTCAACCCACGGAAATTGCATTTTTCTCTTCTTCTATTCCTGGATGAGGTCAGAAAGATATGAGCTTTGCTCAGACAAAGAGTCTTTTGTAAAATCCCTAAGTTAAAAAAAAAGTCAAACCTGAACTTTATAGAATCAAGGGCCACCTTAGCACTACCTCATTATGGCTAAAGCTAGGGAGATATGGGATCAGGAATGCAGTAGGCCACTGTTTGGCTGCCCTATGTTAGATGGCCAGCTGCTAGAGTACAAATCTGTATGTACTGAACAAAGAAGCTGCACACAGGTTAATGGACTTTTAATGCCTTGCTACTTAATGATATAACCTTTACCCTTTTTTTGGGACAACGTCTTGCTGTGTTGCCCAGGCTGAAGTGCAGTGGCACTAATACAGCTCACTGCAGCCTCCACCTCCCAGGCTCAAGTGGTCTTCCCACCTCAGCCACTCAAGTAGCTGGGACTACAGGCATGCACCGCCATGCCAGGCTAATTTTTTAAAATTATTTTTTGTAGAGACAGGGTTTTGCCATGTTGCCCAGGCTGGTCTCGAACTCCTGGGCTTAAATGATCTGCTGGCCTCAACCTTCCAAAGTGCTGGGATTAAGGCGTGAGCCATCATGCCCAGACTCCATGACATAACTCCTTAATCAATGTTCTATACCTGTAGAAACTGACTTTAAAATAAAAGCTAAGGGCTGGGCGCAGTGGCTCACTTGAGGTCAGGAGTTTGAGACCAGCCTGGCCAACACGGCGAAAACCCGTTTCTACTAAAAATACAAAAATTAGCCAGATATGGTGGCACATGCCTGTAATTCCAGCTAGTCAGGAGGCTGAGACACAACAATCACTTGAACCTGGGAGGAAGAGGTTGCAATGAGCAGAGATTGCACCACTGCACTCCAGCCTGGGCGAAAGAGCAAGGCTCTGTCTCAAAACACAAACAAACAAATAAATAAATAAAGGCCAAGAAGCTGTTTGTGGAGGGTATGTCTCAAAGTCTAATGATACAACGATATGGGAGCCAAAATTCCCATGTCCAATAAGGCCCCAGAGAGCTGTCACGGTCTCCCTCACTCTAAAATTTCAGTTATGCTAATTATAACGAGATTACACAACCTCTTCTTTTTCCAGGGTTCCTAAATTCCCTCCTCACCCAGCTTAGGCTCCATTATTGCAATCACTCCCTCACATACACCCTTCCCTTCCTGCCCCACTCTCCCTTAGAGTCGCACATGCCTAAAACATGCTAACGCTGGTTAAACACAGCTCTACTCTTTTTCTGTACCTGCAAATCACAACTGAACACATGAGACTAATTAATCTCACATGAAATGTATGGCCCATAATCTCAAGTGGGCCCTTCGCGTGGTTGCCTATCTGAGCACACTTCCCTAGTCCACCCACACTCCCACGCTCCAGATGACCATTTCATGCCTCTTCTCTCTCCTCAACTCTCCTTCTCCTTCCCTCGCCTCAATCACAGCTGATGCTCTTGCTTTCCATTTCACTGAGAAAACAGAAGCAAATTAGAATAAACTTTCCACATGCTTCTACCACTACACCCACCTACCCACTTGCTTCTAAGCCTATATGCTCTGCCTCCCCTCTTGTTACTATGGAAGAACTATGTTCCTATCTAAGGCCAACCCTTTTTATCTATCGATCACATTCTCTTTTCTCTGGCCTCCTCCAGGTCATTATTCAGGCAATCTGTTCCCTCTCTTCTGATTCAATTTTTTCCCTCTCTCCTAAGTTTCATGCTACTCATTCCATCAGCATACAAATAGGTCTCCCATCTTGGGATGGGAAAAAAACAACTCTCAACCCCACATCTTCGTCCAACAATCACTTCACTTATCTTCACCCCTCTCTCCTGGACTTTACAGCGAACTCTTTAAGAGATTTCTATATTGCTATCTCCAATTTCTCTCCTCCTATTCCTGCATTCTTGAACCCACTCCAATTAAGCTTTCACTTTCACCCTCCACCACTCCACTGAAACTACTCAAAAGGGTCCCATGATACTAAGACCAATGCCAGTTCTTGGTCTTTAACTTACCTGACCCATCTGCAGCACTGGGCACAGCTGACCACTTACTCTACCTTGGAGTTTTTCCATCACATTCTTGGTTTTTCTCCTTCCATCCTCACTAGAAGCTTTTCTGTTTCCTCTGCTGGGTATTCTTCATCTCTTTTGCCTCTAATGTAGGAGGGCGAGGGCTCAGCCCTCATTTTTTTTTTTTTTTTTTTTGAGATGGACTGTCACTCTGTCGCCCAGGCTGGAGTGCAGTGGCGTGATCTCGGCTCACTGCAACCTCTGCCTCCTGAGTTCAAGCGATTCTCCTGCCTCAGCCTCCTAGGCCTCTTCTTATCTATATTCACTCCTTAGGTGACTTCATCCAGCATGTGGTTTTCAACACCATTCAAATGTATCTCTCTAGCCGAAACCTCTCCCCTCAACTTTGGAGTCTGATAGCCAATTACCAATTCATTGTCTCTTCTTGATTACCTAACAGGCATCTCAAACTTGTCTCAAACTGAACACCTATCTTCCCACAAATTCACAGTAGTCCTAACCATCTGGCCGTTTACTGCAACAGCCCAGTAACTGGTCTCCTTTTGTCACCTTTGTCCTCCTGCGGTCTGTTCTCAACATAGGAGTTAATGATCTTTTTAAAAGGTGAATCAAATCATACTACTTCTCTGTTTAAAACCCTCCAGTGGCTTCCCATCTCACACAGTTAAATCCAAGGTCTTTGCAAAATCCTGCAGTGCGCTCTCCCCTGCAGCTCCAGCTTTCCAACCTCCAAGTCCTACCACTCTTCCCTCCCCTCACTCTTTGTAGTCTTGCCACAATGGCCCCCTTGCTGTCCCCAAAATGTTTCAAGAATACTTCTGCCTTATGGCCTCTGCATTTGTTGTTCCCACTGCCTGCAACAGCTGTTCTCCTAGATAACTACTAAGCTTACTCGTCACTTTCTTAAGGTCTTTGTCAAATTTTCACCGTATCAGTAAGGACTGTCCTGACTCTCTCCCCACTCCTCCAATTAAAGATATCATCATCCCGACCTCCGCCCCAGTATATCTTATTCCTCTCCTCTGCTTTGTAATTCTCTAAAGCATACTGCATACTATGTATTTATATATTTTACTAGTTTGACTGTCAAATTTTTTTGTCTTTTCTATTTATTGCTATTTCCCTACCAACAGACCTGACACATAAAAAGGTACTCAATAAACCCACTGAGTGAATAAACGAATTACTGTCTTCAAGGAGTGCTCTGGGGAAAGATAAAATCAACTCACAGCATGATAGGGAAAAAGGTGCTTCCAAGCACTTACCTGCTCCCCGACTGGGAGGGTCTCGGGCTGGGGGAGGTGGCCTATTACTCAGTAAAGATGGGGAGGCCGAGGTGGGTGGAGGAGGTGCTAGGCCTCTGACAGGCCCTGGTGTCTTCCTATGCAAAGAATTGTGTCTCTGTGGCAGCTCAGGGGCTGACTCATTAGTGGGGCTAGAGGGTCCATTGGGGACCCCAGGAGGCTGGCGGTAAGGCGGAGGAGGAGGAGCCAGAGACTGGCCACTTGGTCCTGTTCTGATATTCACAGGGGAAGGAGGTGGTTTGACTGGGGGTGGAGCAGGAGGTCCCTCTCGACCAGGGTGAAGCCTTTGTCCAGGCGTCGGTGGCAAGGGTTTCTCTCTGTTGTAGGCGGGGGCTTTGCTGCTGTGCATAGGCAGAGGTGTGGGGGGTGCGTTGGCACGCCGCCCTGGGGGTGGTGGGGGAGGGGCAGAGGAGCTGTGCTTCATGCCCGTACTGCTGGTGGTATTAGGCCGAGAGAGGTCCGGTAAAGAGGGTCTCTGCATCCGGGGCAGTTCTGGGAGTGAGGCCCGGCTGCTGTCTGTATCATCCTGAGGACGCCCGCTGGCGGCAGATACTGGAGGCCTTGGGGCAGCAGCTCGAGAACTGGGGATTTGCAGGGCTGGCTTACCAGCTAGGTTCTCTACAAATACATAGACAACACAGGGTCAACAGAGCTGGACAGATATTGGTCAGTATCCCTACTTCACTCGGCTCCTTAGTGCAACCTGCATGGCAGCAGGGAAAGGAATTGAATAATTCTGGGTTTTTTGTTTTTCTTTTTTTTTTTTTTTTTTTTTTTTTTTGAGACGAAGTTTCGCTGTTGTTGCCTAGGCTGGAGTGCAATGGTGCAATCTCAGCTCACTGCAACCTCTGGGTTCAAGTGATTCTCCTGCCTCAGCCTCCCGAGTAGCTGGGATTACAGGTGTGCGCCACCACACCTGGCTGATTTTTGTATTTTTAGTAGAGATGGGGTTTCACCACGTTGGACAGGCTGGTCTCGAAATCCCAACCTCAGGTGATCTGCCCACCTCGGCTTCCCAAAGTGATGGGATTACAGGCGTGAGCCACCACGTCCGGCCTAGTTCTGGGTTTTAATACGGTTTCAGGCTCAGGATACACTGTTATTTATTTTAAATGTTACTTTATTTTTGACAAGTAATAATTTTATGTATTTATGGGGTACAATGTCTCGTTATATGTATACGTTGTGGAATGATTAAATCAAACTAACATATCCATCACCTCACATATTTTTTTTAATGGTGAAAACACTTAAAATCTACTCTACAACAGGCGCAGTGGCTCATGCCTGTAATCCCAGCACTTTGGGAGGCCAAGGTGGACAGATCACTTGAGGTCAGAAGTTTGAGACCAGCCTGGCCAACATGGTGAAACCCCGTCTCTACTAAAACTACAAAAATTAGCCAGGTGTGGTGGCCTGTGCCTGTAATCCCAGCTACTTGGGAGGCTGAGGCAGGAGAATGGCTTGAACCCAGGAGGCGGAAGTTGCAGTGAGCCAAGATGGCACCACTGCACTCCAGCCTGGGCGACAGAGCAAGACTCCATTTGCGGGGGGGGGGGGGACGAATAAATAAAATAAAATAAAATAAAATATACTCTTTTAGCAATTTTGAAATATACATTAAGTATAATAAGGGGTCGCCAACCCCTGGGGCCATGCACCTGTACAGGTCAGTGGCCTGTTAGGAACAGGGCACACAGAAGGTGAGCGAGCAAGCATTACTGCCTGAGCAACGCCTACTGTCAGACCAGCAGCAGCATTAGATTCTCATAGGAGGGCGAACCCCATTGTGAACCGTGCATGTGAGGGATCTAGGTTGCATGCCCCTTATGAGACTCTAACTAATGCCTGATGATCTAAGGTGGAACAGTTTCATCCTGAAACCATCCCCCGCCCACCATCTATGGAAAAATTGTCTTCCATGAAACCAGTCCCTGGTGCCAAAAAAACTGGGGACTGCTGCAATAGATCACTAAAACTTACCCCTCCTGTCTAACTGAAACTTTGTACCCTTTGACCAACATCTCCCCTTTCCCAATCCCAACGCCTACTGCCCCCAGCCTCTAGTAACCAACATTTCACTCTCTACTTCTACGAGTGAGTTCAACTGTTTCAGATCCCACATATAAATGAGATCATGCAGTATTTGTGTTTTTGTGCCTGGCTTATTTCACTTAGTATAATGTCCTCCAAGTTCATCCATATTATCAGAAATGACAGAAGTTTCCTTCTTGCCTAAGGCTGAATAGTATTCTAGGGTATATATGCCACATTTTCTTTATCCAAGTTGCATCCACTTTCATTTAATCCCTCAGCTTTTGCTGTATTCTATTCTATAACTCCTCCCCTACTCCCAAGTCTTTCTTCCCCCCACCTCTACCATACTCCTCAACCTGAGATGGCCCACTTGGGACATCAGAAATTAACACACCAGGGAAATACCCTGGGAAAGTACTCATCAGATACCTGAACCATCCTTGGCTCCCACAGGTCGAAGCTTCAGCACTCCTCCTTGGAAGAGACCTCCCTTGGGCTGCAGGGCAGCTCCTCCAGAGCCATAGCCACCACTGCTTCCTTTCGGCTCTGGAAAGCATACCAGTAGGGTTTTCATTTCACATGCTCTCAGCTGGTGACCAAGTAAATCATGAGGGGAAACCACTCCTCTATCTGGGCTATCGCTTGCAAACAAACCAGTCTTGTTTTTGCCCTTCTATTTAAAAAAGCAGGCCTGGTACAGTGGCTCATGCTGCTAATCCCAGCATTTTGGGAGGCCAAGATGGGAGGATCACTTAAGCTCAGGAGTTCGAGAGCAGCCTAGGCAATATAGTAGGACCTGACTCTACAAAAAATTTCAAAAATTACCCAGGCATGGTGATGCATGCCTATATAGTCCCAGCTACTCGGGAGGCTGAGATGGGAGGCTCGATTGAGCCTGGGAGGTCGAGGCTGCAGTGAACTGTGATCGTACCACTGCACTCCAGCCTGAGCAACAGACAGAGCAAGACCCTGTTTCAAAAAAAAAAAAAAAAAGAGAAAAGAAAAGAAAAGAAAGGAAAGCTAGGCCTCTCTGCTCCACAGCTTTGTGTAGGGATGAAACTCTGTTGTGATGAAAGAGAAAGAACGAGTGAAGCCAGGCGTGGTGGCTCACGCCTGTAATCCCAGCACTTTGGGAGGCGGAGGCGGAGGCGGGCGGATCATGAGGTCAGGAGATGGAGACCACAGTGAAACCCCATCTCTACTAAAAATACAAAAAATTAGCCGGGTGCGGTGGCAGGTGCCTGTAGTCCCAGCTACTCGGGAGGCTGAGGCAGGAGAATGGCATGAACCCAGAAGGTGGAGCTTGCAGTGAGCCAAGATCGCGCCACTGCACTCCAGCCTGGGTGACAGAGTGAGATTCTGTCTCCAAAAAAAAAAAACAAAAAAAACCAAAAAAAAAAAACAACAACAACAAGTGGCCGATCTTCCTTTATTCAGGGCAAAGGGATAAGGGGGTTAAATAAATGTTTGGGGGGCCAGGCACAGTGGCTCATGCCTGTAATCCCAGCACTTTGAGAGGCTGAGCAGGTGGATCACCTGAGGTCAGGAGGTCAAGACCAGCCTGGCCAACATGGTGAAACCCCGTCTCTACTAAAAATACAAAAAATTAGCCAGGCGTGGTGGCACGTGCCTATAATCCCAACTACTTGGCAGGCTGAGGCATAAGAACCACCTGAACCTGGGAGGCGGAGGTTGCAGTAAGTGAGCTGAAACCGTGCCACTGCACTCCAGCCTGGGCAACAAGAGCAAAACTCAGTCTTTAAAAAAAAAAAAAGAAATGTTCAACATAGTTATCTGGGCTCTTCTCTCCACATCTCAGATGACAGATAGAAGGCTAAAGAATCAGGGACCAATACGTGAGCACTCTCCAGAGGCCTACAGGAATGGACACTTGTAGCAATCATAAAATCAACCTTGGTTTCAGTCAAGAGGTTTCCAGGAATGTGACAGTGTCCTCAAAGGACAGTCAAGGATGTACCCTGATGAGCATTAGTTACAGTAAGAGATGGCAGCCTTTTTTTTTTTTTTTTTTTTTACCTTTTTGAGAGACAGGGTCTTGCTCTGTTGCCCAGGCTGGAGTGCAGTGGCGCAGTGACATGATCACAGCTCACTGCAGCCTTGAACTTCTAGGCTCATGCAATCTTTCCACCTTGACCTCCCAAAGTGCTGGGCTTACAGGCATGAGCCACCATGCCCGGTGAGATGGTAACCTTAATCCTGAGATGCTCTCCAAGAGTCAAGAAGAAACTTCTAAGGTTCAGAAGAATGAATAAGAAGAGAGCCAAAGCACATCCCAGGACAAAACTCTCCCACTCAAGGCCCAATAAAAATAAGAACCCAGCCAAGTCTCCAAGTCACTCCTGGGATCCTGCCAGTTCACTAGGAAATGAAGCTCGGACTCACTCTCGAGGATGGGAGCACTCCGATCATTAATGTTGGTCACCTTCTTCAGCTTGGTCCCTTTGCAAATGTCCTGTAAGAGGGCGCCTCGACCCCGCTGCTCATCTCTACTCAGCTTGGGCTGCTCTGTGTTTGCCTGGAGGATAAGAGAAATATAAGTTCACCCTAAAGAGTTCCCTTTATCGGCCGGGTGCGGTGGCTCACGCCTGTAATCCCAACACTTTGGGAGGCCAAGGCAGGTGGATCACTTGAAGTCAGGAGTTCCAGACCATCCTGGCCAACATGGTGAAACCCCATCTCTACTAAAAATACAAAAACTTAGCTAGGCATGGTGGCACATGCTGTATCCCAGCTACTCAGGAGGCTGAGACAGGAGAATCGCTTGAACCCAGGAGGTGGAGGTTGCAGTGAGCCGAGATCACACCACTGCACTGCAGCCTGGGCAACAGGGCGAGAATGTGCCTGCAAAAAAAAAAAAAAAAAAAAAAAAAGTTCCCTTTATCACAAGCTTGGGATAAATGACTTAAAGCAAACTGGATTCCATGAGATGTCTATCTAACCTCATTAGATATACATGCCAAAGAGCAATATCAATGTGCATTATCCTTCTCAGTTTTTCCCCTCCTGTTCTATCTTCTGTGAAGGAACTCCATTTCCTTCTTATTCAGAAGCTTCTGATGGGAGGCCTGCAGTAATACTTAGTTATCTTTGTGCTAGTCTGCATGTTAAGACACTATGTATGTTAGACATTTAATGCGTATCATCACCATCAAGGCAAACATTTAGTGAGTCCCTACTATGACTTAGGCACTGTGGTAAGCACAATATTTGCCTTAGCTCATTTAAATCTCTAAACCTTCCCATGAGAAAGGTATTATTATCATTGTCGCCATTTGGAAAGGGTGGGCCAGAAGCTGAATAGCTATCTAAGGTCATGCAACTAGTAAACAATAAAACAAGAGTCCAAACTCCAACAGTGACACTAAAAACTCATATCCTATCTCAACTAACATACCCTACTGTCTCCCTATTACTTCAATTTAACCTCTAAATAAAGTTATACAGTAAACTATATTATTCCCATTCCAAAGATGAGAAAACAAAGGTTTAGGACAGTTAACGTCACATCATTAATAAACAAACAGCCAAGATGTGAATGCTCTGATTGCCTCAAAGCCCCAGGCCTTTTCCACCCTCTGATTGCTTTTTTTGCTTTTTGCTTTTTTTTTTTTTTAAGACAGAGTCTTAGATTCTACCATCCAGGCTGGAGCACAGTGGTGCGATCTCGGCTCACTGCAAGCTCCACCTCCTGGGTTCCCACCATTCTCCTGCCTCAGCGCCCCCAGTAGCTGGGAAATATTTCAAGAACTCCTCATGATCGCCAGAAGAAAAATCTAAACCCTCAGCTTACATCTCCAGCTGCATCTGCTACCACATCCCCTCAAGCAATAATCTAAACCTCTATATGCTTTCCTAAAAATCAGCACGAGGCCGGCCGGCACAGTGGCTCACACCTGTAATCCCAGCACTTTGGGAGGCCCAGGCAAAAGGATCACTTGAAGCCAGGAGTTCAAGACTAGTCTAGGCAACAAAGTGAGACTCTGCCTTTACAAAAAAAAAAAACTTATCTTTTTTTTTTTTTTTTTTTTTTTGAGACAGAGTTTCAAGTGCTGGGATTACAGGTGTGAGCCACTGCACCCGGCCTAAAAAATTTTTTTTTATATTAGCTATATGCAGTGTCATGCACATGTAGTCCCCTCTACTTAGGAGGCTGAAGCAAGCGGATCACTTGAGCCCAGGAATTAGAGGCTGCAGTGAGTTATGATCACAACCACTGCACTCCAGCCTGGGTAACAGAGTGAGACTCTGTCTCATTAATTAATTAATTAATACCAAATCAGTATCTTTCCACATTCTACTTCCTCAACTTCAAGTGCCCTCCCTCCCTCCTCTCTTTCTGGCTAAACTCTACTCATGGCTTAAGACTCAGCTCAAGTATCACCACCTACCTAAAAGCCTTCATTGACTGCCTCCTCTTTCTACCCCCAACATCACCATACAAGCTCTGCTTTATTTTTTTGAGACAGAGTCTCGCTCTGTCATCCAGGCTGGAGTGCAGTGGCGCGATCTCGGCTCACTGCAACCCTGACTCCCTGGTTCAAGCGATTCTCCTGCCTCAGCCTCTCGAGTAGCTGGGATTACAGGCAAGCGCCACCATGCACAGCTAATTTTTGTATTTTTAATAGAGATGGGGTTTCACCATGTTGGCCAGGATGGTCTCAATCTCCTGACCTCGTGATCTGCCCGCCTCGGCCTCCCAAAGTGCTGGGTGCAATCTCTGCCTCTGGGGTTCAAGCGATTCACCTGCCTTGGCCTCCCAAGCAGCTGGGATTACTGGCGCTCAACTACCACACCCAGCTAATTTTTGTATTTATAGTAGAGATGGGGTTTCACCATGTTGGCCAGGCTGGTCTCAAACGCCCGACCTCAGGTGATCCGCCCGCCTCGGCCTCCCAAAGTGCTGGGATTCCAGGCGTGAGCCACTCGTGCCCGGCCAAGCTCTGCTTTTATCTCCTTCATTTATTGGGCTTCCACACAAAACTTCATCTAAAAGGCAGTTCATACATACTCCTAAAACAAAATGTCTAAAAACTACAGGTTATGAAAACAAACAGAAGTGGGTAGACCTGAACTCTAGTCCTAGTTCAGAAACAAATTAGATAGGCAAGTCACTTTTCCTCTTCGGGGTACAATTTCTCAACTGTTAAACACTTAACATACACATATAAGCACACATACACACCTATGCGTGCACACATACACACACCCATGGCCTATTCTTCTCTGAAGTCACTTTTACTTCCAAATTTTACAAAAATAGAATGCATACAGGTTCCTTTCCTCCTTTCCTTTTTTTTTTTTTTTTTTGAGATGGAGCCTCGCTCTGTCGCCCAGGCTGGAGTGCGGCATGATCTCAGCTCACTGCAACCTCCGCTTCCTGGGTTCAAGCAATTCTCCCGCTTCAGCCTCCTGAGTGGCTGGTATTACAGGCGCTTGTCACCACACCTGGCCTCAAGCAATCCACCCACCTCAGCCTCCCAAAGTGTTGGGATTACAGGCGTGAGCCATCGCGCCTGGCCTCAGGTTCCTTCCTTCTCATGTGACACCAGGTATCACAATCTAGGTATGGCTAAAGTAGCTTCCTGCTTGGTTCAAAAATCACATTGCTTTTTTTCCTATTATTGAATCTTTCAGTCTTCGAACCAATACATTCCAAAAACTCCTTTCCTTCTTGATAAGGTGTTCAACTTGATGGACTTGGCTTTAAAATGAACTGATTTTGAATAGAAGAGATGATGAAGTGGTAGCAAGAAACAACCACTAAGAATCCTCAAGCCGGGCGCGGTGGCTCACACCTGTAATCCCGGCACTTTGGGAGGCCAAGGCAGGAGGATCACAAGGTCAGGAGTTCAAGACCAGCCTGGCCAACATGGTGAAACCCCATCTCTACTAAAAATATAAAACTTAGCCAGGCGTGGTGGCGCGTGCCTGTAATCCCAGCTACTTGGGAGGCTGAGGCAGAAGAATCGCTTGAACCCAGGAGGCAGAGGTTGCAGTGAGCCGAGACCGTGCCACTGCACTCCAGCCTGGGCGACAGAGTGAGATTCCGTTTCAAAAAAAAAAAGGAATCCTCACCACTTTTCTCAAAAATGCCAAAGAAACAACATACTAACTTTTATACAGCAAATAGTTTTAGGGGAAAACACTAGCTCCAACTCCAACGCCACCTGTCCAAATCTCCATTTAGAGTGAACCAGGACAAGGAAACCAGACATGCCATTATGATCCTAAGAGGACCTCTCAGGAATCAGAACCAGCTGAAAAAGATGGACTTGTTTATTCTCCACCTTCCTATACCACATGTCATTGATTATACACTATGTCTTGTACAAGGAAGCCCTAAGTATCCTTTAATACTAGGAATAACAATCTGGAATGTTAAAAACAGAATTAAAGAATAGGAATGCTACTAGTAGGAAAATCTAGAAATTTTAACCAAAAGGAGTTAAAAGAAAAAAAAAGTATGTGAGGACCATCAACCTATTTACTCAAAGGTTTTGAGATAGCCTAATGGAAGGACTACCTACCTGATGAAATGTGGGAGGTGGAGGAGGACCAGGTGGGGGTGGCGGGGGAGGAGGAATTGGCATTCTTGCCCTGCTCCCAGTTGGCACTGTTCTCTCTCCGTCTTTATTTGTACCTTTAGGTCATTCATATACCTGCAAATGAAAAAGAAACTCATTAAGAACAGCTTTACCATTAGATACAAGTGCCCAGGAGAATGAGAGAACTGGGCATGGTAATCAAAAGAGACTGAACACCTTATCTTTTAGTTCCACTGTGATACAGTCCAGGGCTTGGTAAATCTGTTTAAATCAATTGTTTTAATTTGCAATTTCCTAATGACTTATGATGCTGAACATCTTTTCATATGCTTACTTGTCATCTGTTTATCTTCTCTGGTAAGGTGTCTATTTAGGCCTTGTGTCCTTTTTTTTTTTTTTTTTTTTTTTAAAGACCCTGGGACTCTCTCCATTGCCCAGGCTGGAGCACAGTGGTGCAATCATGGCTCACTGCAGCCTAGAACTCCTGAGCCCCAGCAATCCTCCCACCTCAGCCTCTCAAGTAGCTGGGACTACAAGCATGCATGTCATTACGCCCAGCTAATTTAAAAACAATTTTTGGGCCAGGCGCGGTGGCTCATGCCTGTAATCCCAGCACTTTGGGAGGCCGAGGCGGGTGGATCACGAAGTCAGGAGATCGAGACCATCCTGGCTAACATGGTGAAACCCCGTCTCTACTAAAAATACAAAAAAGTAGCGGTGTGGTGGTGGGCGCCTGCAGTCCCAGCTACTCGGGAGGCTGAGGCAGGAGAATGGCGTGAAACCAGGAGGCGGAGCTTGCAGTGAGCCGAGATGGTGCCACTGCACTCCAGCCTGGATGACAGAGCGAGATTCCGTCTCAAAAAAAAAAAAAAAAAATTTAGGCCGGGCACGGTGGCTCACACCTGTAATCCCAGCACTTTGGGAGGCCAAAGTGAGTGGATCACCTGAGATTGGGAGTTCAAGGCCAGCCTGACCAACATGGAGAAACCCTGTCTCTACTAAAAACACAAAATTAACTGGGCATGGTGGCACATGCCTGTAATCCCAGCTACTCGGGAGGCTGAGGCAGGAGAATCGCTTGAACCTGGGAGGCAGAGGTTGTTGGGGTGAGCAGATGTCGCACCACTGCACTCCAGCCTGGGCAACAAGAGAGAAACTCTGTCTCAAAAAAAAAAAAATTTAAAGATGGGTGCTCCCTGTATTGTGCAGGCTTGTCTCCAACTCCTGGCCTCAAGCAATCATCTCACTTCAGCCTCACAGCTGGGATTACAGGTGTGAGCCACCATGCCTGGCTGGCCCATATTTTTAATTGGGTTGTTTTTGCTTTTTTATTGTTGAGTTTTAAGAGCTCTTTGTATATTCTGGATAACAGTCCTTTAATAGATATGTCTTCTGCAAGTATTTTTTCCCAGTCTGAGGCTTATCTTCTCATTTTCTTGATTTTTATAACCTCTTAAAAATGTAAAAATCAGGCCGGGCACAGTGGCTCAAGCCTGTAATCCTAGCACTTTGGGAGGCCGAGGAAGGCAGGTGAATCACCTGAGGTCAGGAGTTCGAGACCAGCCTGACCAATATGTGAAACCCCATGTCTACTGAAAATGCAAAAATTAGCTGGGCGTGATGACATGTGCCTGTAGTCCCAGCTACTCGGGAGGCTCAGACAGGAGAACTGCTTGAATCCGGGAGGTGGAGGTGCAGTGAGCCAAGAAAGTGCTACTGCCCTCTAGCCTGGGCAACAGAGCGAAACTCTGTCTCAAAAAAAAAAAGGAAAAATCATTCTTAGTTTATGGGCCATACAAAAACAGGCTGTAGACCAGATCTGACTTATGGGCCACAGTTTACCAACATCTGGTATAGTCACATCCCTGGAATCTGACAGCCATTTATCAGATCACCAAACACTTAAAACTCAAAAACTATATAGTTGCCCCTCTATTATAGTCTGCAAGTAATCCTCATTTTACAGATCAGACTAAAACCAGAACTCAAGAACAATAACTACCCCCACAAAGCCATTTTAAGGAAATCCCATTTTTTGACCCCCTCCCCCCAAAAAATGGAAGCCAAAATAACATGGCCACCATGAGTACAACTTACAGATGACAAGAAAGGTTCAAGATGGTAACCAACCTCACCAATCAATCCATGGAAGAACTGCTTCTAAGCAAGGTTATTAATAAGATTAGGAGGCCAGGCATGGTGGCTCATGCCTGTAATCCCAACACTTTGGGAGATGGAGAAAGGAAGACGGCTTGAGCCCAGGAGTTCAAGACCAGTCTGGACAACATGGTGAAATCCCATCTCTACCAAAAATACAAAAATTAGCCCGGCATGGTTGTGCACACCTGTAATCCCAGTTACTTGGAAGGCTCAGGCAGCCGAGTTGCTTGAACCCGGGAGGCGGAGGTTGCAGTAAGCCCAGAACGCACCACTGCACTCCAACCTGGATGACAGAGTGAGACTCTGTCTCAAAAAAAAAAAAAAATCAAACCAGCATGGCAGCCCACTGGGAAGGCCTGGTTCTGAACTCCTTACATGGGTGACCAAAACCTCTCTGTCAATAATGCAGTAATTTAATACTTCTCTCAATGCTCTGGGAATGATGAAAGGAAAGGGAAATTTTTCCAACAGTTCTATAAAACCAAAAACCACTGCAGGAGAGTAGAATTTGATCAGAAATGAGACAGTAAAAGTCTTCAAAATCCCAACTCCTGCCAGTGTGATGCCACTATAGGCTGGCTGCCCAACAGAGCTATTTCCTCTAACCACAAAAAAATGGACAGTCCTCAGGCTAAGTGGTTCCTGTGGGGAATGGTGTCTGTACTCACTTCAAGAAATAAGCCGATAAATTCCCTCCAAGGGAAATACCTTTTTATTTCTGCTTTCAAAACCAAGGGCAGTCTTTCTTTGCCAGGCGTTTAACATACGAGGCTTTAAAAATTGATCGAAACAGTAAATCATAAGCAGAACATCTATCACCAGGTGGGGGAAAGGAATTTAAAATAAAGAAAACACAAGAAGTAGAAAAACCAACAAACAAAACCTTTCTTTTCTTTGCATCCCCTGGGTTTACTGTGACCATTCCATTCCAAAGTGCCCACAGCATTAGCAAAGAAAGCTAGTAGGAAACAAAGGGGAAAATAGGCCGGGCGCGGTGGCTCACGCCTGTAATCCCAGCACTTTGGGAGGCCAAGGCGGGCAGATCATGAGGTCAGGAGATGGAGACCATCCTGGCTAACACAGTGAAACCCTGTCTCTACTAAAAATACAAAAAATTAGCTGGGTGTGGTGGCAGACACCTGTAGTCCCAGCTACTTGGGAGCCTGAGGCAGGAGAATGGCGTGAACCTGGGAGACGGAGCTTGCAGTAAGCCGAGATCACACCACTGCACTCCAGCCTGGGTGACAGAGTGAGACTCCATCTCAAAAAAAAAAAAAAAGTCCAGGCGCGGTGGCTAATGCCTGTAATCTTAGCACTCTGGGAGGCTGAGGCGGGCAGATCACCTGAGGCCAGGAGTTCGAGACCAGCCTGACCAACATGGAAGAAACCCCATCTCTACTAAAAATACAAAATTAGCCAGGCATGGTGGCACATGGGATTACAATCCCAGCTACTAGGGAGGCTGAGGCAGGAGAATCGCTTGAACCTGGAAGGCGGAGGTTGTGGTGAGCCGAGATCGCGCCATTGTACTCCAGCCTGGGCAACAAGAGCGAAACTCCATCTCAAAAAAAAAAACCAAACAAACCAGGGAAAATAACAGTTGATTCAGAAACAAACATTTTCAACTAATTCCAGTCACCAGAGGTCCTGCCTTTTTGAGGAGGTTTCTAGTTTTTTTTTTTTTTGAGACAGAGTCTCTGTTGCCTAGGCTGGAGTACAGTAACATCATCTCGGCTCGCTGCAACCTCTTCCTCCCAGGTTCAAGCGATTCTCCTGCCTCAACCTCCCAAACAGCTGGGACTACAGGCGCATGCCACCACACCCAGCTAATTTCTGTATTTTTAGTAGAGACGGGGTTTCACCAAGTTAGCCAGGCTGGTCTCAAACTCCTGACCTCAAATGATCCTCACGCCTCGGCCACCCAAAGTGCTGGGATTACAGGGGTGAGCCACCATGCCCGGCCTGGGTTTCTAGTTCTATCAGCCATTGGCCATTGCCATAATTGAAAGGATCTCCTAGAATGACCCAAAAAAGACTCAGACAAGTCCTTTACTCTTTCCATGTCCATAGGTGATCCAATCTCCGTGCTACAAGGTGAATAATGACCTAAAAGGAACAGCCTTATGCCTGTCAGTGTGCTCCACTTATTTAAGCAAAGCAGGAATTCTCTAGCATAGCAATTTTTTTTAAGCAATATATTACACAGTTAAAGATGCCTTCCTAAAATAGACTCAATTCAAACTCTAATTGAAAAACAGATTCATCAGTGGCGCTTGCCTATAATTGCAGCTATTCAGGGGGCCAAGAAGGGAGGATCACTTGAGCCTTTGTTTTTGGATCCAGCCTAGGCAACACAGCAAGACCCCTTAAAAAATTAAGTACATAAAAAAAGTTAAATCAAAGAAACACCATCTATATCAAGTGACTGACTTTAGTGTTGACTACCAACAGTGGCTCTCAAGCTTTCTTCTGGCTCCACAGGGATTGTATGCATGACACACTCCTATCAATGACATTTATTACATAATGATGTATTATCCTTCCCATTTTATGGTGAGGACACTGAAGTCCCAGGAGTGGGAGTGCCTACATGTACATGAGAAAAACTGACTCATCAAAGGGCAACTGCCCAAGATCACTCAGGAATAAAGTGCAGAGTTAGGCCTCATATCCAGGTCTCCTGACTTCTTCCTTTTCACTAATCACTATGGAGAAAACAAACAAAAAACTCCCCTGGAAATTAGTGTGGTTTAGCAATTTTCTATTTTTCCCCAAATGAAATTTAACTCATTCCAAATTTCTTAGTTATAGAATACAAACAGTTCTCTATATGTTTCCAAGAACAGCCCCATTTAGGTGAATTCAAATTAAAACAACTTTCCTTTCCCTGAAAAACTCCCAAAAGAAGCTTTTTGTTTACATCAAATTAGGACTGAGACTTATAATCGCTAATCCAATGCAGAGGGTCTGCTTTGAGAACTACTTTGAGTTAAAAAAAAAAAAAAATGAACCAAAACAATTCATAACATTTGACAACAGAAAGACAAATTTCACTAACCAACTGTGATTAATCAAAGGACAAATTTGAGCCTTCTGGAAGCACTGTCTATTGCAATACTAAGAATCTAATAGGCTGGACGCAGTGGCTCACGCCTGTAATCCCAGCACTTTGGGAGGCCGAGGAGGGCGGATCACAAGGTCAGGAGATTGAGACCATCCTGGCTAACACAGTGAAACCCCGTCTCTACTAAGAAACATAAAAAATTAGCTGGGCGTGGTGGCGGGCGCCTGTAGTCCCAGCTACTCGGGAGGCTGAGGCAGGAGAATAGCATGAACCCAGGAGGCGGAGCTGGCAGTGAGCCGAGATTGCGCCACTGCACTCCAGCCTAGGTGACAAAGCGAGACTCAAAAAAAAAAAAAAAAAAAAAAAGAATCTAATAGCTAACGTGTACTGGCACCATCATAGCTCACTGTAACCTCAAACTCCTGGGCTCCAGTGATCCTTCTGCCTCAGCCTCCCGAGAAGATAGGACTACAAGTGAGCACCACCACGTGCAGCTAAGAATCTAATGGTCTTGAGGTTAAACCTGAGATTAAATTTAGAAAAGAACAAGAAGGTTCTCTACAGAATTTTAAGTATTTCCTTTCTGATCTATTAAATTAGAACTACAAACCTCACCATCTGTGCTCTTCAGAGACCTTGACTTTCAGAAACATCTTGAGGCTGCCTCAAGTTCGGAAACACAGTAATTCTCATTCCTTTCTTAAGCCCTTCCATCTTAAAAACCAAGATAAAGGCCGGGTGTGGTGGCTCACGCCTGGAATCCCAGCACTTTGGGAGGCCGAGGTGGGCGGATCACAAGGTCAGGAGATAGAGACCATCTTGTCCAACACGGTGAAACCCTGTCTCTACTAAAAAAAAAAAAAAAATACAAAAATACAAAAAATTAGCCGGGCATGGCAGCGGGCACCTGTAGTCCCAGCTACTCAGAAGGCTGAGGCAGAAGAATGGCGTGAACCCGGGAGGCAGAGCTTGCAGTGAGCCGAGAATGCGCCACTGCACGCCAGCTTGGGTTGACAGAGCGAGACTTTGTCTCAAAAAAAAAAAAAAAAAAAAAAAAAAAACATGATAAAATTCGCTTTGCACATCCTCAGGAGTCAATATCTTAAAAATAAACACCAGAGAGTATTATTTAAAATCTTCCTGATGTCCGGTCCAGCAGGGTGGCTCAGGCCTGTAATCCCAGCACTCTGGGGGGCTGAGGCGGGCAGATCACAAGGTCAGGAGATCGAGACCAGCCTGGGCAACATGGTGAAACCCTGTCTCTAGTAAAAATACAAAAAATTAGCCAGGCATGGTGGCAGGTGCCTGTAGTCCCAGCTACTCCAGAGGCTGAGGCAGGAGAATTGCTTGAACCCGGGAGGCGGAGGTTGCAGTTAGCCAAGGTCACGTCACCGCACTCCAGCCCAGGTGACAGTGCGAGACTCCATCTCAAAAAAAAAAAAAAATCTTCCTGATGTCAAATTCATCACAGAATTCAGAAATAAGTCTTGATAAAACTCAAGTAATGCACTTTTAAAAACTGCTTCCTGGCAGGGTGCGGTGGCTCACACCTGTAATCCCAGCACTTTGGGAGGCCGAGGCAGGCAGATCACCTGAGGTCAGGAGTTCAAGACCAGCCTGACCAACATGGAGTAACCCTGTCTCTACCAAACATACAAAATTAGCCGGGCATGGTGGTGCATGCCTGTAATCCCAGCTACTCGGGAGGCTGAGGCAGGAGAACCGCTTGAACCCAGGAGGCAGACAGAGGTTGCAGTGAGCCAAGATTGCGCCATTGCACTCTAGCCTGGGCAACAAGAGCGAAGAGCCATCTCAAAAAAAAAAAAAACTGCTTCCTTCTATCCATCTTTAAAAAGACAAAGCCTATTTTTCTATTCAATTTCCTAATGTTTCACTCCAAATATTCCTACATTTTAAAAACAGGAGACTTCCTTAGTACAAAGACACCAACTACTACCCTTTACACGTGATAAATGAAGAATCCAGTTTAGTTCTTGCTTTTCTCGTACACTTAAAATTATCTAAGAGGTATCCTAGTTACCACTACAATCTGGGGCCTTTATTCAAATGGCATTCTGCTGCTCTAAAACTCAGGTTTCAATTGCAAGTTATTTTAAAAAGACACGAAAATCAAGAAAAATTCTAAATCTTAATGCTATCTTCTATTTTCATGCCTCAGGTAACAGTACTTTCCTTTGATCTCAGTTTTGACTACAAAGTAAATTACAGTTTTTGTATCAAAGCACTGAACAAAATCCCAAAAGGGAAAAAAACTGACCTTAAAAAAACAGGCCACCTCCCTCACTCAGCAAAATCTTAAGGTCCCAGTCCTTCCTTACAAGAATCAGTCATATGAATAGGAATCTGAGATATCAAAAAGAAAATCATCTTTATTTCTTCAATATATGTTTAATTACTTAATATCCTAATAAACCATTTCTCAATACAAAGAAACAGAGATAGGTAAAACAAATTTCAGGATCCTCTCTGAAAAAACCACAACAGCTTTGACTACTCTATCTCCCAGATAATCTAAGGAGAAGACAGTTGTGTCTTCAAAAGAAAAAGATTCCAGACACTCCTCCCTAATGGAATTCTTCTGATCCCATAGTTCAAATCAAATGAAATCTCTCTAACAGCATCAGAGATGAAACATAAATGTTTGGTAGAAAGAGAGTCAGGCAGGGCATTATGGCTCAAGCCTGCAATCCCAGCACTTTGAGAGACTGAGGCAGAAGGATCGAATGTGCTTAGAGACCAGCCTGGGTAACAAAGTGAGACCTTGTCTCTATTTAATAAGAAATATTTTTTAGGCCAGGCACAGTGGCTGACGCCTATAATCCCAGCACTTTGGGAGGCCGAGGCGGACGGATCTCTTGAAGTCAGGAGTTTGAGACCAGCCTGGCCAACATGGTGGAACCCCCATCTCTACTAAAATTATAAAAAAAATTAGCCAGGCACGGTGGCGGGTGCTTATAATCCCAGCTATTTGGGAGGCTGAAGTGCGAGAATCACTTGAACCTGGGAGGCAGAAGTTGCAGTGAGCCAAGATTGTGCAACAGCACTCCAGCCTGGGCAACAGAGAGTCTCAAAAAAAAAAAAAAAAAAAAAAAAAAAGAAATAACTTTTAAATTTTTATTAAAAAAAAAAACTGATGTATCAGCTTTTCACAACCTTTCAATACAACAACCAACCCCAAGAACATTCACATCAAACAAAAAGTTCAAAATGACCAAGTCCACTTTGTATATTTTTCAACCAGGTTTCAGACAAAAATAGAATTAACAGCAAGAAACCAAAGACAATTGCAACAAATGAAAATAAGTAAAAATTGAATGGGTAGGTTTTGTTAAAACTGGATTCTAAATTCGACAGCAATTTCACCCATTCTGATAAGTATTTAACAATTACTAACTTAACCCTATGGTGGCCCATTAGTATCAATTTAAACATTATCCTGAGGCTGGGTGCACTGGCTCAGCCTATAATCCCAGCATTTGAGAGGCCAAGGGGGGTGGACTGCTTGAGGTCAGGAGTTTGAGACCAGCCTGGTCAAGTTGGTGAAACCCCATCTCTACTAAAAATACAAAAATTAGCCAGGCATGGTGGCAAACGCCTGTAACTCCAGCTACTCGGGAGGCTGAGGCACGAGAATCACTTGAACCCAGGAGGTGGAGGCTGCAGTGAGCTGAGATTGCACCACTGCACTCCAGCCTGGGTGAAGGAGTAAGACTCTGTCTCAAAAAAAGTAAAAAAAAAAAAGGCCAGGCGCGTTGGCTCACGCCCGTAATCCCAGCACTTTGGGAGGCCGAGGCAGGTGGATCACTTGAGGTCAGGAGTTCGAGACTAGCCTGGCCAACATGGTGAAACCCCATCCCTACTAAAAATACAAAAATTAGCCAGGCTTGGTGGCACGCACCTGTAATCCTAGCTACCTTGGGAGGCTGAAGCAGGAGAATCGCTTGAACCCGGGAGCTGGAGGTTGCAGTGAGCTGAGATTGTGCCACTGCACTCTAGCCTGGGCAACAGAGCAAGATCCTGTCTCAAAAAAAAAAAAAAAAAAAAAAAAAAAACCCTGAAATAAGAATTAAATTTTCGAGGAACATTTCATACACCTATGTCCATTTTAACAAGCGAGTTGTTTTTGTGTTTTTGTTTGTTTGTTTTGAGACGGAGTATCGCACTGTCACCCAGGTTGGAGTGCAATGGCACGATCTCGGCTCACTGCAACCTCCTCCACCTCCCAGGTTCATGCAATTCTCCTGCCTCAGCCTTCCAAGTAGCTGGGATTATAGGCGCACACCACCACACCCGGCTAATTTCTTGTATTTTTAGTAGAGACGGGGTTTCACTATGTTGGCCAGACTGGACTCGAACTACTGATGTCGTGATCCGCCCACCTCGGCCTCCCAAAGTCTGGGATTACAGGCATGAGTCGCCACGCCCGGCCAACAAATGAGTTCTTAAGCACAGACAGTACCATATCTTTCTAGGGTTCTCTCTCATTATTCTACAGCATACCGTAGCTGCTCAGCAGTCACTTGCTGAATTGAACAAAAGTAAATATAAGAGTAGCACAGGCCTAGCCAGGCGCAGTGGCTCACACCTGTAATCCCAGCACTTTGGGAGGCTAAGGCAGGCGGATCATTTGAGGTCAGGAGTTCAAGACCAACCTGGCCAACATAGTGAAACCATCTCTACTAAAAATACAAAAATTGGTTGGGCGTGGTGTCAGGTGCCTGTTATCCTGGCTACTTGGGAGGCTTGAGGCAGGAGAATCGTTGAACCCAGGAGGTGGAGGTTGCAGTGAGCCGAGACTGTGCCATTGCACTCCAGCCTAGGCAACAAGAATGAAAATCAGTCTCAAAAAAAAAAAAAAAAAAATGAGCAGCACAGGCAGGGCACGGTGGCTCACGCCTGTAATCCCAGCACTTTGGGAGGCCGAGGCAGACAGATCACTTAAGGTCTGGAGTTCGAGACCAGCCTGGCCAACGTGGTGAAACCCCATCTCTACTAAAACACAAAAATTAGCTGGGTGTGGTGGTGCGCGCCTGTAATCCCAGCTACTCTGGAGGCTGAGGCAGGAGAATCGCTTGAACCCGGGAGGAAGGTGTTGCAGTGAGCCGAGATCACGCCACTGCACTCCAGCCTGGGCAACAGTGAGACTCAGGAAAAAAAAAAAAAAAAGAGTAGCATTGTCTAAAAGAGCAAGCAAGTCTGGGTGGAGGAAAATGCAGCAAGGAATGGATCAACATGCCAGAAACAGAAAACAGACAGAAGAATGGAGATATCTATGAAAAGAGGAAAGAAAGAAACACAAGGCTATACGTGTTGTTCAATGCTCCAAAAAATTTTAATATGCTGAATGCACTCATGCATCCATCATCCAATTAAGTATCCACAACTTAACCACTTAATAAATATTGAAGCACCCACTGAGTGCCAAAGTATTTTTCTAGAACAATGGCTCTCAACCAGGAGGGATTTTGTTCCCCAGAGTCATTGACAATGTCATTGACATATTTGTCACAACTAGGGTAGGGAGTGCTGCTGGCATCTAGTGAATAGAAAACAAGGATGCTGCTCAACATCCTCCAACGCATAAGACAGCCGCCCACAACAAAGAATTATCTGGTCAGGACAGGTGCAGTGGCTCACACCTGTAATCCCAACACTTTGGGAGGCCGAGGCGGGTAGATCACTTGAGGTCAGGAGTTCAAGACCAACCTGGCCAACATGGTGAAACCCTGTCTCTACTAAAAATATAAAAGTCAGCCAAGCATGGTGGCGGGCGCCTGTAATCCCAGCTACTCAGGAGGCTGAGGCAGGAGAATCACTTGAACCCGGGAGGTGGAGGTTGCAGTAAGCTGAGATCGTGCCACTGCGCTCCAGCCTGGGCGACAGAACGGGACTCCATCTCAAAAAAAAAAAAAAGAATTATCTGGTCTACATTGTCAACAATGCTGAGGTTGCTAAGCCCTGTTCTAGAAGATGAGCAAGACAAGCGTCTACTGTCTTGGAGCTTACATTCTAGTGTAAGAAGGAAGAAATAAAATCTCAGTATAACAGTTACTGATAAAAGGAGTAAAAAAAACAGAGAATCATAAAGGTAGAGTATAGGAATAGACTGGAATGTTCTTTTGTTTTACTTATTTATTTTTTAGAGATAGATTGTCCAGACTATGTTGCCTAAGCTGGTCTTGAACGTCTGGGCTTAAGCAATCCTCCAGCCTCAGCCTCCCCAGTAGCTGGGACTACAGCTGCCCAGGTTAGAGTCTTCCTTTGGATAGGGTTGCAGGCTTCAGGATCTAGGAGAATTTAACCACGACAACAACAAAATAGTAATAATAATGATAAAATAATACAGTCACAGGGAAAGGGCCATTGGGGGAGAGTATCTGGCTCTCCCAAGAAGTCTCTCCATGAGCAGAGCATGCCATGTAAACATCTGGGGAAAGAGCATTCCGAAAAGAAATAACAGCAAGTGAAAAAATTCTAACATGGGAATGTAGTTGGTGTGTTAGAGAACTAGTAAAAAGACCAGGATAGCTAGAACAGAGTGAGAAGAGATGAAATCTGAGGCTTTATATATAGGCCATCCTCCAAATCCAAAAGTAGTCCCCTTCTCTGTCCAATACACCAACACTGTAAAACCAAAGAAACCTAAATGAACCGACAGCTTCACACTCAAACCAGAAGTTCGATCGGTTATCTCATTAATCCCACAGACTATACTTGATCTCCTGGCTTAATCTCATCCAGAGACTAAGTACTAACTGAAGGCCTTCCAGGGTTAAAAGTCACCTGTTGGTAATCTGCCCACCTGTTCAGCTGTCCTTCAGCTTTGCTCCTGAAAAGCAATCCAGCATGGGAGGTAGGAGCTCATTACTACAATGGCATAATGGCATCCAGTCCCTAGGCCAAAGAACCCCAAAATGAGAAAAGAGCCAGGAGCTGCCTAAGAGTAGTCACATGCCACTCCAGGAGCCAACAACGGCAGGAACCAAACAGGTTCCTATAATCACACAGGGAATAATGTCAAGAGGAATGAAAAACTTGCCTCCATGTGTTCTAGGACAGACTATAACAGAGGGTTTCCACTAAAGTGTTTCTGGTTTCTCTAAAGTACAAGGAAACAGACTAGAATAACATTCATGTTACACACATTTTACCACTACCACTCCAAAAAAAGGCTTTTTCTATAGCTCACAGCCCTCTCCTCTCAATGGAGAAAGTGCCACCACTTCTTGAAATTCAATTCAGTCAAACCTCTGGTGAAACAGATTTCTATCACATGTAGAGATGGAATTAATTAAAATTCCAAGGTTACTTAAGGGAAAAAAATTTTTCAACTACAGAAATTTTCATCACAGAAATTCAACTATGCAGCAAATCTGACTGATCCAACAAGTAATAAAAAAAATCACATAACCATCATGAATATTAAAACTGAAAAATCGGGCCGGGCGTGGTGGCTCACTCCTGTAATCCCAGCACTTTGGGAGGTGGAGGTGGGTGGATCACCCGAGGTCAGGAGTTTTAGACCAGCCTGGCCAATACAGAGAAACCCCATCTCTACTTAAAAAAAAAAAATACAAAATTAGCCGGGTGTGGTGGCGTATGCCTGTAATCCCAGCTACTCAGGAGGCTGAGGCAGGAGAATTGCTTGAACCCGGTAGGCAGAGGTTGCAGTGAGCCGAGATGGCACCATTGCACTCCAGCCTGGGCGACAGAGCAAGACTCTGTCTTAAAAAAAAAAACCTGAAAAATCCTAGGACTTCTACAACAAATGAAACCTGGATGTTTTACTCCTCTCTGAAAGAGAAAATGAAGGAGGAAGAAGATATAACTACTGAATGATGAAATTCTTTCAAACATATTTTTTTAACAAAAACATAATGCATCCCCAAAACGCAGCTTTCCCCACTAATGTGACTCTTTCCTCTTCCCCCAGATTTTTTTTAAAGCCAGTCAAATTTAGCAGTGGGGGGTTTGTATACCAACTGCAGTGACACTAATGTTAATAAGCTCTGATAACCCACTACCATCAGACCAGCCCCAGATTATTTTTTTAAAGCCCTAAAAATGTAAATTCGGAAGACTACCTTCATATACTACCTTATGTGGTAAATATTAGATACTATGGGTTATTCCCAGATACAAGGCAGCCCAGGAGCTGAGTCCTCTCATCTAAAATGATGACAAATCAATGAGAAGTCTACTCCTGTGTTCAATTAAATAACCAGAGCTGCAAAGAAAGCTTCATTTAAAAAGACAGACTAGGAATAACTAATGCAAAAGCCATGTAAATTAAATATCTGAAAATCATCCAAAACAGAAGTCAGGGAATGACCTCACGCCCAACCCCTCAAGGCAAAGAAAAAATCTCATTATCCTGAAAGCACTGAAGTACAGCACTGGGAGATAGGCGGACGTGTACAGAAAATAGTCAACTGCAGTAAATCAGTAATAGTTCAAAGTCATGCCTTATAACACAGCCAGTGACCAATAATCAATGAGACAATAACACTTTCGATGTAGCTTTGTTTTTGTGACTTTGTTCATCAAAACTGTTTCTTGGCCAGGCACAGTGGCTCATGCCTGTAATCCCAGCACTCTGGAAGGCCGAGGCAGGTGGATTACCTAAGGTCAGGAGTTTGAGACCGGCCTGGCCAACATGGTGAAACCCCGTCTGTACTAAAAATACAAAAAAATTAGCCAGGCGTGGCGGCGGGCGCCTGTAATCCCAGCTACTCGGGAGGCTGAGGCAGGAGAATCACTTGAACTCGGCAGGCGGAGGTTGCAGCGAGCTGAGATTGTGCCACTGGGTAACAGAGTGAGACTGTCTCAAAAAACAAACCAACAACAACAACAACAACAAAAAATTTCTTGGTTTTTCTTTCTTTCTTCCTTGAGAAAGGGTCTCACCCTACAACCCAGATTGCAGTGCAAGTGGCACAATCACAGCTCACTGCAGCCTTAACCTCCCAGGCTCAAGCAATCTTCTCACCTCAGCCTCCCGAGTAGCTGGGACTACCACATCCAGCTAATCGTTTTATTTTGATTGCAAAGACAGGATCTCACTATGTTGCTCAGGCCAGTCTCAAACTCCTGACCTCAAACAATCCTCCTGCCATAGCCTTCCAAAAAACTGTTTCAATGGAAGTTGTAAAATTGTATTACAGCTATTTCTATAGAGCTGCTCATCTTAGAATGCAAATCAACTCTATGTCAGAGCCAACATGGCCTCCTCAGCTGTATTTTAGTTAATAACAGCCACAAGATTTCCAAGAACTGAGAACTAGGGTACCACAGTTAGCCTCTGCAACACTGCTAAGACAAGTACTATTTGGCTCTTAACCTCTAAGCAATTCACAACCAAGGAGCAGCTGCAAACACATTTCCAGATACTTTACAGACTGGCAGCAAAAGATACAACCCTTTTTCTTTTCTAGGCGTAGGAATCTATAATACAAAAGGGAGAATTGTGTCCTTTTGATTGTAAAGTTAAAAACAAACTTCAAATCACAGTGCTTCAACATCTCCAAAAATGACGCTGCATAAACCCAAGGCAGATTAGGACATCTGTTTTCAAAGCCTGAGTCAATTTTCCATTTCACCAAAAACACTGATTCCTGGACTTAGTAAATTGGTGCAGAGCAGCTCAATGTTCATAACTAGTATTTCCTCCCCTGTACATCCCAGGAGCGGGTTTAGAGACGCTGACTAAAAAAAATGAAGTCACACAAGCCCAAAGTTATTACCATCAGCCAACATTTAATACTAAAGAGGGGAGTTAATCAGAGGAAAGACACACATGCTAATTCAGAAATCCAGACCAAAGCTAGACAGGCTAAAACAGAGTCTGAATACAAAAGCAGTATTAGGGGAAGGCTAAGGAGTTTGCCATGGAGATGTAAGATGGCATTAATGGTTTAAAAAGAATCCTTCTAAAGCAGGGTTTCCAAACTTGCCTGAAGATAAGACATATTTAGGGCATTTGTTTAAAAACAAACACACTTTAAAAAAAGATCCCTGGGCGCTAATCTAAACCAACTAAAATCAGAAGTTTTCCAGGAGAATGATCTGGTAATCTGTATATCCAACAAGCACTTTAAGTGATTCTTGGTGTTAGGGAAGTCTAGAAAACACTATGCTAAAGGAGTATTAGTAATCAACTGTAAAGACACTGTGGTGTCTGAATGGATATTGGCAAGGAAAAGCTGATGAATATGTTGAATAACATGTTAAACATAATATATTGCATGCATTAATCAATGTTCCATCATAAAACACCATTAAAATTACAGCAAAAGGATTTTTTTTTTTTTTTTTTGAGACGGAGTCTCATTCTGTTGCCCAGGCTGGAGTGCAGTGGCGCTATCTCGGCTCACTGCAAGCTCCACCTCTCGGGTTCATGTCATTCTCCTGCCTCAGCCTCCCGAGTAGCTGGTACTACAGGCGCCTGCCACCACGCCCAGCTAATTTTTTTGTATTTTTAGTAGAGACGGGGTTTCACTGTGTTAGCCAGGATGGTCTCCATCTCCTGACCTCGTGATCTGCCTGCCTCAGCCTCCCAAAATGCCGGGATTACAGGCGTGAGATACCGTGCCTGGCCAGGATTTTTTTTTATAAAGACATAAACCAAACAACAAGCAAAAAAACTGGGAAAGGAGACAGCAGAGAGAGAGATGTCAACAAAGTTTTGGAAGGTAAAAAGCAAATGCACTAGTGATAAATAACTTCACAAAAGTAAAAAAAAAAAACAAAACACTGCAGTGGGAAGAAGCAAGCAGATTCCCACCACAGATGAACTTCTGAATCAAAACGTCTCAGAAATTAGAGGCACCTGGTACCTCGGGAAGATGGGGTGATAGTGTAGAAGGGGCTAAACAGGAGGACTGGTTGAAAGTCTGGGACTGGCACGGTGGCTCACACCTGTAATCCCAGAAGTTTGGGAGGCCGAGGCAGGTGGATTACTTGAGCTCAAGGGTTCGAGACCAGCCTGGTCAACCTGGTGAAACCCCGTCTCTACTAAACATACAAAAAAATTAGCCGATTGTGGTGGCTCATGCCTGTAGTTGCCAGCGACTTGGGAGGCTGAGGCAGCAGAATTGCTTGAACCTGGGAGGTGGAGGTTGCAGTGAGCTGAGATTGCACCACTGCACTCCAGCCCGGGCAACAGAGCAAGACTCCATCTTAAAAAAAAAAAGAAAAGTCTGTATAACAAATGGATTCCTCCATCCCTCCCCATGCTGCCAGGCAAATTAGAAAAGTTAAACCAGGCCAGGCTCGGTGGCTCATGCCTGTAATCCCAGCACTTTGGGAGGCCAAGGTGGGTGGAACACCTGAGGTCAGGAGTTCAAGACCAGCCTGGCCAAGATGGTAAAACCCCACCTCTATTAAAAATACAAACATTAGCCGGGCACGGTGGCAGGCACTTGTAATCCCAGCTACTTGGGAGGCTGAGGCAGGAGAATCCTTTGAAGCCGGGTGGCAGAGGTTGCAGTGGGCCAAGATAGCGCCACTGCACTCCAGCCTAGAGATGACAGAGTGAGACTCCGTCTCAAAAAAAAAAAAAAAAAAAAAGAAAAGCTGAACCAAAGAGTCCAAAGGAACTAGTCACAGCTAAGGGCAGTGACGGAAATAAGGGTATCAAGTGAAAAGCCTAATGAGTCAACGGTGAGACCTCTCCTACCTCCCCAGCTCCTTTCTCTCACTTGGCTCCAAAAACATTGGCAGCCAGACTTACACTCAAACACCTGCCACTGGCTTATACTCTCTAGGCAGGGGACTGGAGGAGTCCTTTTACCAGCCTGCCAGGGTGCCTGTAATCCCAATACCCTATAGTAGGGTCCACCACTTGATGAGCTTCTTAGTGTCACATTCTTAAAAATAAACAGAAGCCAAGGCTGGGCGCAGTGGATCACGCCTGTAATCCCAGCACTTTGGGAGGCTGAAGGGGGCGGATCACGAGGTCAGGAGATCGAGACCATCCTGGCTAACACAGTGAAACCCCGTCTCTACTAAAAATACAAAAAATTAGCCGGGCGTGGTGGCGGGCGCCTGTGGTCCCAGCTACTTGGGAGGCTGAGGCAGGAGAATGGCGTGAACCTGGGAGGCGGAGCTTGCAGTGAGCCGAGATCGCACCACTGCATTCCAGCCTGGGCGACAGAGCGAGACTCCGTCTCAAATAAATAAATAAATAAATAAATAAATAAATAAATAAATAAAATAAAATAAACAGAAGCCAGACACAGTGGCATGAGCCTGTAGTCCCAGCTACTTGGAGGTAGGAGGATAACTTAAGCCCAGGAGTTTGAATCCAGCCTGAGCCCCACAGCAAAACCCCATCTCTTAAAAAATAAATGGCCGGGCACGGTGGCTCACGTCTGTAATCCCAGCACTTTGGGAGGCCAAGGCGGGCGGATCATGAGGTCAGGAGTTTCAGACCAGCCTGACCAAGGTGGTGAAACCCCATCTCTACTAAAAATACAAAAATTAGCCACACTGATGGCAAGCGCCTATAATCCCAGCTACTCGGGAGGCTGAGGCAGGAGAATCGCTTGAACCCGGGAGGCGGAGGTTTGCAGTGAGCCGAGATTGTGCCACTGCACTCCAGCCTGGACGACAGAGTGAGATTCTGTCTCAAAAAAATAATAATAAATAAATAAATAAGGGCAGGTGCAGTGGCTCACACCTGTAATCCCAACACTTTAGGAGGCCGAGGCAGGCAGATCACCTGAGGTCAGGAGTTCAAGACCAGCCTGGCCAACATGGTAAAACCCTGTCTCTACAAAACTACAAAAATTAGCCGGGCATGATGGCGGGTGCCTGTAATCCCAGCTATTTGGGAGGCTGAGACAGGAGAATTGCTTGAACTGGGGAGGCAGATGTTGCAGTGAGCCAAGATCGTGCCATTGTACTCCAGCCTGGGCAACAGAGCCAGACTCCATCTCAAATAAATAAACAAATAAATAATAAAAATTGAATAAGCAGCTAAGAATTATCAAACAACTGAAGAAAATCTCTAACACGAAAGATAAGAATCAAAGTAACAAAACAGAATTCCTGACAATGTCCAAAAATACATGTAAAATTCAGATAATAAAAAGAGCCCTTGGAGACAGGGGTGGTGGCTCACGTCTGTAATCCCAGCACGTTGGGAGGCCAAGGCGGGTGGATCACAAGGTCAAGAGCTTTTTTTTTTTCTTTTGAGACGGAGTCTCCCTCTGTTGCCAGGCTGGAGTGCAGTGGCACCATCTTGACTCACTGCAACCTCCGCCTCCCGGGTTCAAGCAATTCTCCTACCTCAGCCTCCTGAGTAGCTGGGATTACAGGCGCACGTCACCACACCTGGCTAATTTTTTTTTTTTTTTTTTTTGGTATTTTAGTAGAGACAGGGTTAGGAGTTTGAGACCACCGTGACCAACAGGGTGAAACCCCATCTTTACTAAAAATATAAAAATTAGCTGGGCGTGGTGGTGTGTGCCTGTAATCCCAGCTACTTATGAGGCTGAGGCAGGAAAATCATTCGAACCCGGGAGGCCGAGGTTGCAGTGAGCCGAGATCACGCCACTGCACTCCAGCCTGGGCGACAGAGTAAGACTCTGTCTAAAAAAAAAACAAAAAGCCCTTGGAAATTAAACAAACTGATAACAGGAATTAAGCGACAACAGAGAGTCGGAAGAACAGCTAAGGAAATCTCACAAAAATTGAATGAAGGAAAAAAAAATTAGGGTTGGGCGTGGTAGCTCACACCTGTTATCCGAAGCACTTTGGGAGGCCAACACAGGCGGATCATTTGAGGTCAGGAGTTTGAGACCAGCCTGGCCAACATGGTAAGACTCTGTCTCTACTAAAAATACAAAAATCAGGCGGGCGTTGTGGCGCACGCCTGTAATCCTAGCTACTTAGGAGGCTGAGGCAGGGGAATCCCTTGAACCCAGGAGGCGGAGATTGCGGTGACCCGAGATAGCACCACTGCATGCCAGCCAGGATGACAAAGTGAGACTCTGTCTCAAAAAAAAAAAAAAAAAGGAAAAATTGAATAGGAAAAAAAAATTAGAGTACCAACCTAGGAGTTTCACCATCTGAGTAACAGCGTTTCCAGAAAGAGAGAGGAGATAAATAATTATCAAAGTGAGAATACATTATCAATACAAGAAATAATACAAGAAAATTTCCCAGGATAGATTGAAATAAGCTTCCAGACTGAAAAGGTCCACTGAATGCTGAGTATGATGAATTTTTAAATATCCACACCAAGGCACAACATGGTTGCATTTCAGAATGTCAGGGATAAAGGCAAGATCCTAAAGTCTTCCAGAGAAAAAACACAGATCCCATACAAAGAATCTAGAGTCAAAATAGCATCAAACTTCATAATGCCACTATTAAAAGTTAGAAACCTTGGGAGGCCGAGGCGGGTGGATCATGAGATCAGGAGTTCAAGACCAGCCTGGCCAAGATGGTAAAACCCCGTCTCTACTAAAAACACAAAAATTAGCCGGCCGTGATGGTGGGCGCCTGTAATCTCAGCTACTCAGGAGGCTGAGGCAGGGAATTGCTTGAACCCAGGGAGGTGGAGGTTGCAGTGAGCTGAGATCGCACCAGTGCACTCCTGCCTGGGCGACAGAGTGAGACTCCGTCTTAAAAAAAAAAAAAAAAAAAGAGGCTGAGTGAGGCAGCTCATGCCTGTAATCCCAGCACTTTGGGAGGCCAAGCCAGGAGGATCGGTTGAGGCCAGGAGTTCGAGACCAGCCTGGCTGATATGGCAAAACTCCATCTCTACACACGCCTGTAGTTCCAGCTACTCGGGAGGCTGAGGCAAAAGAATCGCTCGAACCGGGAGGTGGAGGTTGCAGTGAGCCAAGATTGCACCACTGCACTCCAGCCTGGGCAACAGAGCAATTCTCTGTCTCAAAAGAAAAAAAAAGGTTAGAAGACCACAAAGCAAGGGCTTATAATTTCCAAAGAAATATAATCTCCAGTAGAAAATTTTATATCTAGGCTGGGCACAGTTGACTCATGCCTGTAATCCCAGCACTTTGGGAGGCTGAGGCGGGTGGATCACCCCGAGGTCAGGAGTTCGAGACCAGCATGGCCAACACGGTGAATGAAACCCTTTAGTCACCAAAAATACAAAAAATTAGCCCAGGCGTGGTGGCAGATGCCTATAATCCCAGCAACTCGGGGCGGTGCTGAGGCAGGAGAATCGCTTGAATATGGGAGGCGGAGGTTGCAGTGAGCCGAGATCCCATCACTGCACTCGGGCCTGGGTGACAGAGCAAGACTCCATCTCAAAAAAAAAAAAAATTTTTTTAATCCAGTCAAACTGCCAAGTGTGAAGGAAGAAAGGAGGTAATTCAGATATGCAAGGCCTCAAAAAAGTCCCACTCTCCAGAGGCCAGGCGCGGTGGCTCATGCCTGTAATCCCAGCACTTTGGGAGGCCAAGACAGGCAGATCACCTGAGGTCGGGAATTCGAGACCAGCCTGACCAACATGGAAGAAACCCGTTCTCTACTAAAAATACAAAATTAGCTGGGCATGGTGATGCATGCCTGTAATCCCAGCTACTCGGGAGGCTGAGGTAGGAGAATTGCTTGAACCCGGGAGGCGGAGGTTGTGGTGAGCTGAGATCGTGCCATTGCACTCCAGCCTGGGCAACAAGAGCGAAACTCCGTCTCAAAAAAAAAAAAAAAAAAAAAGTCTCACTCTCCAAAGACTCCTTTCATAAAGCCTCTGGAAGAGGTGCTCCACTAATGTGCTTCAATGATGAGAAGAGGTTTATACCTGTCAGAGTTTAGGGATGAATCAGTGACTTTCCGTAAAACAAGCAGAAAACAAAAAAGGGAAGGAAGGAAAAGAATGACAATTACTATGTCTAGGGAAAAACTACACAAGGAAGTAAAGGTAATCGAATGATACAGTCATTATACTGGGCGCTAAATTTTTTTTCTTTTGTAACTTTCACTTCTACTTCCTTCTGGATTCATCTGGAGGCCTGGGAACTACATTTATCAGAATCCTCCATCAGTGCCATTGTGGTTTAAATTCTACCAACACTTAAGATTTGCACAATGGGCTGGGCGTGGTGGCTCAAGCCTGTAATCCCAGCACTTTGGGAGGCCGAGGCGGGCGGCCATCCTGGCTAACACGGTGAAACCCCGCCTCTACTAAAAATACAAAAAATTAGCTGGGCGTGGTGGCGGACGCCTGTTGTCCCAGCTACTAGGGAGGCTGAGGCAGGAGAATGGCGTGAACCCAGGAGGCAGAGCTTGCAGTGAGCTGAGATCGCGCCACTCTGCACTCCAGCCTGGGTGACAGGGCAAGACTCCGTCTCAAAAAAAAAAAAGGAAAAAAAGAAGATTTGCACAATGGAAGAAGGGTAGATGCCATTATTGCTTCTCCAGTAGCAACGAGAGCGTGCGTGGCCTCGGACAGATGGCAGACATGTGGTTTGCAGCCATTTCTAATTTTCTGCAAACTGCCTGTTTTGGTGCTTAAGGCAGCTAAGATTATTAACAGAAGCCATTTCTTGAAATTCCTGCAACGAGGTTTCCCTGATCTATGCTCTTCCAGCCTTCCAATGGTCTTGTAAGCATCTAAAATATCCTCTTTGAAATAACAAAAATGGTTTTCCTTTTTTTTTGAAGAAAGGGTCTCGCTCTTTCACCCAGGATGGAGTGCAGTGGTGTGATCATGGCTTACTGCATGCAGCCTTGACCTACCAGCTCAAGTGATCCTCCCACCTCTCAGCCTCCCAAATAGCTGGAACTACAAGTGCATGCCACCATACCTAGATAATTTCCGGTTGTTTTTTTTGTTTGTTTGTTTGTTTGTTTTGAGACAGAGTCTCACTCTGTCACCAGGCTTGAGTGCAGTGGCGCAATCTCAGCTCACTGCAACCTCCGCCTCCCAGGTTCTCCCAAGCAATTCTTCTGCCTCAGCCTCCCGAGTAGCTGGGACTACAGGCATGCGCCTCCCGAGTAGCTAGGACTACAGGCGTGCGCCTCCCGAGTAGCTGGGACTACAGGCACTTGCCACCACACCCAGCTAATTTTTGTATTTTTAGTAGAGACAGGGTTTTACCATGTTGGCCAGGATGGTCTCAATCTCCTTACCTTGTGATCTGCCTGCCTCAGCCTCCCAAAGTGCTGGGATTACAGGCGTGAGCCACTGTGCCTGGCCTGTTTTTTTTATTATTATTTTTTGAGATGGAGTTTTCTTCTTGTTGCCCAGGCTGGAGTGCAATGGCACAATCTCAGCTCACCGCAACCTCTGTCTCCCACATTCAGGCAATTCTCCTGCCTCATCCTCCCGAGTAGCTGAGATTACAGGCATGCACCACCACGCCTGGCTAAATTTGTATTTTTAGTAGAGATATGGTTTCTCCATGTTGGTCAGGCTGGTCTCGAACTCCCAACCTCAGGTGATCCGCCCGCCTCGGCTTCCCAAAGTGTTCAGATTACAGGTGTGAGCCACAGTGCCCGGCCCAATTTTGTATTTTTAGTAGAGACGGGGTTTCACCATGTTGGCCAGGCTGGTCTCAAACTCCCAATCTCAGGCCTCGGCCTCCTAAAGTGCTGGGATTACAGGCTTGTGCCATCACCTTCAGCCTCAACAGATAATATGTAAGAATGGAAAACTCAAGAAAGAACTGTATAGCCAGGTGCAGCGGTGCACACCTGTACTCCCCACTAAGGCAGGAGGACTGCTTGAGCCCAAGAGTTCAATGCCATCCTGGACAACACAGCAAGACTTCATCTATCAAAAAAAAAAAGAAAGAATAAACAGCCTAAACATACTATATAGAAATATGGATAATATACATCAGGGAAAAAAAATTGCAAAAGTGGTTAAAAACAAACAAGCAGAAATAAAGTAGTGTTTTTTTTCTAATTATAAGCCTTGTAGTACTGTCTGATTCTTTATGTATTCTTACTATTTTGACAAAAAACAATTACCAAAAATCAAAAAACCCTAACACTGTATAAGCAAAATCACCATATAAACAAACTGACCAAAATTTCAAAATATAAGGTCAACGTTGGATCTGGTACCAATGCAGTTAAGGAGAATAGAAAATCCCAAACAAAACAAAAAATTTTAAAGACTTAATTAAGCCCAACTCTAGAATCAGTATCTTGACTCAACTCAAATGGCAGCAGGCTGGCTAATGTGACCTGAATCTCTGCCACAGCCTGGGTGTAACCACACAGTGATCAACAACCCCACAGCTTACTCTAACAGAGGGCAAATATGAGAGCAACTTCCAATCTACCATAGGAAATCATAACCAAAATTAATTGCAAAGGTATGCACAAAAATAGAGAAATGAGCCAGGTATGGTGGCTCACGCCTGTAATACCAGCACTTTGGGAGGCCGAGGCGGGCAGACGACCTGAGGTCGGGAGTTCAAGACCAGCCTGACCAACATGGTGAAACCCTGTCTCTACTAAAAATGCAAAATTAGCCGGGCATGGTGGCGCATGCCTGTAATTCCAGCTACTCAGGAGGCTGAGGCAGGAGAATCGCTTGAACCAGGAGGCAGAGGTTGCAGTGAGCCGAGATCACACCATTGCACTCCAGCCTGGGCAACGAGTGAAACTCCACCTCAAAAAAAAAAAAAGAGAAATTAATATTAAAATCAATTACTGGCCGGGCACGGTGGCTCATACCTGTAATCCCATCACTTTGGGAGGCCAAGGTGGATCACTTGAGCTCAGGAATTCGAGACCAGCCTGGGAAACATGGCAAAAGCATCTACAAAAATACAAAAATTAGGCCAGGCATGGTGGTACTCATGCCTGTAATCCCAGCACTTTGGGAGGCCAAGGCGGGTGGACTGCTTGAGGTCAGGAGTTCAAGACCAGCCTGGCCAACATGGTGAAACCCTGTCTCTACTAAAACTACAAAAATTAGCTGTGTGTGGTGGCGTGCACCTGTGATTCCAGCTACTCCAGAGGCTGAAGCATGAGAATTGCTTGAACCTGGGAGCCACAGACTGCAGTGAGCTGAGATCACGCCACTGTACTCTGGTCTGGGCAACAGAGCGAGACCCTGTCTCAAAAAAAAAAAAAAAAAAAAAAAAAAAATTAGCCAGGCATGGTGGCATGTGCCTGCAATCCCAGCTACTCAGGACGCTGAGGTGGGAAGATCGCTTGAGCCCAGGAGGCAGAGGTTGCAGTGAGCAGACATCACACCACTGCACTCCAGCCTGGGTGACAAAGCCAGATCCTGTCTCAAAAAAAAAAAAAAAGTAAAATCAATTACCTTAACTCTCTTTTTAGGTCTTGTTTTCAATGTAATGCCACTAACTGCTAAAAAAAAAAAAAAAAAGAAAGAAAAAATCAAAGAATCTTTAGACATTCTAAGAAACTGTTAATTAGATTTAAAATACAATTACGAGGCAGGCTGAAACCTAGTCATTGATGACCAAAAAAAAACAGCTCTTCTCAGATTTTAAGCTAGCCATATCTCATATTATTACTAGCTCCCAACTTCCAAGAGCCAGGCTTCATCTGCACGCTCCATATATAAAAGTAGAAAAGCGGCCAGGCATGGTGGCTCACGCCTGTAATCCCAGCACTTTGAGGCGCCAAGGCGGGTGGATCACAAGGTCAGGAGTTCAAGACCAGCCTGGCCAAGATGGTGAAACCCTGTCTCTACTAAAAATACAAAAAATTAGCTGGGCGTGGTGGCGGGCACCTGTAATCCCAGCTACTCAGAGGCTGAGGCAGAGAACTGCTTGAACCCGGGAGGCAGATGTTGCAGTGAGCTGAGATCGTGCCACTGCACTCCAGCTGGGACACAGAGCAAGACTCCGTCTCAAAAAAAAAAAAAAAAAAAGGTAGAAAAGCACAGAGAACAGTCAGATAGAAGGAAAATCCAGTGATGACAGTCCCCACTAAGAAAAGGCCTGAAAGAAAACTTAAACAGATGCTCCATAAAATGCTGATCCAGACTTCACATGGAGACAAGTGTCATGCCTCATTTCAAAGATAATATATTAAGTCCCAACTCACCACAGATAATCTAATAACAAATCTGTGACTTTCATTGTCAAGGAGTCTCTTCTCTTACATTCTAATACCCTTAAGCCATCAGAAACACAGATGCTCCTTGCTGAAATGCTAGAAAATTTGCACATTTCCGTCCCTTGATCACTAGTGATGGGCTGCTAAGTCAAGAGTCTACTTTAAGTTATAAAAACAGGGCAAGCTGATCCAATTAAACAGAAGTACTAAATCAAACAGGACCATCTGGGTTTTAAGTACTGTGATTTCTGAACAAAAGTCAATACACTTGCAGATAAAAACACTTTCATATATTCAGAATTATAATGGCCCTTGGGCTACCTTGCGTGTCCAACAAGACTTACGTGTCATGCTAAGACATATGGCCTAGATGATGGGTATGACAGTATATTCATCGGTTCAAAATAAAAGAACATCTGTTCTCTCCCTAGCACCATGAAGATTATTTTTAAAACAGTCAACATTCCCTAACAGTAAATAAGTTTTTTCTTTTTTTAAACACTCCTCCCTGCTCCTCCCACTAAAAGTAAATAGGTTTTCTGTTTCCTAAATAGCAAGTCTGGTAAACTAACAATCCCATCATCCCCCATAATCTAAAAATTGTTCCCCAATAAGCCTAATCTCCAAAACAATTTCTAAGATCCTAAAATTTTAAGAGCTAATCCAGCCAACCAAGTTTGATTTGCAGGACCTATGAGAAATCAAGACTAAAAGAATAGGTTTCATCCAGGAAAGTTCTTATAAAAACTGTTTCACTGCACAAGCATCAGACTTCTTTATGACACTGATGGTCTCATCATCAACACTAGTAAAAGAACTGACAGGAAAAAAAAAAGCCCTATTTTAGAAGCTGACCTCAAAATTCACTATCCTATTACTCTTTTAGTTGTTGTTTTTTGAAACAGGGTCTCACTCTGTCTCCGAGGTTGGAGTGCAGTGGTGCTGCAACAGCTCACTGCAACCTCCCTCTCCTGGGGCTCAAGTGATCCTCCTCCCTCAGCCTCCTGAGCGGCTAGAACCACGGGTGCTCATCACCATGCCCAGCTAATATTTTAATTATATAGAGACTGGGGGGTCTCCCTATGTTGCCCAGATTGGTTGTGAACTTCTAGGCTCAAGTGATCCTCCCACCTTGGTCTCCCAAAGTGTTGGTATTACAGGCATGAGCCACCATGCCAGCCTATTTACCCATTTTTTAGGACAGCTCACATTCTGAAGCCTTGCCTCCTACCTGTCTGTTTTTCACTCCCTAAGCTCCAGCCACACTGGAACCTCTTTCAATTCCTCAAAATACAAACATTCTTTCCCTCCTCAGGACATTCACCTGTGCCATCTCCTCTACCTAGGTCAGTCTTTTGTCCTCCCTTCATTCTTAGGTTTCACCCTTAAAAGTCAATTCCTCAGAGACCTTCTCTGACTGCCCTTCCTCTCAATCAACCTGGGATGGGCTAACCATTAGCTGTCTCCACAGCATTTACAGCAACAGTAATAATTATTTGTTTAATAAATGTCTTTGGGCCAGGCACGGTGGCTCACACCTACAATCCCAGCACTTTAGGAGGCCGAGGCAGGAAGATCACTTGAGGTTAGGAGTTTTGAGGCCAGCCTGGCCAACATGGTGAAACCCCATCTCTACTAAAAATACAGAAAAAATTAGCCAGACATGGTGGTGCACCTGTAGTCCCAGCTACTTGGGAGGCTACAGCAGAATGGCTTGAACCTGGGAGGCAGAGGTTGCGGTGAGCCAAGATCATGCCACTGCACTCCAGCCTGGCTAATAGAGCTAGACTCTGTCTAAAACAAATAAATAAATAAATGAATAAATGTCTTTGGCCAGGTGCGGCGGCTCACACCTGTTATCCCAGCACTTTGGGACGCCGAGGTGGGCGGATCACCTGAGGTCAGGAGTTCGAGACCAGCCTAATAAGGAGAAACCCCGTCTCTACTAAAAATACAAAATTAGCCGGGCGTGGTGATGCATGCCTGTAATCCTAGCTACTCGGGAAGCTGAGGCAGGAGAATCGCTTGAACCCGGGAGGCAGAGGTTGCGGTGAGTTGAGATCATGCCATTGCACTCCAGCCTGGGCAACAAGAACAAAACTCATCTAAAAAAAAAAAAAGACCAGCCTGGGCAACTTGGCAAAGCCCCACCTCTACAAAAACTACAAAAATTAGCCATGGTGGCATGCATCTGCAGTCCCAGCTATTTAGGAGGCTAAGGCAAGAGAATCACTTGAGCCCAGGAGGTGGAGGTCGCAGTGAGCCAAGATGGGAATGAAACCTTGTCTAAAAAAAAAAAGTCTTCCACCGTAAGTGGAAGACCAAGTCAGGGCCAGGTGTGGTGGCTCATGCCTGTAATTATGGCACTTCGAGATAGGAGGACTGCTTAAGCCCGAGTTCAAGACCAGCCTAGGCAACAAAGTGAGACCTCACGTCTACAAAAAATTTTAAAAATTGTGCACACACCTGTGGTCCCAGCTACACAGGAGGCTGAGGTGGGAGGACTGCTTGAGCCCAGAAGGTTGAGGCTACAATGAACCATGTTTGCACCACTAAATTCCCGCCTGGGTGACAGAGAGAGACTCTGTCTCAAAAAAAAAAAGACCAAGAAAATTTGTTCACTGCCCTATCTGCATCCCCTGCATCCCCTACCACAGTACTTGGCACACAGTAGGAACTCAAAAATTCTTGTTGAATAAATGAATAACGAACATCAAAAAAAATCAGCTTCAGCAATTCTAGTTCTAAGAATTTACCCTACAGACACAGTCATATATGCAAAGAGCCAAATATATATGCTTCTTCACTGCAGCATAGTTTGTAATAGCAAAAGACTGGAAACTGTGTATGTCTATCAGTGTAAGGTAGGTGCCAAGTATCTTTATTGCTGATAGGGAGTAACAGTCAAAAGAGGTATAAAAATGGCCGGGCGCGGTGGCTCACGCCTGTAATCCCAGCACTTTGGGAGGCCGAGGCGGGCGGATCACGAGGTCAGGAGATCGAGACCATCCCGGCTAAAACGGTGAAACCCCGTCTCTACTAAAAATACAAAAAATTAGCCGGGCGTAGTGGCGGGCGCCTGTAGTCCCAGCTACTTGGGAGGCTGAGGCAGGAGAATGGCGTGAACCCGGGAGGCGGAGCTTGCAGTGAGCCGAGATCCCGCCACTGCACTCCAGCCTGGGCGACAGAGCGAGACTCCGTCTCAAAAAAAAAAAAAAAAAAAAAAACAAAAAGAGGTATAAAAACAAGCAAAAGATACAGATAGTATTAACAGTGTGCTACATTTATTAAAACAACAACAACAAAAAAAAAAACAAGAAATATACATATTTGCTTTATATGTACCTGGTATCTCTGGAACAAACTTTTTTTGTTTTTTGTTTTGTTTTGAGACAAAGTCTTGCTCTGTCACCCAGGCTGGAGTGCAGTGGCACAATTTTAGCTCACCATTCCGCCTCCCAGGTTCAAGTGATTCTTGTGCCTCAGCCTCCCGAGTAACTGGGACTACAGGCACACACCACCATGCCCCGCTAATTTTTATATTCTTAATAGAGACAGGGTTTCACCATGTTGGCCAGGCTGGTCTCCAACTTCTGACCTCAGGTGATCCGCCCGCCTCAGCCTCCCAAAGTGCTGGGATTACAGGTGTGAGCCACCGCAACCAGCCTGGAACAGATCTAAAGAAAATAATAATACGAGTTGCCTCTGGGAAGATGAACTGGATTGATAGGAAGACAAACATAGATGTTTCCAAGGGTATTCACTATATACTTTCTTTTTCTTGGCAGGTGAGTTGATACATACTCCTTAGTGGATTCTGACTTCCATGGCCACCATCCTGCTTATATACTTTTTTATCTTTTAAATTTTGTATTATTTATTTAAAATATAACATTTGTGGCCAGGAGCAGTGACTCACACCTGTAATCCCAGCACTTTGGAAGGCCGAGGCAGGCAGATCACGAGGTCAGGAGTTTGAGACCAGCCTGGCCAACATGGTGAAACCCCGTCTCTACTAAAAATACAAAAATTAGCTGGACGTGGTGGCACACACCTGTAATCTCAGCTACTTGACACGGTGAGGCAGGAGATTGCTTGAGCCTGGGAGGCAGAGCTTGCAGTGAGCCCAGATCTTGCCACTCCACTCCAGCCTGGCTGACACAGTGAAACTCTGTCTCAAAAAAAAATAAATAAATAGGCTGGGCGTGGTGGCTCACGCCTGTAATCCCAGCACTTTGGGAGGCTGAGGCGGAAAGATCACTAGGTCAGGAGTTCAAGACCAGCCTGGGCAACAAGGTGAAACCCCACCTCTACTAAAAAATACAAAAATTAGTTGGGCATGGTGGCGTGCACCTGTAATCTCAGCTACTCAGGAGGCTAAGGCAGCAGAATCGCTTGAACTCAGGAGGCAGAGGCTGCAGTGAGCCGAGATTGTGCCATTGCACTCCAGCCTGGGCAACAGAGCAAGACTCAGTCTCAAAAATAATAATAATAAATTTAAAAAATTAAAAAAATAAAATTTGCTAAAAACAGTTCTGTTCTTATTTCTAAGACAAGGAAAGAAGCAGTTTAAATGTCTCACATCTGGATCTTAGATAATAAACATCCTCCCTACTAGGTGAGCACTGGGAGGGCAGGAATGGAAGAAGGAAAAGTCCACTTATCCACAAATCTCAGACATCGCATCTCATACTAGTGTACTACCTTAGAAGAAAATTCCAAAGGCCGGGCACAGTGGCTCATGCCTGTAATCCCAGCACTTTGGGAGGCCAAGGTGGGCGGATCGCGAGGTCAGGAGTTCGAGACCAGTCTGGCCAACATAGTGAAATCCCGTCTCTACTAAAAATACAAAAAAAAAAAAATTAAATTAGCCGGGTGTGGTGGTGTGCGCCTGTAATCCCAGCTACTCGGGAGGCTGAGGCAGGATAATCGCATGAACCCGGGAGGTGGAGGTTGCAGTGAGCTGGGATCGCACCACTGCACTCCAGACTGGCCGACAGAACGAGACTCCATCTCAAAAAAAAAAAAATTTTTTTTTTTTTTTTTTTACCAACTATCCCAATCTGAATACATATGGAGAATGTTTTCACAGTCAGAGGGATTATTGGGAGGAAAAAAAAAGATTATTCGATTCAGCATTTCCAGAAGCACAGAAAGTAGGTCAGTGAATTTGCACTTTAGAAATATCATAATTACTTGCTAAAAACAAATTATTTCCACTGAGGGGCCTCAAAATCCAAATGGCACTCAATTTGAATCCATGAAGCTTAAGAAACTAAATTTTTTTTGAAAATCAATTATAATGGCTGAGCCTGGTGGCTCACACCTATAATCCCAGCACTTTGGGAGGCCGGCAAAAGTTCAAGACCAGGCTGGGCAACATGGCGAAACCCCATCTCTACAAAAAATAAAAATTAGTGAGGCATAGTGGCGTGCGCCTGTAGTCCCAGCTACACAGGAGGCTGAAGTGGGAAGAACACCTGAGCCTGAGCCTGGGGAGGTCGAGGCTACAGATCACGCCGCCACACTCCAGCCTGGGCAAGAGAGAGAGATCCTGTCTCAAAATAAAAAGGGAATGATCTTCACGATCCATCCCAAAACATATTGGAGATAACCCTACCTTTAGCTAACTATCCCCTGAAAAACAAGAGAGTATTTACTAAGTAGAACACATTGTTGGATAGCCATTCCAAATTGCTCTAACTTTGCCAAGCTTAAATGGCAAGGAAGAAACCAATTCCTGGCTCCCCTATTTGATAACTTACATACTTCTGCAGGCTCTTAAGCCAAAATGAGCCAAAATCTTAAAGAGAGTTAAGACTGACATAGACATTAGCAAACATATCACCTTTTTTTCCTATTAACATTGTTGTTCCCCATAAAGGTCTATTCAGCATTTTTTTTTTAGTAGCCCTCTGTAGATATCAAGAAATGCTCATAAATTTAGCCTGTAGTTCCTCAGGCTCAATGGCTTGTGAGAAAAGAAAAAAAAAAAAAAAGTTGGAAATACTGTCTTCTCTTCCACAATGCCCACGAAGCTAGGCAAAGGCAATGATTCTGCATTTAATCACTAGATGAATAAGAAACAGACTTGAATTTAGAAGAAAGATAAAGGACCGCAAGAACATTCAGTAAAGAGTACTGCCTCTATTTCTTTGCAAAGCAGCTCTCAGGATCTGCCAATGAACCTCATTTTGACATGGAACGCCCCATCCACTCTAATCCGGGGCATATCCCTCAAGACACAGTCAGTCAACCGGAACTCTGCCAACTTTTGCTTGGGAGTTGTGTGAAGAATAGTAGCAACAAGAGCCTACTTTGAGAAGGAGATCAACAATCACACTCAAGAAGAAAAGAAGTTATTTGGCAAAGGGATGCATGTTGCCAAAATGTTAGTCACAGCTTCAAGGGCCCAGTTTGTGTCTCTACAACTATTCTTTGCTTTGACAGAGGCCATTATCTGACCCAGGAAACAGCTCAGCTTCTGTCACCCTCCCCATCTGAAGCAGTGAAGAATCCTTTCAATTTGGTAGTATCAAACTGTGACACAGACAAGATGTCCACCAGAGACTAAAAGGGGAGAAAAAATGTGTAATTTGCCACTTTCTACATAGGACTGGCTCAAGCAGAGCAACGGAAAACTGTGACAGGATAGGAAAAATGGAAAATCATTATGTTAAAGAAGCAGGCTGGGCCGGGCGCGGTGGCTCACGCCCGTAATTTCAGCACTTTGGGAGGCCGAGGCGGGTGGATCACAAGGTCAGGAGATCAAGACATCCTCGCTAACAAGTTGAAACCCCGTCTCTACTACAAAAAAAAAAAAAAAAAAAATACAAAAAATCAGCCGGGCGTGGTGGCAGGCGCCTGTAGTCCAGCTCCTCAGGAGGCTGAGGCAGGAGAATGGCGTGAACCTGGGAGGCGGAGCTTGCAGTGAGCCGAGATTGCGCCACTGCACTCCAGCCTGGGGGACAAAGTGAGACTCCGTCTCAAAAAAAAAAAAAAAAAAGAAAAGAAAAGAAAAAAAAAATAAGCAGGCTGTACCAAAAGTCCGCCCAGGAGCACCGAGCCTCCATATGTTATCTCAAAATCCCCTTAAAAAACAAACCAAAAAGGTACACTGTAGGTTGCAATAGCATAATATTAAGCAGGTTTTTACTCCCAAATAAGTACATATATTTTGTAGCCTGCAACTCTTCCTGGGGTTGTAAGAAGACTATGTTTGCTGAAGCTGCCTGAACCAAGAGCCCATGAATTTCACAGTTATTTCAGAGCAGGAAAACAGACTAACATATACCAGGTTACTCTCCCAATCAGAGAACACAAGTAAAGAAAGAACATTTAATAATTTTCTCGGGCCGGGCGCGGTGGCTCACGCCTGTAATCCCAGCACTTTGGGAGGCCGAGACTGGCAGATCACAAGGTCAGAAGTTCGAGACCAGCCTGACCAACACAGTGAAACCTCGTCTCTACAAAAATACAAAAATTAGCCAGGCGTGATGGCACCCAGCTACTCAGGAGGCTGAGGCAGGAGAATCGCTTGAACCTGGGAGGTGGAGGTTGCAGTGAGCAGAGATCATGCCATTGCACTCCAGCCTGGGCAACTGAGCGAGACTCCGTCTCAAAAAAAAAAAAAAAAAACCCAAAAAAAAATTTTCTCTTCAACAGAACAAGACTTCTGTCTCTTGCCTCTTGCCTTTTTTTTTTCCTAAAAACACCTAGTGAGTCTAGAATCTCTTCCCTTCGTAAAAGCCATCAGTAAAACCTGAAAACTCCAATGTTCACACCTCTCCTGCATTTCACCTTGGTGCTATCACATAACTTATCAGTACCAGCTAGGGTAAACACTACTCTAGTATCAAGTGTGAGGTGGAATTAGTAAATGACCAGCCTGGCCAACATGGCAAAACCCTGTCTCTACTAAAAATACAAAAATTAGCCAGGTGGCACATGCCTGTAATCCCAGCTACTTGGGAGGCTGAGCCAGGAGAATTGCTTGAACCCAGGAGACAGAGGTTGCAGTGAGCCAAGATTGTGCCATTGCACTCCAGCCTGGGCAATACAGCAAGACTCTGTCTCAAAATAAATAAATAAACAAATAAAAAAACAAACACTACATTCTACTAGTCTTCATCAATTGACTTCATTCATCTCCACCTTCCCCAACTCTTAACTTCCCTATCTTCATCTTGATGGCAACCAATGTAACACAATATGAAATTTTTACTTTTAAAAGTTGACATTAATAAGAGTTAAAAAACTAAACATGCGGCCAGGTGTGGTAGCTCATGCCTGTAATCTCAACACTTTGGGAGGCCGAGGTGGGTGGATCACCTGAAGTCAGGAGTTCGAGACCAGCCTGACCAACATGGTGAAACCCCATCTCTACTAAAATACAAAAAATTAGCTGGGCGTGGTGGTGCATGCCTATAGTACCAGTTACTTGGGGGACTGAGGCAGGAGAAGCGCTTGAATCCGGCAGGCGGAGGTTGCAGTGAGCCAAGACTGCGCCATTCCACTCCAGCCTGGGCAGCAGGAGCGAAACTCTGTCTCAAAAAAAAAAAAAAAAAAAAAAAAAAAAAAAAACTGAATATGCATCAAATCAAAACCAGTTCTTCCCTGGCTGGCACGCAGACACACACACACACACACAAACACACACACACATGAGCAAGGCTAAGAGGAAGAAACAGAAAAACATGTTTCCTTTTGTTGTTGTTGTTGTTGTTGTTGAGGTGGAGTTTCGCTCTTGTTGCCCAGGCTGGAGTGCAATGGCGCGATCTCAGCTCACTGCAATCTCAGGTGATCCACCACCTTGGCCTCCCAAAGCGTTGGGATTATAGGCATGAGCCAGCGCGCCCAGCCTTGTTTTCCTTTAAGAGACAGGTCGGCCAGGCGCGGTGGCTCACACCTGTAATCCCAGCACTTTGGGAGGCCAAGGTGGGCAGATCACGAGGTCAGGAGTTCGAGACCAGCCTGGCCAATACGGTGAAACCCTGTCTCTACTAAAAATACAAAAATTAGCTGGGCGTGGCAGCACGCGCCTGTAATCCCAGCTACTTGGGAGGCTGAGCCAGGAGAATTGCTTGAACCCAGGAGACAGAGGTTGCAGTGAGCCAAGATTGTGCCATTGCACTCCAGCCTGGGCAATACAGCAAGACTCTGTCTCAAAATAAATAAATAAACAAATAAAAAAACCAACACTACATTCTACTAGTCTTCATCAATTGACTTCATTCATCTCCACCTTCCCCAACTCTTAACTTCCCTATCTTCATCTTGATGGCAACCAATGTAACACAATATGAAATTTTTACTTTTAAAAGTTGACATTAATAAGAGTTAAAAAACTAAACATGCGGCCAGGTGTGGTAGCTCATGCCTGTAATCTCAACACTTTGGGAGGCCGAGGTGGGTGGATCACCTGAAGTCAGGAGTTCGAGACCAGCCTGACCAACATGGTGAAACCCCATCTCTACTAAAATACAAAAAATTAGCTGGGCGTGGTGGTGCATGCCTATAGTACCAGTTACTTGGGGGACTGAGGCAGGAGAAGCGCTTGAATCCGGCAGGCAGAGGTTGCAGTGAGCCGAGATCACGCCACTGCACTCCAGCCTGGGTGAAAGAGCGAGACTCCGTCTTAAACAAACAAACAAAAAAAGAGACAGAGAGAGAGATGGGGTATTGCTACGTTGCCCAGAATGGTCTCGAACTCTTAGACTCAAGCAATCCTCCTGCCTCAGCCTCCCAAGTAGCTGGGATTACAGGCAGGTGCACCATTGTATGTCTTTTAAATATCAATATCTCAATCTCATTTTCAGAGATCACTTCTATGCAACCACTTTAAAGATCCCATGTGTTAAGACAAACTTTTAGAGGCAGGGACAGAGAAAACCTATATTTCAAAGGGGAAAAAAATGAGAGCTTAATAATTTGCCTTGAAGTTATTTACTAAATCCATAGGTAGGCTAAAACTGTCCTTATTCCCTGTGGTTCTCTTCTGATTTGTAAAAGGAGAACAGAATAGCCAAAAACATTCAGTAAGACAGTCAAAAACCAAAACCGTAAGGCAAAAATAACAGCATGAAAAAGGACGGGGACCCTGGGAGAGCCCAAAGCAATAACAGATTATTCAAGTCCTTTAAAAAATATGAATTCTGGACAGGCGCAGGGGCTCACGCCTCTAATCCCAGAACTCTGGGAGGCAGAGGCGGGCGGATCACGAGGTCAGGAGATCCAGACCATCCATCCTGGCTAACACAGTGAAACCCCGTCTCTACTAAAAATTCAAAAAAAAATTAGCCAGGTGTGGTGGTGGGCACCTATAGTCCCAGCTACTCGGGAGGCTGAGGCAGAAGAATGGGCGTGAACCCGGGAGGCGGAGCTTGCAGTGAGCCGAGATCGCACCGCTACACTCCAGCCTAGGCCACTGAGCGAGACTCCATCTCAAAAAAAAAAAAAAAACGAATTCTGGGCCAGGCACAGTGGCTCATCCCTGTAATCCCAGCACTTGCGGAGGCCGAGACAGGAGGATCACTTGAGCCCAGGAATTCCAGACTAGCCTGGACAACAGGGCAAGACTCTGTCTCCAACAACAACAACAAAAAAATATATATATATACATATATATATATATATATATATATATATATATATATATATATATACACACACACACGTTAGGCGGGAGTAGTGGTCACACCTGTGGTCCCAGCTATTGGCGGGGCTTAGGTGGAAGGACCACTTCAGCCCGGGAGGTCGAGGCTTTAAGGAGCCATGATCATGCCACTGCACTCCAGCCCGGGCGACAGAGTGAGACCACGTCTCTTAAAAGAAAAAAAAAGAAAAAAGAATTCCATCACATATCAGTTCCTTGCCTCAATGCTATTTTTAAGAACTTTCCTTCCTGATAAAAAACTCGACCATACACACTGCCATGCTGAACACTTTAACATTTCCATCTTGGCCGGGTGCAGTGGCTCACACCTGTAATCCCAGCACTCTGGGAGTCCAAGGTGGGAAGATCGCTTGAGCCCAGGAGTTCAAGACTAGTCTGAGCAACATAGCCAGACCCCACCTTTAAAACAAAAAAAAAAAAATTCCATCTTCCCTCACTTCACACCACTTCAACATGAACCCTCAACTCCAGACGTTCCAATGCGCATCTTAACATTCTCAATCCAACCTTTAACTAAATTCTGATTCCTTTTCAAAGAACGCTCTCAAGATTCCCTCTAGTGTAAGCAGTTTCCCGAGCCATCTTCCCAAACACTAGCTTTCACCTAACTCAATCCCCAAAATGTCACACTGGACTCCTCACCCACAGCATCCTGCTAATTAGCCGTTCCCAACAGGTCCTCCGTTCCCGTCTCCCTTTTTGCGCACGATTACCTCGTTCCTCACAGAGTTGCCGCCTTAACTCACCCAACCCTTCAGGAGCCCTTATTGCCTGTCTCTCAAAAACGTTCCTCCCCATTTTTCCAGTCCCCGCTCGCCCCATACCAATATTCGACCACTCCTCCCCAGATTCCCCACGCCCTCTCTCCTCCAGGTTCTTCCGATACAGTCCCCCGGCCCCCCGCCCCTCAGGCCCCACCCGCAAGACCCCTCTCCCCCTCCGGCCCCTCCTCTAATGCCCCCCTCTCTTCTCAAGCCCCGCCCCGAGCCCCCCTCCCCGCGACTTTCCCTCCCACTCAGGTCCGCAGGTCATTTCAGCGACTGACCCAGCCGCCCCGGCCTCTTTCCGACCTGGCCGCAGCTGCTCTGGGAGCGAATCCTCTGCCGCCTACACTCCGGCTTCGTCCTGTCCTGCTCGCCCCCCGGCAAGCTCTTTCTCGCCGTCGCCGCCGCCGCCGCCGCCGCCGCCGCCGCCACCGCCCCTTTTGCCAACCCGGAAATGGATCTGCTCCCACCGTCCCCAGCGTCCGCGAACAAAATGGAGGCGGGGGAAAAAGGAGGAGAGAGCAGGGAGCGGAGAGATGCGAGACGCATGCGCCCCTGGGAAGCCCGCCCCCTGCCGGCCCACGTAAAGGCGGAAGCGGTTGAGTGGACGCCATCTTAGGAAGGTCACAGGAATTCCGCTTACCAGCTAAAAGCTGGGTTTGCAACTTTAGCTGCAATTGGAATCACCTGGCAAGATTTAAATACTATGATGCCTGGTTCCCACCCCTGGAAATTATAATTTAATTCTGGGGTGCAGCCTAGGCATCAGGAAATTGTTGCAGGTGATTCTAACGTGTTGCCAAGGTGGAGAACCACTGAGCTAAACAGTCATTGTTGAATATACTCCTTTCGTCTTTAATCCGCCGCACACACACACACCCTCCCCCCTAAATATCCTTCCTTAATCTCGAGTTAACGAAGAACCCGCCTCGGCCAACCTTGCAAAGGCCAAGTAGTCAAGCTCCGGTTGTCATGGCAACAGAGGCAGGCCACTGCTCACAAGTCATCATTTACGTCATCTTACCCACCTGACTCGAACACCGTCTCTTCTTTCTCGGGCTGGGGTTTCCTCCAGCTTCCAGGGCTATAGGATGGTGCTGTGGACCCCTCCAGCTGCTTGGGCCAGAGAGAGAAATCCTGTGCCCTCTTTGATGGAGCTGCTGTTAAACCCTGACAGCTGACTAAGTATCTCTCCCTAGTCCACCCAGAAAAGCGCTTTCCATTATAGCTTCAAAATACTCTTGGTTTAATTCCATTCCCAGCACAGAATCCGAAGTAAGGGGGCAAGATTGGGACTTAGTCCCCATTACTTACAAGCTGTGTGCCATTGGGCCTTAGCTACCCTATCTGTAAAATGGGTCTAATAGTGCCTGTCCCGTCTGTCTCATAGAGTTGTTGCAAAGCTGAAATCAGTTAATGAATGGGAAAACGTGATAGAGCATAAGTTGTTATTATTTTTGTTTTCCTTCTATTCTGCCATGAGTAGTACTAGGCACCACCCACTAGTCAAGTAAATGTCACATTGAGTACCTGCTAAACACCAGGAGATGGCTACAGAGGTGACTAAGACAGAGCCTCTGCCCTCAGGGAACTCACTACGTTGGTGGGCAGACTGGCATAAACAGCTAGCTGAGATACAAGTCAGCGTGTGATTAGTGCTGTGGGACGTCAGACAAGGGAGCAATTAATTCCTGCTAAAGAATGGAAGGAGGTTTCCTAAATGGTTTGGAGCTGGGCCTTGAAGGATGAATGGAATTTTATTATTAATCAGAGAAGGCAGGGAACACAGCAGGCATAGGGATCAAGGACACGAGGTAAAGATTTTCAGCTGTCTACATCCTGCATGGCCATACGTGGGGCGATGGAGCCAGGGAGATGGTGGGTCCAAACACCTTACCAGAGCCTCCCAACTCTTCAACCTCATCCCCTGCCTGTCCCCTCCTCACTCACTCTACATTATGAGGACCTGATTTCTATCACTGCAATGTACCCCATTCAGCAGTTCCCACCTCAGGGACTGTGTACTGGCTATCCTCCGCCTCTTCCTCATTTTTCAAGCCTTACTGCAAATGCTTCGTCCTCAGAGGGCATTCACTGCCCACTGTAGCTAATGTAAAGCCCCATGCTCTATCACACACTCTGTGATAAGGGCAGCCGCTGGGATGAATATAGGGACATCTCACCCAGACTTGGGGAAATAGTGATATAGGCTTCATGAAAAAGGTAAATGGCCCAAGTGCAGTGGCTCATGCCTGTAATCCCAGCACTTTGGGAGGCTGACAGGGGGGATCGCTTGAGCCCAGAAGTTCAAGACCAGCCTGGGAAACATGGTGAAATCTTGTTACTACAAAAATTACCCGGATATAACCGGGCACGGTGGCTCACGCCCGTAATCCCAGCACTTTGGGAGGCCAAGGCGGGCAGATCACCTGAGGTGGGGAGTTCGAGACCAACCTGACCAACATGGTGAAACCCCGTCTCTACTACAAATACAAAATTAGCCAGGTGTGTTGGCACATGCCTGTAATCCCAGCTACTTGGGATGCTGAGGCAGGAGAATCGCTTGAACCCAGGAGGCGGAGGTAGCGGTGAGCTGAGATCACTCCATTGCACTCTAGCCTGGGCAACGAGAGTGAGACTCTGTCTCAAAAAAAAAAAAAAAAATTAGCTGGACACGGTGGTGTGAGCCTGTGGTTCCAGCTACTTGGGAGGCTGATATGGGAGGATCACTTAAGCCCAGGAGATCAAGGCTGGGCTGAGCCATGATTGGCCACTGCACTCCAGCCCGAGCAATAGAGTGAAACCCTGTCTAAAGGAAGAAAAAAGAAAGTAACTAAGTGAGGCCATACCCATATTCTAAGTGAGACTTGAGGGACAGGTAGGAATTGACCAGGGAAGAAGTGAAGGAAAAGCATTGTAGGGAGAGTTTGGGCAAAGCAAGAAGAATCATGGCACATTCCAATAACTGAACGCACTTTTTTTTTTTTTTAAGAGACAGGGTCTTTTAAAGACATGCTGCAGTGCAGTGGCACAGTAATGGCTCACTGCAGTCTTTTTTTTTTTTTTTTTTGGAGACAGAGTCTCGCTCTGACGCACAGGCTAGAGTGCAGTGGCGCAATCTCGGCTCACTGCAAGCTCCGCCTCCTGGGTTCACACCATTCTCCTGCCTCAGCCTCCCGAGTAGCTGGGACTACAGGCACCTGCCACCATGCCTGGCTAATTTTTTTTTTTTTTTTGTAGTTTTAGTAAAGACGAGGTTTCACCATGTTACCCAGGATGGGCTCGATCTCCTGACCTCATGATCCGCCCGCCTCGGCCTCCTGAAGTGCTGGGATTACAGGTATGAGCCACTGCGCCTGGCCTGCAGTCTTTTTATTTTTTCTATTTTTTGAAAATGAGTCTCACTCTATTGCTCAGGCTGGAGTGCAGTGGTGTGATCTCAGCTCAATGCAACCTCCATCTCCTGGCTTCAAGCGATTCTCCTGCCTCAGCCTCCCGAGTAGCTGGGACTACAGGCACCAGCCACCATGCCTGTCTAATTTTTGTATTTTTTTTTTTTTGAGACAGAGTTTCTCTCTTGTTGCCCAGGCTGGAGTGCAATGGCGCAATCTCAGCTCGCCTCCCGGGTTCAAGCGATTCTCCTGCCTCAGCCTCCCGAGTAGCTGGGATTACAGGCGCCTGCCAACACGCCCGGCTAATTTTTTGTATTTTTAGTAGAGATGGGGTTTCACCATGTAGGCAAGGTTGGTCTCAAACTCCAGACCTCAGGTGATCCACCTGCCTTGGCCTTCCAAAGTGCTGGGATTAGAGTTGTGAGCCACTGCGCCTGGCCCTAATTTTTGTGTTTTTAGTAGAGATGGGGTTTCACCAAGTTGGCCAGGCTGGTCTCAAACTCCTGATCTCAGATAATCCATCCACCTTGGTCTCCCAAAGTGCTGGGATTATGGGCGTGAGCCACCACACCTGGCCTGTAGTCTTGAACTTCTGGGCTCAAGTGGTCCTTCTGCCTCAGCCTCCTATTTGGGACTGCAGGCACTGGTGACCACATGCAGCTAATTTTTACATTTTTTTTCTTTTTCTTTCTTTCTTTTTTTTTTGAGAAGGAATCTCGCTCTGTCCCCCAGGCTGGAGTGCAGTGGTGCAATCTCGGCTCACTGCAAGCTCCGCCTCCAGGGTTCATGCCATTCTCCTGCCTCAGCCTCCCAAGTAGCTGGGACTACAAGCGCCCGCCACCACGCCCAGCTAATTTTTTGTATTTTCAGTAGAGATGAGGTTTCACCGTGTTAGCCAGGATGGTCTCGATCTCCTGACCTCGTGATCCACCTGCCTAGGCCTCCCAAAGTGCTAGAATTACAGGCGTGAGCCACGGTGCCCGGCCAATTTTTTTCTTTTCACAGACACAGCATCTCCCTTTGTTGCCCAGGTGGTGTGGAACTCCTGGCCTCAAGTGATCCTCCTACTTCGGCCTCCCAAAGTGCTGGGATTACAGGTGTGAGCCACCTCACCTGGTTCAGAAAATATATTGATATAGAGTTAGAACTTCTGGGGGAGGCAAGAAATTAGGTTACAGAAGTCATCATAAGTTTGACATTTAGTAACACTTACCATGTGCCAGGCACTGTCAAAACCTCACATAGCTCATTTAATCCTCTCAATAACTTTCTGAGGCAGATATTTTTAAGCCCATTTTACAGATGAAGAAACAGACACAGCAAGGTTAATCATCTTGCTCAAAGTCACATATCTATAAGTAGCGAAAGTAAAAGTATCTCCAGAGTCTGTGTTTTTTGTTTGTTTGTTTCAGACAGTCTTGCTGTGTTGCCCAGGCTGAAGTGCAATGGCGCGATCTCGGCTCACTGCAACCTCTGCCTCCCGGGTTCAAGCAATTCTTCTGCTTCAGCCTCCCGAGTAGCTGGGATTGCAGGCACATGCCAGCACGCCCGGCTAGTTTTTGTATTTTTAGTAGAAATGAGGTTTCATCATATTTGCCAGGCTGGTCTTGAATTCCTGACCTCAAGTGATCCACCTGCCTTGGCCTCCCAAAGTGCTGGGATTACAGGTGTAAGCCACCACACCTGGCCCTTTGTTTTTTTGTTTGTTTGTTTGTTTGTTTTGAGATGGAGTCTCGCTCTCTCGCCCAGGCTGGAGTGCAGTGGCGAGATCTCGGCTCACTGCAAGTTCCACCTCCCAGGCTCACACCATTCTCCTGCCTCAGCCTCCTGAGTAGCTGGGACTACAGGAGCCCACCACCACACCTGGCTAATTTTTTTTTTTTGTATTTTTGGTAGAGACGGGGTTTCACCATGTTAGCCAGGATGGTCTCAATCTCCTGACCTCGTGATCCGCCCGCCTCGGCCTCCCAAAGTGCTGGGATTACAGGCGTGAGCCACTGCGCCCGGCATTTTTTTTTTTTTTTTTTGAGACAGAGTTTCACTCTTGTTGCCCAGGCTAGAGTGCAATGGCGAGATCTCGGCTCACCGCAACCTCCACCTCCTGGGTTCAAACTATTCTGCTGCCTCAGCCTCCCTAGTAGCTGGGATTACAGGCATGTGCCACCATGCCCAGCTAATTTTGTATTTTTAGTAGAGACGGGGTTTATCCATGTTGGTCAGGCTGGTCTTGAACTCCTGACCTCAGGTGATCCGCCAGCCTTGGCCTCCCAAAGTGCTGGAATTAGAGGAATGTGCTACTGCGCCCAACCCCTTTTTTTTTTTTCGAGACACATCTTGCCCTGTCGCCCAGGCTGGAGAGCAGTGGCATGATTTCAGCTCACTGCAAACTCCACCTCCTGGGTTCAAGCAATTCTCCTGCATCAGCCTCCTGAGTACCTGGAATTACAGGCGTGCTCCACCACACCTGGCTAATTTTTGTATTTTTTAGTAGAGAAGGGGTTTCACTATGTTGGCCAGGCTGGTCTGGAACTCCTGACCTTGTGATCCACCCTCCTCGGACTCCCAAAGTGCTGGGATTACAGGCGTGAGCCACCGCACCCCGCTGAGCCTGTGTGTGTGGTTTTTTTTTGTTTTTTGTTTTTTGTTTTTTTGAGACGGAGTCTCACTCTGTCGCCCAGGCTGGAGTGCAGTGGCACGATCTCGGCTCACTGCAAGCTCCACCTCCCGGGTTCACGCCATTCTCCTGCCTCAGCCTCCTGAGTAGCTGGGACAACAGGCACCCACCACCACGCCCGGCTAATTTTTTGTATTTTTAGTAGAGACAGGGTTTCACTGTGTTAGCCAGGATGGTCTCGATCTCCTGACCTCATGATCCACCCACCTCGGCCTCCCAAAGTGCTGGGATTACAGGCATGAGCCACCGCGCCCGGCCTTTGTGTGTTTTTTTTTTAGATGGAGTCTCATTCTGTCACCCAGGCTTGAGTGCAATGGTGCGACCTCGGCTCACTTCAACCTTCACCTCCCAGGTTCAAGCGATTCTCCTGCCTCAGCCTCCCGAGTAGCTGGGACTACAGGCGCATGCCACCACACCTGGCTAATTTTTGCATTTTTCTTAGAGACAGGGTTTCACTGTTAGCCAGGCTGGTCTCGAACTCCTGACCTCGTGATCTGCCTGCCTCAGCCTCCCAAAGGGCTGGGATTACAGGCATGAGTCACCATGCCTGGCTGAGTCTGCGTTCTTAATGTCCTGGCTGGTGACTTTCCACCCTACCATATCCAATGTCACAGGGTCTTGCTCCGTCACCCAGGCTGGAATGCAGTAGCACAATCATAGGTGGCTGTAACTTGGAACTCCAAGGTTCAAGCAATCCTGCCACAGCTTTCCAAATAGCTGTGACTACAGGCCCACACCACCATGCCCAGCTAATTTTTTTTTTGTTTTTAGTAGAGACAAGGTCTCACTGTGTTACCCAGGCTGATCTGGAACGCCTAGGTTCCAGTGATCCTCCTGCCTTAGCCTCCTAGAGTGCTGGGATTACATGTGTAAGCCACTACACCCAGTCCCAATGTTCCTTTCTTATAACAAATATTTTGCAACACTAATATCCCAAAGTGAAATGAACAGATAATATAACCTGCCTGGACACATGATTTCAAAAAACAAATCAATATGATGTCTTGATTATAAAAAAGACAAATAGGCCGGGCACGGTGGCTCACACTTGCAATCCCAGCACTTTGGTAGGCCAAGGCGGGTGGATTACCTGAGGTTAGGAGTTCAAGACCAGCCTGGCCAACATGGGGAAATCTCATCTCTACTAAAAATATAAAGAATTAGCCAGGCATGATGGTGGGCACCTTTAATCGCAGCTACTCAGGAGGCTGAGGCAGGAGAATTGCTTGAACCCGGGAAGCAGAGGTTGCAGTGAGCTAAGAGCATGCCATTGCACTCCAGCCTGGGCAATGAGAGTGAAACTCCGTCTCAAAAAAAAAAAAAAGACAAATAGAAGGATGGCGTTTCAATATGCAAATACCCAGGCACCATTACACTAGAAGATAAAGTAGTCAGATACTTGCACCCATACCTAGAATCACTAAGAGTGTGGTAGAGATAAATGCAGACTGACCTAAGGGTGTTGTATAGAACAGCATTGCCATTAGGGTTGTGATTTTCCAAAATGGTAAACAACTTTTGATAAAGTTCTGAACAATACAAAACAATTTACATAGTAGTTGCATTCTTGGAAAAAAACAGGTCATATTAAATACGTGCAAAAATATTTCATGTTTATGCCTTCCTTTGTCTGCCAGGCCAAGTACCTGGAAGACTCTGTCTCCCCAAAAAACAACTAAAAATCTCAGATAAAAATTATTATTTTTTTAAATTTTTTTTTAGACGGAATTTCACGCTCTCGCCCAGGCTAGAGTGCAGTGGCAGAATCTCAGCTCACTGCAACCTCCGCCTCCTGGGTTCAAGCGATTCTCTTGCCTTAGCCTCCCGAGTAGCTGGGATTACAGGTATGCGCCACCACGCCTGGCTAATTTTTTGTATTTTTAGTAGAGATAGGGTTTCACCATGTTAGCTAGGATGGTCTCAATCTCCTGACTTCATGATCTGCCACCTTGGCCTCCCAAAGTGCTGGGATTACAAGCATGAGCCACCGCGCCTGGCCTAATTTTTTTTTTTTTTTGAAATGGAGTCTCATTGTGTTGCCCAAGCTGGAATGTAATGGCGTGATCTTGGCTCACCACAACCTCTGCCTCCTGGGTTCAAGCGATTCTCCTGCCTCAGCCTCCCGAGTAGCTGGGATTACAGGCATGAGCCACCACACCCAGCCTAAATTTTTTTAAATTTTAAATGCTTTGATGAGCTGCTGAAAAAGTAAGGAATTTTCAGGGCAAAATAAAATAAGGCAGGGGATGCAGAGAGAGGTCAGTGGAACACTGAAACAAGCTTTTACTCTGAGGGCACTTGACTAACCTGGTGAACTTGAACTTTTGTTATTGTCTCATGGGAAGGGGAAACACCCCAAAACCTCTCCAGAGGGGAATTTTTTTTTTTTTTTTGAGATGGAGTCTTGCTCTATCACCAGGCTGGAGTACAGAGGTGCAGTCTCGGCTCACTGCAAGCTCTGCCTCCTGGGTTCAAGCAATTCTCCTGCCTCAGCCTCCCAAGTTGCTGGGACTACAGGCGCGTGCCAGCACGCCCAGCTAATTTTTTGTATTTTTAGTAGAGACGGGGTTTCACCATGTTGGCCAGGATTGTCTCAATCTCTTCACTTCATGATCTTCCCGCCTCAGCCTCCCAAAGTGTTGGGATTACAGGCATGAGCCACCGTGCTCAGTCTTCAAAGGGGAATTTAATAGGAGATTCCCCCACCGTAAAGATGGGACCCACTCACGCCTGTAATCCCAGCACTTTGGGAGGCTGAGGTGGGTGGCTCACTCGTGACCAGGAGTTCCAGACCAGCCTGGCCAATGTGGTAAAACCCCATCTCTACTAAAAATACAAAAATTAACCGGGCATGATGGCAGGTGCCTGTAATCACAGCTACTCTGGAGGCTGAGGCATAAGAATGGCTTGAACCCAGGAGGCAGAGGTTGGGGTGAGCCAAGATTGTGCCACTGCACTCCAGCCTGGACAACAAGAGCGAGCCTCTGTCTCAGAAACTATATATATATTAAAAAAAAAAAATTAGCCAGACGTGGTGGCGAGCACCTATAAGTCCAGCTACTTGGGAGGCCGAGGCAGGAGAATAGCTTGAACCTGTGAGGCAGAGCTTGCAGTGAGCCAAAATTGTGTCACTGCACTCAAGCTGGGGTGACAGAGCAAGACTCTGGAAAAAAAAAAAAAGAGTTTTGTGGAAACCAAGGATAATTCTTGGTTGGGTGTCCCTTGTATTATAGCACTCCAGTATCCCTGACCACTGACCATCAAATGCCAATAGCACGTTCTTACCATTGTGATAGATGGACAACGACATTTCCAAAATGCTCCCATGAAGAGCTACTGCCTCACGCTATACTGTCAAGCTGACAGGGGCCAATTTATGAAGGACTTAATTATGTATTGAGAAAAGTTAGATTTTATCTCAAGGGAAACCATTGAAAGGCTTAAGCAGAGAAGACCAAGATGCTCTTGGTATTCTAGAAAGATACCTCTGACTGCAGCAAGGAGGATGGATTAGATGGGGCCAGGTTGGAGGCCGGAACACCAGTTGGGAGACTGCTAGGAAAGGCCAACTGGGAGATGACAGTTGTCTACACTGAGTGGCTGCTGGACACTGGCTTGGCACAAAGCCTCTGAAGTCAGGGCTGCCTGTCTGTCTGCAGAACCTAAGGCCTCTTAGTTCTCCCCACTCTTGAATAAGGTGAGACTTTGGGCAAATTATCCAACCTCTACCAGTCTCAGGTTCCTCATCTGCAAAATGAGCAGATAAGCCCAAATGGAATGCATCCCAAGTGTTTACACACATGGAAACCACTCACCAATCTTAGCCATGTTTGTGATTAGAGTATCAGCAGCAGAGATGGAGAGGGGTAAGTCTAGAGATATTTAAGAAAAGGAATGCGGGACCAAAGAGTGGGAGGACCCAAATATGATTGCTAAATTTCTGACTTGAACTCCTGCTTGGAGGTGATGTTAACACTTAGCTGGAAACAGTTGCAGAGCAAGAGGAGGGGCTGGGGCACTGGAGGAGCCCGAATAGCACAGTGGAATGACCAAGAAGAGAGATTCCTTAGATCACTGGATATTTGGGTCTGAAACTGAGGAGAGTAATCCTAGGAATTTGGGACTCATAAACTGTGGTAGCTAATTTCCAAAGATGGCTCCCAGTGAACCAGGAGTCCTGGTATTTATTGAATGTGGGGCTGGCCTGTGACTGCTCTTAACCAGTGGAATGCAGCAGAATTGAAGCTGTACCAGGTTCAGGACTAAATTGTAAAAAGACTTGACAGCTTCTACTTTTTTGCTTTTGGGAGTCATCTCCCATGTGAGAAATCAGGTACTCTGCTGCAGAGACCACCTGGAGGGAGAAGCCTGGACATGGAGAGAAAAGTCCAGCCATCCTTGTGGTCCCTTTGTTCCCACCAGGGCTCAGGACATGTGAGCTAGCATCCTAGCTAGCTCCAGTGGCTTTTTTTTTTTTTTTTTTTTTTTTTTTTGAGACTGAGTCTCGCTTTGTCAGGCTGGAGTGCAGTGGCACGATCTCGGCCCACTGCCATCTCCGCCTCCCGAGTTCAAGCGATTCTTCTGCCTCAGCCTCCTGAGAAGCTGGGATTACAGGCACCAGCCACCATGCCCGACTAATTTTTGTATGCTTAGTAGAGATGGGGTTTTGCCACACTGGCCAGGCTGGTCTCAAACTCCTGACCTCAGGTGATCCGCCCGCCTCGGCCTCCCAAAGTGCTGGGATTACAGGCGTAAGCCACTGCACCTGGCCCTCCAGTGGCCTTCTGACTGCAGCAAGAGAGACCTCAAGTGAGACCAGAAGAACTATCCAGCTAAGCTCCCATCAGCCCGGAAGATCATGAGAAGTTATAAAATGGTTGCTGTTTTTAGGCTGGGTGCAGTGGCTCACACCTGTAATCCTAGCACTTTGGGACGCTGAGGCAGGTAGATCACCTGAGGTCAGGAGTTCAAAACCAGCCTGGGCAACATAGTGAAACCCTGTCTCTACTAAAAATACAAAAATTAGCTGGGCGTGGTGGCTCATGCCTGTAATCCCAACTATTTGGGAGACTGAGGCACAAGAATCACTTGAACCCAGGAGGCGGAGGTTGCAGTGAGCCAAGATCATGCCACCGCACTCCAGCCTGGGCGACAGAGCAAGACTCTGTCTCAAAAAAAAATAAAAAGTAAAATAAAATAAAACAAAGTTGTCATTTTTAAGCTACTAAATTTGGAACTGTTTGTTATGCAGCAGTAGATTCCCAAACACAAATATGACGATGAAATCTAAGCCCAGGATTATGGAAGGAAAAAAAAAGGGCTCAAGAGGGAGCTGGGGCACTCCACATACAAGGACCAGGCTGAGGGAGAGGCCAGTGAGGAAGACTGAGAAAGAGAAGACAGGGAAATCCTGAGAACGTAGCATCCTGGAAGCAGCGATAAGTGTTCCAGAAGGAAGAATGGTCAGAAATATCAAATGCCAGCAATAGGAAAATAAGTGTTCTTGGATTTGGTAACATGGGAGTCATCGGTGCTCTTGACCCAGGCAGATTATGTGAGTGATGACAGAGAAAGCCAGATGCACTGGGTTGAGAATCAAAGAGAAACACAGAACAGCAAAACCAAACAAACCAGTAATATATGCTGACCTGGATGAGCCTCACAGGCAGAGTGTTGTGGATGGGGAGTTGCTGAACACCACATCCAGTATGATAATATTTATATAAAATCTAAAAACATTCAATTGGCCAAGCGTGGTGGCTCACACCTGTAATTCCAGCACTTTGTGTGGCCGACCGAGGCAGGCAGATAGCTTGAGGCCAAGAGTTTGAGACGAGCCTGGGCAACACGATAAAAACCCCGTCTCTACTAAAAATCCAGAAAAATTAGCTGTGCTTGGTGGTGCGCGCCTGTGGTCCCAGCTACTCAGTAAGTTGAGGTGGGAGGATCACTTGAGTCCAGGATGCAGAGGCAGAGGCTGCAGTGAGCTGAGATCGTGACACCGCACTCCAGCCTGGGTGACACAGGAAGACTCTGTCTCAAAAAAAAAAAAAAAAGAAAGAAAAGAAAAGAGAGGCTGGGCGCAGTGGCTCACGCCTGTAGTCCCAGCAGTTTGGGAGGCCGAGGCGGGCGGATCACGAGGTCAGGAGATCGAGACCACAGTGAAACCCCATCTCTACTAAAAATACAAAAAATTAGCCGGGCGTCGTGGCGGGCCTCTGTAATCCCAGCTATTCAGGAGGCTGAGGCAGTATAATCACTTGAACCTGGGAAGCGGAGGTGGCAGTGAGCCAAGATCATGCCACTGCACTCCAGCCTGGGTGACAAGAGTGAGACTCCATCTCAAAAAAAAAAGAAAGAAAGAAGAAGAGAGGACACAGAGAGACACACAGAGGAGAATGCCTTGTAATGATGGAGGCAGAGACTGGTGTGATGAGTCTAGAAGCCAAGCAAATAAAATTCACATAACATAAAACTCACCATTGTAACCACTTTAAAGCATCCAAGTGAGTATATAGTATATTTACAATGTTGTACAGCCATCACCACTATCTAATTCCAAAACATTTTCATCACCCAAAAAGAAACTCCATACCCATTAGTAGCCTCTCCCCATTCTGCTCTCACCCCAGCCCATGGCAACCAGAAACTATCTACTTTCTGTCTCTATGGATTTGTCTATGCTGGACATTTCATATAAATGGAATCATACAATATGAGGCCTTTTGTGTCTGGTTTTTTAGCACAGTTTTTTCAAGGTTCATCCATGTTGTAGTATATATCAGTACTTCATTCCTTGCTATGGTTTGACTTTGTGTCCCCACCCAAATCTCATGTCAAATTGTAATTTCCAATGTTAGGAGGGACCTGGCAGGAGGTGACTGGATCATGGGAGCAGATTTCCCCCTTGCTGATTCCGTGATAATGAATGAGTTCTCATGAGATCTGGTTGTTTAAAAGTGTGTGGCACTGGCCAGGCACATGGCTCACGCCTGTAATCCCAGCATTTGGGAGGCCAACGCGGGTGGATCACCTGAGGTCAGGGGTTCAAGACCAACCTGGCCAACATGGTGAAATCTTTTCTCTACCAAAAATACAAAAATTAGCCAGGCATGGTGATGCATGCCTGTAATCCCAGCTACTCAGGAGGCTGAGGCAGGAGAATCGCTTGAACCCGGAAGGCAGAGATTGCAGTGAGCTGAGATCATGTCACTGTACTCCAGCCTGGGCGACAGAGTGAGTCTCAAAATAAATAAATAAATAAATAAATAAAAGTGTGTGTCACCTCCCCTTCTGCTCTCTCTTTCCTGCTCATGTGAAGATTACTTGCTTCCCCTTTCCCTTTCTGCCATAATTGTAAGTTTCCTGAGGCCTCCCCAGCCGTGCCTCATGTACGTCCTGTGGAACTGTGAGTCAATTAAACCTCTTATTTTTTTTTAGATGGAGTCTCGCTCTGTTGTCCAGGCTGCAGTGCAATGGCATGATCTCGGCTCACTGCAACCCTCGCCTCCTGGGTTCAAGTGATTCTCCTGCCTCAGCCTCCTGAGTAGGTGGGACTACAGGTGCGTGCCACCACACCCAGCTAATTTTTTGTATTTTTAGTAGAGACTGGGTTTCATCATGTTGGCCAGGATGGTCTTGATTGCCTGACCTCGTGATCTGCTAGCCTTGGCATCCCAAAGTGTAGCGATTACAGGAATGAACCACCGTGCCTGGCCTAAACCTCTTTTCTTTCTTTCTTTCTTTCTTTTTTTTTTTTTTTTTTTTTTGAGACGGAGCCTGGCTCTGTTGCCCAAGCTGGAGTGCAGTGGCGCAATCTTGGCTCACTGCAAGCTCCACCTCCCGGGTTCATACCATTCTCCTGCCTCAGCCTCCCGAGTAGCTAGTACTACAGGCGCCCACCACCATGCCCAGCTAATTTTTTTGTATTTTTAGTAGAGACGGGGTTTCACCATGTTAGCCAGGATGGTCTCAATCTCCTGACCTCGTGATCTGCCCACCTTGGCCTCCCAAAGTGTTGGGATTACAGGCGTGAGCCACCGCACCCAGCCACTAAACCTCTTTTCTTTATAAATTACCCAGTCTCAGGTAGTTTTTGTGTGTGTGTGTATGTGTGTGATGGAGTTTTGCTCTTGTTGCCCAGGCTGGTGTGCAGTGTCACAATCTGGCTCACTGCAACCTCTGCCTCCTGGGTTGAAACGATTCTCCTCCCTCAGCCTCCCAAGTAGCTGGGATTAGAGGCACCTGCCACCACGCCCAGCTAATTTTTTTGTATTTTTAGTAGAGACGGGGTTTCACCATGTTGGTCAGGCTGGTCTTGAACTCCTGACCTCAGGTGATCCACCTGCCTCGGCCTCCCAAAGTGCTGGGATTACAGGTGTGAGCCACCGCACCTGGCCTCAGGTAGTTCTTTATAGGAGTGTGAGAATGGACAAATACATTCTTTTTTATGATGGAATAGTATTCCATCTTATGAATATACCACATTTTAGTTTATCTACTTTGGGCTACTACAAATAATGTTGCTATGAACAGTCTTGTACAGGGGGTTTCTTTTGGGGGGTAATGAAAATGATCTAAAATTAGCCAGGTGCGGTGGCTCACGCCTGTAATCCCAGCACTTTGGGAGGCCAAGGCAGGTGGATCACGAGGTCAGCAGTTCGAGACCAGCCTGGCCAACATGGTGAAACCCCCATCTCTACTAAAAATACAAAAATTAGCCAGGCATGGTGGCGGCCGCCTGTAATCCCAGCTACTCGGGAGGCTGAGGCAGGAGAATTGCTTGAACCTGGGAGGTGGAGGTTGCAGTGAGCCGAGACCGTGCCATTTCACTCCAGCCTGAGCAACAGAGCGAGGCTCTGTCTCGGAAAAAACAAAAAAAACAAAATTAACTGTGGTGATGGTTACACAGCTTGGTGAATATACTAAAAACCATTGATTTGTACATTTTAGGTTAATTACATAGTATGTGAACTACATCTCAATAAAACTGTTATCCTCAAAATTGCAACACACTGTTTGGAGATGTATACAAATGTAGTACAAGTTTACAGGAATGTTATACTGTTGATGAAAGAAAAATCAAGCTTTTGGCTGGGAACAGTGGCTCACACCTGTAACCCCAGCACTTTGAGACTCTGAGATGGGAAGATCCCTTGAGCCCAGGAGTTTGAGACCAGCCTGGGCAACGTAGCAAAATTCTGTCTCTACAAACAATAAAAAAACTAGCCGAGTATGGTGGTGCATGCCTGTGGTCCCAGCTACTCGTGAGGCTGAGGTGGGAGGATCACTTGAGTCCAGGAGGTCAAGGTTGCAGTGAGCTGTGATTGCACCACTGCACTCTAGCCTGGGTGACAGAGTAACATCCTGAACCCCCCCCAAAAAAAAAAAAAGAAGAAGAAGAAGGAAAGAGACAGAGAGAGAGAGAGAGAGAAAAACCAAGCATTTAAAGAATAAGTTTTATGCAGAGTTTCACTGAGGATTGCAATCTGGGAGGAGACTTTCTTTCTTTCTTTCTTTTTTTTTTGAGACAGAGTCTCGCTCTTGTTGCCCAGGCTGGAGTGCAATGGCATGACCTTGGCTCACTGCAACCTCCGCCTCCCAGGTTAAAGCGATTCTCCTGCCTCAGCCTCCCAAGTAGCTGGGATTACAGGCTCCCATCACCACGCCCAGCTATTTTTTTTTTCTTTTTGAGACGGAGTCTCGTTCTGCTGCCAGGCTGGAGTGCAGTGGCACGATCTCAGCTCACTGCAACCTCCGACTCCCTGCTTCAAGTGATTCTCCTGCCTCAGCCTCCCGAGTAGCTGGGATTACAGGCATGCGCCACCACGCCCTGCTAATTTTTCTATTTTTAGTAGAGATGGAGTTTCACCATGTTGGCCAAGATGGTCTCAATCTCTTGACCTTGTGATCCGCCCGCCTCAGGCCTCCCAAAGTGCTGGGATTACAGGCGTGAGCCACCACGCCCGGCCATTTTTTTTTTTTTTGTATTTTTAATAGAGATGACGTTTCACCATGTTGGCCAGGCTGGTCTCAAACTCCTGATCTCAGGTGATCCACCTGCTTCAGCCTTCAAAGTGTTGGGATTACAGGCATGAGCCATTGCGCCCAACCTGGGAGGAGACTTTCAGAGAGATTCAGTTAGACTGCTCCGGAGTAGTGAATACACAGGTGGTGGCGGTTCTGTATGTGCTCAGAAGTTATATTAAATATATGCTGAGAAGTTACATTAGAGCAAAATCTCATCAAAGTATGGGTGCGAAGATACATCTGGTTATAGATTACAGAGGCATAATCATTAATTCGTCACATTGTTTTACGTACAGGAAGAAGCAAAGGCCAGGATCACTGAACTTATCTTTTCGGAAATTGCAGTGACTTTGGCAAGAGACACAGGAAGCTGTGCCCTATCCTGCTTATCATTTTCAGGGCATTCTTCTGGGCTGGGGACTGTGCTCACACTGACTCAGGGGCTTTGTGAAATTCTGCTGCCAAGGGAATTGGTGAAATTCTGCTGGCAAGCAGAATTAACAAAAGTGGCTACTTAGGTTTGCTACTTTGTGTCACAATACCATACTTATGAGGGTGGTTGTCTCTGGAAAGAAAGAAAGAGGATGCAACTGGGGACAGGTACCAGGTTCAGCTGGAGGGTAGGGTTTCATTTCTTTTTCTTTTTTTCTTTTCTTTTTTTTTTTTTCAGACGGAGTCTCTCTCTGTTGCCCAGGCTGGAGTACAGTAGCACGAGCTTAGCTCGCTGCAACCTCCGCCTCCCAGGTTCAAGTGATTCTCCTGCCTCAGCCTCCCGAGTAGCTGGGACTACACACCTGGCTAATTTTTTTGTGTTTTTAGTAGAGACGGGGTTTCACTGTATTAGCCAGGATGGTCTCGATCTCCTGACCTCATGATCTGCCCACCTCGGCCTCCCAAAGTGCTGGGATTACAGAAGTGAGCCACGGCACCCGGCCAAGTTTTCATTTCCTAAGCTGGGAGGTGGAGACTCAAGTGCTCATTATATTAGTCTTTAAACTTTTTGTATGATTGAAATATTACACAACACATTTAAACATAATGTTTTTTCTTTTTTTCCCCAAATATTAGGATTCTTTTTTTTTTTTTTTAGACAGTCTCACTTTGTCACCTAGGCTGGAGTGCAATGGCTCAATCTCCACACACTGCAACCTCCACCTCCTGGGTTCAAGCAATTCTCATGCCTCAGCCTTCCGAGTAGCTGGGATTACAGGCATATGCCACTACACCTGGCTTTTTTTTTTTTTTTTTTAGTAGAGGTAAGGGTCTCACTATGTTGCCCAGGCTGGTCTCAAACTCCTGAGCTCAAGCAATCCTCCTGCCTCAGCCTCCCAAAGTGCTGGGATTACAGGCGTGAGCCACTGCACACGGCCTATTTATTTTTGAGACATGTTCTTGGTCTGTTTCCCAGGCTGGCGTGCAGTGGTGTGATCATAGCTCACTGCAGCCTCAAACTTCTAGGCTTAAGCGATCCTCCCACTAGGACTACAGAAGGAAAGTGTTTTTAAAAATGGAGACTTAAAAGGGTTTAAACGCTAAAGATGAAAGAGCTCATAGGGAGAGACTGAAGAAACAAGTTCTTCCGGTCAAATATGACTTATATCTGGGGATAGACCCTCTCAGAAGGATTCAAGATTACCCCAAGAAAGGCACTATCCTCCTCTGGGTTATGTAGCCTCCTCCCTCATCCCCAGGCAGGTTGAGAAAACAATCTTGGTGGTGACACCTAGTGGATTCAAAGGGCACTGCCTAAATTCTTCACTGCACGCAGCACACCTCATGAAGACACCTTATTTATTTATTTTTTGAGACAGAGTCTCGCTCTGTCACCCAGGCTGGAGTGCAGTGTTGGGATCTCGGCTCACTGCAACCTCCGCCTCCTGGGTTCAACTGATTCTCCTGCCTCAGCCTCCCGAGTATCTGGGACTACAGGTGACCGCCACCACACCCAACTAATTTTTGTATTTTTAGTAGAGGCAGGCTTTCACCATGTTGGCTAGGCTGGTCTTGAACTCCTGACCTCAAGTGATCTGCCTGCCTCAGCCTCCCAAAGTCCTGGGATTATAGGTGTGAGCCACCATGCCTGGCCAGGAAGGGAGAATTTTTTATTTTAAATCTGTTATTAAAAACAGTGGACTGTCAGAATCTGAATTGCTTTATGGTGTAATGTAGCTACGGTAACACTTAACAAATTTTACATGACCAACTCAACAAGCCAGATAGACACACTTGTATACCCACCCCCAGGTCACGATATGGAACATTTCTTTTATTTATTTATTTATTTATTCCTCACTCTGTTGCCCAGGCTGGAGTGCAGTGGCCCGATCTCAGCTCAGTGCAACCTCAGCTCACTGCAACCTCCACCTCCCGGGTTCAAGTGATTCTCCTGCCTCAGCCTCCCGCACCTCGACCTCCCAGAGTTCTGGGATTACAGGCGAGAGCCACCGCGCCTGGCCGATATGGAACATTTCTATCGCCCCACAGGGCTTCTTCATGCCCCTTCACGGTCAATACTTTCCCCTACCCTATTGAGTAGGCACTATTTTTACTTCTTTTTTTTTTTTTTTTTTTGAGACGGAGTCTTGTTCTGTCGCCCAGGCTGGAGTGCAGTGGCATGATCTCGGCTCACTGCAAGCTCCACCTCCCGGGTTCACGTCATTCTCCTGCTTCAGCCTCCCGAGTTGCTGGGACTACAGGCGCCCGCCACCAGACCCGGCTAATTTTTTTTGTGTTTTTAGTAGAGACGGGGTTTCACCGTGTTAGCCAGGATGGTCTCGATTTCCTGTCCTCGTGATTCGCCCGCCTCAGCCTCCCAAAGTGCTGGGATTACAGGCATGAGCCACCGTGCCCAGCCTATTTTTACTTCTATCCCCGTAGATTAATTTAGCCTGCTCTTGAACTTTTTTTTTTTTTTTTTGAGATGGAGTCTGGCTCTGTTGCCCAGGCTGGAGTGCAGTGGTGCCATCCCAGCTCACCACAACCTCCGCCTCCCAGGTTCAAGCGATTCTCCTGCCTCAGCCTCCCTAGTAGCTGGGATTACAGGCATGCGCCACCATACCCAGTTAATTTTGTGTTTTTAGTAGAGACAGGGTTTCTCCGTCTTGGTCAGGCTGGCCTTGAACTCCCAATCTCAGGTGATCCACTCGCGTTGGCCTCCCAAAGTGCTGGGATTACAGGTGTGAGCCACCGTGCCCGGCCTAAATTTTTTTTTTTTTTTGAGATGGAGTCTCGCTCTGTCGTCCAGGCTGGAGTGCAGTGGCACCATCTCGGCTCACTGCAAGGTCCCCCTCCCGGTTTCACGCCATTCTCCTGCCTCAGCCTCCGGAGTAGCTGGGACTACAGGCGCCCACCACCACGCCGGGCTACTTTTTTGTATTTTTAGTAGAGACGGGGTTTCACCCTGGTAGCCAGGATGGTCTCGATCTCCTGACCTCGTGATCCGCCCGCCTCCGCCTCCCAAAGTGCTGGGATTACAGGCGTGAGCCACCGCGCCCAGCCTTTTTTTTCTTTAGACTGAGTCTTGTTCTGTCGCTGTCGCCGGGCTGGAGTGCAGTGGCGCAATCTCAGCTCACTCCAAACTCTCCCTCCCGGGTTCAAGCGATTCCCCTGCCTCAGCCTCCCAAGTAGCTGGGATTACAGGCGCACGCCACCACACCCAGCTAATTTTTTTGTATTTTAGTAGAAACAGGATTTCACCATGTTGGCCAAGATGGTCTCACTCTCCTAACCTCGTGATCCACCCGCCTCGGCCTCCCAAAGTGCTGGGATTACAGGCGTGAGCCACCGTGCCCGGCCTTTTTTTCTTTTTCTTTTTTTTTTTTAAGAGAAAGAGTCTCACTCTGTCACCCAGGCTGGAGTACAGTGGTGCAATCATAGCTCTCTGCAGCCTTGAACTCCTGGGCTTAAACAATCCTTCCACCTCAGCCTCCTGAGTAGCTGGGACTACACACATGCACCACTATGCTTGGCTTTTTTTTTTTCTTTTTTTGAGACACGGTCTCCCTCTTTCGCCCATGCTGGAATACAGTGGCATGATCTCTGCTCACTGCAGCCTTGAGCTCCCAGGCTCAAGCAATCCTCCCACCCCAGCTTACCAAGTAGCTGAGACTACAGGAATGCACCACCATATATGGCTTTTTTTTTTTTTTTTTTTGAGACGGAGTCTCACTCTGTCGCCCAGGCTGGAGTGCAGTAGCACGATCTCGGCTCACTGCAACCTCTGCCTCCCGGGTTCAAGCAATTATCTGCCTCAGCCTTCTGAGTAGCTGGGATTACATAGGTGCCTGCCACCATGCCCAGCTCACTTTTGTATTTTTTAGTAGACATGGTGTTTCACCATCTTGGCCAGGCTGGTCTTGCACTCCTGACCTCGTGATCCATAGGTCTCAGCCTCCCAAAGTGTTGGGATTACAGGCGTGAGCCACCCTGCCCAGCCTTTTTTTTTTTTTTGAGATGGAGTTTTGCTCTTGTTACCCAGGCTGGAGTGCAATGGCACGCTCTCAGCTCACCACAACCTCTGCCTCCCAGGTTCAAGCGATTCTCCTGCCTCAGCCTCCCGAGTAGCTGGGATTACAGGCATGTGCCACCACGCCCAGCTAATTTTGTATTTTTAGTGGAGACAGTTTCTCCATGCTGGTCAGCTGGTCTCAAACTTCCGACCTCAGGTGATCCACCCACCTCGGCCTCCCAAATGCTGGGATTACAGGCATGAGCCACCGCACCTGGCCTATTTTTTTATTTTTTTGTAGAGACAAGGTCTCCCTATGTTGCCTGAGCTGGTCTCAAACTCCTGGACTCAAGGGATTCTCCTGCCTCAACCTCCCAAAGTGCTGGGATTACAGGCGCGACACACCATGCCCAGCTACATTTTTTATTTTTTGTAGAGATAGGGGTCTCACTATGTTGGCCAGGCTGGTCTTGAACTCCTGGGCTTAAGAGATCCTCCTGTGTCCAGAACTGGTTCCTTCCAGTGGGTTCTTAGTCTTGCTGACTTCAAGAATGAAGCTTCAAGAATGATGCCACAGACCCTCACGGTGAGTGTTAGCTCTTAAAGATGGTGTGTCCGGAGTTTGTTCCTTCAGGTGTTCAGATGTGTCCAGTTTCTTCCTTCTGGTGGGTTCGTCCTCTCCCTGACTTCAGGAATGAAGCCACAGACCTTCAGCAGTGAGTGTTACAGCTCTTAAAGGTGGCGCTTCTGGAGTTGTTTGTTCCTCCCAGTGGGTTCGTAGTCTCGCTGGCTTCAAGAGTGAAGCTGCAGACCTTTGTGGTAAGTGCTACAGCTCATATAGTGCGGACCAAAAGAGTGAGCAGCAGCAAGATTTATTGCAAAGAGCAAAAGAACAAAGCTCCCACAGCGTGGAAGGGGACCCCAGTGGGTTGCCGCTACTGGCTCGGGTGGCCTGGCCCCACCCACATCCTGCTGATTGGTCCATTTTACAGAGCGCTGATTGGTCCATTTTACAGAATGCTGATTAGTCCGTTTTACAGAGTGCTGATTGGTTCGTTTTTACAGAGTGCTGATTGGTGCATTTACAAACCTTTAGCTAGACACAGAGCACTGATTGCTGCATTTACAAACCTTTAGCTAGACACAGAGCACTGATTGGTGCATTTACAAACCTTTAGCTAGACACACAGCGCTGATTGGTGCTTTTACAATCCTTTAGCTAGACAGAAAAGTTCTCCAAGTCCCCTACCTGATTAGCTAGACACAGAGCACTGATTGGTGCATTTACAATCCTTTAGCTAGACAGAAAACTTCTCCAAGTCCCCACCTGACCCAGAAGCCCAGCCAGCTTCACCTCTCACTCCTACTTCAGGCCCCCAAAGTGCTGGGATTAGAGGTGTGAGCCAACATACCCAGCCTGTGTCTGGCTTCCTTTATTCAACATTAAGTCTGTGAGATTCATTCACGTGGGTATTAATAATTTGTTCTTTTTTCTTGCTATATAGTATTCCACCATAAGAATATGCCCCAATGCATTTGTCCATTCATGTGTTGAAAGACACTGGGTTTTTTTCCTTCCTTCCTTCCTTCCTTCTTTCCTTCCTCCCTCCCTCTCTCCCTCCCTCTGTCCCTCCCTCCCTCCTTCCCTTGCTCTCCTTTCTTTTTTTTTTTTTTTTTAAACAGGGTCTCACTCTGTTGCTCAGGCTATAGTACAGTGGTGCTATCGCAGCTCACTGCAGCCTCGTTAATTTTTTATTTTTTGTAGAGACAGGGTCTCACTATGTTGCCCAAGCTGGTCTTGAACTCCTGGGCTCAAGCGATCCTCCTGCCTCAGCCTCCCGAAGTGCTAGGATTATGGGCTTGAGCCACCATGCCCAGCGTGATTGGTGTTTCTGAAAGAACACCCTGGCTGCCATGTGGAAATCAAACTGGTGGCAGGTAGGGGTGGATCAAAGAGAGGAAGCTGACAGACCAGGTAGGAGGCTGCAGTAGTCATGCAGGGAAGCTATGAAGGTGGTTTGGACTAGTATGGTCATAGGGGAGTCATACAGAAGTGGATCACTCAGAAAATGCTCTGGAATTGTAGCCGATGGGACTGGCTGAGATGAATGAAGGGTGGGAGAAAGAGGCACCAATGGTGAGTCCTGTATTTTTGCCTTGAAAACTTGGGTAGGTGGCTGGGCAGTGGCTCACAGCTGTAATCCCAGCACTTTGGAAGACTGAGGTGGGTGGATCACTTGAGGTCAGGAGTTTGAGACCAACCTGACCAACATGGTGAAACCCCATCTCTACTAAAAATACAAAAATTAGCCGGGTGTGGTGGCCTCTGCCTATAATCCCAGCTACTCAGGAGGCTGAGGCAGGAGGATCACTTGAACCTGGGAGGCAGAGGTTGCAGTGAGCCAAGATTACGCCACTGCACTCCAGCTTGGGCAACAGAGAGAGAAAACCTGGGTGGATGAGAGGATCATTTTTCTGAGATGCAGAAGACTGAGGCAGAAACAGATGTGAATGGGGATTATCAAGGGCCCAGGTATAGCTATTTGAGTGTATGATGTCTCCTGGAACTCAGGCTATCATTTAAGCCTAACGCTAGGCTCTCTGCACCCTATAATCTTAGTAGGATTGGGCCAGGCGCAGTGGCTCAAGCCTGTAATCCCAGCACTTTGGGAGGCCGAGGTGGGCAGATCACGAGGTCAGGAGATCCAGACCATCCTGGCTAACACAGTGAAACCTCATCTCTACTAAAAATATTAAAAAAAAAATTAGCCCGGCATGGTGGTGGGCACCTGTAGTCCCAGCTACTTGGGAGGCTGAGGCAGGAGAATGGCATGAACCTGGGAGGCAGAGCTTGCAGTGAGCAGACATCACGCCACTGCACTCCAGCCTGGGCAACAGAGCAAGACTCCGTCTCAAAAAAAACAAAACAAAACAAAACTTAGTAGAACTGGTAAATATTGGTTGTGTGAACAGTACATGCTGTCTTCAGGGGACAGACCTGGGTTAGGGGACCAGTGCCCTCACTAGTAATTATTCTGGGACTGCTGTGCCTCAATCTTCTACCTTAGCATTAGAATTAAATGTGATCTCATATTTATGCCACCTGGAACATGTATGAACGAAAACATCCCATCCCCTCTTCTGAGTTCCAGGCATTATGTGACATGTCTTGTGAGGTTGGCATCTTTTCCTCTCATCCACATTTTCTTTTTTGGCAGAGTCTTGCTCTGTTGCCCAGGCTGGAGAGCCACTGCGCCTTGCAACCTCCGCCTCCTGAGTTCAAGCTACTCTCCTGACTCAGCCTCCCAAGTAGCTGGGATTACAGGCATGCACCACCACACCTGGCTAATTTTTGTATTTTTAGTAGAGACAGGGTTTCACCATGTTGGCCAGGCTGGTCTCGAACTCCCGCCCTCAGGTGATCTGCCCGCCTCGGCCTCCCAAAGTGCTGGGATTACAAGCATGAGCCACTGTACCCCGCCACCCACATTTTCAAAGTCACTCCAGAACAGCCCTGCTCCTGACAGCACTGGGCGGCCATCCCCTCTCCCCTCCCTCAGCACTTCCACAGCCTCAAAGAAAACAGAATGGAGAACAACAGGCAGGTTGATTCATAGACTTTATCGGCTTCTTCTCCACCCAGCGGTTTCTGCAATGACAACCGCGCCTGTACAATACACATGGTTCACTCTGTTAAAGCTGCAGGGCAACGGGAGGGGGCTGGGGGTCCCTGGGCAGGCATCAAGGCTAGGGGTAAGCAGCAGCCAAGACTGGGCCAGTGGGTCCCAGTGTCCGACCCAGAGGGTGGTGGCAGCTGGAGTTCCAAGGCTGTTGGAAGGGGTCAGGAGGAAGGCTGGGAAGCCAGGGGCTGCAGGGAGAGGAGAGTGCATCAGCAGTAGCAGGGAGGGGGCAGGGAGCAGAAGGGGGCCCATGGGACACTGTCAGGGCAAGAGGGCATGGGACACAGCACCTCCTATGTCCATAGAGGATTTTTGCTGCAGGAACAAGACAGATCACTGTATAAAAGGGTCTGTACAACATTACCTATGATACAATGTTCACATATGATACAAGGCTCTTTCCCTCTTTGAGTTTTAAAAAATAAATGTACAATTCCAGAGCTTTGGGTAAAAAATATATACACCCTCATAGCAGGAGCAGCAGCTGCTTTTGCTACGGCTGTTGCTGTCTCTTCAAAAGGGAAAGAGGTGGTGCCAGAAAGAAGGGTGAGTCTGTGCCAGGAAACCTCACCCAGTAGCTGCCAGGAGCCCCTGCACCCCTCAGGCCTTGAGGCTGGTGATGGGAGAGGGAGGGGAGTAAAGGTAATAAAGGCCTTGCCAGAGTCCAGTGGCGCCTTTACAGTCTCTGCCATCCCCCTCCCCCACTTTGGGGCTGCCTGCCCCAGGTATAGGGATCCACCCCACCCCAGCTCTATGGGGAGGACAAAGGGAGAGTCAAAGAGAGAGGGACAGAGACCATGTTGTTGGTGTCAGACACATGAGCCAGAAGGGGGATGTCAACTCCCTCCTTAGCAGTTAGATATCCCAAAAAGCAGGAGTGTGGGCAGCAGACAACCCTAGCTCCTGATACTGCTCTACCCGAGCCCACTGCAAGGCAGGGGGAGGGTCCTCTAGGCAGCTGAGGCCTGTGTTTCCCTGAGCATCTTTTACCCTCTCATCAGAGCCCATCCCTGGACCTTCCAGAGGCCTGAGTGGGGGACTTGCAAGGGCTGATGGGTAACCCCTCCCACCTGCTGCTACTCCCTGCCCCAAAAAGCAGCTTGGCTCACAAGCCTGGGCATGCAGGGCAGCACGAGGAGCTGAGCAGGGAGTGTGGGGGTGGAGAAAGCACCCCGCACCATCCAGGGGCAGAGTAGACAAGGGTAGCACCAAACAGAAGGACCCCTCCCCAGCACACACAACATCCACCCTCAATTACCAGATGCACTCCTGCTCCCTAAAAGAAGACACACACACACACACACACACACACACACACACACACACACACACACACACACACACGGCAACATAATATTCCTGGGGGTCCCAGCCCTGACCAGGAAGAAGCTGGACAGGTGGTGGAGAAGAAGGCTGCCAATCCCTCCCACAATCCCACTCTGCAAGACAGAAGGGTGAGCAGCATTCTTTCCTGCTGCAAGAGGAAGTTGGAAGCTCCATCCCCAGAACAGATCTCGATGGGAGGACATAGAGGAAGGAGCTTTCTATCCCCTTTCTCAGAGGGGACAGGAACCAGCAAAGTGTAGTTTTGGCTTGAAGGAGCAATGGGGAGGGGACTTCAGCAGGATGAACAGACTTATGGGTCCAGGGGTAAATCCATCGACCTCTTTCCCGTGGAGCAGGAAGTTGCTCCACGGGAAAGATGTCAGATGTTGGTTGAGACATCGTGCAAAGTGCTTGAGTGCCAGGTGCCCAAGGATCTGGCGGGTCTGACTGGAGCCTCCACTCTCACTGACTGTTTGCCTCCAGCTTGTAGGAGAGCTCGAAGAGGAGGTTCTGGTTGTCGATGACCTGAAACTGGCGCACATAGGCCTTGGTCTGCAGGTGATTGGGGGATGCCTCCATGTCCAGGCCTAGTGGGTAAAGAGGGAGAGGCAGTCAGGTTCCCAGCTTCCCTTCTTCCTCTACACACACACCGGGCAGAAGATCAGGCTGTGGACTGAGACAGATGTTGGGCAGGAAGGCCTCTGCAGAGGCAAGGAGAGAATGGGGAACCAGCAAGTGTATGGAAATACACATCTGGACAGGGAGTTCTCCCCTGAACCCTCCCGTTCAGTCAAAGCTCTATCTGTACTGCTCTCAGTACCCTGGGTACTCACAAAGGGGCCGGCTCCGGTATTTGCGGATTGTCCTCACTTTTTCGGCCACTGAATGCTGGGAGATGACAAGGAATGAGCCTTGAAAGGGGCACAGAAAGAGGCTCCCCCTCTTATGCTCCCCCTCCGCCATTCTCCCACTCTGCTTTACTCCCTCCAGTCTCCAATTCTGGAGGGTCTCTGAAGGACCAAAGGAGTGGGTGTAACAGAGTGCCATGTGAGGGGGAGGTGAAGTTGCCCCCAAGCTGCCTGTCAGCTCTGCCACCTGTGGGTGGGTTGCCACAGTGATGCCACCAGGGAGACAGTCAAGAGTCTGTTAGGCAAGCTGGGCACTTGGAGGAAGGCTGCTATTTTTGGGAGGTGATGAGAGAGGGAGAGGATGCAAGCCCCCCACTTGTGGGACTAGGGGTTTGCAGTGCCACTCACTCACCAGCTTCTCGATGTTCACCAAACCATCTACAAGGGTCTTACTCCCTTCGTGCAGGAAAGTCAGGTCTAGGGGATGTGGAGAGAATCCAATGTGAGGAAAGGATAAGAGAGGAGTTCGAAAGGGGCCACTGCACCCGAGGACCCCGCTCTTCCCCAGAACCCACTCCGTCTGTGGTGGGGGGCTCCTCTCCAGGTGGGTACTCAGGGCTGAGTCGAGAGGGAGCTGGAAGTCAGAAGCAGGGCATAGGAGAAGGGAAGCATGGGTGGAAGCGGCACAGCTTGGGAGTAACTCTCTCACCTTTGAGGATCAGAGGCACGAAGGGAATCACAGGGGGCTTCATTTTGGAGATCACTTCTCGGTAGCTTTTGTGGTTCCTGCAGGGGTCCTAGTATTCCACAGGAGAGAGATCAAGGGACAGACTGGCCAATGCATCCCAAAGATGTCCTCAGCTTCCTCCCTCACCCCCTGCCTTGTATACATTCCTGATCAGATAGGGGTGCTGGGGGCTTTCTAATGGTGTGGTGGGGAGGGACCTGACTACTCCCCCTTTCCTTCAAGAAAAACAGGGGCGCAATCCTTCCAACCTCACCCTCCAGCATGGTAAGGAGGGTGGGGGGTCCCATACACTAAACACCTTGAAAGGAAAGCTTGAGGAAGGGGGTTTATGGGAACAGAGGGTTTCTGGGCTCTCAGTCCAAGAGCAGAAGAAAGAGCCAAACCCACTCACCGTCAGGTTCTCAAATTTGCGAAACAAGTTCTTGAATTTCCCTGGCAGCTTCTGCAGAGTTTGAAGGAAGGAGAAGGGATATCAGAGTGGAGCTCCTTGGGTTACATGGGAGCCTCGGATTAATTCTCCCTGTTGGAGGGCAAAAGGGCCTGCATGGCTTGTAGGGGGCTGGGAAGCTGGTGGGTGGGGAAATGAAGTCAGGCCTTGGCTAAGTCTAGAGGCTTGAAACAGCCCAGAGGAATTCATTATTCTGGGGAAGGCCAGGTCTGTCTTATGCAGGTGCTTTGTATAAAGATGCCCCCACTGAGTGTGGATGAAAATCAGCCCAACTCCCACAGCCAAGTCTGCGACCTGACCTGGCCAAGGGCTGCCTGCCGTGACTCAGGCGGGATCCGGGCTTTTCACTAATTTGCACAAAGACAGGGTCCATTAGCCAAGCTGTGCGCCCTGGGGTTGCGTATGCCAGAAGAGGGCGCCTCCCTCCAACTGGCGCAAAGACTCCCTCCAGGCCGGCGGCCGTCCCGGGAGGACGCACTTCGGGGAGCCCGGGATGCCCAGATTCCCAGGTAGGAACGGGAGGGGTCTCATCACCTCCCAGGTGAGTCGAAGGCGGCTGACAGCGGCGTTGTCCAGCCCCATGACCACGGCGTAGAAAGACAGCAGGTCCTGGTTCTGCTTGCAGCTGCGGGGGTGGGAGGCGGGGTCAGGGGCGGGCGGCGGCGCGGGCCTCCGGCCTCCGGCCCCCCATCCCGCCGACGGCCGCACTCACAGGGCCGCGATCTTGATGAACTTCTTGAGCAGCTGCGCGCGCTTGCCCGGGGCCTCGCAGAGCAGCACTTCGGTGGCCACCCAGTGCGTGACCTCGCTGCAGCGCTGCAGCAGCAGCTCCAAGTTGGCCGTCTCCCGGCGGCCGCGCTCCCCGTGGAACACGTAGTCCACGAACTCCAGCTGCACCCACGGCAGCGGAGGGGCGGCCAGGGCGCCAGGGGGTGAGGGGAGTGGGTGGGAAGATGGCAGTGCAAGGCGATGAGGAGCGAAAGGCAGGAGGGCGGGGGCGGAAGGGGTGGAAAATAGAAAAATAGAAAGGACAGGAGGCGGCAAAGATGCGGAAAAAGAAAACAACCAGCATTAATAATATTTCACCAGCTACTGAGCACTTACTAGGTGCCAGGCATTCGCTCACGGCTGACATCCTCAAGACAACCATCTGCTAGGCATTATTGTCTCTGCCTTATTTTATTTCTTTAATAGTGAATATTTTAAAAATAGAAATCCTGGGTCAGGTTCTGTGTAAACAGCACTTGGGCCCTGAGCCACTGTGCTCTGGGGTCTCTCTCTTTGCGATTTTTTTCAGATGGGGGAACAAAGGTTACGGCCATGCGTTGCCCAAGGGCTTGCTGCAAGTGAGCCTTGGAACCAGGACGTTGTGCTGCGAACACCGTCTCCCAATGGCACATTTCTCCCTCCAGCCCCCCAGCATAGCACCAGCCTCGGTCCCCACCTCATGCACACATCGGAACAGCTCCCAGTGGAAGGCAGTTAGGTGGTTGGCAACGTCCTCAGGCTCCACTCGGTGGATCTCTGTGTCTCCAGGGGAGACCTGGATCTCCTCGGGGAGGGGCACCTGGTGGCAGGCAGGGGCATAGGGGCTGGGCTCCTGGTGGCAGGGTGAGGGATTGCTCACAGCCCTCCTCAGCCCTCCATTCCAGTCAAGGCCTTGGGAAGTTCTTACCAGAGCCTCATAGCTGTCCCGAGTACAGGCAAACAGGTGGCTGTTGATGCCCAGTGCGGTGAAAACACAGTCCTCAGTGGGCTGGAGAAGGACCTTCTCTGCAGGAGAAAGAGCTGCTCATCCTCGGCCCCTGCCGCCTGCACCCTCACACATCCCACACTGACACTGTCCTATCCAAAAACTCCTCACCCCACACTGACACATTCTAGACTAATGGAACTCATCTTATCACTAGTTTATGCCATATTTATCTGGAATTTGTCAAATGATTATTTCTTTTGCATTTATAACTTTTTTTCTACTCCCTTTCTTTCACAGCTTTTCTCTTACTCTGTTGTCCTTGTGACACTGGGAAGGCTGAAATTTTTTCCTACTGTAGAGGAAAACAAAGCTTCAGTGACATTGCTGGCTTTCTGCCTTCCCACTCATCCTGTGTCTTTAGCCTGTGAAATGTGGCATCCTTACATACACAGGGAGGTTAAAGGATCAGAATACAATCCATAGGTGAGTGAGGGGCAGCACTCAGATCAGAACCTGAGTCCTAGACCAGTGCCTCCCAAACTTTTTTTTTTTTTTTGAGACGGAGTTTCGCTCTTGTTGCCCAGACTGGAGCACAGTGTCTTGATCTCGGCACTGCAACCTCCGCCTCCGCGGTTCAAGTGATTCTCCTGCCTCAGCCTCCCAAGTAGCTGGGATTACAGGTGCACACCACCATGCCCAGCTAGTGCCTCCCAAACTTTAGTAGGCATAGGAGTCCCCTGGGGGGTCCTGTCCAAATGCTGATTTGAACAAGACCAGCAGGTCGGGGTGGGGTCGCAGATGCTGCATCTCTTTTAGAGACAGAGTCTTGTTATGTTGCCCAGGATAGGGCGCAGTGCCTATTCACAGGTGCAATCATAATGTACTACCTTGGATTCCTGGGCTCAAGCAATCCTCCTGCCTCAGCCTCCTGAGTAGCTGGGACTGCAGGTTTGCACCACTGCACCCAGCAAGATGCTGCATCCTAACAAGTTCCCAGGCGATGCACATGAGGCTTGTCCCGGGACCATACTTTGAGTAGCAAGGGCCTAGAATTCAGTCTCTACCCCTCCCCCAGAGCCCTGAGCTTGTGAGTTTCTCCTCTCGGAGCATCAGCCCAGTTCTTCCTGACCCTCACCTCCAGAGGAGGACACAGCTACCAGGATGAGGGAATCCTCACGCCCCGCGGGCTCCTCTGAATATTGAAGTTTCTCCGTCACAGAGCCCAGAATGTCCTGCACAGATGCTGAAAGGCGGCTGCGTATGGTCACATAAGAGTGGTCAGGCATGTATACACGGCAGAAGACTGGACGGAAACAGGAAAATGGCTTTCAACAGAGGGCAGAGTGGCAGCAGCTGGCACAGTCTCCTCCAGGGTGCCTCTATTCCCCACCAGAGGCTGGCCTCTGAAGAAGGTCCTGTGAAAGGGGCTGGTTCTACCACCCAGGGAGATGCCACTGAGGGTGCTCAAGACCCAGAGATATGTCCCCCTGAGCCACTCAGGACACCCTGCCCCTCCTAATGCCCACACTCACTCTCATCAGAGCCCCGGAAGGCCACCCGGGTCTGCAGACAGGAGTCTATCCGGCGGAAGTGGCGGAAGAGTGGCTTCACCTGCTTGCTGGGTGGCTGGTTCTCCTCTGGAATCCTGGCATGGACACAGCTGGGCATCAGCACGCCCTGCCAGGCATATGGACAACCAACACCAAGCAGGCAACATCAAGCAAGAATATCAGAATTGGGTCAAGGATGCACCAGCAGCAATTTCAGGTGGTTAAGGGGGTCAGAAGAGAGGACAATGAGCAGTATGGGATAATTATCCAAGTAACCCTAATCAAATGCCACCTCTTCCATGAATTCTTCTCTGATCCACCCCACCCACCAGGAAGGTCACTTTCTTCTCTCAACTACTATAGAACATTGGGATAATGTTTATGTTCACCTCTTATCTCTTCTATGAGATTGAGAGCTCTTGAGGACTGGGATTTGGTTCTTACTGAGTATCTTTTCATCCACCAGGGCCTAACACACTGCTTGACACATGGTAGGTAGTAGGTCAGCAGCTGTTTGCTGAATTTTGCTGAAAAGAACTTCACAGTCTAGGAAGGAGATAGACAGGCATACAGCTACTTCTAATACCAGGCAGGAGGTGTTGATAATATAACAAAGGTACCAGGAGAGTTATGCTGGTGTGGGGGAAGAAGAAAGCTATTCCTAAAAGGAAGATCTGGGAAGTTTTCATTGAGAAGATGGCATTTGACCTGGGCCTTGGAGGAAAGCAGGAAGAGAAGGAGGTGGAGGCCAGGTGCAGTGGCTCACACCTGTAATCCCAGCACTTTGGGAAGCTGAGGTGGGCAGATCACTTGAGGCCAGGAGTTCAAGACCAGCCTGGCCAACATGGTGAAACCCCGTCTCTACTAAAAACACAAAAATTAGCCAGGCGTAGTGGCGTGCACCTGTAATCCCAGCTACTTGGGAGGCTGAGGCAGGAGAATCGCTTGAACCCGGGAGGGGGAGGTTGCAGTGAGTTGAGATCACGCCATGCACTCCAGCCTGGCAACAGAGCAAGACTCCATCTCAAAAAAAAAAAAAAAAAAAAAAGGCCAGGCGCGGTGGCTCACGCCTGTAATCTCAGCACTTTGGGAGGCCAAGGCGGGCGGATCACGAGGTCAGGAGATCTAGACCATCCTGGCTAACACGATGAAACCCCGTCTCTACTAAAAAAAATATAAAAAATTAGCCGGGCGTGGTGGCAGGCGCCTGTAGTCCCAGCTACTCAGAAGGCTGAGGCAGGAGAATGGTGTGAACCTGGGAGGTAGAGCTTGCAGTGAGCCGAGATCACACCACTGCACTCCAGCCTGGGCGACAGAGCCAGGCTCTGTCTCAAAAAAAAAAGAAAACATGGTGGGAGGAGGGCATTCTGGGGTGGACAATATAACCGACCATGGGAAGTTCGAGAGCGCAGGAGTTGAGGTGTCATGGATGGAGGGGATGTAGGAGATGAGATGGGAAGGATCAGCAGAAGGCAGAAAGGGAAGGGTATTGAATGCTGGGATGTTTCACTTTCTCTTGGAAGCATGGGGAGCAGGGATGCCTTTGGAACAGGAGCATGAAAGATCTCTCTAGTGTCAGCACAGAGAAGGCAGAGAAGGATGCTAGACCACAAGCTGAGGCCTCCCTAAGGGTTGTGGTGGTGGGGACAAGAGAAGAGAGAAACTAAAAGGGCAGAATGGATTCATGGATGGATGGATACAGTGGTGTCCTGAAGCTGGTTCACACTGGCTCACAAGAGCATACTGTTAAGTTCTGGGGAATTTTACCAACTGTTTTTTAAAGAGCCATTAAAATATAAATAAACAAATATATCTCCATATATAAATATATATGTTTTATAAACTTATAGTCAGGCCAGGTGTGGTGGCTTACACCTAGAATCCCAACACTCTGGGAGGCCAAGGTGGGAGGATTGCTGGAGCCCAGCCTGGACAACATAATGAAACCGTCTCTATTAAAAAATAATAATACAAATTAATAAATAATACATAAAATTTATAATCAAATAAGTTGTTACCAAAAAAACAGTTTCCTTCCTGTTTTCACTACTTTTTTTTTTTTTTTTTTGAGACAGAGTCTTGCTCTGTTGTCAGGCTGGCGTGCAGTGCTGCAATCTCGGCTCACTGTAACCTCCACCTCCTGGATTCAAGCAATTCTCCTGCCTCAGCCTCCCGTGTAGCTGGGATTACAGGTGTGTACCACCACGCCCGGCTAATTTTTGTATTTTTAGTACAGACAGGGTTTCACCGTGTTGGCCAGGATGGTCTCGATCTCTTGACCTCATTCTGCCTGCCTCGGCCTCCCAAAGTGCTGGGATTACAGGCATGAGCCACCACACCCAGCCCACCTCTTTTTTTTTTTTTTTTTTTTTTTTTTTTTTTTTTTGAGACGGAGTCTCGCTCTGTCGCCCAGGCCGGACTGCGGACTGCAGTGGCGCAATCTCGGCTCACTGCAAACTCCGCTTCCCGGGTTCACGCCATTCTCCTGCCTCAGCCTCCCGAGTAGCTGGGACTGCAGGCGCCCGCCACCGCGCCCGGCTAATTTTTTGTATTTTTAGTAGAGACGGGGTTTCACCTTGTTAGCCAGGATGGTCTCGATCTCCTGACCTCATGATCCACCCGCCTCGGCCTCCCAAAGTGCTGGGATTACAGGCGTGAGCCACCGCGCCCGGCCTTTTTTTTTTTTTTGAGACGGAGTCCACTCTGTCACCCAGGCTGGAATGCAGTGATGCAATCTTGGCTCACTACAACCTCTGCCTCCTGGATTCAAGACATTCTCCTGCCTCAGCCTCTTGAGTAGCTGGGATTACAGGCATGTGCCACCATGCCTGGCTAATTTTTGTATTTTTAGTAGAGATGGGGTTTCACCATGTTGGTCAGGCTGGTCTCGAACTCCTGATCTCATGATCTGCCTCTCATGATCTGCCTGCCTCAGCCTCCCAAAGTGCTGGGATTACAGGCGTGAGCCACCGCACCCGGCCTTTTTTTTTTTCTTTAGAGACGGAGTCTCGCTCTGTCACCCAGGCTGTAGTGCAGTAAGGTGATTTCAGCTCACTGCAACCTCCATCTCCTGGGTTCAAGCAATTCTCCTGCCTCAGCCTCCTGAGTAGCTGGGACTACAGGCACGTACCACCACCCCCAGCTAATTTTTCTTTTCTTTTTTTTTTTTTTTTTTTTGAGACAGAATCTCACTCTGTCGCCCAGGCTGGAGTGCAGTGGCATGATCTCAGCTCACTGCAACCTCCACCTCCTGGATTCAAGCAATTCTTCTGCCTCACCCTCCCAAGTAGCTGGGACTACAGGAGCGCCCTACCACGCCCAGCTAATTTTTGTATTTTTAGTAGAGACAGGGTTTCACCATATTGGCCGGGCTGCTCTCAAACTCCTGACCTCATGATCTGCCTGCCTTGGCACACAGCCTTTTTTTTTTTTTTTTTTTTTGTAGTGGAGACAGGGTTTCACAATGTTAGCCAGGCTGGTCTTGAACTCCTGACCTTAAGTGCTCCACCCATCTTGACCTCCCAAAGTGCTGGGATTACAGGCATAAGCCACCTTGCCCAGCCATTTTACTACCTTTTACTACATCTACTGTATGGTGGAGATACTACATAACAGCCTGTGCTGCATGTCTCTTCCCAACTCCTCTTTCAGTGTTGTCACATTGGTAGCTTGAAATCAGCCATGGTGACAGAGTTTACACTGTAGGAATCAGCAAAAGCTACAAATCAGGGCTCTTTCTCCTGCAGCACTGGTTGTTAAATATTTACCAGTACACCACTGGATTATCAGACAAATGAATGGGAGAATGGACAAAAAAGTGACTGGAGACAGTGCTTTGTGCCACCCTTCAGTGAGAGAAAGGAGCTGAAATAAAACCATATTGGAAGCCAGACACAGTGGCTCACACCTGTAATCCCAGCACTTTGGGAGGCTGAGGCAGGCAGATCACTTGAGGCCAGGAGTTCAAGAACAGCCTGGCCAACATGGTGAAACCCATCTCTACTAAAAGTACAAAAATTAGCTGGGCATGGTGCACCCCTGTAATCCCAGCTACTCAGGAGGCTGAGGCATGAGAATCACTTCAACCCAAGAGGTGGAGGTTGCTGTGAGCCGAGATCGCACCACTGCTCTCCAGCCTAGGCGACAAAGTGAGACTCTGTCTCAAAACAAACAAACAAACAAGCAAATCCATATTGCAGCCAATAGGCCAGAGGCAGCCCCTGTAGTAGAGGAACGCAGGGGACCACTTTCCTGTTCCCGCCCCTGCCCCACTCCCCCTCACTTTAGTTCCACCGTCTCCACCAGCTGGTGCAGCCTCAGAGTGTCCTCTCGGAGGCCCTGGTAAAGGGACTCGTCCTTCATAATTAGCAGGTATAGATCCTGGAGAGAGGAGGACAAAGAAGGTGAAGGAAGGGGTCTCATTCCAAGGGCTACTCTCTGCAGGGGCCGGGCAAGGTCTCCATACCTTTAAGCACAGGAGAGCCATATAAGCTAAGGCCCCCTGGCATCTCTTCCTTCCAGGTACCCAGAATGAGAAGTATGGCTCCTTCACAGGGGCCCCCTTCCAGAGCTAATAGCCTGTTTACCCACCTTCTCTTCCCCCAGGCCCACCTTGATGATGTGGCCGGCCCCCTCTTCCTCTTGAAGCAGCCCCTGGTAGGTGTCCAAGAAATGGAGAAGCATGGCTAGACAGGCTTGCTTCCGGCCCAGCCCTTCAGGGCCCTCCATGCCTCCTGCCCGAACAAAGCTGACCCTTAAGTTAAGAAAAATCCCTACGCAAGCAGACCTGAGGAATTGAGAAGAAAGATGGGAGGCTAGGCTGGGCGCAGTGGCTCACGCCTATAATCCCAGCAGTTTGGGAAGCTGAGGCGGGCGGATCACCTGAGGTCAGGAGTTCGAGACCAGTCTGGCCAACATGGTGAAACGAAGACTCTACTAAAAATACAAAAATTAGACGGGCATGGTGGTGTGCACCTGTAATCCCAGCTACTCTGGAGGCTGAGGCACAAGAATCGTTTGAACCTGGGAGGCAGAGGTTGCAGTGAGCCAAAGTCGCACCATTGCACTCCAGCCTGGGCGACAGAGAATGACTCTGTCTCAAAAAAAAAAAAAAAAAAAAAAAAAAGGCAAAAAAAAAAAAGGCCAGGCGCGGTGGCTCACACCTGTAATCCCAGCCCTTTGCAAGGCTGAGGCAGGTGGATCACTTAAGGTCAGGAATTTGAGACCATCCTGGTCAACATGGTGAAACCTCATCTCTACTAAAAATACAAAAAATTAGCTGGGAGTGGTGGCGTACACCTGTAATCCCAGCTACTCGGGAGGCTGAGGCAAGATAATCACTTGAACCCGGGAGGCGGAGGTTGCAGTGAGCCGAGGTCAGGCCATTGCACTCCAGCCTGGGCAATAAGAGCAAAACTCCATCTCAAAAAAAAAAAAAAAAAAGAAAAGAAAAGAAAAGAAAGATGGGAGGCTAAATTGCCCCCAAGTATTCTCTAGATTTGGGGCCAGAGAGAAAGGAGTTTCGGTGGTCCTGAAGCCAAGACCTCCTCATGCCCCAGCCCAGGCTTTTGCTTAGAGTAGGTAGCGATGACCACTTGACCACATCCAGCTCCTGCAGGTTAGACAGGTTAGATTTTCACTTGAGGATACCCTGCCCAGACCCATCCAACCTCTGACCAGCCCAGGGCCTGGAGCTCACAGTGCGCCTAATAAATGCCAATGGTGTTTACCACAAACCTGACTATACCTCACTGGAAGGCCTGATGTTTCTAAGACAGCTTGTTACTTTTATTTATTTATTTATTTATTTATTTGAGAGGGAGTCTCACTCTGTTGCCCAGGCTGGAGTGCAATGGCATGATCTCAGCTCACTGCAACCTCTGCCTCCTGGGTTCAAGCGATTCTCCTGCCTCAGGTTCCTGAGTAGCTGAGATTACAGGTGCCTGCCACCAAACCCGGCTAATTTTTTGTGTTTTAGTAGAGACGGAGTTTCACCTTGTTGGCCAGGCTGATCTCGAACTCCTGCCCTCAAGTGATCCACCCGCCCCAGCCTCCCAAAGTGCTGTGATTAAAGTCATATGCCACCGTGCCTGGCTGGGAGCCTGTAACATTCTACTCAGTGGTCTGACATTTACAATTAGGTCCTAAAATAACTCTGTGAGAGGCCCATGCTTACATGAGACCCTATGAATAGCCCATCCAGTGGCTCCTCTCTAGCGGACCCTACTGAAGCACAACCATGGCCTGATGTTTACATCAGACCCCATCATAACTCACTGGGCAACCAGATGTTTTAGAGCAATAATTCAGTGGGGATAGAGGTGCCCTTAGTAGAATAATAACACCTTGGCTGGGCGCAGTGGCTCACGCCTTTAATCCCAGCACTCTGGGAGGCCAAGGCAGGCGAATCACTTGAGGTCAGGAGTTCGAGACCAGCCTGGGCAACATGGTGAAACTCCGTCTCCACCAAAAAATACAAAAAGTAGCCAGGTGTGGTGGTGTGCGCCTGTAGTCCCCAGCTATGGGGGAGGCTGAGGCAGGAGAATCGCTTGAACCCAGGAGGCAGAGGCTGCAGTGAGCCAAGGTCGCACCACTGTACTCCAGCCTGGGTGACAGAGCAAGACTCCATCTCAAAATAAATAAATAAATAACACCTTTCATTTGTACAGGGCTCTGCAGCCTCCAAAGCACTCCCACATCTGCTATCAGACTGATCTTCATAGCAGCTAATAGATAGGCAGGGCAGGTGCTATTTACCTCCATTTTACAGAAAAGGAAACTGAGTCCCCATGAGGTTAGGTAATCTGTACAAGTCACACAGCTGATGAGTAGAAAAGCTGGGACTGAAACCCAGGTATGTTTTCTTTTCTTTTTTTTTTGAGATGGAGTCTCACTCTGTCACTCAGGCTGGAGTGTAGTGACGCGATCTCGGCTCACTGCAACCTTTGCCTCCCGGGTTCAAGTGATTCTCCTGCCTCAGCCTCCCAAGTAGCTGAGATTACAGGTGCGTGGCACCATGCCTGGCTAATTTTTTCTATTTTTAGTAGAGATGGTGTTTCACTATGTTAGCCTGGCTGGTCTTGATCTCCTGACCTCAGGTGATCCGCCTGCCTCAGCCTCCCAAAGTGCTGGGATTACAGGTGTGAGCCACTGCACTCGGCCCCAGGTATGTTTCCTAGGGGAGAGTTTAGGCTCTGAGATTGCATGTGGGACGGAGGGAGTGGCTCCCTTCTGACCTCTCCTTTTCCAAACTCCACAAAAGGATATTACTGGTGTAGCTCCTGCAGAAATTTCTCCGTCGGGAGGAAGAGAGAATGGGTAAGGACAATGTCATCCAGCAGGATATCTGTAAAGATCAGTGGGCACCACAGATGTCAGGTGGGCACTTCCAGAACGAAACTGGAAATGCAGTGCCTCCCTCTCTTGCCCCTAAGGGCAAGTTCTCTTTAGCCAGGCTGGAGCCCCAGCCACCTGCCTTGTCATGCTCTGCACACGCGCACACATACATGTGTAAAGGTTCTGGGCAGCCACTGCGAGGGTGGGTTCGGCAGCTGCCAAGGCAGCTGAAGGGAAGGGGGGGGCGCGTGCCTTTGATGGCCATGTGCACTTCTCTTCAGCGTATGTGGGAAGTTGGTCAGATAACACACCAAGGTTGAGTTCTGCCTGAAAAAAGAAGTAGCCCACAGAAGTGTCTCCAGACAAAGAGTATTTCCAAACACAGAGGTTAGCATCAGTGGGGACTGTGTGTGTGCATGTGTGTGTATCCCTCTTCCCCTCCCCATTTCCCACCTAACAGCTTTGAGTTCTAACTAGGCAGGTGGGAACCAGCCTGATTAAAAGGGAGATGGAGAGACTGCCATCACTTTGATCCCAGAACCTTTAAATAGAAATCCTGTGTCCTTTAGGGGCCCAGAGACAGAAGGGTTAATGATGGAATGGTGAAGGGGAGCGGCTCCTCTCACCACCCCTTTCCCCTCCACACCCCCGTCTGGGCCTGGCTCAGCCAGTCAGCCGGGTACAAGGTCGCCCTGACTTGCAGCCAGCCCTGGGGTGGGGCAGGGCCACCTGGCACACACAGACAGACAAGGTGCAGGGAGGGAGCCAGGTGTCCTCACCAGGACTGGTTAGGGCCAGGTCCCCAGGCACTGTCCCAGGACAAAACCAAGGCTTCTGACTCCCCTTGGTTCACTATCTCCTGTGGTCAGTTCTAGCCATGCAGGCGGAGGAGGAAAACCAACACAAAGTAATTGACTTCAAGGATTTCATTTCGCAAATGTGAAACTGAGGCCCAGAGCTGGGAGGGACTTGCCTGGAGCTGGAATAAGAACCCAGAATCCTGAGTCTTTGTCCTTTTCTCAATATGCCTGAGGCAAGCAGAGTGTTAGGGTAAAACCTAGCGGTCAGAGGGGGCTGCTTGGACGTTGGAGAGGCTTTGGTAGGTTCAGAGTAACTTCTGTAAGTTCTCTCCTCCCACACACCCTGGGAGGAGACCAGGATGACTTGAGAACATTGGTTTTATTGGAGAACATCAGAGTGGCAGGTTAAGCTGATTCTCATTCACCTGGGACTGGTTTGGAATTTCCCAAACTAGTTACTCTGGGGATCCAGGCTGCCAGATAACATGGGTGACATTTCAGGAGTCTTACCCCAGGGGAGAATGAGCGGAGCGTGTGGCACCAGGCCCCTGTAAAAGGGGAAAGACAGCTTCTCCCTTTTCCTCCCTGCCCAGCTACCCTGCTGTGTTCTTACAATGAGTCAGAGAGCCTCCAGCTCTGACCCCCAGCTTCAGGGATGAGGGTGAGGAAACGAGAGGCCTGACATCCTTCATAGACTTTATCTCACAGGATTCCTAAGCTGGAGCAAAGGAAGAGTAAGATGGGGCAGAGTTGGGGAGATGCTGATATGGGGGCCACAGTTGGGCATCTGTCTTTTCCAAAGCAGGCTCTGGGCCAATGTACAGCCTCCCTAGGGAATGTGTCATAGAGACACAGGGTGTGTGGTGTAGGCGGGAAGTTATGGTTAGGAGAGCTGTGTGTGTCTGATATTTTTCTAATTAAATCCAAAAGGTGTCAGCTCCCCAGGGCAACTACAGCCTGCTCCAAAGGAGAGGACCCAGGTCTTGAGAAGGATCTAGGAGAGTGGAGCCCCCCTCCACACATCTAGGTTGGGGTTCCCTGCCGAGGGCTGAGAGCAAGTGTGAAAGCCCTCACCATTAGGGCCTCAGCCGGGGCTCCCAAACCTCAGACCCTCCTGGGCTTAGAGTAATGCCTAGAGCTAGACCTAAAGAACCCTCGGTCTTCTACCTCAGAACTAACCAGATTTGGGGCCTTGGTTTCCTCAAAGGCCCCTTAGTAGGGGTGCTGAAAGGGAGTGGTGAAATAGTATCATCATTTAGGGAATAAGCTTCTCAGGGTGTGGTGATTATATTTTAAAGAGGCCGTGTGCCAGGTCCGGTGGCTCACGCCTGTAATCCCAGCACTTTGGGAGGCCGTGGGGTGGGGGTGGGGGGAGGTAGATAACGAGGTCAGGAGTTCAAGACCAGCCTGACCAAGTTGGTGAAACCCCGAAACCCCGTCTCTACTAAAACTACAAAAATTAGCCAGGCCAGTGGCTCACGCCTGTAATCCCAGCACTTTGGGAGGCCAAGGCAGGTGGATCACGAGGTCAGGAGTTCGAGACCATCCTGGCTAACACGGTGAAACCCCTGTCTCTACTAAAAATACAAAAATTAGCCAGGCGTGGTGCCACATGCCTGTAGTCCCAGCTACTCAGGAGGCTGAGGCAGGAGAATCGCTTGAACCTGGGCGGTGGAGGTTGCAGTGAGCTGAGATGGCGCCACTGCACTCCAGCCTGGGTGACAGTGAGACTACATCTCCAAAAGAAAAAAAAAAAAAAGCCGGGTGCTGAGGCCTGCCACCGAAGGGTGGAAGCTGGAGGCGCTTGGACACCCTGGATGCTGCAGGGCCATGATGCCGGCCCAGCCACCTCTCCCCTCCCAGACACCTTCTGAGTCCAGCCCAAGGAGAATACTATCCCCCCCACCAAACTGCTAAGGACAACGCATCCCTTTGCTGATGCCTAAAAGGCAGCTTGGGGCCTGTGCCTGTCTGGCACTGCCTCCCTGGGTGGGTCAGCCTGCGCTGTGTAGGCCTCTGAACAGTCAGGGACCCCAGGGTTTTCAGGGCTAAAGCACCTCTGGCGGGTGGCATGGCTGCGCTGGGCAGCTCCCATTTTAATGTGTCAGGCCCTAATTTGGGGCCACAGGAGGAGGTATTCAACATCAGGGACCCATGGGAGTCAGTGGCTCCAATGCCCAGGGGAAAGGAAGGGTGGCTGAAGGAGAGTAAGAGGCTCAGCTGCTTCTCCAGACGAGGGTGAGGCTGCTGTAGGGAGGAAGGTGAGTACTGCTCTCCTCTTCCGCGGGAGGGTCTGTACCTCCGCTAGGCCCCTAGCCGGCTTCCGCGGACCACTCAACCCTATAACCAAGCCCCGGCACGGCGCCACCCCTACGCTCCAAGGGCAAGGAAGAGGAGCCGGGGCCAGCCCCTGCTCTGGGTGTTCGAGCCCACCGGCTCCTTACCTGAGGCGGCGCTGTCCCTGGTAGCCCCTCCAGCAAGCCGCTCCAGAACCCGGTTCAGAAGATGCTCGGGCCGCTCGGGGGCGCCCAGAGGGGCCCAGGGCGGCGAAGTCAAGGGCTCGCCTGGGGACAGCTCGTCAGATGAGTAGGAGGAAGGGGAGCGCAGGGGCCCCCCTCCCCCGAGAGGCCCGGGCCCCGGCACCTCCTCCAGCTGCAGCCAGCAGGGCCCCCCGCTGCCCGGCTCCTCCGCGACCCCCGCCGGCTCTCCTCCTTCCTCCTCAGGGGGCGGCTCCAGCCCCGGCTCGGCGGGGGGCTCCCGGAGGAAAGCGGGGAGCAGCAGGCGAGACACGCTCTGACGCCGCTGCAACGACCGCTGTCCCCCGGCTGGACCGCCGCCCCCGCCGGGTCCCCCACCCCCTCCAGGCCCACCGCAGCTCCCCAGACCCCCGCCGGGACCTCCCGCCACCGTTCGGCCCGCCAGCTGCGACGTCTGCTTCTTCAGAAATTTCTCCAGCGGCTTCATGCCCCCCCCCGCCCCTCTCCTAGGGGTCGCCGGGGGACCCAGGTATCCCAGGCGCGGGCGGGGGGGGCGGCGAAGACACGATGCTCAGAGCTGGAGGAGCAGAGTAGAGGGCCGTGCCAGGCGCCAGACTGGGGGCCAGAGGGGCCGAGCCTCGCTGGCCAGAGTCCAGTGGCCAGTAGCCGGGGGAGGTGCCAGAGGAAAGGAGTGCTCGCTCTCAGCAACCCCCCATGCCGGCTGCAGCCGGCACGCGGCCCGAAGAGTGGGCAGGCTGCGGGGCCGGTGCGCCCGGCTCTGCGCTGCGGCGGCAGAGGCAGCGGGCGGAGCGCAAGGCTGAGAGGACGCGGCGGCGGCGGCGGCGGCGGCTGCGCTCCTGGCCGTGAAGAGGGGGAAGGTGGCAGAACCGAGACCGCGCCCCCTCCTCCAGTCCCCGCCCAGTCCCCGCCCCTACCCTTCCTCGGCTCGCCCCCGCGCCGCACGAGGCTTGAACTCGCGCGCTGGGGTTGACCGCGAGGGAAACAGTAAGGGACTTGGGTTCTAAGCAGAAGAAATTAAGGGCAAAGGTAAGTCAGAGATTTACCAATGGGGAAGGATTCCTGGCTCAAGGGATAACCGGGTCTCAGCATCATTTCAAAGAGTCAGGACAGGTCTGTGGCCTGGACACCTTCACTCACCTACCTGTGTACCCAAGTCAGGCCTACAGATTGCTGAACCCAAGAGTGTGCACCTTTCTCATACTCACAGAAATATGTGGAGTTTATCTTCCTTCTGTGAGAAGAGCTGGGAAGGCCTCTTGGGTGAATTAGCATTGCCACTGGAGGCGGTGCCCATCTGTCCTCTCTGGTAGGGCACAATAGGTGGTGTGGGCCTGGTCTGTGGGCAGGTACTGGCAGGCAGGTAGGAGCCAGGCAGGGAGCAGCAGGTTGTGGCAGGTCTAGCTGGGGTGAGGAGGGGATAATAGGCAGTGGGGAGGAGACCAGGAGCACAAGGGCACCTGAGCCCAGCTGGCAGCAGAAGGAAGCAGGGCCATGGAGACAGGTGACAAGCCCCAGAACTGCCGACTATCATCAAGCACAGAGCCCAAGTGTACATGGCCATGGAGTGGGAAAAGTGGTGCCAATTAGCACTCCAAGTAATCCTTACTCCTGATGCCCACACCAGGAGCATTCTGTCCTTAAGGATATGCTGCCCCAGAAGGAGTGTGGGGGAGGAGGGGGGTGCATCGTAAAGCCATGCTAAGTGTGAGAACATCCAGGTTAGACTTACAAGGTGTGGGAGTGGCAGCAGGTTCTCGATGGGTTGAGGCTCTCTGGACAATGCCCCACCCCTGTTTACCGAGCACCAACCAGGCAGAGACAGGAATGCTAATGGCTGGGAGTGGTAGTAAAACTGAACAGGGTGTGTATGACATACGTATCAATGTATGTGCATATCTGTTCCCATGTGTGCTAGAGCATGTGTTCACAGAAATAAAGCTTTGCACACCCATCTGTTTGTGGATTTGGAAACAGTAAAAAGAAGACAGCGCACAATTTTGGCTAAGAAGCTGTATTAGAGGTCTGAGTATCAGCTTCCTGTGCTCCCCTTATTGGACACTCCAATATCCCCTGGCTTGAAAGGGGAAAGTGGCTGGAATGGGTTGGAGCTCCCCAGGTAGCATTTTATGAACTGAATAGGAAGAGGGAAGGGCTTCTCTCCCAGCACATGCCACAGTTACCAGATTAAGCCGGTTGCCTTGGTAACCTTCTCTCTGGGCAGGATTTGGGAATTGTTGGTTAGGAAGGGCGAATTGGGGAGTGTGAAGGGTGTAGGGGGTTGAAAATAAAACAGACTGAGAGACTTCTGGAAGCTAGAAGCTTGGGACACAGGACCCCAGTACTCCCCCAAATGCTCAAGGATGTCAGGCAGAGACTAAGTTCAACATTTTGAATCAGTGAGGAGAGCCAGCATCAAGTCATGGTCCTCCTGGAGTGGCAGTGGTTTTCACCCTGACTACACACTGGAATCACAGGGAAGCTTCTCAGAAATACTGATGCTGGCTGGGCTTGGTGGCTCACGCCTGTAATCTCAACACTTTGGGAAGCCAAGGCGGGCAGATCACTTGAGGTCATGAGTTCAAGACCAGCCTGACCAACATGGTGAAACCCCACTTCTAAAAATACAAAAAAAATTAGCCGGGCATGGTGGCACACACCTGTAATCCAAGCTACTTTGGAGGCTGAGGTAGAAGGATTGCTTGAACCTGGGAGGTGAAGGTTGCAGTGAGCTGTTATCATGCCACTGCACTCCAGCCTGGGTGAGAGACTCCATATTAAAAAAAAAAAAAAAATACTGGCCAAGTGCAACAGCTCACGCCTATAATCCCGGTACTTTGGGAGGCCGAGAAGGGTGCAACATGAGGTCAGAAGTTCGAGACCAGTCTGGCCAACATAGTGAAACCCTGTCTCTACTAAAAATACAAACATTTGCTGGGCATGGTGGCTGGTGCCTGTAATCTCAGCTACTCAGGAGGCTGAGGCAGGAGAATCGCTTGAACCCGGGAGGTGGAGGCTGCAGTGAGCCGAGATCATGCCACTGCACTCCAGCCTGGGCAACAAGAGCAAGACTGTCTCAAAAAAAAAAAAAACAAACAAACAAAAAAAAAACTGATGCCTAGGCCATATCTCAGACCAATTAAATCAGATTTCTGAACCAGGGCGAAGGCTTATGGTATTTTTTAAAAAGCTCCTCACATGACACAAATGGCCAGGATTGAAAATCACTGCCCTAGACGGACAGTCAACCCAAGTGGGCTGCAGATGCTGGGAGCTGACTTTGGAATTCCAAGTCTTTGGTGCTCCGAGTTGCCTACAAGGTAGCAGGTCTGTGCGCTGACCCTGAAGGGGAAGAGAGCTGGCAGAGCATTTGCACCCGCTTATGGAAGAAATAAAGAGGAAGGCAGGGTGGTATGAATAACAACTATGAGATGGGGGCGAAAAAGCTTTGAGCTTTTTTTGAGCCCATGGGCTTCTACAAGGGGACTGGGCAGGGCCACCTCAGGCTATCTGTCTGCTGCTTACACACCCTCTTCTTTCTGCCCACCCAGAGGCAGGCTGGGAGGATAGAGAGAACCTGGGGGCTTTGCTGAGCTTGAGTTTCTTCTTGCAGAGCTGGTTACCAGGGCAACAGAGAGAGCAATAGGGTCTAACTGAAGGACTAGGGAAGCAAGAGGCAAGGGTAAAGGGGAAGCATCCAACACTCAAACCTCCTGCCAGTAACCCACCCCCAAGGCTGGATGGCATTTTTTCATAACCCCAGGAGATCAGGCCTACAGTCACCCATCACATTGTGGGGAAGAGAAGCAAACTGACATGATTTAAAGAGGAATTAGGGGCCCAGCGTGGTGGCTCACGCCTGTAATCCCAGAACTTTGGGAGGCCAAGCTGAGCCAATCACCTGAGGCCAGGAATTTGAGACCAGCCTGGCCAACATGGTGAAACCCCATCTCTACTAAAAATACAGAAAAAAAGTAGTGGGGCATGGTGGCGGGCGCCTGTAAACCCCAGCTACTTGGGAGGCTGAGGCAGGAGAATCGCTTAAACCCGGGAGGTGGAGGTTGTGGTGAGCCGAGATCGTGCCACTGCACTCCAGCCTGGGCGACAGAGTGAGACTCAGTCTAAAAAAAAAAAAGGAATTAGGGACGGGGCTCAGAAAAGTCACAGTCCTCTGGCTGTGGCACCAGCACCAAGATATGGGGGAAGTCCCATCTGTCTTTATAAGATGTACAATAGTTGGGCACAGCAGCTCAAGCCTGTAATCCCAGCACTTTGGGAAGCCCAGACAGCGGGATCACTTGAGCCCAGGAATTCAATGACCCTATCTCTACAAAAATAAATTAGCTAGGTGTGGTGGTGCATGCTTGTGGTTTCAGCTACTTGAGAGGCTGAGGTGGGTGGATTGATTGAGCCCAGGTGGTCAAAGCTGCAGTGAGCCACGATTGTGCCATTGCACTCCAGCCTGGGCAATAGAGCAAGACCAAAAAAAAAAAAAAAAAAAAAAAAAAGATGTACTATGATATCTATGCCTCCCGTGTATGGATTTGTGAAACCCAACAAATGCTGCCAGCTCCATATGAAAGTTGCTCTCCCATACCAGAGATAGCTTCTGTAGTAAACTTCCATCCCACCCAGGACCTAGAGGAAAAAGTCACTTCAAAGGTAGGAACTGCCCTCTAAGCATCAAAGGCCAAGTGGACTAGGTAAACTGAATTATGACCCACAGTTGATTTGTTTTTTGAAATCATGTGTCCAGGCAGGTTATGTTATCTGTCCATTTCACTTTGGGATATTAGTGTTGCAAAATATTTGTTATAAGAAAGGAACATTGGGGCTGGGTGTAGTGGCTTGCACATGTAATCCCAGCACTCTAGGAGGCTAAGACAGGAGGATCATTTGAACCAAGGCGTTCCAGACTAGCCTGGGTAACACACTGAGACCTCGTCTCTACTAAAAACAAACCACAAAAATTAGCTGGGCATGGTGGTGTGGGCCTGTAGTCACAGCTATTTGGGAAGCTGTGGCAAGATTGCTTGAACCTTGGAGTTCCAAGTTACAGCAACCTATGATTGTGCTACTGCATTCCAGCCTGGGTGACGGGCAAGACCGTCTCAGAAAAAAAAAAAAAAGTGACTTTGGATCTGGTAGGGTGGAGAGCCACTGGCAAGGACATTAAGAACACAGACTCAGACTTGGCCTTGGGAGGCCAAGGCAGGTGGGTCACCTAAGGTCAGGAGTTCAAGACCAGCCTGGCCAACATGGTGAAACCCCATTGCTACTAAAAATACAAAATTTGTTGTACAAAAAATACAAAAATTTCTACTAAAAATACACACACACACACACACACACACACACACAAATTCCCTTCCCCTTACCTGAGCTGATAGTCTCTCTAAGACTGTGTGGTCCTGAATACTTTAGTGTCAGCATCTTTACTTTTCCTTTTTTTTTTTTTTTTTTTTGAGACGGAGTCTCACTCTGTCGCCCAGGCTGGAATGCAGTGGCGCAATCTCGGCTCACTGCAAGCTCCACCTCCCGGGTTCCCATCATTCTCCTGCCTCAGCCTCCCAAGTAGCTGGGACTACAGGCACCCGCCACCACTCCCAGCTATTTTTGTATTTTTAGTAGAGGCAGTGTTTCACCCTGTTTAGCCAGGATGGTCTCGATCTCCCTGATCGAGATCTGCCCACCTCGGCCTCCCTAAGTGCTGGGATTACAGGCGTGAGCCACGGTGGCCAGCAGCATCTTCACTTTTCAAGAAAGCTAGCTACCTGTACTTCCCCCCAACCCAGGACTTGGTATAGTTATATTGACATCTGATGGCATATTACCTTGGGAAACTTACTTGCCAAACACAAAGGAAGCCATAAAGGATACTAGATGCTCATGTGAATAACCAGCATCTCACTACTTTTCTGTCCCTGACACTTCCAATCTAAGGGATGGCATGACATCCTGGTGATCTATGTGGTTAAAAAAGATAACTGATGGGGAGTGCAGACACATTTATGGCCTCATAGGGGCTCCTCATCTCTCTGGGCTTCTGTTTCACAACTTGGGCTGACCTGAGTTGTGACCGTGACCCTGTGGGGGAATTAGGGAGTCCTCTTCCCTCCCTCCCAAATCAAGACTCATGCAAAACACTGGCAAGGGAGCCAAGTTTATAGTCTAAATTTTATTATCTCCAAGTCACAATGCTGATCACAAATGGGCACCCTTTAAAACAGTAACAAAAAACACCACCACACATGGAAAAATCCTTGCAACTAAACACAGTGGACCAACAGAGACAACTCTCACAGTGTCTTAAGGTCTGGGAATCTGGGCATGCTGCCCACAGGCTTGAGGAGACATCTTCAGGTTTAAGGCAAAGGGAACAGCCTACAAAAGGCACAACCACCAGCTACCCCTAGAAGAATCTCTTAGTTATTTCCTCCTTGGGGGTTACAGATTAAGTGCCTCTCCCCACTCTCCATCCCACACCTGTGACTCAGAGTGATTAGGCCAGCTGCTAGATGGAAGGAATAAAAACAGTGACATTACCGGGGAGAGACACAGCCACCATCTTTGCCCTCAGGTTCTGTAGAAGGACAGGGACAGTGGCCAGGTTACCCCTGGCAGACGTATGTACTGCAGTAATAGGAATCTCTTCCACAGAGGCAGCAGAGAAGTGGTTTAGTGCCATGGATAGGGAGGAAAGATAGGAGCCCTTGCCCAGAAGGTGACTGGCTTCCTTAGGCCTTAAGCCCAGGAGTTTTTATATTCTGTCTGCAAGGACAAAAATAGAATTCGGGGAAAATAAGGTAGTAACATCTAAAACACTTGTAGCAGGAAAGACGTGGAGAAGAGCAATTGCAAAGGACAGGGTAGACTGCTTGCTGGATAATATTTGCCTTTAAAGAGATGCATTGGTCCACAGCAACTGGAAAAGGGGTGTAGCAAGAAGAATGGAAAGAAGAGAAGCAAGGCCCTCTAATTCCACTTACCTCAAAAGACTGAGCCCTGAGGACTATGTGAATACACACCCCTAAAGGCAAAGGCTCTCACTCCACCATCCCTTTCTCACAAAAGCATCTGGTGTGCCATCTCTCCCCACAGTAGGGTATTGGCCCTCAGCAGAGAACAGAAGCCCATCATAGTACAGGTATTGATGGATGCTCAGACTCCTAAAAACCTAAGTCAAAGAGAAGGGCTCCTACCCACCTACTCTGAGCTTTTCTGCACAATGGGACCCTCTGTGCAGACAGCCATGCTTCCACAGGGTTAGAGTTAAGGGAATACAAGTATACAAGAGGATAACAAATGCCAACTAAAAGTGAAAGGCCAGGTCTTTTTAGACTTGGTGGGGAAGGCTGGCTGATACATTCTCCATTATCTGGGATGCACGGAAGAGTCAAAAGGGAATCCAGAGGGGCTAGAAAACCAGAAGACTAGACTTGTTTCATTTAAAGGCAGGGAGAGAGAGCAAGAAACAGAAACAAAGAGAAAAAATTAAAATAATATTAAGGATAAGAAGCCAGGCTTTAAAAATGAACATCTTAGAAAACAAAACAAACAGGAAGGAGCTTCCTTGGGAACAGAAGACACTTCAATTTCCCAGAAGTGAAGAACAGCAGAAGACATGGGCTTCTGTATCTAGACTCAGAAGCTTGGGGCTGTCTGGCTCTCTCTGCTCCCCCGAACACAGCCAACTCAAGTGAAGAGTGAAGATGGGACGAGGTCCACTTGTTTCTCCCTCTCTCTAGAGCCTGTCCTCAGAGGAAGGCAGGGGTCCTCCTCTTTCAGCTGTTTGCTGGTAGGAGCCACACCCTATATCTTTGAAGCCCTTCTGGTAGTAGATAGCCAGCTGTATTTCTCTTCTGAGTTCTCACCTCTGCTGCTCTGACAGGGGTTGGAAAAAGGGAAGAACCACCAAAGTGTTAGTGGGCCTTCTGGGCATTCACAAGCTGTTTTCAAAAAGCCACACTTCTAAATAATGTGTTTTAAGTAATGTCCTTAAACAAAAGCAACAAAACCCCCAGTCCTTCTCCTCTATGATCTTTAGAACTGGTTTTTTCTGCTATAACATCTCAAATTTAGATTTCCCTTTTCCTTGACTGCCTTCCTGTATTTTTTCCTTGTAGCTTCCCAATTGAAAACTGTCATGTTAACAATCGTTTCTACTTCAACCCTGCCCAATACACTTGCCAAACAAACAAACTGGCAAATTTCAGGACTCCTTTAAGCCTCCTGAGATATCCCATGATTATTATAACTTAAAGCATTAATCAGAGGCTGGGTGGGGTGGCTCACACCTGTAATCCCAACACTTTGGGAGGCCAAGGCAGGTGGATCACCTGAGGTCAGGAGTTCAAGACCAGCCTGGCCAATATGGTGAAACCCCATTCCCACTAAAAATACAAAAATTAGCCAGGTGTGGTGGTGCGTGCCTGTAATCCTAGCTACTTAGGAGGCTGAGGCAAGAGAATCGCTTGAACTCAGGAGATGGAGGTTGCAGTGAGCCGAGATTGCACCACTGCACTCCAGCCTGGATAACAGACTGAGACGCCGTCTCAAAAAAAAAAAAAAAAAAAAAAAAAAAAAAAGCATTAATTAAGTGATTTTTGTTTATTAAGCAAGTGTGAGCATTAGTTTTAACAATATTCACAGTAAGTTGTGCACTTACTTTTATATGATGTTAAGATTTAAAATATTCAGAAACTTGTATTAACTGGAACCCCTGCTTACAACCTGAAATAACAAAGTTGGAATTTGTTATCAGGTCATAACAAAAAGACTGTTTTCCAGAGAAACACACCCAGAAAATGAGGGAAATCCTCTGGGGAGAAGGAAAGCCCACTGACGGAGCATGTGCATTAAGTATAGGAAGGAACTCTCATACCTCAGGTGGAGGGGGCTTGATGGTGACTGGCTGGGGAGTCCTCCGGGGTGGGGAGGGCTTTGGCTGCACCTGCTGCTGGGCGGGGTTATAGTAGGTCACTCCTCCATATACCTGTGATGGGGCCTGGGACCCCACAAGCCAGGAGAAGAAAAAGTTAGGAATGAATTCATCCAACCTATGATGAACAGGAAATATTATTCAGCCATAAGAGAATTGGGGAATTTATAATTTTAAAAATATCTAATCTGCCCACCCTTCAAAATAAAGTGACTATTCATTTTTGCCTTAATTCTTCATTATTATGCTCTGGTTTTTATTTCTTCAAAGTACTGCCCAGCTTTCTCTAATTCCTACCATCAGCTGACAAATGGAAAAGGCTGAGTTCAGTAGCGACACTACAGATACTTGATTATGTCAACGTGGTGGAAGTTAAGCAGGACAGAGGTAGGGGTGATAAGGAGTAGAATACAGCTTCTTTATGCAATAGAGTAAAAACCAGGTATTGCCACCTATGATGTACCACAACACAGGAAAGAAACACCATTAAAGAAACTGAACGCTGGGTGCGGTGGCTTATGCCTGTAATCCCAGCACTTTCGGAGGCCGAGGCAGGTGGATCGGTTGAGGTCAGGAGTTTGAGACCAGCTTGGCCAACATGGTGAAACGCCATCTCTACTAGAAATACAAAAACTAGCCGGGCATGGTGGCAGGCACTGTAATCCCAGCTACTCGGGAGGCTGAGGCAGAAGAATCGCTTGAACCCAAGAGGTGGAGGTTACAGTGAACCGAGATCACGCCACTGCACTCCAAGCCTGGGCAACGGAGAAAAAAACTGAAAAGAATAAAGATGATGGGCATTACATAAGCTGCATTTCCAGCTCCTGACCACTAAGAGGCGTCTTGGTGTCACATACAAATCAGTGGCACTGAAAATGTTCTCTCAAATTCCTTTAGCATTCTCCCCATACCACATTCCTGTCTGAATTAAAGAATGTGTATCTAGAAAAACATGATCATTAGCCATCTCACCTGTGTATTAGGATACAGATGAGGCGGTGGTGGGGGAGGCAGTGCCCCTGGAGCATAAGGGTAACTGGGATTACCAAAGTTCATGACGCCTGGAGCAGAAAAGTAAGTAGGAGCAAGCAACTGCTGAGGTGGTGGCTGTCCTGGAGACATGGACACTGGTGGGGGATAGAGGCCTGGATTGGGCAGAGGAGCTGGTGTCTGGTGGGGATGTAAACCTGGATAAGGAGAAGAAAAAAACTGAAAAATAAAGTAACATCATTTTCACAGGATGGCCCGGCTGGACTGCTCAGTATAATCAGGCTCAGAATGGAAGTCCTCAGGATGGACACAAGAGGAACTTGTTGCCCAAGCAGCCAGGATGGCCAGACTCCCAGGCTAGCAGCACAAAGCTCAGGAGGATGGGTTTTGTGGCACTCCCAACATATATCCTCAGGTACTGGAAGCATATAAGCAGAGACACAAAGCTTACCTGGGTGGGGAAGGTTCATTCCTGGCTGCACAAGCATGCCCTGTGGAGGCAGCGGGGCAGGGCTGTCACCATGGGTATAGATTGGTCCCTGGAACTGCACTGTAAGATATCACATTGGGACTCTCATAAACCCTTACTCTTCACATGGACAAGTCTCCTTGTTCCCCAAGCCCTTTAAAAGATGTTCTCAATATTCCATGCGAAGAAAACAGCAACCAGACAATGTTTGATAACCACTATAAGAGGTCAGAAGAGAAATTCAGGAGCCAGGAGCCTGGTATCTTACTTCACTTCACCCTGCCAAGAAAAGTACCCCAACAGTAAGAAAAAACTCACGTGGATCATAGTAATGTCCCTCCATGATACTGATATGCACTGGAGGGGCGGGGGGCTCTGGCACAGGTCTTTGCCGCTGGGATGAATAGCGTTTGGCTCGACCACCCTGGACACCCTGAGACAAAGAAAGAGGCCTAAACAATAAGAATTCTAGAGGGCTCTCATATCAAGTCCTACCTTCCTTTAGGTGTTGAAAAACACTTGGTACATGGCAGGTATTTAATGGATATTTGCAAAGTGAGCTGAAAAATAATGAAAAGATATCAAGATTTGAACCTAAACCTTCTACCTTACATTTAGGAGATCCAAATTAAAAGAAACATGCATAATCAATGGAAAAACTGACTTTATCTTGGCCGGGCGTGGTGGCTCATGCCTGTAATCCCAATACTTTGGGAGGCCAGGGTGGGTGGATCATGAGGTCAGGAGTCAGGACCAGCCTGGCCAACATGGTGAAACCCTGTCTTTACTAAAAATACAAAAATTAGCTGGGCATGATGGCACGTGCCTGTAATGCCAGCTACTCGGGAGGCTGAGGCAGAATTGCTTGAACTGGGACCCAGGAGGCAGAGCTTGCAGTGAGCCGTGATCCCGTCACTGCACTCTAGCCTGGGCAACAGAGCGAGACTCTGTCTCAAAAAAAAAGAAAGAAAGAAAAGAAAAAAAAAAAAGACCTTATCTTGGTTTAAACAATGAACAAGCTGTGTAACAGGCAGCTCCCTCCCCCATCTACCCCTTTCCCCTTCTGTACCATTTCTTCCATCCGGTTAAACTGAGGTGGAGGTCCTGCTCCCATGTGTATATGGTTGGGCATACCTGTAATACACCAAAAAAGTCACTTCTGCAGATCAGACATACGTGAGTGGGACTCAAAGATACTATCAAGAGACAGGTTTAAGTGTCAACATAAGGAATGCCTTTTTTCTTTTAACTAATAAAATTCTCTATAAACTATCTCTGCTTTCTGTCAACACCAGCATTTAGAAATTTGTCCCCACTGTCTGCCATCTTAATATAGCAATAAAGCCCTTGAAAATGAAAAATAAAATGACTTCAGTGAAGAAAATCAAATTCAAATTTTTTCCTATCAAATTGTTCCCTGCATAGAATCCCTGAGAGATTATAATTAGCACATTACATTATCCAACATATTGAAAAATCTCAGCCCAAGAGTTTCTGAGCAACAGCTGGACAAGGGAGGGATGCTTTGTAAATCTACTTGATTATATCCATTCACAGGGGTCTGGGTTGGAAGTTTGAAAGGAGATTCTCCTCTGGCTAAAATGACTCAAGACAAAAAGGAATGTTCTAGAGATTGTCCTCCAATAGTAAGAAGGGTGCTGCAACTCCAATTGAGGAGTTCCAATATTTAAGTTAGATTTCAGACTAAGGGAAGATCCTTTGATCTATCTGGCTGGAGAAAAACAAACCACAATAGGCAAAATGGGTAATAGGTAGGTCTTACTCTCTAAAACTATGCTGCCCAATATGATATCCACTAACCAAATGTGGACACTTAAGTTTCAATTAATTAAAAGTTCAATTCCGGCTGGATGCAGTGGCTCATGCTTATAAGCCCAGCACTCTGGGTGGCAGAGGTAAGACTGCTTGAGCCCAGGAGTTCAAGACCAGCCTGGAAAACACAGTGAGACCCCCCGTCTTTTCAAAAAATAAAAAAAATCAGCCAGGTGTAATGATGTGTGCTTATGATCTTAGCTACTGAGGAGGCTGAGATGGGAGGATTGCTTGAGCCCTGGAGGCGGAGGTTGCAGTGAGCCAAGGTCACGCTACTGCACTCCAGACTCTAGCCTGGGTGACAAAGTGGGACCCATCTAAAAAAAAAAAAAAACAAAAAAAAAAACTATATCTATGTAAACACAACAACAACAAAAACACAAAAGTACAATCATTACACAAAGTTCTATTGGGCAATCTGTCTCTAGAAGATTAAGGAAATAAGGGAGGCTTGCCTTTCAAATATATTAGAGAAGATCTTGATCAAAATTCAACTGAATAAATTTCTGCCTTCAAATATTTAACCATTAGTTCAAATAATAACGTTGTCTTCTTCTACTTTTTGTGGAAAATGATCCTGTACTCAGGAGGCTCAATGATGACCGGGCAGGTGCAGTGTCTTCCATCTGTAATCCCAGCGCTTTAGGAGGATCTCTTGAGCCCAGGAGTTCAAGATTAGCCTGGGCAATATAGCAAGACCCATCACTACAAAAAATTTTTTAAAAATTAGCTGGGGCTGGCACAGTGGCTCACGCCTGTAATCCCAGCACTCTGGGAGGCCAAGATGGGTCGATCACTTAAGGTCAGGAGTTCGAGACCAGCCTGGCCAACATAATGAAACCCCATCTCTATGAAAAATACAAAAATTAGGTGTGGGCCAGGCACGGTGGCTCATGCCTGTAATCCCAGCACTCTGGGAGGCCAAGGTGGGCGGATCACGAGGTCAGGAGATCGAGACCATCCTGGCTAACACGGTGAAACCGTCTCTACTAAAAATACAAAAAAAAAAACTAGCCAGTCGCGGTGGTGGGCGCCTGTAGTCCCAGCTATTCAGGAGGCTGAGGCAGGAGAATGGCGTGAACCCAGGAGGCAGAGCTTGCAGTGAGCCGAGATCACACCACTGCACTCCAGCCTGGGCAACAGTGAGACTCTGTCTCAAAAAAAAAAAAAAAAAATTAGCCAGGTGTGGTGGTGAGAGCCTGTAATCCCAGCTACTCAGGAGGCTGAGGCAGGAGAATTGTTTGAGCCCTGGACGCAGAGGTTGTAGTGAGCCAAGATCGTGCCACTGCACTCCAGCCTGGGCAACAGAGCAAGTCTCTGTCACAAAAAAAAAAAAAAAAAAAAAAAGGCCAGGCACGGTGGCTGTGGCTCACACCTGTAATCCCGGCACTTTGGGAAGCCAAGGTGGGAGGATCACAAGGTCAAGAGATCAAGACCATCCTGGCCAACATGGTGAAACCCGGTCTCTACTAAAAATACAAAAATTAGCCCAGCGTGGTAGTGCACGCCTATACTCCCAGCTACTCGGGAGGCTGAGGCAGGAGAATCACTTGAACCCGGAGGTGGACATTACAGTGAGCCGAGATCGTGCCACTGCATCTAGCTTAGGCAACAGAGCAAGACTCCATCTCAAAACAAATAAATAAATAAAAATACAAAAAAAAAAATTAGCTGGGCGTGGTGGTGTGCGCCTGTAACCCCAGCTACTCAGGAGGCTGAGGCAGGAGAATCACTTGAACCTGGGAGGCGAAGGTTGCAGTGAGCCAAAATCGCGCCACTGCACTCCAGCCTGGGCAAAAGAGTGAGACTCTGTCTCAAAAAAAAAGAAGTAGACATTTGTCAGACACCACCTTCCTGAGACAGAAGTCCCATGCCCCTAAACCTGATGATGCAAAGGGGAAAAAGCTAGCCACCAATCCTATGATACCTACCTCGAAGTTCCCGTGGTTGCAGGAAAGAAGGCTGCCCCGGACTCCAATTCTGTTCTGCTATATTTAGTTGTGCCACATCTTGCTCAAGTCCACTTGTACTAGAATCCACCGGAGCTTCCCAGGTCCCAGTCTTAGTAGGTGGAGTTGGGGTGGTTTCTGGGACTGGAGGTGCTGGAATCAGTCCTTCAGGAGGAGGGGGCACCTCCTCTGCAAGCTTGACTGCATCTCCAACTTTGGTTCGAGTTCTTCTTGCCCGGGAATAGGATTTCTTCTCAATGGGCCTATCAGGGGGTGGTGGTGCAGCATCAGGAGCAGCAGCTGGTGGCTCTGAGGCTGCCTCTTCCTTCTCAGGACTGCCAAGCACTGGAGCATCTGCTTCTGGAGATGGATCCCTCACAGAAGTCTGCTCTAGGCGCCGTGACCGGTAACTAATCTCATGCTTAACAGTCTCACCAGACCGGCCACCATGCTGCCCACCAGCTTCCACAGGCCTAAAACCAGCACGACCTTCCTTGAAGCCCCCAGATCGAGAATAATTCCTGGGTGCAGACATACGGCCGGTACCTGCAGCATTCCTGTTAATAAATGTCCTTGGTGGTAGGGTGCCCCCAAGACCCTGGTGGCGATGAGACTTGTTTAGCCGCTCACCGTTCCAGTTTGGATCTCTTTGTGGAGGACTCCCATATCTACAAAAAATGGAATGAAGAAACTGTTAGGAAATTAACAAAAGGAGGCTACGCGCGGTGGCTCAGGCCTGTAATCCCAGCACTTTGGGAGATCGAGACGGGCAGATCACTTGAGGCCAGGAGTTCAAGACCAGCCTGGCCAACATAGCGAAACCTCATTTCTACTAAAAATACAAAAATTAGCCGATCGCGATAGTACGCGCCTGTAATCCTGGCTACTCAGGAGGCTGAAGCAGGAGAATCACTTCAACCCAAGAGGTGGAGGTTGCAGTGAGCCGAGAACATGCCATTGCACTCCAGCCTAGGCAACACAGCGAGACTCTGTCTTAAATAAATAAATAAAAAGAAAAGCAAAGAGAATTCTTTCTAAAAGATATCAAGAGTCTACACTCTATTTTTTTTTTCCTTTTTTTCTTTTTTTTTTTGGAGACAGGGTCTCACTATGTTCCCCAGGCTGGTCTTGAACTCCTGGCCTCAAGCAATCCTCCTGCCTCAGCCTCCCAAAGTGCCGGGATTCCAGGTGTAAGCCACCGTAAGCCACCATACCCAGCCTGGTCTTATGTTCTAAAATGTCCTCACCGGGGTTTCCGGATTCTTCGAGGTTTGATGTCATCAGGATTATGAGCTGAGCGAATGTCATAACCATAAAGAGCAATGAGCTCCTGTCGGGACTTTGGGGCCTGCTCATCTTCCCGGAACTTGTCATGCTCCCAGCGACCCTCATCCTTCCATAGCTTTCGCTGACGCCCCTTGGGTCTGGATAAAATGAAGGAAAAGTGTCTTGGGTCAGCAGAATTCTCCAAGTAGAGATGTTCTTGAACAAAATGGGTCAGGGAGGCAGGGGGACAATAGGAACTTTACGTAGTCTCCTCATCATCCCAAAGAGATTATAAAAAACAGGCCTCCCCAAAGCAAGCGTGAATCACAGAACCTCAGGGCCTGCTGGGCTCAAATATAACAGACACAGAAATGAGAAAAAGACTTCATTTCATGCCATTCAGTACCTTTGAAACATCTCCTTTCTCCTAAAAGGCAACCTATGCAAGTATTTCACTTCTCAGACGCCTTACACCTCAGACTAAGAAAAGCAAAAGTATAATAATTAAGAGAAGATGAGTTCTGGAAACAAACTGTCCTAGGTCTGTATCTTAGCTGCCTCACCAAGAGTTACCAAATATTCTAAGCCTACTTTCCTCATTTGTACGATAAGGATAATCATAATACTTATCTTAAAATGCTGTAATAAATGAAATACAGGCAAATCGAAGTACCTGGCCTACATGTGTAAAATACATGTTAGACAGCAGCAGCAGCAAGTGGCTTTTACCTGACTTCCTCCTCCTGAGTTTGCCCTCGAAGATCATGCTCAAAGAAGAGCCCTTTCCGAGGTATGTATGCTGGATTCTTCCGATCTTCATCATCATCCAAATGCTTAGGGCCCTTTTTACCCACTTTGTTCTCCACAGGCTCTGTGCTCTCCTAGAGGACAGATAAAGGGATCCTTACTCTTCCAAGCCTCAAGAATCTCTATTCCAGCCTCTAAAATGGAGGACTGTGGAATGTACTAACCTGTCCGTCCCCACTTTGCCTCTCTCCAGTCACAGTGCTTTTGGTGTCAGGCTTTTCTTCTCCCTTCTCTTCTTTTGTTGAAGAATTAACAGCATCATTAGCTTCTGATTTCAGCTCCACTTTGGAGTTTTCCTCTTCACTGTATTCACCTTCTTCACCCTGAAAAAAGTTTCCCTGTCAGCGATGCATATAAGATCTGAACGGTGCATTTTAATTCCCACCCCTGCCCCCAACCCCAAAACAAAGTCTCTGTCACCCAGGCTGGAATACAGTGGCACAATCTCAGCTCACTGTAACCTCTGCCTCCAGGGGTCAAGCAATTCTCCTGCCTCAGCCTCCTAAATAGCTGGGATTATAGGCGCCCACTACCGCGCCTGGCTAATTTTTGTATGTTTAGTAGAGACCAGGTTTCACCATGTTGGCCAGGCTGGTCTTGAACTCCTGATTTCGTGATCTGCCTGCCTTGGCCGCCCAAAGTGCTGGGTTTATAGGCGTGAGCCACCGTGCCTGGCTGCATTTCAATTTTCTACTCTTTAGGAATACATTTATCAATAAATTTTTAGTACAACATAGAACTGAAAAGCAAACAAATCAATATTCTTACCCATATTTCTAGAAAATAAAGATCCTATTTTGGCCTGGCACAGTGGCTCACGCCTGTAATCACATTTTGGGAGGCCAATGCAGGCAGATCACCTGCGGTCAGGAGTGTGAGACCAACCTGGCCAGCATGGCAAAACCCCATCTCTACTAGAAATATAAGAATTAGCCGCACTTGGTGGTAGGCACCTGTAATCCCAGCTGCTCGGGAGGCTGAGGCAGGAAAATCGTTTGAACCAGGGAGGCAGAGCTTGCAGTGAGCAGAGACTGCGCCACTGCACTTCAGCCTGGGCGACAGAGCAAGGCTCTGTCGCAAAAAATAGTAATAATAAAAAAAAGACACTATTTTAAAAATATCACATTAAAAAAAATACACACATACATACATATATATCCACATAGGTATTCCTGGAACATATGCAAGAATTATTAAAAGTGGCAGGCTGGGCGCAGTGGCTTACACCTGTAATCCCAGCACTTTGGGAGGCCGAGGCAGGCGTATCACTTGAGGTCAGGAGTTCGAGACCAGCCTGGCCAACATGGTGAAACTCTGTCTCTACTAAAAATACAAAAATTAGCCGGGAGGCGGAGGTTGCAGTGAGCCAAGTTTGTGCCACTGCACTCCAGCCTGGGTGACAAAAGCAAAACTCCATCTCGAAAAAGCAAAACAAAAAAACAAAAAAACAGCGGCAGCCTCTAATGGGCCCAGAGGATAAGAATGGAAGGGAGACTTACTATACGATACCTAACATATAAGAGGAGCTTAATCTTCCTTGATAATCTCTCTCTCCATGAATTATCTTTTTTTTTTTTTCTGTTTTGAGACAGGGTCTTGCTCTGTTGCCCAGGAGTGCAGTGGCACAATCATGGCTTACTGCAATCTCAATCTCCTGGGCTCAAGTGATCCTCCCACCTCAGCCTCCCAAGTAGCTGCGACTACAGGCACATGCCACCACACCTGGCTGATTTTTTTTTATTTTTAGTAGAGACGAGGTCTCGCTATGTTGCCTAGGCAGTTCTCAAACTGCTGAGCTCAAGCAATCCTCCTCCCTTGGCCTCCCAAAGGGCTGGGATTACAGGCATGAACACTGTACCTGGCCCATGAATTGTCTCTTAAACATGCAGTGCCTAATAACTATACTTTGACGTAAGTTGTGAACTCTCCCATCTCAAAATGGCTTAGAGCAGAAATTCCCAACCTTTTTGATTATGCGGACCCCTTTTTAGGATCTAAAAATTTTCATGGATCCCCATGAGATATTCACTGAGAAAACATACAATGACAAACAACTGCTAGGCTGGATGTAGTGGTTCACGCCTGTAATCCCAACACTCTGGGAGGCCGAGGTAGGTGGATCACTTGAGGTCCGGAGTTTGAGACCAGCCTGGCCAACATGGTGAAACCCTGTCTCTACTAAAAATACAAAAATCAGCCAGACATGGTGGCATGAATTTGTAATCCCAGCTATTTGGGAGGCTGAGGCAAGAGAATTGCTTAAACCCAGGAGGTGGAGGTTGCAGTGAGCCAAGATTGCACCACTGATACTAGTCTGGGCAAAAGAGTGAGACCCTGTCAAAAAAAAAAAAAAAAAAAAAAAAATTCGCCAGGAATGGTGGTGTGCGCCTATAGTCCCAGCAACTTGGGAGGCTGAGGTGTGAGATCATTTCAGCCCAGGAGGTAGAGGTTGCAGTGAGCCATAATTGTGCCACTGCGCTCCAGTCTTAGCAACAGAGAGAGATCCTGTCTCAAAAAAAAAAAAAAAAAAACACACAATGAACTGATGCGTGCGTGCCTGTAGTCCCAGCTACTCAGGAGGCTGAGGCGGGAGAATCACTTTAACCTGGGAGGCAGAGGTTGCAGTGAACCGAGATCGCACCACTGCACTCCAACCTGGACAACAGAGACTGTCTCAAAAACAAACAAAAAACAACAAACTGTTATACATTCAATAACACTTTAAGTTTACATTTTATTAATTTACATATATTCAAAAATAGTAGTACATAAGGGGGGAGATGTATATTTTAGTCTATAGATAATGAGAACTGAATGAGTAGACATGCAACTCTTTTTTGAGACAGGGTCTCACTCTGTCGCCCAGGCTGGAGTGCAGTGGTGTGATCTCAACTGACTATAGCCTTGACTTCCTGGGCTCAAGTAATCCTCCCACCTCAGCCCCCACAAGTAGCTGGGACTACAGATGTACACCACTATGCCCAACTAATTTTTGTATTTTTTGTAGAGACAGAGTTTCACCACATTACCCAGGCTGGTCTGAAACTTCTGAGCTCAAGCGAACCTCCTGCCTCAGCCTCCCAAAGTGCTAGGATTACAGGCATGAGCCACTGCGCCCAACCAGATGTGCAAACTCTTGATAATGACTCCATGATTTCCCAATGCACTTATCCTCAAGCTGGAAAATGGTAGCTTTTTTTAATGCCTATGAGTACTGGTTTTCTGCAGCAGAAAATTCCTGCAGCCAGAACATATCCAGAATCACATAATTACAAAAATTTGACCTAAAAAACCTTAAAGGACAACTTGTACAACCATCACATTTCAGAAATGAAAAAAATTAGTCCAAGTGCTCTCTCTCTCTTTTTACTATCTTCTTCCCTCTTTTACCACATCAAGATTGGGTAACACTGTTCATGACACAGAAAGTGCTGGGTCTACACACAAAGGATCATTAGGCCATTAGAAAGGGCCAGGAAATGGACGTGTGGCTAGTTCTAGGTAGGAAAAGGCAGCAGCTAAGGCTCATGATAAGGGAACTGGCTTTAGAATAGGGTTACTCTCCTCTCCTTGTCCTCCCCAGATTTGGACCTAAGGAGGCAGAGCTATGGCTAGGGAGGCCTACGAGAACACAGAGAAATGGGTTCAAGGAAAGGTGGTCTAGTCTTCATTGGTGGGTTACATCTGAAACCTGGTAGATGTATGTACACTGGTCTCTCACTCACCTACTGGGTCTGATACTTGAACTGAACCAGACTGCCCTGTCACTCAAGACCCAGGCTGGCCCCAATAATCTGGTCAAAGAGGCTCAACATGAGATTCCTGAATTCCTGATTGAGAAACTCTCAAACTCTAAGTTTCTGCCATCTCTTCAAATAGAGCTGAGTCAGCCTGATTGGCCCAGACAAGCCAATTAATCCCTCTTCCTCATTTTTCCCTGCTCAGCATCTGGGTATAGTTGACGCTGGAACAAGGGGTTTGAACTACTCAGGTCCACTTCTACGCAAATTTTTTTTCAATAGAAGTTGCAGCAAGTATGCCTGCCTCTCCTTCCACTGCCTCTGTCACCCAAGGCAGCAAGATCAACCCCTCCTCTTCTGAAGTCTACTCAATGCAAAGATGATGAAGACCTTTATGATGATCCACTTCCACTGAATAGTATGTTTCCTTAATAGTGAATGATTTCTTAATAACATTTTCTTTTCTCTAGCTTCATTGTAAGAGTACAGTACATAATACACATAAAATATAAAATACATATTCACTGACTGTTTATGTTATTGGTATGGCTTCCAGTTGACTTAGTAGTTAAGTTTTGGGTGAGTCAAAAGTTATACTTGGAATTCTTACTGCAACAGGGATAGGTGTCCTTTATATTTTATTTATTATTTATTTATTTTGGAGACAGAGTCTTGCTCTGTCGCCCAGGCTGGAGTGCAATGGCGCGATCTCAGCTCACTGCAACCTCCACCTCCTGGGTTCAAGCAATTCTTATGCCTCAGCCTCCTGAGTAGCAGGGACTACAGGCGTATGCCACCACTCCCAGCTATTTTCGTACTTTTAGTAGAGATAAGGTTTCACCATGTTGCCCAGGCTGGTCTCAAAGTCCTGAGCTCAGGCAAGCCGCCCACCTCGGCCTCCTGAGGTGCTGGGATTACAGGCATGAGGCACCACGCCCAGCCCCTTTTAATTAATTAATTAATTAATTTATTTATTTATTTATTTATTTATTTGAGACGGAGTCTCGCTGTTGTCCAGGCTGGAATGTAGTGGTGCAATCTCAGCTCACTGCAAACTCTGCCTCCCAGGTTCACGCCATTCTCCTGCCTCAGCCTCCCGAGTAGCTGGGACTACACGCACCCGCCACCAAACCTGGCTAATTTTTTGTATTTTTAGTAGAGACGGGGTTTCACCATGTTAGCCAGGATGGTCTCGATCTCCTGACCTCGTGATCCACCCGCCTCGGCCTCCCAAAGTGCTGGGATTACAGGCGTGAGCCACCGCGCCCGGCCAACCCCCTTTTATTTTTTTAACAGATGGGGTCTCACTGTATCACTCAGGGTAGAGTGTAGTGGTGTGATCATGGCTTGCTGCAGCCTCAAACTCCCGGGCTCGAGTGATCCTCCTGCCTCAGCCTCCTGAGTAGCTGGGACTGCAGGCACGTGCCATCATGCCCAGCTAATTTTTGTCCTTTTTTTTGTAGAGACAGGGTCTTGCTTTCTTGTCCAGGCTAGTCTCAAACTCTTGGACTCAAGTGATCCTCCTGCCTTGGCCCACTAAAGTGCTCAGATTAGAAGCATGAGTGACTGTACCCAGACAGGATAGGCACTCTTAACTCCCATGTTGTCCAAAGGTCAACTATTTTATTTTTTTAATTTTTTTTTATTGAAACGGAGTCTCACTCTGTCGCCCCAGCTGGAGTGCAGTGGCTGGATCTCGGCTCACTGCAAGCTCCGCCTCCCGGGTTCATGCCATTCTCCTGCCTCAGCCTCCCAAGTAGGTGGGACTACAGGCGCCCGCCACCATGCCCGGCTAATTATTTTTTGTATTTTCAGTAGAGACGGGGTTTCATCGTGTTAGCCAGGATGGTCTCGATCTCCTGACCTCATGATCCGCCTGTCTCGGCCTCCCAAAATGCTGGGATTATAGGCATGAGCCACCGCGCCTGGCCGTTCAAAGGTTAACTATTTTGGCCTTGAGTGTTTTGGGTTAGGACTCTCAGAAAGGTAACAGAATAGAGGGAGACTGTTTGACTATACCCACACTATCAGAATCAAGCCTTTACCTATAGCTTTTTAACAACTGAGCACCATTGATTCTTCCCATTTCCCTTAATTACATGAAGTTTTTCCTCCTCAAGACTAGGATGGGTAGGTGGCAATCATTCAGTTCTTTCCTTGATCCTATGTTCCCTGAAGATTTTCAAGCAGAAATTACAATAACTTGGTGTATGTGACTTTAATTCTCCATCTCCCTACACACACGTACTGATTTAATTCAAATACCTTTAAATAGTATTATCACATGATTAATAAGGAAAGCTTGTTTTATGCTCCACCCTCTGATCTGTGGTAGGATGTCAAATAAGGCAACTTTATTTTAAGTGAAAAACTAATTTTGTTTCCAGGGCAGAACAGATACAAATAGCATAGTACTGAGGAGGCTCCAAATTAGTCAAAGCTTAGTCTAACTGAAGCCAAGGTGCTACCACACGGTCACACTGCTTTGGCAAAGGGATGTCATCAAAACCTTTTTCCAGAAGAGACAAACTCCCCTACATCACCCACCATTTCAGTGTACTCTTTCCAATTCTTACTAGCTCCACCCTGAAGGAACTGTTCCTTTGAAAAATTCTAATACAGAAGTTTTAGCTCATTCTTCTACTTCCCACATATTTCAGACTAAGAGATGGAGTTGGTATCCTTATTCTCAATGTCTCTTTCAGATCTAACTCCTCTAGCCTCATTTTAATAAACCCCGGCTCCTCCGAGGCCACGGGCCTGTCGTTGACAGGAAGACTTTAGCACTGAGGTCAGTCTTCACCTGCACTTCAGCCATCCATTTCCATGGCTGCACTCCAAACCAGTCTTACCTAGAACTGCTATGCTTTATTATAAGTAAAACTGCTCCACTTTTAAAACCTTAAATATAATTAGCTGAGCGTGGTGGCTCATGCCTGTAATCCTAGCCACCCGGGAGGCTGAGGCAGGAGAATCGCCTGAACCCAGGAGACAGAGGTTGCAGTGAGCCAAGATAGCGACACTGCACTCCAGGCTGGGTGACAGAATGAGACTCCATCTCAAAAAAACAAAACAAAACAAAATAAAACCTTACGTATAAACACCCGAGTCATGGACCAAAATCGTCACGTGCAAAAGAATGAAGTTGGCCAGGCGCAGTGGCTCATGCCTGTAATCCCAGCATTTTGGGAGGCCAAGATGGGTAGATCACGAGGTCAGGAGATCGAGATCATCCTGGCTAACACGGTGAAACCCCATCTCTACTAAAAATACAAAAAATCAGCTGGGCGTGGTGGCGGGTGCCTGTAGTCCCAGCTACTCGGGAGGCTGAGGCAGGAGAATGGCATGAACCCGGGAGGCAGAGCTTGCAGTGAACCTAGATAGCGCCACTGCACTCCAGCCTGGGTGAAAGAGCGAGACTCCATCTCAAAAAACAAAAAGAATGAAGTTAGACCCTTACTTTACCCCACATATAAAAACTAACTCAAAATGAATCAAAGACCTAAATTTAAGAGTTGAAACTATAAAACTCTTAGAAGAAAACACAGGAGTAAATACTCATGACTCTCAGTTTGGCAAATGACTCTTAGATACCTAACACCAAAAGCATCTGCAACAAAAGGAAAAACATAAACCAGGCTTCATCAAAACTAAAACCTTTGTCCTTGAAAGAACACTATAAAGAAAGTGAACAATCCACAGAAAGGGAACACATATTTGCAAATCATATCTGATAAGGGACTTACATCTAGAATACAGAATATATAGAGAACTCTTACATCTCAATTAAAAAAAAAAAAATGGCCAAGCGCAGTGGCTCACACCTGTAATCCCAGCACTTTGGGAGGCTGAGGTGGGCAGATCACCTGAGGTCAGGAGTTCAAGACCAGCCTGGCCAACATGGCAAAACCTCGTCTCTACTAAAAATACAAAAATTAGCCGGGCATGGCAGCGCACACCTGTAATCCCAGCTACTTTGGGCAAAGATCAAGTGTGGTGGCTGATGCCTATAGTCTCAACTACTGAGGAGGCTGAGGTGGGAAGACTGCTTGCTTGAGCCCAGGAGTTTGAGACCACTCTGGATAATACAGCAAGACCTTGTCTCTAAAAAAAATAAAAACAATAATTAAAAATTAATTTTTAAAAAATTGCCTAGGTATCTGAATAGTCATTTCTTCAAGGAAGATACACAAATGGCCAATAAGCACCAAAAAAAAAAAAAAAAAAAAACGCTCAGCATCATTAGTCATCAGGGAAATGCAAATCAGAATGAGAAAACATCTCATACCTAATAGGACATCTAGAATCAAATCGGCTCACTGCAACCTCTACCTCCCGGGTTCAAGTGATTCTTATGCCTCAGCCACCTGAATAGCTGGGATTACAGGCGCGTGCCACAGTGGCTGGCTAATTTTTGCATTTTTAGCAGAGACGAGGTTTCGCCATGTTAGCAAGGCTGGTCTGGAACTCCTGATCTCAAGTGATCCGTCTGACTCGGCCTCCCAAAGTGCTGGGATTATAGGCGTGAGCCACCGTGCCCCGCCAAAAAAAAAAAGTTTTAGACAGGTCTATGTTGCCCAAGCTGGTCTCGAACTCCTGGGCCCAAGAAATCCTACTGCCACAGCCTCCTGAGTAGCTGAGAGTACAGGCATGCACCTGGGTAAATAACACAACAAGTGCTGTTAAGGATATAGAGAAACTGGAACCCTCATACACTGCTGCTAGTCACGTAAAATGGTGCAGCACCTTGGAAACAGTATGGCGGTTCTAGTTCCTCAAATGATTACAGAGTTACCACATGACTCAGCAATTCCATTCCTAGGTACATAGTCAAAAAGAAGTGAAAACATATGTCCCCATAAAAACATGTACACTAATGTTTGTAGCAGAATTATTCATAATAACCAAAAGATGGAAATAAGCTATGGAAATAACTCGTGTCTGTTGTTGGGTGAATGGATAAAGAAAATGTGGAACACACGAACAATGGAATCTAATTCTGCCCTAAAAAAAAAATTTTGACATTTGTGACAACAAATGGATGAACCTAGACGGAACTATGCTAAGTAAAATAAGCTAGACACAGAAAGATAACCACCACATGATCTCAAGTCAAACTCATAGAAACAGAGAGTAGGAAGGGGGTTTCTAGGGCTTAAGGGTAGCGAAAATGAGATCGTGGTAAAAGGATATAAAACTTCAGTTATAAGTTCTGGAGACCTAATGTACAGCATGGTAACCATAGTTAATAATAACTTACTGGTTGGGCGTGGTGGCTCACACCTGTAATCCCAGCACTTTGGGAGGCCGAGGTGGGCAGATCATGAGGTCAGGAGTTCGAGACCAGCCTGGGCAACATGGTGAAACCCTGTCTCTACTAAAAATAAAAAAATTAGCCGGGCGTGGTGGTGGGCGCTTGTAATCCCAACTACTCAGGAGGCTGAGGCAGAAGAATTGCTTGAACCTGGGAGGCAGAGACTGCAGTGAGCCGAGATTGTAACACTGCACTCCAGCCTGGGCTACAGAGCAAGACTGTCTAAAATAATAATAATAATAGCGTACTGTATACTTGGTCAGGCATGGTGGCTCATGCCTGTAATCCTAATACTTTGGGAAGCTGAGGCTGGAGGATTGCTTGAAGCTGAGTTCAAGACCAGCCTGGGCAATACAGCGATTCTTTGCCTCTACAAAAAATTTGTTTAAAAATTAGCTGGGCGGCTGGGCATGGTGGCTCACGCCTGTAATCCCAGCACTTTGAGAGGCTGAGTGGGTGGATCACCTGAGGTCGGGAGCTCGAGACCAGCCTGACCAACATGGAGAAACTCCACCTCTACTAAAAATACAAAACTAGCTGGGCTTGGTGGCGCATGACTGTAATCTCAGCTACTTGGGAGGCTTAGGCAGGAGAACCGCTTGAACCCAGGAGGCAGAGGCTGCAGTGAGCTGAGATCATGCCACTGCACTCCAGCCTGGGCAACAAGAGTGAAACTCCGTCTCAAAAAAAAAATAAAAATAAAAACAAATAAATAAATTAGCTGGGCATGGTAGTGCACGCCTGTAGTCCCAGCTATTGAGGAGGCTGAGGTGGGAGGATTGCTTAAGCCCAGGAGTTTGAGGTTGCAGTGAGCTATAACTGCATCACTGAACTCCAGCTTGGGTGACAAAGGTTCTGTCTCTTTTTAAACCATGTAAAATAAAAATAAATAACATATTGTAAACTTGAAATGTGCTGAGAGTAGCTCTTCGGTGTTCTCATCACACACATACAAAAAGGTTAACTAGGTGAGGTGATAGATACGTTAATTAGCTTAACTGTGGTACTCCACAATGTACACATATATCAAGATGCCACACTGTATGTGTTAAATGTATACAATTTTTATTTGTGAGTTATACCTCAATAAAGCTGGGGTGGGGAGGCAGAAAGAAGGAATGAAGTACTGATACATGCTACAAGTCAGATGAAAACATTATACTGAAAGAGGCCAGACACATAAATCTACATATTACATAATTCCATTCATATGAAAGGCCAGAATAGGAAAATCAACAGAGACAGAAAGTAGATTTGCGGTTGCTTGAGGCTACGGGAAGGATGGGAGAACTGGGTTTCTTCCTTCCTTTTTTTTTTTTTTTTTTTTGAGATGAAGGTCTCACTCTGTTACTCAAGCTGGAGTGCAGTGGTATGATCACAGCTCCCTGCAGCCTTGACCTCCTGGGCTCAAACAATTCTCCTGCCTCAGCTTGCCAAGTAGCTGGGACTACAGGTGCACGCCACCACGCCTGGCTAAATTTTTTATTTTTTATAGAGATAAGGTCTTACGGGCCAGGCGTGGTGACTTACGCCTGTAATCCCAGCACTTTGGGAAGCTGAGGTGGGTAGATCACTTGAGACTGGGAGTTTGAGACCAGCCTGGCCAAAATGACAAAATTCCATCTCTACTAAAAATACTAAAAATTAGGCAGGCATATGGCACATACCTGTAACCTCAGCTATCCGGGAGGCTGACGAACGAGAATCACTTGAACCCCAGAGGGTCAAGTTGCAGTGAACCAAGATTGTGCCACTGCACTCCAGACTGGGTGACAGAGCAAGACTCTGTCTCAAAAACAAACACACAAACAAATAAAAAGAGATGAGGTCTCACTATGTTGCCCAGGCTGGTCTCGAACTCCTGGGCCGACCATTCCTCCTGCCTCAGCCTCCTGAGTAGCTGAGTACAGGCACGCACCTGGCTAAATTATGCACTTTATAAATAAATGAACTGTACGTTCTGTGAATTGTATCTCAATAAAGCAGTTTTTTTTCTTTTTTTCTTTTTTGAGAGGGAGTCTCACTCTGTCGCCCAGGCTGGAGTGCAGTGGCGTGATCTCGGCTCACTGCAAGCTCCACCTCCCGGGTTCACACCATTCTCCTGCCTCAGCCTCCCGAGTGGCTGGGACTACAGGTGCCCGCCACCACATCTGGCTAAGTTTTTTGTATTTTTAGTAGAGACGGGGTTTCACCGTGTTAGCCAGGATGATCTCGATCTCCTGACCTCGTGATCTGCCTGCCTTAGCCTCCCAAAGTGCTGGGATAAAGGCATGAGCCTCGGCGCCTTGCCACAATAAAGCAGTTTTTTAAAAAAATGCCTCTTATTCCTAGTTGTTTCCTTACTGTCTCGTCTCTAATTTTTCAATGCATCCATTCCCTTGATGCTTCTAACTTCTGCCTATCAGTCCTTTCTCACATTCACTTTCTTCTCTCTCTAGACTCCATAGCTCATTCATTTCAATCACTACTAGTAACATCCCATTTCTCTTGCCACTCCCATATGCCTGGAACTGGATCAATTCAAATGTCTGCTTTCTCCAGGCCTACAACAGACTACTCCATTGCCAAAGGGGGTTACACACACACACACACACACACACACACACGCACACACTCTTACTTTTTGAAGCAGATGTCATTCTTTTGTTTTTTTCGAGAGTCTCACACTGTTACCCAGGGTGGAGTGCAGTGGTGCAATCATAGCTTGCTGTGGCCTCGACCTCCTGGGCTCAAGGGATCCTCCCACTCCAAGCTCCCAAGTAGCTGGGACATAAGCACACATCACTGCGCCAGGTTGATTTTTTGTAGAGAGAGGGTCTCACTTTGTTGCCCAGATTGGTCTCAAATTCCTGGGCTCAAGCAATCCTCCTGCCTTGGCCTCCCAAAGTGCTTGGATTACAGGTGTGAGCCACCGTGCCTGTCCTGCTCTATCCTTCTATTTCACAAAAACAAAACACAGAAAGGAACGCTAACTTCCTTTCCTTCCCACTTCTTTGTAATTACAATGGAAGATACTTCTCATCTGGTTCCTACATCTTCTCATGTACTTAGTCAAGAATACCAGTACTTAATATTATTATCTATTCCCTCTTTTTTTTCCCTTTTTTTTGAGACGGAGTCTCGCTCTGTCGCCCAGGCTCAAGTGCCCGCCACCATGCCCGGCTAATTTTTTGTATTTTTAGTAGAGACGGGGTTTCACCATGTTAGCCAGGATGGTCTCGATCTCCTGACCTCGTGATCTGCCCGCCTCGGCCTCCCAAAGTGCCGGGATTACAGGCGTGAGCCACCGCACCCAGCTTTTCCCTCCTTTCTAATCTTCCTTTGCACATACCTTTCCTTCCCACTTCTCTGTAATTACAATGGAAGATGTTAATCTTGTCTGGTTCCTACTTTTTCTCATATACTCAGTCAAAAATACCAGTACTCAATATCATTATCTATTCCCTCTCTTTTTTCCCCCTTTCTTTTCTTTTTTTCAATCTTTGACCTTATTTGATACTCTCCTAACTTTTTAAAAAACATCCAAATCACCTCTTGATCTCAAAGCTACCTCTCCAACTACCATCTCTTCAGCCTTCCCTCAGTCAAATTTCTTTAACAAGTTTTTTTGGCCAGGCACAGTGGCATGAACCTATTGTCTCAGCTATTCAAGAGGCTGATGAGGATTGTAAGTTCAAGTTCAAGCTCAGCTTGGGCAAAATAAGGAGACCCATTTGCCAAAAAAAAAAAAAAAAGAATTCTTGGAAGACTCTCAGAAAATGGCAGTGGCACAGTTTTATCTCTCTTCAAATCTCCACATGGAATGAGAGCTCTGGACAGCAAAACCGAGACCCAAACCAAAACCCTGGCCAGACACAGTGGCTCACGTCCATAATCCCAACACTTTGGGAAGCCGAGGTGGGTGGATCACCTGAGACCAGGAGTTCGAGACCAGCCTGGCCAACATGGTAAAACCGCGTCTCTACTAAAAATGCAAAAATTAGCCAGGCATGGTGGCACGCACCTGTAATCCCAGCTACGCAGGAGGCTGAGGCACAAGAATAGCTTGAATCTGGAAGGCAAAGCCACTGCACTCCAGCCTGGGCGACAGCAAGACTCTGTCTCAAAAAATAAAAAAGAAACCAAAACCTTCAGACAACACTGCAACAAAGTTAAGTTACCAGGTATCCCCCAAGACCCAAAATGTAAGTGCATAACAAAGCACCAACAGCTGTAGGACCTGTATAGTACTGGTGTCCACGCAGGAGAAAGCAGAGAGAAAGCAAATGGACCTGAGAACAGGAGAACACTGAAATAATCAACAGGCAGTCAAGGGAAAGCACAACAGTCAAAACTGAGAACAGCACTTACAACTAGCAAGGGGGCCACACACGGTGGCTCATGCCTGTAATCCCATCACTTTGGGAGGCCAAGGTGGGTGGATCATCTGAGTCAGGAGTTCGAGACCAGCCTGGAAAACATGGTGAAACCTCATCTCTACTAAAAATACAAAAATTAGCTGGGCACGGTGACACACGAGGTCCCAGCTACTCAGGAGGCTAAGGCAGGAGAATCGCTTGAACCCAGGAGACGGAGATTGCAGTTAGCTGAGATTGCGCCACTGCACTCCAGTCTGGGCGACAGAGTGAGACTCTGTCTTAAAAAAAAAAAAGGTCTGAAGGGATGAAGCTGACCTGGCTGCCAGGGCTTCCTTCTGGGGACAGGGCCCTACACTGTCCCTAGAAGGGAGTTCCTAGAAGAGAAACTGTTGAGAGCAGGACCAAATTCAGTAGGACAGGGATGGTCCAGAACAAGCTGGGAAAGGGAACAAAAGCAACAAATCTCAGAAAGCAAGCCACCATATTTCTCACCACCACAGAAAAACAACAGAAGCAGCTCTGTGAAGTTAGAAAAAGCTATTCTAAATCATGCTTCCTTCGAAAAGACCAGGAAAACTAATTTTACATAAAAATGAACAGAAAATACAGAAGTTAAATCCCATAAAGTTATAATAAGAAAAAATAATAGCATTCCTACAGACAATGAAAGCATGCCAGAAAGACATCCGCATATCATATCAAAATTGCAACTTCTATTTCAAAATAAGCTAAAAAGACATTAAGAAAATTATATAAGGCATGAAAGAACATCAATCAGAATTGGAAAAACTCAAAAATGAAATGAGAACTCAGAAAGGTATGAGCAATTAGGAATCAAAAACTATTTACCAGGTATCACCACCTAAAAGTCCCACACCTTCTCGATCTCAAAACATCCAAAACCTAACCCACAACTGTCCTTCCAGAACTCTTCTCCTGGGGTCCCTTCCTTAACAGTTAACACCATTCAACACCATTCATCAACCTGCACATTCCTTTGACTCCTTTTTCTTTTTCTGAGTCAGGGTCTCACTTTGTTGTCCAGGCTGGAGTGCTGTGGAGTGATCACAGCTCTACTGCTTTGACCTCCCTGGGCTTAGATGATCCTCCTGCCTGAACCTCCTCAGTAGCTGGGACCACAGGCCTGCGCCACCAAGACCGGATAATTTTTTTTTCTACTTTTCTTTTGTAGAGACAGGATTTTTCCATGTTGCCCAGGTGGGTCTCAGGCTCCTGGGCTCAAGCAATCCACCTGCCTCAGCCTCCCAAAATGCTGTGATTACAGGCATGAGCCAAGGTACCTGGCCTCCTTTGACTCCTTAATTTAGGTTCCACATTCAATCAATGAAGGGGTTGTTAGTACACTAGAATCTCTCTCTAATCTGTCCCACATCTTGCCATTCCAACAAGTATGAACCTTCTTTAGGGGCACCATCGTCATGCTCCTTGGACTATCCTAACAACCTCTAAACAGCTCTTCTGCCTCTAGTCTTCCTTTGTGCCTCACCCACAATTCATCCCCCACATTTAAGCCTTCAGTGGTACTTCTTTCCTAGCCATTAGGAAAACATCCAAACTCCCTTACATATAGAATGGTAAGCTGCTATAAATTCACAATCCCCAAAACTCAATGAACACTCCATATTGCCTGTCAGTTTCTCCAACGTTTCCATTCTCTAGTGACTACAGACGGTCCCTGATGTATGATGGTTCAACTTATAATTTTGACTTTATGGTGGTATGAAAGCCATAAACATTCAGTAGAAACTGTACTTCTCAGCTGGGTGCAGTGGCTCACCACACATGTAATCCCAGCACTTTGGGAGGCCAAGGTGGGAGGATCCCTTGAGTCCAGTTCAAGATCAGCCTGGGCAACACAGAGTGACCTCATCTCTATTAAAAATATTTTTAAAAAAATAAAAAAGAGGCCAGGCACTGTGGCTCATGCCTGTAATCCCAGCACTTTGGGAGGCCGAGGCAGGCGGATCACCAGGTCAAGAGTTCAAGACCAGCCTGTCCAACATGATGAAACCCCGTCTCTACTAAAAATACAAAAAAAATCAGCCAGGCATGGTGGCGTGCGCCTGTAATCCCAGCTACTTGGGAGGCTGAGGCACGAGAATCGCTTGAACCCGGGAGGCAGAGGTTGCAGTGAGCTGAGATCACGCCACTGCAGACAGAGTGAGACAGAGTGAGACTCTGTCTTAAAAAAAGAAAAAAAAAAAAAAAAAGAAATCGTACTTCTCGAGATGCTGGATAGCAACAGAGAGTTGCTGCTCCAAGTTAGCCAAGAAGTTATCTTGAACTTCTGAACTTATGATGGGTTTACCAGGATGGGATGTAACTACACCATAAATCAAAAAGCATCTGTACTGCAGCAAATATTCCCCATCCCAAAACCACTTCTAACTCTGAATTCTGTCCACTTCTATTTTCACTATCACCACTCTATTCCATGCCACACTCACTACTTAACTAGATTCCTACAATAGCTTTCTTAACTAGCTTTTCTGTCTCTGATCTTGTTTCTCTTCACTGTGGACAAAATAACTGCTATAAAAGAATCCTCAAATTTTACAGTACATAGCATCAACCTGGGATATTCTTTAATACATAAATGTCTGAGTCTCCAATGCCCCTCCCAAGAGTCTGTTTCAGTAGAGAATGGCTAATTGGATTTTCTGATGCAAGTGTTCTCTGGATCTGAAAAACACATCTTTAAAATTTAAATCAGACAAAGCATAGTGGCTCATGCTTGTAATCCCAGCACTTTGAAAAACCAAGACCGGCAGATCACTTGAGGTCAGGAGTTCGAGACCAGCCTTGCCAACATGGTGAAACCCCATCTCTACTAAAAATTAAAAAAACAAACAAACAAAAAACAGTAAATAAAAATTTTTAAAAAATGAATAAATAAATCCAATCGCATCACTTTTTTTTTTTGACACAGGGTCTTGCTCTGTTGCCCAGGCTGGAGTACAGTGATACAATCTTGATTCACTGCAACCTTCACTTCCCAGGCTCAAGCAATCCTCCCACCTCACCAATTAGTGGCCCCTGCTCACCAATTTGTCTTTATTTCTAATACCTATCCTGTCCCAACAATGCTCCAGTCACACCTAATTACTCCCAAGTTCCCAAACGCTCTCTATCTTCTCTATCTGGGCTTTTTCTCTTTTTAAAAAAATTTTGGGCCAGGCGCAGTAGCTCACGCCTGTAATCCCAGCACTTTGGGAGGCCGAGGTGGGTGGATCACGACGTCAAGAGATGGAGACCATCCTGGCCAACATGGTGGAACCCCGTCTCTACTAAAAATACAAAAATTAGCTGAGCGTGGTGGTGCACACCTGTAGTCCCAGCTACTCGGGAGGCTGAGGCAGGAGAAATCACTTGAACCAGGCGGGGCGGAGGCTGCAGTGAGCCGAGATTGCACCACCGCACTCCAGCCTGGCAACGGAATGAGACTCCGTCTTAAAAAACAAAACAAAACAAAACAAAAAAAATGGGGGGCACGGTGGCTCATGCCTGTAATCCCAGCACCTTGGGAGGCCGAGGTGGGTGGGTCACCTGAGGTCAGGAGTTCGAGACCAGCTTGACCAACATGGTGAAACCCCATCTCTACTAAAAACACAAAAATTAGGCGGGCGTGGTGGCATGCGCCTATAATCCCAGCTACTCGGGAGGCTGAGGCAGGAGAATCGCTTGAACCCAGGAGGCAGAGGTTGCAGTGAGCTGAGATCGAGCCATTGCACTCCAGCCTGGGTAACAGAGCAATACTCCATCTCAATAAAAAAAAAAAAAACTTAATTTTTTTTTTTTTTTGGCTGGGTATGGTGGCTCATGCTTGTAATCTCAGCACTTCAGGAGGTCAAGGCAGGAGGACTGGTTGAACCCAGCAGTTTGAGGTTGCAGTGAGCTGTGACCCCACAACTGCACTCCAGCCTGGGTGACTGGGCAACAGAGTGAGACCCTGCCTCTTTTTTAAAAAAAAAAAAAAAAAAAAAAGAGGGCTGGGCACAGTGGCTCACACCCGTAATCCACCTGTAATCCCGGTACTTTGGGAAGCTGAGGCGGACGGATCACCTGAGTTCACGAGTTCATGACCAGCCTGGCCAACATGGTAAAACCCCGTCTCTACTACAAATACAAAAATTAGCTGGGTGTGGTGGTGTGCACCTGTAATCCCAGCTACTTGGGAAGCTGAGACAGGAGAATCGCTTGAACCCGGGAGGTGGAGGTTGCAGCGAGCTAAGATCATGCCACTGCACTCTTGCCTGGGTTACAGAGCAAGACTCCATCTCAAGCAAAAAAAAAAAAAGAAAAAGAAAGTTTTTAATTTTTGTTGAGTACACAGTAGGTATATATTTATGTAGTACATGAGTTTTGTTTTTGTTTTTGTTTTTTGAGACAGAGTTTCCCTCTTGTTGCCCAGGATGAAGTGCAATGGCACAATCTTGGCTCACTGCAACCTCCACCTCCTGGGTTCAAGTGATTCTCCTGCCTCAGCCTCCTGAGTCGCTGGGATTACAGGCACCTGCCACCACGCCTACTTAATTTTTCTTATTTTCAGTAGAGACTGAAAATGGGTTTCGCCATGTTGGCCAGGCTAGTCTCGAACTCCTGACCGCAGGTGATTCACCCGCCTCGGCCTCCCAAAGTGCTGGGATTACAGGTGTGAGCCACCAAGCCCGGCCCATGAGATATTTTTATATAGATATACAATGTGTAATAATCATGTAAGGGTAAATGGGGTATGGATCGCCTCAAGCATTTATCCTTTGTTACAAACAATTCAATTACGTTCTTTTATTAATATATATATATACTTTTTTTTTGAGATGGAGTCTTGCCCTGTCACCAGGCTGGAGTGCAGTGGCTTGATTTCGGCTCACTGCAACCTCTGCCTCCCGGATTCAAGCGATTCTCCTGCCTCAGCCTCCTGAGTAGCTGGGACTACAGGGGCGTGCAAGCACGCCCAGCTAATTTTTGTATTTTTAGTAGAGACGAGATTTCACCATGTTGGCCAGGATGGTCTCAATCTCTTGACCTTGTTATCCACCCACCTCAGCCTCCCGAAGTGCTGGGATTACAGGCATGAGCCACTGTGCCCAGCCAATAGTTATTTTTAAATGTACAATAAGTTACTGGTTGACTGTAGTCACCATGTTGCAAATATGAAATTCTAGATCTTAGTCATTTTTATTTTTTAAATTTTCTGAGACAAGAGTCTTGCTCTGTTGCCCAGGCTGGAGTACAGTGGTGTGATTATGGCTCACTGCCACCTCCACCTCCCAGGCTCAAGGGATTCTCCTGCCTCAGCCACTTGAGTAGCTGGAATTACAGGCATGCGGGACCATGAGCTGCTAATTTTTGTATTTTTAGTAGAGATGGAGTTTTGCCATGTTGGCCAGGCTGGTCTTGACCTCCTAGCCTCAAGTGACTGGCCCACCTTGGCCTCCCACAGTGCTGGGATTACAGGTGTGAGCCATCGCGCTGGGTTTAGATCTTATTCATTCTAATTACTATTCTTTTTGTACCCCTACAGCCTTTCTTTTATTTATTTATTTTTTTTTTTTTGAGACAGAGTCTCACTCTGTCACCCAGGTAGCAGTGCAGTGGCATGATTTCAGCTCACTGCCACCTCCATCTCCTGGGATCAAACGATTTTCGTGTCTCAGCCTCCCAAGTAGCTGCGATTACAGGCATGCATCACCACACCAAGCTAATTTTTGTATTTTTTAGTAGAGATGGGTTTTTTTTTTTGAGACGGAGTCTTGCTCTGTCACCCAGGCTGGAGTGCAGTGGCACAATCTCAGCTCACTGCAAGCTCCGCCTCCCGGATTCACACCATTTTCCTGCCTCAGCCTCCCGAGTAGCTGGGACTACAGGCGCCCGCCACCACGCCCAGCTAATTTATTATTATTTTTTTTTGTATTTTTAGTAGGGACGGGGTTTCACCATGTTAGCCAGGACGGTTTCGATCTCCTGACCTCGTGATCCGCCCGCCTGGGCCTCACAAAGTGCTGGGATTATAGGCGTGAGCCACCGCGCCGGGCCAGAGATGGAGTTTCACCATTTTGGCCACGTTGGTCTCAAACTCCTGGCCTCAAGTGATCCGTCTGCCTCAGCCTTCCAAAGTGCTGGGATTACAGGCGTGAGCCACTGCTCCCGGCCCCTGTGGGCTTTCTTGACTGTTGTTCTCTCTGCCTAGAACACATCTTACCCAGCCAACTGTTTAATCTTTCCCGACTGCCTAAGATGGATTCAGTACCCAGCTGTAACACCCTACTTAGCCCTATCCCAGTGCTATCCCCTATCAGCAAGTGGTACAATTGCTTGAATGTTTGTCTGACTTCCTTATTGAGTTGTAAGATCTCTAAAGATAGGAATTTTGTTATAGTGTTCACTATTCCATCCTCAAGGGCTTAACAGATTCTAAAATGTAGTAACAGTTCTAAAAATGTATAGACAAAATCTTTGATCCACCATCCAATTCCCCCTATATATAATCCCATTACCAGAACTCAGGAGTCCACTCAACAACCCAGGAAACAAACACTTACTCTGATGGCATCTCTAGTAGTTTATCCAAAAGACAGGAAACTTTCTCCTAAAAACAGAAAAATCCCCACCTATAAAATGATGGATGCTCTTGGCACAAAACATTCCGAATCCTACCCTTTCAAAGTCTTCAGATAGATTTGGAAAAAAATAACCAATTGGCTGGCTTCTCAACCTACACTGCATAAAACAAACTGTCAAACATCTTTCAGAGGACTTCAAGATATCCTCACTCTCTTATTTAGAACCTCATATTCTTCAGACAGGAAGAGAAGCCAACTAACAGTATAACACCTGTGGCTTGAGACGGCGTGCCCCAAGTTTTCCCTAGGTCTAAAGTGAACAAGACCTTCTGTAACACTTTTTCAGAAGCATAAATGAAGAATACACAAGAGGATAAACACGGAGGTCATGGTACGTTTGCAACGAAGGTGTGTACACGTTTTTAAAAAGCATTTCTGATCTATACCATAGGAAAAAACCTGTCATACTCACTTCCGAGTCTTCTGCACTTTCATAATCCGAGAGAACAGCTGAAATAAAACAGAAATATGTGGAAAAAAAGAAACCCAGAAACATTTTTTGGCTGCTTATTACAGGTCAGACTAAGAGTCTCATTTAATTCTGACATCAACCTACAACGTGGATAAAATTATAGTCCCCACTTACAAAAGGAGAAACAGGCTCAGAGGGTAACTTGCTGAAGACTATACTGCTAAAGCCTATGCTCTTAACCACTATGTTACAAAAAGGCACTCTGTGGCCCTAAATCCGTGACAGTGTGTGAGAATGTCGATGTTGGAAATAGATGACCTGAGTTTATGTTAAAAAAAACTCTTGTCCTAATGGGGTAAAAGATGCTACTCACCATCACCTTCAATGCCATCTTCACTCTCCTGAAAGAAAGCAGAAGACATGGGTTAGTTCTGTGATTTCCAGAGGTGGGGAGCCCAATAAAGAAATGTGGGTGAAAAGCTGAAGATTCAGCACAAAATGGTTGGAGAGGGAGACAGAGATAGGTAAATCTTTATCAAGTAGTAGCCAAGGCAGGTCTGGTCTCCTTCCCTCCAGCCCCGACTTCTGAATAAAACATCCGCTTTCCATCTCCAGCGGCTCTACCATCCTCCCAGAAACCCCCAATCCTTCTTCTTCCCTTGGAACTCCGGATGCAAACTCGCATTGGGATAACTCCCCTTTTCTCTCAAAAACAAAAAAAAGTCCCAGTATCTACTATCAACTCACAGACTACCTAGCATCACCTACACCCCGCCCCCGGCCGGCTCGCCGCCCGGTCCCCACCCCGCCCCGCCTGCGCGCACTCACACACTCCGACTCCTCAGCACTCTTGGCGCCCCCGCTCTCCACCCGCCGCAGATGAAGGGCCCCGGTTCGGCCTCCGCGCTGTGAAGGCAGAGAGCCGCTGCCGCCGCCTCCGGCGCTACCGCTGCAGCTCCCGCCTCCCCGCAACGGGGAGCCGCCGCTGTCGGAGCCCGAAGCACCAGATTCCTCGTCCTCGGTGTCTTGCGAAGCGCGCTGCCGCCGCCGGTCCGCCATCTTACGGAGAACGGCCACCACCGGCGAGGTACTTACGCACCGCGCCCGTCGCAGAGGCTGCTGGGAGGCTGGATAGCTAGTCCCGGCGTGCTACGCGTGCGGCGCTCGGCCATCCCGCTGTGTGTGTGTGTGTGTGTGTGTGTGTGTGTGTGTGTGTGTGTGTGTGTGTGTGTGTTGGGGTGTGTGTGTGTGTGTTGGGGTGTGTGTGTGTGTGTGTGTGTGTGTGTGTGTTGGGGGAGGGGCGGGGCACTGGGCGGGGCCTAGGCCTGCGGCACGTTTGCGGCCGACCCGGATTACGTCTATCGGTGATGTAAGGGGGCGTGGCGCGGCTCCTGACTTCCCTTGGGCAGGCCTAGGGCGAGGGGAATTGAGACTTCAGCAGCCTCCCGGGTTCCTGGCCCGGCCATCTTGGGCTTCCCGAGTGGAAGGAGTCAACCTGTCACAGCTTCACTGCAACACTAGGGCTGTTTCATGGTTTTCTGTTTCCATTTCTCACTTCTACCTACGTTTGAAGCAGGTCAATTTACTGCATTCCTTTGCTTGGTAAAATCACGAATCAAGGTAAATCTTAAAAGCTGTAGTGCTGCGTCAGATTTGCTGCACCAGCCTTGTTTAAGATAACGGGCGAAGGAGAAACCAGTTGTCTGCAGTGAAGCCAGAGGACTTCTTGTTGCAGCGTTTTCTCTGTGTTCTCATTTCCTCTTCACGTTTCTTCCCACCCCAGCCATCACCTGTCCCAAAGTGCAGGCTGGTATGATGCCAGTATTACCGGTTTTGTTTTGGCTTTTTCGAGGCAGGGTCTCACTCTGTTGCCCAGGCTGGAGTGCAGTAGCGCGGCTCACTGCAGCCTTGACCTCCCAGGCACAGGTGACCTCCTTGCCTTAGCTTCCTTAGTAGTTGGGACAACGGGCACACACTACCACACCCGGCTAATTTTTCTGTTTTTTGTAGAGATGGGGTCTCGCTCTTGCCCAGGCTTGTCTCCTGGCTGGGATCAAGCGATCCTTTCGTCTCAGCCTCCCAAAGTGCTGGGACTACAGGCATGAGCTACTGCCCTTGTCAGGATTTTAGAACCTATTTAAAAATAAATGGTCAGTAGAAACAGATGTTGATTCAAAATCCTGACATTATTTCCTTCTTAAGGTTTATGGAAATTATTTCATTTTGGCAAGGCATTGGCCACCATTGAAAAGAATCAGTGTGTTTTCTTTGGACCATTATAAGGATATACAAAGTGCATGAGCTAAGTTTTTAGTGCACCTACAGGAGTGCACGTTAATAATGTATGTTATCAAACAAAGGCCACCATGGCATAGAATTCTTCCCTGAGTAAAATATTTTTTTTTTTTTTGAGAGGGAGTCTCACTCTGTCTGTCGCCCAGGCTGGGGTGCAGTGGGGTGATCTCGGCCCACTGAAAGCTCCGTCTCCCGGGTTCACGCCATTCTCCTGCCTCAGCCTCCCGAGTAGCTGGGACTACAGGTGTCTGCCGCCAGGCCCGACTAACTTTTTATGTTTTTAGTAGAGATGAGGTTTCACCGTGTTAGCCAGGATGGTCTCGATCTCCTGACCTCGTGATCCGCCGTTCTTGGCCTCCCAAAGTGCTGGGATTACAGGCGTGAGCCACCGCGCCCGGCCTTTCCTGAGTAAAATTTTTATAAATGACATGGTTAAGGATCCTGATGTTTATCAAATTTATAGATAACATGAAACTGGAAGTAATTATGAATGCCTTCAGAGATGAAAGGAAAATTCAAGGCCGGGCGCGGTGGCTCACGCCTGTAATCCTAGCACTTTGGGAGGCCGAGGCGGGCAGATCACGAGGTCAGGAGATCAAGACCATCCTGGCTAACACGGTGAAACCCCGTCTCTACTAAAAATAAAAAAAAATAGACGGGCGTGGTGGCAGGCGCCTGTAGTCCCAGCTATTCGGGAGGCTGAGGCAGAATGGCGTGAACCCGGTAGGCGGAGCTTGCAGTGAGCCGAGATCGCGCCACTGCACTCCAGCCTGGGAGACAAAGAGATTCTGTTTCAAAAAAAAGAAAAAAAGAAAATTCAAACAATCTCAGCTAATTAGACAAGTGGCCAAACGTGACAACTTATAAGTCCAGCTCCAAAAGCCAACTGCCTGAGTTCAAAATGGAGGATAATATGATTTAATAAGTGTTAAAGAAAAAGAACCTGGAGGATCTTATCGATCACAGACTAAATTGGTGCAAATAAGGCTGCCAAGTTTAGTGTCTAAATAAGGAAAGTGATAGTCTGCCACTTTGTCCTTCAGTTGTTTAGTCTGGGTCCAGTTTTTTTTTTTTTTTTTGAGGGGGACGGAGTCTCGCTCTGTCGCCCAGGCTGGAGTGGAGTGGTGCGATCTGGGCTCACTGCAACCTCCGCCTTTCAGGTTCAAGCGATTCTCCTGCCTCAGCCTCCTGTGTAGCTGGGATTACAGGCGCGCACCACCACGCCCAGCTAATTTTTGTATTTTTAGTAGAGACGGGGTTTCACCATGTTGGTCAGGCTGCTCTTGAACTCCTGACCTCGTGATCCACCCGCCTTGGCCTCCCAAAGTGCTGGGATTACAGGCCTGAGCCACCGCGCCGGGCCTGGAGCCCACAGCAATCTTTAACTAGGGACTATGAAGAAAGGAGGGATTGGTCTTTTTTTCATCATCCTAGAAGGCAAAGCAAAAACCAGTGAGTTTAAGTTACAAGAAGTTAGATTTTTTGTCAACAAGCAAGAATTTTCAAACACTTAGGGGGAAAAATGTATGTAGAAAAAGTGTTGAAGCACAGCCTGGAATTTGCTTGTCTGGAGTGTTATCAAGGGTAAATCACATATCGGGGTCACACTAGATGACCTCTAATGTCTTTCCAGCTATAAGATTTTGTTAACTTACGAAGTATCCTATAATCTCGTTTCTAAAATTGCTAATTATACTTTTTTTTTTTTGGAGTTGGAGTCTCCCTCTATCACCCAGGCTGGAGTGCAATGGCATGATCTCGGCTCACTGCAACCTCTGCCTCCTGGGTTCAAGCAATTCTCCTGCCTCAGCCTCCCGAGTAGCTGGGATTACAGGTGCCTGTCACCAAGCCTGGCTAATTTATTTTATTTTTAGTAGAGACAGGGTTTCACCGTGTTGGCCAAGCTGGTTTCGAACTTCTGACCTCAGGTGATCTACCCACCTCAGTCTCCCAAAGTGGCTGGGATTACAAATGTGAGCCAACACGCCCGACCCTTTTTTTTTGTTGGGGGTGGGTGGGATGGAGTCTCGCTGTCACCCAGGCTGAAGTGCAGCAGCTTGATCTTGGCTTACCACAACTTCCACTTCCCAGGTTCAAGAGATTTTCCTGCCTCAGCCTCCCAAGTAACTGGGATAACAGGTGCATGCCACCACATCTGGATAATTTTTGTATTTTTAGTAGATGGGGTTTTACCATGTTTTACTGTGTTGGCCAGGCTGGTCTTGAACCTCTGACCACAAGTGATCTGCCCACCTCAGCCACCAAAGTGCTGGGATCACAGGTGTGAGCCACTGCGCCCAGCCAAGTTGCTGATTATACTTAAGGAAGTACACTGGACAAAGAGGGATGAAACATACATTATACTTATACACAAATGGAAGTGAGTACCTTATTATAAAGGGGAAAATAATGTGTTATTCTTTTTTATTGAGAAAATGGATTTCTTTTTCCAATGTTTCAAATATACAAGCAGAATTGTTTGTTTGCCAATAAATATAATAAATTGAAGCAGAAGTTCAAAAATTAACAGCCACAATAGTTTATTTACAATTGAACTCTTTATAAGATATTTACAAGACAACCAATTTTACACATCAGAAATGGTATCAAAAGTTATGAATTACAACACAGACAACAATATGAAATGGGCATAAAACAAAGCTGAAGTAGACAGACAAGCAATTTTTTTTAATTTATTAACACTAGCTTAAACTTTGTTAAAGAAAAACAAACAACTATGTTTTAGGAGAACTGCAGGGCCTTCAGTTGAAGATTGAATTCACAGTGTTGTATCCCATGTAGGGAAAAATAAGACTAATTTTCCCCCCACACTCTAACACACTGTAATTTTGCACTTGGAACTTTGCTAATCTACTGTCCAACCTCCTTCTCAACAAAGTCAAATCAAAGGAGAATTAACCTAGAAGAGGGGACAATAAAATAAGAGGTCCTCAGGGAGAGGGAGAACCAAGGAAATAGAATCTACTTAAATCTGGCCAGATAGCACCTCGTGGATTCTTCTCAGTCTACTTCAAGTCAGAAACTGGGGAGTCCCCTGGGTAGGGCACAAACACAATGGTTAAATTTGCTAACTCATACCCAAAATTAGGAACCCGACACATGCTGAAATCAAGAAGAAACTGAGGGATCAAAGAACAAAGTCAAGAGACACTGATTGGGTCTTTTTTCTTTTTGGACACGTTACGAAGAAATATCACATAGGTAAGAGTAAGAAAACTGAACAGCCTGCCACATTAAAATGATGGAGAACAAAGAAAATCTGGCCCAGTTTTTCTAGAAATCTCCTCCTTAAGGTGTGAGATGAGAGCCCCTAGTGGAATTAAGTCCTATTTCTCTCTACATCCTTGCTGCAATGAAGTTTACAGCAGGTTCCCTTATAGAGAGCCCACTCTCCTAAGCAGATGGAGTTACAAATGAAAACCCATAGCCACACACACACACACACACACACAAAAGGAGAAATAAGAGCAGCAAGATCATCCAAGAATACTACATGTGCTGCCAGAATAATTCCTTTAAAAGTCAAATCCAGGAAGCACAGATCAACATCTCACAAAAAACTTTAGCAGTGGGAGGCCCCTGAGGAACTTTTCTTCTCTTCCCACAATGGTATCCCATTCTCTCTTCGTGCTCCACTGATGGGCCAGCCACACACCCTACATACCTTGGCTTCTCCTCTAAAAGTGCTAATAATCTGGGGACATATTCTCTTTAAGGATAAAAGCCCCTACCTTCTAGGAGATTAGACCCCTACTTGTTTTCACACAATAGTCCTGAAGACTAAAGAAAGGCAATTCCTATATATTTGAGACCAGAGGTCTTGGCTCTATTTTCCTTTCAGATAGTTAATAGGGATCTTACACTGAGACCAAAGTGGCCTGGGAGTGCTATCCTGATATTTTAACAAAACGGGAGGGGAGAGGACCAAGATGGTACACATACAAATTATTTTTACAAAGTGAATGGAGAAGCTCATTAGGTACATCTGTTTGTTTCAAGATGTAGACATTTGCCAGCCAAAGGAAGCACCTATTTCCACACTCTCCCCCTACCCTCCCTAAGTCTCTATCCCACCACCAAGAGTTCTGCTAAAAGGATGAAGCCCAATGAAGGAATACTTGAGAAGTGATGTGATACAAGGACATTTATACAGGTTTTGGCATGCCATCCCAAATACTAAGTGCTTTTGTTTACAGCTGTAACTTGTTCTGAAACTAACCATCCCCACTTTCTTTTCCAAAGATTTTGGTTTTTGAGCAGTAAAGAAATTGTTATCCATTAACTGAAAAAATAATCACAGCCAAACATCCCTTCCCACATGACTGTATCACAGAATAGTTTCAAATGAACAACTATCTTTTCAGACAGTTATCTACCAACTCTCCGATGTCTTTTCTACTCTGTGAAGATGGCTTGCTTCATCGCTTCACTTGTCATTCCTCTTCTGGTCCTAAAGCTCATGGTGAGGTTGTTTGTTTTATTTTAGGGTTAAAAATCACTATACCCACTATAAGGAGGGTGTACCAGGGTGAGAAGAGTGCCATGCAGGCACAGCTCTAAAGGAAGGGGCTGCTTCATCTTCCACATGTCTAATGAAGAGAGCCCTTTTACCCCTTTAACATAGGCAAATGTATAGAAACAGACCCCTGAAACTTCTGAATCTGCCATCCTATAGCTTTAGCTTGAGAGCCCATTTCCCAAAAAAGGGAAAAGAAATCCCAATCACCCTCCATAACTCACAATTAGCCGAATGAAAGAGTTTTTGTGAAATCAGAGTAATGAAAACAAAGTCAAGGAAGTATGAAAGGGTATTATCAGCGAGTGATAACATATGTGAGGACAAAGGTCACATATACAGGTCTCTGCCACTCTCGGGAATGGCATGCTACAACTATCTGAAGACAGGGTTCTTGCCAGCACAGCTATTTCCTACACGTCCGGTGAGGTGTTTGCTTCTTCTGGATCTCCAATCTGCATCGGCTACGCTCATCCAACCAGGGTAGCTCAAAATTCCTGGCAAAAAAGGATGAGGAAATCAACTTGCAAGACTAGAAGGGATTCAGTGTGGACATGATAGCAACTACAAAAAAGTCACTATGTCCCTTACCACTCCTATCCCTGACTAGTTTGGAGTGTCTTTCCTGCCTCAAAGCCAGAGCAACTGTGTACCATTAAAGTGATGGAATCATCTATTTCTAACTCAAAAAGCAATACTCCTAATTATTGGCTTGGGAATCTTATTACAAAAGCTAGTTGCCCAGGTAGCCTCATTTCTGTCAAAGACCCATGGCTATCCCTAAGCCACCTGGTTCCACCTCATATCTAGGCTTCCATGAAGTCTGAAAAGGATGTGCAGGTTACCTGGAAGGGGAGAAAAAAAATGTATACTTACTGTGGAGTTAATTTTGGTAATGGTCGTCCAAATGCTACAACAGGCAAGAAGGGGGTAATCATCAAACTTTCAACTATGGGAGAAAGTCAAACGGGAGCGTATTAGTAATACAGATGGGAAATGTCTAGAAGCTATATCTGCTCCAAAATACACTTCATTCATTCAGAGCAAGTTGTACCCTGGAGCCTTGCACCCTCCTCCTTCTTTCAAAAACCTACTCTTTTAGATGGACACAACTTACCATCATCTGGCTCAGGGAAAAATGAGGTAACCTCAGGCTCAGATTCCTGAATTCCTTTCTTTTTATACATTCTGAGCTGCAGTCGCTGTAAAATTCTTTGTTCCCTGATCCTCTGAATATCCCATCTGGGAAAAACAAACCAAACAAAACAAAGAAACCCAACATTACTGTTTACCCAAAACCTGCTCTATAAAAGCAACTCACACAATCCAGATGCTAGGAAGACCCTTGCTGACTCCTCTAGACAGGGTAAAGAGAAATGACTGCCTTGTTAAGGGAGAGCTGTTTAGGTCTACCGTTTAGATCATGTGTTGGTGTTCCACAGAAAGTAGAATTGAGGAAGGTCATACACAAAAAGAGGCCAAACATGTTTACCGCAACAACTACCATTTCCAACTAAGATATTCAACCAACTGGGAAGCCAGTAATGTAAGAGTGTTAAGCACTCCAAGATTCTCCACAGCATGAAAAAGGGAGGTCAGGTTCCCTGATACTCTGTCCTAGGTCCTAGGGCTCAGTTGTTTCCAGGATGGACATCTCTGGCCTCACCTTTTCCTTCTCTTCTCATCCAGCTCCAGTTTTGCATGCCGCTTCGAAAACACACTGTCATCCAGGTTCTGTGTAAAGAAAAGCAGCTGATAAGCTATTTATCACCATATATTAGTTACACACATATACTAACTAATTTCCAGCTTCCAGGAACGTAAAATCTTTCACCTTCCGGTTCTACCTGAGTCTGTGGGTTCCATGGACAGTATGGGAACCTCCTGGTAACAGAATCAACAAAACACATACTCCTTTCCCCATCCACATCCTTTTAGAATCTCCAAATTTCAAAATCATTTCCATATCTTTCCAAGGTAAACATCACATCAAACTAAAACCCCCAGACTGTCATAAACCCTCCCTGCCTCCATACTTTGTAAGAGTCTGACTTTAAAATAATCAAAACTTTAAGAGTCAAATGAGCTTGGAATATGTAATTTTATGGTTGAGGGGTACATGCTTTTTTTTGTGTGTGTGTGATGGAGTCACTCCGTCACCCAGGCTGGAGTGCAGTGGTGCGATCTTGGCTCACTGCAACCTCTGCCTCCTGGGTTCAAGCAATTCTCCCTGTCTCAGCCTCCCGAGTAGCTGGGATTACAGGTGTGCGCCACCACGCCCGGCTAATTTTTGTATTTTTAGTGGAGATGGGGTTTCACCACATTGGCCAGGCTGATCTCTGACTCCTGACCTCAGGTGATCCACCTGTCTCAGCCTCCCAAAGTGCTGGGATTATAGGCGTAAGCCACCACACCCAGCCCTAACTTTTCTACTTAGCATAAAATCTACCTTTGTTTTGAACATTACCTAGCTATTTATTTTTTAATAAATCACTTAACTACTCTAGACCTGTTTTTTAATCTATAAAATGAAGGAGCTGGACTAGATAATTTCTCAAGTTTCTGTCTGGCCTTAAAATTATTTAATTCATCCATAGTACTATGACATTTTCCAGTTATACCCTCACATTCTATTTAATCTCTTACTCTCTTCAATTGAGTGCTCTTGGTTACCTACCTCCAAAAGGTCTGAAGGATTTGGGTCCCTTAGAGGCTCTACTGAGTGGTCCCTCCAAGAAGGAACTGAAAAAAAAGAGAGAGAAAAAGAAAGGGAGGAGGGGTGGAACCACCCTTAAATCCAAAGTTGCACAACTATTCACTAGGATAAGAGGTCTCTCCCCAGAAGAGACAAAGTTACCAAGTGATAGGAATCCATTCTATGGCCTCCCTGAAGCCATATTCAGTGTCCTTGCTATGGTATAAAAGAACCTAAAATGCCATTGCAGTCTGCCAAACTCAGGATCACAAAAACCCTAAACCAATACCTGACAATTCATATAATGATGCTATAGCAGTTCCTGAAAAACAACTGAAATTTGTTGTCATTTTGAAGTCTATAGTAGTGTAATCAATCATACACCAAGAAATCTCAGTCTCCCACATCCAGTGGATGGGGAATGCAGCTCCCAACCATCCACCATCCCACCAACCCCCACCCCAGGCCCAGCCAGCACAATTCCTATTCTACTCACCAGCCAAGACTGAAGTTTCTCCTGCAACACTTGATGGCATCAGACACCCTAAATAATGCAGGAAAGAAGAATAATCTCAGTGTAAAAAGAAAAAAAGCCCATACCCCAAATGGAGGAAAGGATCATCACTGAAGTTCTCACTAGGAAGCCATTTTGTTTTTTGAGTTGTTCTTTTGAGAATTTCTCTCTGGGGGAGGGGAAGAGGGAACAACAGACAAAAGAAAAGAAAATAAGCCCACCACTTTTTTTTTTTACACTGAGACGACTTCTTTTCTTCATTATTTAGGGTGGTTTCCCTGCAACAGTTGATGGCCAAGGATATCAAACCTTAAACTCAGAACATGGCAGGTGAGTAAAAGTTGACCCTATTTTTCAAATAAAAGATCAGTGTTCTCAAAACTTACATATGTAGTCTTCTTAAACAGCTCCCTCCTCCCTCCAAACAAACTACCTTGCTGGTCCAGCCTGAACAACATGCACAAAGACTTTGGCTCCCCTAGAACAAGCCATTGAGCCTTCCTCTTGAGATAGGGGCATCAAGAATAAGGATTCACATGTTTATTCACAACTCAGGCTCCTCAAGGGGCTGGGATCTCCCCAATTAGACTCCTTTGTTTCACTATGCCCACAATCTCAGAGGTGTTTGAAATTGTCTGTACTAGGGAAGAAAGGATTTTCAAAAATAGCCAGTCACACAGAACAGCTCTGGACCAAGCCATTACCCAATCCCGGATGGGAAGTTGCTTCACGTTTCTCTTAAGTTGTTACGCAGCATTGCCATGGCAGCAAAAGAGGTTAACCATTAAGGAAGAACCTGTTCAACTGACTGAACCAACAAAAATCTGAACCTAGATCAGGATCCTGATCTATCTCATGTACTCAAGTGTGAGGCCTAATAGAGGTTAGATCATTAAGACGACTAATCTAGCTTTCCCACTTAATTTTGTCACCAGAACAGCCAAACAAAGCCTGGAGAACGCTCTTGTCTCACTGGAATGGATTTCTATCCCCATCCTGCTAGGCAAGACACAGTGGTAGAAACTTGGGACTGCGGCTCTATCCTAGAAGGCCTCCCCAACCATTACCCCAGAGTAACCGCAGTGACTGACATAGACTAATATTACATGATTGAAGGCACATTCCAGTTACTGGTTGATGTAGAAGATAGGGGAGCATCTCTGTGTGGAAGCCATAAAGAAAAAAAAAAGGGAATGAAGACCAAGGTCCCACACCCCACACCCTCCCCAAGCAGCTCAGATATCCCAAGATAGTCCTTATTGTTTGAAAAATAGTTTGTAGACCATTTTATTTAAATATATGAACAACCAATGGGCTACTGCAATCCAAGTAAACTCTTCACATTTTAGAACCTTTGTGAAGTATAGTAAGATAAAGTAAGACTGTTGGTCTTTGGCAGATTCCTCCTGCCCCCCAGACAGGGACATAGATATACAGATAAATGTTTATATAGTTAAAGAGCGGAGGCCCAGGTGAAAATTCCCCACCCCAAGCTGGCTCCCCAACCCAAAAATTACCATTGGCCCCTGAGAACACCCAAAGACCACCCTCCCAGATTTCACACAATATCAATTGCAGGAACAGTCGTGCATGGCAAAGTATAGTTCTATGCATTTCACAGCACAGAAAACCCTTCTTTCAGAGGGCATGCAAGTTGCCGGAGATTACACCCCCAAGTCTGGTGCTCTTGTGATGAGCAACTTACTGGCAAACACATCTCCCAGTGTTGTAAGCAGGCAAATACATTGAGCACATTTTGCTGTAATTCCATCTATTTGCAATGCCTGCACAGTGTCTGTCTCTGGCTGTTAACTTACTCATTCTTGACAGAACTCTGCTTTATTGATTGCACTTTTTTAAAAATGCCAAAGGCATTTTCACACTTGTTAGCTTGACCGCCACCACTAGGGTATAAGAGCAAGTGTTCTCTATGCCTTACTTGCTACAGTCTCCTCCTTCTTTGGAGAGGATTCCCGTAATGGTAACGGTGATGGGGGAGGCTGGTGCCAACGACACAAATACATTTCTGTGGTGGAAAGGTACGGCAAATCTTCTATCTCACTTGAGAAGGCTTTCTCCTTGGGATGGGTGCTGGGTCCCTTTTGGGGAGTGGAGAGTCTTGGTGGGGTGTCCACTGAAGACCGGGGCTTTTCTGGGGTTTCTTGGCTCCTCAATTCACGTTTACAAACAGTTTCAGATAAGGAACCACAGGGTTCCTCTTTAATAGGAGAGTGCTTAGGAGTTTTTGTTTTGACTTTTGAAAATTCAGGAGCCAGCTTTTTAACAGGAGTCTTTCTTTCTGTACTTCCAAATGGGGATTTCCTATTAGATAGGGAAGAAAACATTATAAAATTTATTGACACTTGAATAAAATCTAATTTGAACACATTCTGGAGCAAAAGAATAAGCTGGTTCTTTTGCCCCAAAATGACAAGTATTCAGGTACCTAAATGTCTGGTGCTCATTTAGCAGTCATGAGCAGGAACAGCCCAGGCTTAGCAGTATATAAAATAGGCCCATAGTAAATTTTTTGTTTTGTTTTGTTTTGTTTTTGAGACAGAGTCTTGCTCTGTCACCCAAGCTGGAGTGCAGTGGCATGATCTCGGCTCACTGCAATCTCTGCCTCCCGGGTTCAAGCAATTCTCCTATCTCAGCCTCCTGAGTAGCTGGGATTACAGGCATACACCACCATGCCTGGTTAATTTTTTTTGTATTTTTAATAAAGGCAGGGTTTCACCATATTGGTCAGACTGGTCTCAAATACCTGACCTCAGGTGATCCACCCACCTAGGCCTCCCAAAGTGCTGGGATTACCGGCATGAGCCACTGCACCTGGCCAGTAAATGTTGAACAAGGAATTTCCATGCTTAAGAATATTCAAGGTCCACCAGGCGCAGTGGCTCACGCCTGTAATCCCAGCACTTTGGAAGGCCAATGCAGGCGGATCACTTGAGGTCAGGAGTTCGAGACCAGCCTGGTCAATATGGTGAAACCCCGTCTCTACTAAAAAAAAAAAATACAAAAATTAGTCAGGCGTGGTGGCACATGCCTGTAATCCTAGCTACTTGAGAGGCTGAGGCAGGAGAATCGCTTGACCCTGGGAGGCAGAGGTTGCAGTGAGCTGAGATCACGCCACTGCACTCCAGCCTGGGCGACAGAGTGAGACTCTGTCTCAGAAAAAAAAAAAAAAAAAAAAAGAATATTCAAGGTCCTTTAGCCAACATTATGTACCACTACAACCCACATTAGGTGCACCTACTTCTTGTAATCCAGAGATCAGTCTCTTTCCTTTTCCCCCAACCCTGTACCACATTAATTGTAACCTTTATTTCCTTTTTCTTACTGTCTGCTGGCATTCTCTAGCCTCTTTCTTCTTCCCTTCTTCCCCCACCACATCCCAAGAAAGTCATCTCCCTTCCTCTTTACCAACCTAAATTTTAATACTTTTTTGGAGTCTCACTCTGTCACCCAGAGTGGAGTGCAGTGGTGCGATCTCTGCTTACTGCAACCTCCACCTCCTGGGTTCAAGCAATTCTCCTGCCTCAGCCTCCCAAGTAGCTGGGACTACAGGTGTATGCACCACACCCGGCTAATTTTTCTATTTTTAGTAGAGACAGGGTTTCACCGTGTTAGCCAGGATGGTCTCGATCTCCTGACCTCGTGATCCACCCGCCTCGGCCTCCCAAAGTGCTGGGATTACAGGCGTGAGCCACCGCACCCGGCTATACTTCTTTTTCAAGACTGATTTCTACTTAAAGTTTCACAATTCTAACCCAGAATAACTTTTAATATCCCTGAATCTTACAAAACTTAGTTTAATGTCTGTAATCCCAGCACTTCGGGAGGATCACTTGAGCCCAGGAGTTTGAGATCAGCCTGGGAAACAAAGTGAGAGCCTGTCTCTACAAAAACTAAAAAAAGTTAGCCAAGCATGGTGAGTGCCTATGGTCCTAGCTACATGGGAGGCTGAAGTAGGAGGATCACTTGAGTCCAAGAGGTGGAAGATGAAGTGAGCCATGTTGGCGACACTTGCACCCCAGCCTGGGTGACAGAGAGAGACCCTATCTCAAACAAACAAAAAGCCTTAGTTTATATCAGGTGTTGTACATCTACGTATTTTACTGCATTTGAATTCTGAGTTTTCAAAATGTATGCCTATCCTTACAGTTGGGCTAATTTCTTTGAGTCCAAGGACAGTTCCATTTTTACCTTTTTTTTTTTTTTTTTCAATTGAGACAGGGTATCACTCCGTCACCCAGGCTGGAGTGCAGTGGTGCAGTAACAGCTCACTGTAGCCTCAACCTCCTGAGTAGCTGGGACTACAGGTGCATACCTCCAGGCCCGGCTAATTTTTGGATTTTTTGTAAAAATGAGGTCTCACTATGTTGCCCAGGCTGGTCTCAAACTCCTGGGCGCAAGCGATCCCTCCTTCCCCACTTTCCATACGTTCCATACTCCTTCCCCACCTTGCCCTCTCAAAGGGATTACAGGCATGAGCCACCACGCCTGGCCTGTATTTTACTTTTCTATGTCTACCAATGCACGACACAATGAAGGAATTTAACACTTCCTAACTTGAAGTGAACTGCTATAGTTTTAAGAAACTCAGCTGTCATACTTATTGCCCATTCTCTTTATGATGTAAGCTGCATTCAATAATTATTACTGTGACCAAAATACTCCTAAACAGACTTTTACAGTCTGCATAAGAATGTTTCAAGATAGTTTCTCAGCATAGAAGACTTCTTTTTTTTTTTTTTTTGACGGAGTCTCGCTCTGTTGCCAGGCTGGAGTGCAGTGGAGCAATCCCGGCTCACTGCAACCTCCGCCTCCCGGGTTCAAGTGATTCTCCTGCCTCAGCCTCCCGAGTAGCTGGGACTACAGGCGCCCGCCATCACGCCCGGCTAATTTTTTATATTTTTAGTAGAGACGGGGTTTCAAAATGTTGGCCAGGATGGTCTCTATCTCTTGACCTCATGATCCACCCGCCTTGGCCTCCCAAAGTGCTGGGATTACAGGTGTGAGCCACCACACCCGGCCCTCCGCATAGAAGACTTCTAAAGCAAGTTATGATTGCTATAAAACCAATTCATAAATCCCAATCTCCTACTCTCAATCACTGGTAACAAGGGTCCTCATCAAACAAAGTTATCAGCACACCTTTTATGTCCCTTTCCACTCCGCCCACATGAGAAGGGCTTGGGAGGCAGAGTCTGGGATGTCTCGGAAAGCTCCGGCTGGCACTCCAGTTTAATTTTCTCAGATAGCTCTGTTTCCTCTCTCTCTTCAGTTTCATAGCCCTGAAACAGCTTGTGCCTTTCTTTCTCGTTATCCTTCTTTACCAGCTGCATCCGCCTTTCCATACGTTCAATCCGAGCAAGGAGCTAAAAGAGAGAGTAGCAAAATGCAGACTTAACACATAAAAAATTAAACACACAGATACTTAGCCCCATTTAGGAATCAGTATAGTCTTCTGCCTCTTTCTATGGACCACATCAACTCAACTTTTTAAATAGGCAGACATTAATCTGAACAGTTTTCCTTAAACAAAATAGAGAAGAGAAGGTATACTGTTAAATTTTAAGGGCTAACCTAGATGGGAAGAGGCATGGGGTAATTTGTAGTTCATTCTTCTGTAGGGAGATCCTCTCCACTGGGAAGGGCCGTAACATGCCTTTTAATGGCATGGTCTCTGCTACTGCTACCTGTGTGGCTCCAAGTTGGTTCGGGAGTTTCCAGAATTAATTGTATACATGTTTTGTTTGTTTGTTTTTGTTTTTGTTTTGAGACGGAGTTTTGCTCTTGTTGCCCAGGCTGGATTGCAATGGCTCACTGCAACCTCCGCCTCCCTGCCTCAGCCTCCCGAGTAGCTGGTATTTCAGGCGCCCGCCACCACACCGGGTAATTTTTGTATTTTTAGTAGAGACAGGGTTTCACCATGTTGGCCAGGATGGTCTCTATCTCTTGACCTCGTGGTCCACCTGCGTAGGCCTCCCAAAGTGCTGGGATTACAGGCGTGAGCCACCGCGCCCAGCCTACATGATCTTTTAAGAGGCCCTGAGATTGTCCAAATTCTATCCTCTCTACTTCTACTCCAAAGCTCTATACACAACAGCAAAGTGCAAACAGTACATTGAGAAGGAATTAAGAGCTCATACAGTGCCACCAGGAATGGCAGTGTTATTTGAAAGGGGTATGTGTGGGAGGGGGTACTTTTAAAACAATGAACATTTCATTTGGAAAATAGAAATCAGTACCCATAATTCCAACAATCATGACATAAACACATTCCTTTGAATTTGAGGTAACACAAAAAATTATACCTATTCATCTAAATATTTATTAAAATCAAAGTTCCTTTAGTTTTAGTTAAAAGGAAGGACTAAAAAACTAAACAGAAAATGGAACTCTATTAGTATTGAAAACTTTGTGTTAGTTTAGTTTTGAGAAAAGGTGTTGTGCTACTTATACTCTATTACAAGAATTTTATCTGGGTTAGACAGTGATGTTTAACGCTGCCTTCATTACATTCATTGCATAGATTTCAGACAAGGCCAAACAACAACTGGAATAAGTGAAACAAGCTTAAGCAATATTAAGATTGCAATACACAACAGAAGCAGTGAGTACCAAGTTCAGACTGACACTCTATCCTTAACTCACCCCACTTTTCCTGACTAGGAAAGCCTGCAAAGGGGCCATTACCTCAGGAACTGAGCAGAAACCTCCACAATCAGCAGAGAACCCCCCTATCAGCCATACTCTCATTTCATCTCCTTGTATATGTTTTGATTCACAGCCCTTAACCACCATTTGTGGGTGACATTTCCTTGATTTTTTTCTCCTTCACTGGTCCTTCTCTTCCCACTCCCCCCATACAAGGATATGATGTGTTGTAATTACGGTACCATCACACCCCTAGACTGCAGTACAGTCTGAGCAGTGCCACCTCCATGTTGAGTAACTTCCACAAATCAACACCATGAGATATTTTAATGAGACCTGCCCCAGCTCCCAATCCACCTTGCAGAATGCATTCTCCAATAAAACAGCCACCCGATGAGATTCATTTGGAAAGCAAACAAAATGAATAGCCGCTTGCTCCCTTGCTCAGCTCTTAGCGCACACGACGCCAGAGAGAAAGAGGAGAGAGGGAGAGATGAGGACGGCGGGGAGGGAGGGAGAGAGAGAGAGAGAGAAAGGGAAAGAGACAGGGAGGGAGGAAGAGGGAGGGAGAGAGGGAGAGAGAGACTGCTGCAGCCTGAACACAACAATTGTAGAAACCATGTTTATTTTTAGGCAGCTGTAAGGTATGCTAGCACAGTAATACCCCCCACCCCAGCTTCCCTCATATCTGAAGGAATATGTTTTAACGCAGAGATGCCCTTAACTACTGCTGCAGTAAAAACAAGCCTGTGTCGTCCAAGCTCCTCAGAAGTAAAGAAATAATAAACGACTTTCCTACTCCCTAAGATTCTAAAATAAGGATGGGGAGGTCTATTTAATACATTTAATAAGCTTACTTTCCCCTGATGCCCTAAAATCTTCCAGTTTCAAACACCATGCTTATAAAAGGGACCTGGTCAGTGGGTCATGTATTAGAACTCAGGTTCCTATTAAAAGCTGTCTGAAATCAAAGGCAGTGATTCTCTTAATATCATTTAAGAAAACTAAAATAGGATTCCACGTAAATCACCTCTACCCCTGTGCCCACTAAAAGGCCTACTGCCCTCCTATCTAAAGATGCTGCAGCAGTGGTGAAAGCAACAGCTGCTTGCTACAGCCCTCTCCTCCACCGTGCATTTCTAACGCAATAGCTCTTTAATTTAACCCTTCCATAAGGACACAACACCTACACCCCACCCTTTCATTTTTAACCCCTCACAGATCACGTCTTTTTCCACTAAACGTCTTTCCCACACGTCTGGGGCTGTCATTTTAAATTAACCCTTTGGCACCTGAAACCCCTCCCCCTCCCCCTGAGAGGTTGCCCTTTAACCCTTCCCTCCAACCCAACGTGTCTGTGAGCCTGGCTCCCAGAGACCCAGCGCCTAAGATACTCCTTTGCCGGTGGCCAACCTCCTTTACCCCTAACCCGGGGGTGCCTTAACCTCCTACAGCCCCCTTCCCCCGAGCATGCGCACAACTCGCTCCTCGGCCCGAATGCAGATTAACCCCTCCCGTACCGTGTCTCTCTCTGACTTCAGCTCCTCGATCTCCTTTTCCTTGGCCTGCAGCTGCTGCTGCTGCTGTTCGATGAGGTCCAATTGCAGCAGAAGGATCTGTTTGAGGCAGGCGGCCTGACTGGAGGCTCCCGAGCCGCCACCACCCCCGAGAGGGCTCTTCCTCATACTCTTCCATCTGCCCTCGCTGGCCGCCAGGGTCCCGGCGGTGGCGGTGGGCGCGAGGGGTGGCGGCCCGGGCAGAGGTAGTGGTGGGGGTCCCGCCGGGTCCGAGGCGGTGGCAGCGGGGGAGGCCGCCCCACCCTTGTCCCCAGCCCAGGGCGTAGGCTCTTTGGCCGCCGCCACGAGAGAGCCCGTCTGAATGGGCAGCACCGCCTGATACTTGGGCCGGGGGCTGCAGCCGGCTCCGGCTGCGGCAGGCTCCCCCCCAATGCCGGCTTGCTTGGTGGCCGGGGGCGGACAGGGCAAGGGCACCGAACCGCCCCAGCTCTCTTCCTGCTGCCCGGGGGCCGCCCCGGCCGGGAGTAACAAGCCCCGGCCCTTGCCGCCGCAGCCGGCCGGGGAAGGCGCGGGGCTCCCGCCCTGGGAGGAGGCCAGCGGGGGCCCCGGCTCCTTGAGCTTACGGTGCCGGGGGAGGAAGTGGGCTTCGGCCGCCCCAGGCTCGTCCTCGGGCCCGCCCAGCGCCGCAGCCCGCTCGTAGTCCAGTCGCTGCTCAGGATTGCCGCCGGCAGGGGCCGCGGCCGCCTTGAACACCGCGGATCTCATGGTCATAGTGGTCCGGAGCAGCGCCGGGCACCGAGGCGGAGGAGGGGGTGGGGAAGGGGCGAGGTGCGGGGGGTCGAGGACTGAGGGGGGGGAGGGGAGTTTGGCGGGCTCGCCTCAGCAGCGCGGCAGCAGGCCTCCGCTAGCGCGGCTCCTCCGGGGCCCGGGCGCCATCCCGCCGGCGTGCGGAGACGTGGAGGCCGCGGCTGAGGCCCGCCGCCGGCCCATGGGGGCCTCGCCGCCGCCTCTGCTGCCGCCGCCGCCGCCTTCGCCTCAGAGGCAGGAGCTCGCACCCAGCCGCCCCCGAGCTCATCCCCGGAGCTCGCTTCGGCCCCCCCTGGCCCGGCCGGGCCCGCCTCGTCTCCCCACCCCGCACCCCCCCTTCCCCGCCCCGGCCCCCCGCCCCGGAGCTCGCCTCAACCGCCCCGAGCCTCCATTTCCCCCCCCTCCTCCTCAGGAGGGGGTGGAGGGCTGGGTCCGCCCAAAGCCCTCCTACTCCGGGAGAGGGGGTCTGTCGCCTCTCCCGGGGGTCTCCGCGGCTCGGGGTCCCCCTCCCCCACAGTCACCCCCGGCGCCTCAGCGTTTCCCTTTAAAAAAACGGAGCCGCTCGTAGCCGCCACCGCCGCAGCCGCCGCCAACCGGAGGACGCATGCGCGGGGAGGGGAGCGGGCGGGAGTGCACCGGGAGCCGAGAGGAGGGAGGCGGGCCGCGCTATTGTGAAAGGGGCCGCCGCCGCCTCGAGGGGGGCAGGGAGGGGACCGCGGGGGCCGGGGGCCGGCGAGGGGAGGCCGGGGCTGAGGGGCGAGGACCGAGGAGCGCGCGGAGGAGCGGGGTGAAGGTGGGCTGCCGAGGGAGGGGCGAGCCGGGGGAGGGTCTGGAGGGGGAAGAAGGGCGAGGGCGGCCGCGGGAAGAAGGGGAAAGCGGAGGCTCCCCGGGAAAAAAGCGCGAGAGAATGGAGTTGAGAGGAAAGAAGGAGGATACAGGCGGCCAATGTGTGGCCTACGTGGGAGCGCCCCGAGCGCTCCACGTCCCCGGCCTGCGCCGGGCGGCCCCTTCCCCGGGCATCTTGGCAACGCGCCTGGCCCAAGCCGGAGGGGCCCCGCGGCCCCGCACGCCTCCTGGACCAGTCAGGATCCAGGCTCCTCTTTGAGCCCGCGGGTGTTTCATGGGGGTAGAAGTCTAACCCCTCCACCCCCTCTCCTCCCCAGCAGTCCCACGCGGGTATGGGAGAGAATGAAGTTCTTTGTCTCTAAGGGATTCAAACCAGAAACGGAGGGACCTCTGGTTCCCAGAGGGAGGAAAATCCATGATGTCTGCTGCCCAGGGAGCTATTGCCACCGCCTCCTTGGGATGAAGTATTGCCAGCTACCAACAGTTCCTTCCCAACGGCCATCTTCCAGCCTTCTTAAACGACTCCTAGCATCTTCGGGAGGCTCCTGAAGGACTGAAGCAAAGGAAATCTCTGAAGGGATTTAGTCCTTGAAAGGGAGTAGGGATACTTAGGGTGTTCTGTGTTGAGCGCTTCTTCCTATCTCTCCAGCTTCATGTATGTGTGTCTTTATGTCCAAGCAATTGAGCCAACAAGTCCTCAGAATTCCTTGTGAAAAAAACGTTTTTTTTTTTTGAGACGGATTCTCACTCTGTCGCCCAGGCTGGAGTGCAATGGTGAAATTCAGCTCACTGCAACCTCCGCCTCCGGGGTTCAAGCGATTCTCCTGCCTCAGCCTCCCGAGTAGCTGGGATTACAGTCACGCGCCACCACGCCCAGCTAATTTTGTATTTTTAGTAGAGACAGGATTTCTCCTTGGTCAGGCTGGTCTGGAACTCCCGACTTCAGGTGATCCGCCCGCCTCGGCCTCCCAAAGTGGTGGGATTACAGGTGTGAGCCACCGTGCCCAGCCCTGAAATAGTCTTAATTGCTTGTTTTTCTTTTTTGTCTGAGGTGTGCTTTTTAAAATCTCTATGGAGATGGAGAAGACTGACATTCTCTGGCCTGATGTGAAAACCTCTCATTAAAACTGTGTCTGTGCTTTGTGGGCTGAAAGCATGAAACACTGGAAATTTTAAACAAACGTATGTGAATGTGTTAAGAAGCCAAGAGTCCGGCCCTCTTTCACCAGACTGTATGGCCTCAGATCAGCAAGGGAAGTATTGAGCTTAGGGACACCAAGTAATGGAGTGAGCAGGGATGAGAGGGCACATAGAATGTGGTGATCTCTTTCCATGTCAAGGCTTGTGTGTTTGTGGCACTGGGGTCTTGCTGTGTCCCCAAGGCTAGAGTACAGTGGCACAATTATGGTTCACTGCAGCCTCAACCTCCAGGGCTCAAGTGATCCTCCCACCTCAGTCTCCTAAGTAGCTGGGACAACAGGCTTGGGCTGCCACACCTGGCTAACTTTTTATTTTTTTGTAGAGACGGGCCTTTGTAATACCAGCCTTTGTTGCCCAGGCTGGTATTGAACTCGCTCAAGCGATCCTCCCACCTGGGCGTCCCAAAGTGCTGGGATTATAGGAGTGAGCCACTGTGCCCAGCCTTCAGCGTCAAGACTTTCTGCACCATCTCTACGCTGACAGCTCCGTAATTTATATTTCTTTCTGGACTCATCCCCTAACTCCAGAATCATATATCCAACTGTCTAGTATACATACCCAGTTGGATGTCTAATAGGTATTTCTTTTTTTTGAGGTGGAGTCTTGCTCTGTTGCCCAGGCTGGAGTGCTGGAGTGCAGTGGCACGATCTCGGCTCACTGCGAGCTCCTCCCGGGTTCACGCCATTCTGCCTCAGCCTCCCCAGTAGCTGGGACTACAGGCGCCTGCCACTACGCCTGGCTAATTTTTTGTATTTTTTAGTAGAGACGTGGTTTCACTGTGTTAGTCAGGATGGTCTCATCTCCTGACCTCGTGATCTGCCCGCCTCGGCCTCCCAGAGTGCTGGGATTACAGGTGTGAACCACCGCGCCCGGCCTAGGTATTTCAAACTTACATCTAAAAATCAAGCTCCCGAATTCCTCCCACCCAAACACCCAAATACCACTTCTACAGTCTTACTCTTTTTTTTTTTTTTTTTTGAGACGGAGTCTTGCTCTGTTGCCCAGGCTGGAGTGCAGTGGCACAATCTCAGCCCACTGCAACCTCTCCACCTCCCGGGTTCAAGCGATTCTCCTGCCTCAGCCTCCAGAGTAGCTGGGATTACAGGCATGCACCACCATGCCCAGCTAATTTTTGTATTTTTAGTAGAGACGGGGTTTCACCATGTTGGTCAGGCTGGTCTCAAACTCCTGACCTCATGATCCGCTCACCTCAGCCACCCAAAGCTGGGATTACAGGCGTAAGCCACCGCGCCCAGCCCAGTCTTCCTCTCTTTGTCACCCCATTGCCTTTCAAAATGTATGTCCAAGGCTGGACGTCGTGGCTCGTGCCTGTTACCCCAGCACTCTGGGAGGCCGAGGTGGGCGGATCACAAGGTCAGGAGATCGAGACCATCCTGGCTAACATGGCGAAACCCCGTCTCTACTAAAAATACAAAAAATTAGCCAAGCATGGTGGCGGGCGCTTGTAGTCCCAGCTACTCGGGAGGCTGAGGCAGGAGAATGGCGTGAACCCAGGAGGCAGAGCTTGCAGTGAGCCGAGATCGCGCCACTGCACTCCAGCCTGGCGACAGAGTGAGAGTCCGTCTCAAAAAAAAAAAAAAATTTAGCCGAGCCTGGTGGCAGGGGCCTGTAGTCCCAGCTACTCGGGAGGCTGAGGCAGGAGAATGGGGTGAACCCGGGAGGCAGAGCTTGCAGTCAGCCGAGATCCCACCACTGCACTCCAGCCTGAGTGACAGAGGGAGACTCCATCTCAAAAAAAAAAAAAAATACATATATATATATATATATATATATATATATATATATGTATATGTATGTCCAAAATCCCACAGTTTCTCAACACCTCCACAACTTCCACCCTGGCCTCTGCCACACAATCCTATCTCACTTGTTTTAATTGCAGTAACTGTAATTGGTCTCTCAGTTTCAACCTTTGCCTTCCATCACTTAAGTCTACTCAGCAGCCACAGTGGTCCTGGTAAGATGGGAGTAAGATCATGATCTTTCTCTACTCAGAACCCTCTCATGGCTTCCCATCTCACTTGGAGTAAAAGTAAAATCATTAAGGCTTGTAGGATCTGGCTCCCTGGTACTGCTCTCTGACTTTAGTTTCTACTGTTATTCACTCCTTTCTGTTGGCCCCTTCAGGCCCTTGCAGTTGCTGTTCCCTCTACCTAGATCCCTCTTCCTTCAGATGTCCACATGACTTCCTCCCTCACCTCCTTCAGCTCTTTACTGTATGTCAGCTGAGACCTTTGGCCCCCGCTATGTATACTCACAGCCTTCTCCAAACCGCCTCTTCCCTTTTTTTGCTTGATTTTTCTCCTTAGCATGTATTACCTCTAATTTACCTTATTACCTTATCCTCCCCCACTACAATGTAAACTTCATAGTTTTGGGGGGTTTGTTTGTTTTTTAAGACGGAGTCTCACTCTTACCCAGGCTGGAGTGCAGTGGTGTAATCTCGGCTCACCGCAACCTCTGCCTCCCAGGTTCAAGTGACTGTTCTGCCTCGGCTGCCCAAGTAGCTGGGATTACAGGCGTGCACCACCACGCCTGGCTAATTTTTGTGTTTTTAGTAGAGACAGGGTTTCGCCATGTTGACCAGGCTGGTATCAAACTCTTGACCTCGAGAGATCCACCTGCCTCAGCCTCCCAAAGTGCTGGGATTAAAAGTGTGAGCCACAGCACTGGGCTGCTTCATGTTTTGTTACTGCCATATCCTCAGCACCTAGAACCATACCTGCCACAAAGTAGGCATTTAATAAATATTGGTTAAATGATTAAATGAGCTGTTTAGATATATTAAGAGAAAGCATCTACCTACCTTTGACCTTTAGCTTGACTGAGGGTGGCAGTTCTATTAAAAAATAGGGCCGGGTGTGGTGGCTCACGCCTGTAATCTCAACACTTTGGGAGGCCAAGGCATGAGGATCACCTGAAGCCAGGCGTTTGGGACAAGCCTGGGCAACATAGTGAGACCCTGTCTCTACAAAAAATTTAAAAATTATGGCTGGGTCTGGTGGCTCACACCTGTAATCCTAGCACTTTGGGAGGCCGAGGCAGGCAGATCGCTTGAGGTGAGGAGTTTGAGACCAGCCTGGCCAACATGGTGAAACCCCCAGTCTCTACTAAAAATCCAAAAATTAGAGTAGGAGACCGTGTGGCCTTAATGGATAAGGTGTCTGACTTCAGATCAGAAGATTGAGGGTTTGAGTCCCTTTGTGGTCATAACGTTTGGTCGGGTGCGGTGGCTCATGCCTGTAATCCCAGCACTTTAGGAGGCCGAGGCAGGCGGATCACCTGAGGTCAGGAGTTTGAGACCAGCCTGGCCAACGTGATGAAACCCCGTCTCTACTAAAAATGCAAAAATTAGCTGGGCATGGTGGTGGATGCCTGTAATCCCAGCTACTCGGGAGGCTGAGGCAGGAGAATCGCTTGAACCTGAGAGGCGGAGGTTGCAGTGAGTCGAGATCGTGCCATCGCACTCCAGCCTGGGCGACACAGCAAGACTCCCATCTCAAACAAACAAACAAACAAAAATTAGCCAGATGTGGTGGCGCACACCTGTAATCTCGGCTACACAGGATGCTGAGACAGGAGAATCGCTTGAACCTGGGAGGCAGAGGTTGCAGTGAGCCAAGATCAAGTCACTGCACTCCAGCCTGGGTAGCAGAGTGAGGCTCTGTCTCAAAAAAAAAAAAAAAAATTAGCCGAGCATTGTGGTGCATGCCTGTAGTCCTAGCTACTTGGGAGGCTAAGGCGGGAGGATTGTTTGAGCCCGAGAGGCTGAGGTTATAGTGAGCTATGATCACACTGCTGAACTCCAGCCTGGTTGATAGAGCAAGACTCTGTCTCTAATAAAATAGTGAAACCTAGAGAAGAGTAAATTTGTCTAGGAACAAATTTGAACATACCATCTGGAAGGAATTAAGGAGGAAGTGACAACTGAGGTGGGCCTTGAAGGTTGAGATCAAAGGACATTTCAGGCAGAGGTAAGAACATTGCAGCTGGGCACAGTGGCTCACACCTGTAATCCCAGCACTTTGGGAGGCCGAGGCGGGCAGATCACGAGGTCAGGAGATCAAGACCATCCTGGCTAAGACGGTGAAACCCCGTCTCTACTAAAAATTAAAAAAAATAGCTGGGCGTACTGGCAGACGCCTGTAGTCCCAGCTACTTGGGAGGCTGAGGCAGAATGGCATGAACCTGGGAGGCAGAGCTTGCAGTGAGCCGAGATCGCGCCACTGCACTCCAGCCTGGGAGACAGACTCTGTCTCAAAAAAAAAAATTAGCTGGGCGTGGTGGCATGTGCCTGTAGTCCCTCCTAATAGGGAGGCTAAGGCAAGACAGGAGAATCACTCAAACCCAGAAGGCGGAGGTTGCAGTGAGCCGAGATCTCACCACTGCACTCTAGTCTGGGTGAGAAGAGCGCAACTCCGTTTCAAAAAAAAAATAGGATGTAACTGTAGAAAATGGGAGAAGTTCATTGGAGTGTAGTTCTGGATAGTGGGGCATGTAGGGGATAAAACAGATTGAGACCAGATTATGAAGGTCTGAAGGCCCAGTTAAGGAATGTATAATTTATCAGCCTTGGTGAAACATCAGAGGATTTCCACCAAAGTATAGAATGATTAGATTTGTGTATCTGAAAGCTAACTTCAATATTTGCGTCTCTGCACCAAAAGCCGGAGGCCAACTTGAAGGCTGTTAGTGCAGGTGTGAGATGATGAGTGGTTAAGATACTAGTAGTATGGGGATATAGAGGGAATGACAGGAGGAGACTCAGCTGTTAAGAGCAAAGTTTCTGGTGTGAAACTGCAAATAGCAATCACAGTTCTCCCGTTTAGTGGCTGTGTGTTATTTAACCTCTACCTCAGGTTGCTTATCTGTAAAATGACTATACTAATACCTTACTTCACAGGGTTATTGTGAGGATTAAATGAGATAATCCATGTAAAATGTTTATCATAGCATGTGGCACCTAGTAATGCTTGATAATGTAGTTATCACATTATTACTAATTGGCAGCATTTGTTGATCAATAGAAAGTGGGGTGAGGGAGAAGGAGGGCTTTACCGTCAAATTTCTAAGACTAACCAGCTGGCAATTCCATGAATAAATTATATGTTTTCTTCCTCTCTAGCCCAATTGTGGTTCCAGGCCAGCACCTTCAGTATCACCTGGAAACTTGTTAGATATGCAAATTCTTGGCTTCCCACCTTAGACCTAATGAATAAGAAACTGTGGGGTGAGATGCAGCACGTGGTGTTTTAACAAGCCCTCCAGGTGATTCTGATGTACTTCAAGTTTGAGAACCACTGCTTGGGACTCTACAACTGGGGTTGGTTGACTTTTTTTTTTAAACGGGGTCTGGCTGTGTTGCCCAGGCTGGAGTCCAGTAGCTGTTCACAGACATTATCATACCTCGAACTCCCAGGCTCAAGTGATACTCCTACCTCAGCCTCCTGAGTCACCGGTACTACAGGTATGCACCACCATGCCTGGCTAATTTTTACATGACATGGGGCCTCACCATGTTGCCCAGGCTGGTCTCAAACTCCTGGGCTCAAGTGACCCATCCGCCTTGGCCTCTCAAAGTGCTGGGACTACAAGCATGAGCCACTGTGCCTGGTCTCAACATTTTTTTTTTCTGGAAACTTTACAGCTCTGAAATCCAAAGTCTAGGATTTCACTGCTCCAGACTAAGTAAACATGCTTTTCCCCACCAAAGCCAAAGCTGGAATTTTTGGATTGGAGGTCTGATCTTGATCTCAATACACAGGATGACCTGGCTAAACCACCAGAAAACTGAAACCTGAGAAGAGAAGGTCTTCTAAGAAGGGAAAGGAATTCTTGTTTCCAAACCATTAAGTTTTAAGCTGTGGTGATCCCTGAACTAAGAAATGTAAAGAAGGGAGCTCTCAAAGGCCCAGAGGGGCAAAGTGGAGTTGCCAGCTGTGAGGGAGCCTAGGAAAACTGTGTTTAGGACCATAAATCAAGTCCTTAAGTCTTTTTTTTTTTTCTTTTTTTTGAGACGAAGCCTTGCTCTGTCACCCAGGTTGGACAGTGCAGTGGTGCAATCTCGGCTCACTGCAACCTCCACCTCCTGGGTTCAAGCAATTCTTTTCTGCCTCAGCCTCCCGAGTAGCTGGGATTCCAGGCGCCTGCCACCATGCCCGGCTAATTTTTGTATTTTTAGTAGAGACGGGGGTTTCACCATGTTGGCCGGGCTGGTCTCGAACTCCTGACCTCAGGTGATCCGCCCACCTCAGCCTCCCAAAATGCTGGGATTATAGTCACCGTGTCCGGATTGAGCCACAGTGTCGGGCCTCCCTAAGCAATTCTGTCCCTAATGAGATAATGACCATTCTTTTTGCCTTCTGGCTAAGAGTATGGAAAGAGTTAAAAGCCAATACTTTCACCACCCCTCTAAGGCTTATAGAATGGCAGAATTCCATTTCTATGACCTACATTCTTTGAAGGGAATGCCTATGTCGTGGAAAGAGGATGCAGCAAGACTTTTCACTTGACTGGGCTTGGTTTTCCCAGACCAAAAAATAAAATGGAAATAAATCATCTTTAAGGTCCCTTGCAGCTTTATGACTGTATAAAGCTACGTTTTCCAGCTAACAGTGGGGCAGAAGTAGGTAGAAAAAAGAGGAGACTTGTTTTGGCCACTCCCCAGGGAAAGAGGATTCATCTGGGTGGTTTCCTGAAGCTCTCGGAAAGGTAAATAGAGACTGGAGTTGTGTGACTGGTATTACCCCAGTCCTGTGACACTGAAAGGACACCACAGTTGGAGAGGCCACCTTTGCCTTCTCCGGGAGGATGGGGGATGGGAAGCCAGCGTGGAGCCACAGAGGCTTCCAGCTCCGCAGCCTGGCCTGGCTCAGCTCTTTCTGGCAGAAACCATGTCCTGCGTTCCAGGCTTCCGCGAGCAGGATGCTAGTGTGCTGCTCTCCTGCTCCCCTCTGCGGGGGCCTCTCAGAGGGTAGGACACACCCTCCTTGCCTTTTTTTTTTCCCCCTATTAAAAATCACAACTCAAATTTGGGTATTTTTCTCCCTCTGCTAGCCCCGCCAAAACTTTCAGCGCGTTCCGCCCACTCCACGTGGACCTCCCTTCCCTGTCCCAGCAGCCCCTGCGAGAACCCTCACCCCAACATGTGACCAATTGTTATGTTTCCTTCCTGGAGCTCGCTTTCAGCTGGCACCAGCTAACGACTGAACAAAAGTGCCCCCTTCAGGGTGAATGTGGGGCAGCAGCTTGAGAGGAGGAAAGCTGATGAGGGCTCAGGTACAATAGGGGAATGCAGCTGCCTCTGTTTAAAATGATTTCATATCTACATAGCTCCCTGGCTAAGGATTACACAATCAAACGATGAGACAAATGCAAGAGAAGGATGTCATCAAATAAAATTACTTGGGGGTGGAGTTGAATAAAATTTTAATTTCCAGCTGCAAAGTTGGTTACCTCTACTCCAACTCCATTTCCCGTTGAGTTCTTCATGATGTTGGCAGAGCACTCAGATCCTCCCATTCCAGACAAGAGCCAAGAATGCCCTAATTATGGGCTGGGTGATGGGAACAGGGCCTCCTCTGGGTGGGTGAGCTGCTTTTTGCTCACTACCACTACCCGCTTCCCCAGCAACACTCTAGTTGTCTCTTTAAGAGCTCGGACTCCTCAAGCTGACATAGTTTCCAAAATGGAATCTCTCCCTCTCTCAGCACTGGGGAACATTTTCCCTGGATGGGAAGAGCCCCAGGAGATCATGTTGGAGGAAGGAGGAGTAGGGCGGGGCAGCAAAAATTAGTCCAGTGGGAAGCCTTGGTACATGGAACAAGGGGGCTAACCAGGGAAAGTTAGAAAATAGGTCAAAGGAAGCCATGCAGAGGGAACTAGTTTCCTTGGAAAAATTTCTAAGCTTTGTCCATTTTTCACCTCACTCCTATCCCCTACAGGAGATGTGGGATTGGGGGATTGGGTAGGGAACTGGGGGTGAGGGAACATTCAAGGTTGGAGGCTGACTTGGGGAAGGAGTTGTGGGCAAGGCTCAGAGGAGGAAAACTAGGACTAAGTAGTGCAGGTAGGGAGGGGTAAATTTAAAATCAGAATTATTGTGGGGCCATTTCTCCCTCCAAGGTCATAGGGGTCATGGACAGTGAATGGTCCAGAAGCTACAAGCCGGGGAGCCCTAGGAGGGGGATCTCAGTAGCCAGGAAGCACACTACCCAGGGGCATGTTAAACAGTAATTTATGGAAGACAATGGAAGTAGTCCTGGGGCACCTATTTTTCCGTGTGTGTATTTCAACTTTTATTTTAGATTCAGGGGGTACATATGCAGGTTTGTTACAAGGGTATATTGTGTAATGGTGAAGTTTGGGGTATGACTGAACCTGTCACCCAGGTAGTGAGCATAGTACCAATAGGTAGTTTTTCAATCCTTGCTGGGGCACGTGTTTTCAAGGGAAACAGCCCAAAAGCGATCAAACTAGAATGTTGAGGACTCTAGCCAGGACATTTGCTCTCCTATAACTCAGCATCTGTCAGCGCTCCCATTACCAGGTGCTATTTCCAGAGTCCTGGGCTTAGGGAGAGGGAAAGGGAGGGGCGGAGGTGGAGAGGCAGAGGGAGACCCGATGGGCTCCTCCCCCAGCACAACTGCAATTCCAGCTTTTAGCCACTCAGGGGCTCCCAAGCTCAACCACAGCCCCTGCGTAAGGAGGGAGATTGAGTTAACAAGCCTCCAGAGGACACCTTGGGTCATCAGGGATGACCCTGAGCAGAAGGGTGACCCAGAAGTCATGTGCTCTGAAGCTGCAAGTCCTTCACAAGCCAATGAGTCCAGCCTCAACCTTTCTCTCTAAAAGGGACTCAGGGCACTGAGAACTCACTCCCCACCTCTTACCCTCACCCCCTTCTTTGTGGTCATTTCCTCCCCCGCGTGTTTCCTTCCCCTCCCCCATCCTCGTGGTGGGAACCATCCCCCAGCCTGTCAGAGTCCTGAGGAATGTTTTTGCCTTGACTGGGCGCCAAGCTGTGGACTTCCTGGGCTTTGGGGTGGGACTTGGCCAAGGGGAAGCCCTTTGGACCCAAGAGCCACTCAGTTCTGCACAGCCTGCCGGCTTTCTCTCTCTCTCTGCTAAGCAAAAGGCTCATCCATCACTTTGTGTCACGACTGCCTCATTTCCTCCCCCCACAATAGGATTTCCTTGCCAGGGCAAATCACACAATCTGGAAGCAGTGGTCATCCTAAACACTGTGGCTTATAGTGGGAGAGAGGGAAAGCACCTATTTCAGAAGCTGCCTTCTCTGTTCCAGAAGGCTGGTAGCTGGAAGGAGGGATTCAGTTGCCAGGGTCCTGAGGTAAGGACTTTGTAAATGGTAATTAATCTTGAGGGCTCCTTCTGGATCCTTCTCAGAACCATTGAGTCTAAAGAAATACAGGGTCTCTATATTATAGTTAAGCCTGGGAGTACGTGGATTTCTGCATATCTGACTTTTACCCAGCCTTCGTTTCCCTGAAATAAATCAGCTGAAATCCGAACTCATTCTTCCACATCATCTTTCCAGTCCCCTGCAGCAGACCAGTGTAGGTTCAGCAAGAACAGGGAGCAGGCAGAAACCACTCCCAAATCTCATTAATAGAGACTGGGCCTGTCAGGGACCACTGGCTCCTCTCCAAGGGGTCACTGCTCAGGTGTTTTTGCATTTGATCTCTTCTGATCTCTTGTCCATAAAAAGCCCTCAAATGACAAAGTGAGAACATAGTCCTATGGCATCCCCTGCCTCAGGGTCCAGTCCCTCAATGCCACTTTTGCAGCCTGTCTGCCTGATGTCATCATCTGTAGACCTGTGCCAGATTCCCAGGTTCCTATCTTGAAATCTCAGCCCCCGCACCCAGGGCCTAGGGGAGAGCCAATGTAGGTCACTGCAGTTGAGCCTGCAGGGCTGTCTGCTCCTTGAGCCCAGAGCCTTTCAGGCACAGAGAGAAAGCCTTGCAGAGAAGCAAAAGAAAGGGCTCTGTGAGAATCAGAGAAAAGCTTATTCCTCAAAAAATGAAGCAGGGAGAGGCCAGGAGTCAGCTGCTCAGACTGAGACAGTAACAGGAGTTCTGCTCCTGAGAACTGCCTGTGATGGAGAGAAGGCCCAAGGAGAGGGGCTGGGCATGGCTCACATCCCTCCCAACCCCCTAACCCCCATTTGCCTGTGTAAGGGAACCCTTTGGATCTGGTGTCCATCCCTCATTCTCTACTCTCTTTCCAGGCTCAGGTTTCATTCTCAGGAGCTTTTGTGATTTGCCTTAGGGACCCTTTGTTTCCTCTGGCCACAGTTTCTGGGTCTCAGGAAGGTGGAGTAGGCCAGGGATGACCCCGCCCTCCCCTATTGAAAGACTTTTCCTGCTTGTTATCTGCTAAACTCATTTTACCCAGGGAACTTCCAACCTTCTGGGACTTCATTCCTTCTCTTGGTCTCCCTACCCTAGCATCTGAGATCGCAGGGAGTGTTTGTGTGTGCCTGTGTGCATGGTCCTCATCTTCTTTTAGTTACTCATGGGAAGTCAAGAGCCTATGGCTGTTAACTAACTTGGGGTCCCCATGGCCAGCAAAAATAGATAAGGGCTTAATTTCTACCTCCAGCCTCAAAACAATTTAAGCCACAATCATTTGTTCTAATAGGAGCCTCGGGACAGGAAGAAAAGTAGGTAAGATGGAGAAAGGATAAACAAATAAAATTCTAACCTTTTCTTTCTTTCACTCTCCCCTCACCCAGTACCTTCCACTCCTCTTTGAGATCTCAGCTACTCATTAGCCTACTACTGTTGTGCCATTTGCCCGCATTTCCAGAATCTGCACACAGGAGGCACTCAATAAATGCTTTTTACTCTGAGTCAAACTAAATCTGATTACGCCCTGTGGCTGGACTTTGAGATGAAGCAGCACAAAGGGGGAAGGTAGACATGCCCCCAGATCTTTTTTTTTTTTTTTTTTTTTGAGACAGGGTCTCACTCTGTCGCCCAGGCTGGAGTGCAGTGTGTGATCTTGGCTCATGGTAACCTCCACCTCCCAGTTCAAGGAATTCTCCTGCCTCAGCCTCCTGAGCAGCTGGGATTACAGGCACACACCACACCCGGCTAATTTTTGTATTTTTTTGTAGAGACGGGGTTTCACCATGTTGACCAGGCTGGTGTCCAATGCGTGGCCTCAAGTGATCCGCCTGCCTCAGCCTCCCAAAGTGCTGGGATTACAGGGATGAGCCACCACGCCCAGCTGACATGTCCCCAGATCTTGGGCTAGATTCTCCTAGAGGACTGATTGTTAGGGACCGAAGACCTAAAGCAGTGGGTCTCAGGCTTCCCAGAATCCCAAGGGCCTTGTTAAAACTCAGATTGCTGGGTTTTGCTCCCAGAGCTTCTGATTCAATCCACCTGGGATGGGGCCTGGGAATTTGCATTTCTAACATGTTCCCAGGTGACCCCAGATCCCTATGCTTATCTTGAGAACCACTGTCTTAGAGAACCCCAGCCCCTCCCCCCACTGTTTACCATGAGGACTTGATTGGTTCCATTTTTTTTTTTTTTTTGAGACAGGGCCTCGCTCTGTTGCCCAGGCTGGAGTGCAGTTGCATGATCTCGGCTCACTACAACCTCCGCCTCCCGGGTTCAAGCGATTCTCATGCCTCAGCCTCCCAGGTAGCTGGGATTACAGGCGCCCACTACCATGCCTGGCTAATTTTTTTTTATTTTTTGTAGAGATGGGGTTTCACCATGTTGGCCAGGCTGGTCTCGAACTCCTGACCTCAAATGATCCGCCCACGTTGGCCTCCCAAAGTGCTGGGATTACATGGTTCCAATTTTATATAGGAGGAAGGAACTGGTACCACCCTAACCAGTACAGAGATCTTAAGAGAGGGTAAGGGCAGGCGTAAGTCGGTCTCTAACTGATTATCCATTCTGTCTCTTTTTAAATAGTCCATTGATTCCATCCTTATTGAAAGTCACTTCCCCAAAACATGTTTTGCAGCAGCAACAGGAGCACTAGGAATTTCCTGTGACGAGGCAGCGCCAGTGCTGGGGAGGGGTGGAGGCAGTGCTGAGCGAGCGCCTTCCCTTGGCTCGGGCAGGGCCACGTGCCCCACCCCCTCGCTTGCACATGTCTCCACCGCCACCGCCGCAGCAGCCGGGCTGTTTATGAGCGAGTTGTTGTGGTAGAAATGGAGCAGGCTGCACATGCCCGGGCCATGTGACCCCGGCAGCCCGCGTGAGCCTCGAGCCGGCACAAACACACTGGGCCCCTTCCTCCGTGGGCCAGAGAAACAGGAGGCAAGATGAGGAAGGAGGGAAAGCGCGCGGGGCTCCCTTCTTGTCTCCTTGCGCTTTATCCTGCTTCTGTCTCCTTTTGTCTCTCCTGAGCCACCAGGGGAGCAAACACCCAGAAAAGAAACATGGTCTCCCCAAGCATATTTTCCTCCCAGGCAGCCCCTTGGTGTTTTCACAACCCAGAACCCTAAGCCTCAAAAGAACAAAGGACCTTCCCAAGCCAAGAACACAGAACAGCCCACCCCAGCCCTCATGGTGATGTGTTGATGTCTGCCCAGAGCCAAGACTTGGCTTCCCTGTAGCCTGGGCTCCCCAAATCAGGCTACCCTGTCCCCTCTTTCTAGGAAGGAGGATGACACACACACGCAGCAAGTGCCCCCTCCAGGGTTAGAACAAGGACAGTTCAGGGATTTGTGTGTTTGGGGACATGAAGCAAAGGTTCTGCAACAGTGGTCTGTGAGGTTAGTGGACCGGAAGGGGAAAGTCCCTCTGCTACTTGGAGATGGGGAAGAGCCGAGGGCTGGAGGAAACCTAGAAGGGCTTTCCCAATAACCCCTGTGTAGCTGCAGAACAAATGCGTGTGCAAAAGGCAAATTCAGCCTCCATCCCTCATTGAAGTGCCCCCTTCCATCTGCCTGGCCCTCTAACCTCCATTGGTCCTTCTCTGGGCACTCTAACCACAGACCCCCACTTCTGGCTCTCTGCTTCTGCCCCCTACTCGTGACCCCATTTCTAAGCTGCGGTGCCTCTTGCTGGGCTATGAGACTATGCTAGAGTCAGGGGGACAGTAGGTTAGCAGGAACAAGCAAATGAAATGAGCACGACCCACATTTCCTCATCGCACCAAAACTTCGCAGATCCTGCATTGCAGAGCTAGCGCTTTTTTTTTTTTTTTTTAATCTCCGCTGGGCCCCTACACACGTCTGCATTTTTGCAACCAGCACAGATTTTTTTTTTCCAGGGTGCAAACTGCGCATTCTAATGAGCCAAAGCTCCTTCCTGCGGCATTGAAAATCTCTTTGGCAAACTGCTTCTTCCCCACTCGCCCTCCCCCCAATTTAGAAGAGGAGGAGGGATCCCAAATTTGTGAAGTCGCATCCTCTCTCTCTCCTTCTCCTGCCCCCCCTCCCCCAAGATACCGCAGTCTTTCCAGCCCGACTAACAGCTGCAGACCAGGGGAGAGGAGTGAGAGGAGGGAAAGTAAGCCTTGTTCCTTCTTTCCACTCAGGCTGAGCCGGCCGGGCGGGGGTTGCTTTTTTCCCTGGGCAGCCATTGCAACCCCCCTTTCCTCCCCATCCCAGCCAGTGTTTATGTAAGCCTCCCAGAAGCTACACAAGGCCCCTAATGCCTGCCCAGGCCACCGCTCCTCCGAGGTCCATTCTGCTCACGAGGACTGTCATGAGCCTCTGGCCTCCCCAGGCAGCTAATGGTGATCTGCAGAGGCCCAAAGGATGGAGAGACACTGGATAAGGAGAGGGTTTGAGATGGAGCTTGGGATAAAGGGTAGAGATGGAAGCAGATGCAGAGCACCCCCTCTCCCTTTCCTCCACCTCCCCCACATTCTCCCTGCATCTGAGTTCTACAGAGGCTCAAGGGCAGCCAATGGGCAGGTGCAGGGGCCTGGAAGATGATACCACTGTGGCTCCAGCAGCATGGCAAAGATTGGACAGGAGGCCTTAGCAGAGCATGTACTGGATGCCAGAAAAAGGGTCATCTGGGGCTTAGTCTCCACTGCCAAGGACAATCCATGCCTCCTCCAGGATCCTGTGATGTGGGTGAGATCCTAGGTTCTGAGAGAGGGGACCCTTCTTCAGGTTCTTCAAAGCATCTGCTGAAGAAGCATTGGCCCAGGACAGTGGCTTTCGGAAGGGCTGGTTTTAGAGGTGCACGTTGCTCAAGCAGGTAAATGGGGAAGTGGGATGCTGTTTCCTTAAGGCTTTGGACACAACTTTTGTTGGTCCTTGGTGGCCTTCCACACGCTCCCTCAACCAATCTTCTTAATACAGCTCCTGGAATGAAGCACCATGGGACTTCAGAGGGCCCTGACCTACTTGCCCCACTCTCCTCACCACCAGCAGCAGACCCCAAATTCAGAGGGTTTGGGTAGAGAAGAGAGTTCAGACGCCTGTTTCTGTTAGTCACCTCTATAGCAGTCTGTGGTTTGTGCACCCTGTTCCTGCCCCTTCTACTTTTAGAACCAGATGAGGGAAATGTAGGACGGGGAGTGGGAAGAGTTTAGGGGAAGAGGAAATGTGCCTGGGGTTAAAAGAGAGATTTTGGAAAGCTGAGGTACTCCCTGGGACAGGGACAAGGGGTGCTTCAGGCTTCTGTTCTTGGTGATATATCCCACTTCCAAGCATCACCATTGCTTGGGAAACACCAGGATGAGTTTGCTGCTCAGACGTTCCCCTAGGGTGGCAGTAATCTCTCTAGGAGGGGCAGTCTTGCTAGCAGAAAGAGTTTCATCTTCACGCCTGGGGTTGAATCCCCAGCATTGCCATTTTCATTGTGACGCTGACAGTGGTAGTTCAAGAGATAGCTAGAGGGGAGATTTAGCCCCTCCAATAATCTCCATCCGCGCTATCATTCTTTGATGGACATCTTCTCAGTCTTAAGTGCTATGCAAATTACAGCTTCAAGACTAATCACCTAGACCCTCTGGCACCCTGGGCAAGTTAATAAAGTTCTCTAAGTCTCAGTTTCCCCATCTCTAAAATAAGAATGAGACCTACAGCATAGGGTTGTTGTGAATATTAAATGAGATAATGTGTACAAAACACTTTGCACAGTGCCTGGCATACGGTTGGTACTTAATACATATTTATGGTTTCCTTTCCTTGGAAAAAGCAGTAGTGAGGTAAAGATAGAATCTGAGGCAAAACACATCCATGGAACCCAGCCCTGGCTCATGCCTCGCCCTTGCTTTCTCCATCCCCCTCCCCCCACCACACTGAGAAACAAGTTAGCTCAGACTCTGTCCTTCCTGTGGCATGTTCTTAAAGTTCTCCCCAAAACATCCAGGCTTTGGGTGGGGTTGGGAAAGATAGCTGGCCTTTTAGAGACAAAGAAAAGGATTTAGGAGGGCAGGGAGTGAGTCTCTCCCAGGCACATGGCTGGTTCCCTGATTCAGGGGCATCCCCAGCATTTCTATACCAGGTTTGCATCACCTGGGCAGACAGGTTTCTACTCTGGGCAATGGTTTCTTGGTGAGAAAGGAGGGGGATGGGAAGGCATCTACAGAAGCCTGACCTGTTTCCAGCAAGGACCCACCCTCAGTCAGTCAGTCAGTCAGTCAGTCAGTCAGTCAAGCAGTTGGCCCAAGATTTAGGCCACCCAGAATTTGCACAGGGTGTTGCCCTGTTACCCAGAACAACCTACTGACAGGGAGAACAGATCTCAGATCAAACATGCACACCCACACACACAGCATTCACACTCACACACAAACATGCAGTCTCACTCATAGTCATAGAATCACACACACACACACACACACGTGCACACATACATAACTGACCAGAGCTTAGTGTTCTCAATACCTTTCCTTCTTCTCCTCTGTGTCTGCTGTCCTCTGCAGTCCAAATAAATCAAGGAAAATTAAAGACATATTTGGAAACACACAGGCAGGATCCAACACTGCCCCTAATGGGAAGGTTCGTCCCCAGAATCCCAGACTTGGGAATCCAAGTGGAAGTGTATGCAGAACCAGGGCAGTGCCTTGCTGTACCAGGTTGTGAATATGCATCTTTTCTACCTGGATCCAATCTGAGTACTATTTATGAAGAGTTAAGTGCTTTCTTGAGTTGAACTGGGCTATGGGAGAAATGGGGTGTGTGTGTGTGTGTGTAGAAGTGAACAGCAGGCCGGGCATGGTGGCTCACGCCTGCTATCCCAGCACTTTGGGAGGCTGAGGTGGGTGGATCACCTTAGGTCAGGAGTTCAAGACCAGCCTGACTAATATGGTGAAACCCCATCTCTACTAAAAATATAAAAAAAATTAGCCAGGCATTGTGGCGTGCTCCTGCAGTCCCAGCAACTTGGGACGCTGAGACAGGAGAATGGCTTAAACCCGGAAGGTGGAGGTTGCAGTGAGCCACTGCACTCCAGCCTGGGCGATAGAGTGGGACTCTGTCTCAAAAAAAAAAAGAAGTGAACAGCAATGTCCAGCTGGAGGGATAGGTGAGGAAGGTTGTGTTGAGATACACCTGTTGTCTTAAGGTCTTACAGCCAAGGTTGAGGTCAAAGAGAAACCAAGATTCTACTCCGAATCACCCAGAGCCAGACAACCCAGCCTTTCCCCCCTCCCTTTGGTGGCTTTGGGTCTCAGAGTTTCTGCCCTTCTCCCAGCAGCTGCTGACAGAGAAAGGAGCAGGGTACACAGACTGACTAGAAGCTTCTGGGGCCAAGAGAGAACCCTGCCTTTTCATTCTGTACTCCTCTCACCAGCTGTAGAAGAAAGACACCCGAATTACTTGTGAGGGAGAAAAGGAAGGGCCCTATAAGAAATGGAAAGGAAGGAAGGAAGGAGCAAGGGGGTAACCCCTCTCCTTTGCCCCCTCCCTCCCAGCCTCTGCCTTCACACCACACACAGACTGCAGAACCACCCAGGTTTTGCCAAGAGGAGAGTCAGGCTGACTGAATTTCAGCTCTCTCTACCTCTGCTCCCTCCTCCTTCTCACTGATTGCAGCAGGCGAGGAGTCTTGACCCACCCCAGCTCCCACTCCTAGAAGAACAAACATCCAGCAAGTATACAGGGGGTGGGTAGGACCTCCACAGCAGCAAACAGAGCTGTGGGCCTTGGGGAGGACCCCGGCCAAGTAAAGGGAGGGTGCTAGTGGTGGTGCTGTGCTGTGGGGAGCTAGATGCACGCCAGGGGTCCTGATTTTGAGTCCAGCCCTGACAGACACCTGGGCTCTGGCCCTGGCTCTGACTTGGAGTCAAGGTCACAGAGAGCAGGCAAGGGCAGGACAGGGCAATTCACCTCCTAGCTTTCCCTCCAGAGCCCAGAGGGTGGAGGGAGAGGGGGTGGAGGCTGAGAACCAAGTTTTCCTGAAAAGCCTCTTTCCTTGTTTGTTTTAGCCCCTCCCAGTTGCTCCCACACTCTGCTGCAGCTTCCCAACTCTGGGCCAAAGGGCCAGAGAAGAGCCCACTGCCCTCTCTCTCCCACTTTTCTTGGGAGCAGGAGAACAAAGCTAAAGCCTAGCCCATTCCAGGAAGCTCATCTTCTACAAGGAGTCAGAGGGTGAGTGGTCAAGCTCCTGCAGTCAACCTCACTGTCCTCACTACCCAGTTTACTCCTGTGCTCATATTATTATTCTTTTTTTTTTTTTCTTTTTTTGAGATGGAGTTTCGGTCTTGTTGCCCATGCTGGAGTGCACTGGCGCGATCTCAGGTCACTGCAACCTCTGCCTCCCGGGTTCAAGCAATTCTCCTGCCTCAGCCTCCCGAGTAGAGTAGCTGGGACTACAGGCGTGCGCCACCACGCCCAGCTAATTTTTGTATTTTTAGTAGAGACGAGGTTTCTCCATGTTGGCCAGGCTGGTCTCAAACTCCTGACCTCGGGTGATCCACCTGCCTCGGCCTCCCCAAGTGCTGGGATTACAGGTGTGAGCCACCACCACACTTGGCCTTTTTTTTTTTTCTTTGAGATGGACTCTCACCCTGTTGCCCAGGCTGTTGTGCAGTGGCATGATCTCGGCTCACTGCAATCTCCATCTCCTGGGTTCAAGCAATTCTCCTGCCTCAGCCTCCCGAGTGGCTGGGACTACAGGCGTGCGCCACCACGCCCAGCTAATTTTTGTATTTTTAGTAGAGATGGGGTTTCACCATGTTGGCCAGGCTGGTCTCGAACTCCTGACCTCAGGTGATCTGCCCACTTCAGCCTCCCAAAATGCTGGGATTACAGGTGTCAGCCACCACCCCCGGACTCCCATATTCTTTTTCTCTACCTTTTCGGTGGCTTTCATGTTTCCCAGGCATCCATCAATACCATCCCAGGAGCTGCCTGTGGAGAAGGGCTTCCTATGTGAAGAAAACCCTCTCTAGAAGCACTGGGACTGGGGAGGAATTAGCGGGAGCAGCAGGTGGCTCAGGCTCCCTCTCCCTTCGCTGCCTAAGAAGCTTCCATCCCCTCCATGACCCAAGCCCTCTAACATGATAGATCTCCTCTACTTGAGATCTGTTATTACTCATGGGACAGTTGCTGCTCTGAAGCGAAATACTGGCTGTTTTTTGTTTGTTTGTTTTGGAGACAGAGTCTCACTCTATCCCCCAGGCCGGAGTGCAATGGCGATCTCGGCTCACTGCAACCTCCACCTCCCGGGTTCTAGCGATTCTCCTGCCTCAGCCTCCTGACTAGCTGGGATTACAGGCACCCACCACCACATCCGGCTAATTTTTGTATTTTTAGTAGAGACGTGGTTTCACCGTGTTGGTCAGGCTGGTCTCAAACTCCTGACCTCAGGTGATCAACCCACCTCAGCCTCACAAAGTGCTGGGATTACAGGCATGAGCCAAAGCACCCGGCAATGCTGGCTGTTTCTAACCCCTGTTCAGTATTTCACTTGTACATCTACCCACCTTCCCATTCGGGGTGGGCAGATGAAACTAGCAATGGACGTCTGACCTTGGGTCGGTCACTTCTCCTAAGCTTCCTGTTCCCCACTAGTAAAAAGAGGGAGGCTTAAGATGATCTACATGTTCCCCTCTGAGTAGTAATCTTCTGTGGAATTCATATTTTATCCTCCAGCACCGAGGGGCAGGGGTGTCACTCTGCCCCCACCCCCTGCCTCACCTCTTCCCCATTACTTTAGGACCTCAAAGCACTTTCACTATTAGTTCCCCTCTGTTGTCCTTTTTATTTCCCAGACAAAGGGAAATGACTCACCCCAAAGTCAACTGGAGTGGGTGGAATGGTGTCATACAAGCAAACAGGGAGTCCCTACAGACATCCCTACCTCTGTGGGAACTCCTTCCCCTGGAGGTGTTCTCCCTAAGGCGAGTAGAAGGGAAAGGGGGTCACATTTCCTTTCCTTCTCTGGACTTTGCCCTGAAGCAGAGGGCAGCCTAAGCTCCTGACTCCAGGGAAATCTCCCTCCCCGGCTTCTCTCTCTCCCGGTCACCAGTAACCTCAGGACGAGGTCAGTCCTGCAATCACGTGAAGCCCTCACGTTTGCAAGGTTTGCAGAAAGGGCCTCTTAGCTTTGATCTCCCAGACAGCAAACAAGCTTGCCAGTCCCTCCCCAGAAATTCACATGCCCCTGCCATACAGGCTTTCTAAACACGCCACCCTGACTCTTCAGCGCACCCCACCCCACCCCACTCTCAGCTCCTCCCAGGTCCCGGCAAGCGCTTTGCCAGGCAGAAAGGGGAAAGGCACGCAGTCCGCCCACTTTGTCGGTGGACTACAAATCCCGACAGTCTTGTCGTTGCGCAGGCGCGCAAGAGCTCAACGTGCCGGCTGTTGGAAAAGTGTGTCACTGGGGCACGAGGCGCTCCCTGGGATCACATGGTACCTGCTCCAGTGCCGCGTGCGGCCCGGGAACCCTGGGCTGCTGGCGCCTGCGCAGAGCCCTCTGTCCCAGGGAAAGGCTCGGGCAAAAGGCGGCTGAGATTGGCAGAGTGAAATATTACTGCCGAGGGAACGTAGCAGGGCACACGTCTCGCCTCTTTGCGACTCGGTGCCCCGTTTCTCCCCATCACCTACTTACTTCCTGGTTGCAACCTCTCTTCCTCTGGGACTTTTGCACCGGGAGCTCCAGATTCGCCACCCCGCAGCGCTGCGGAGCCGGCAGGCAGAGGCACCCCGTACACTGCAGAGACCCGACCCTCCTTGCTACCTTCTAGCCAGAACTACTGCAGGCTGATTCCCCCTACACACTCTCTCTGCTCTTCCCATGCAAAGCAGAACTCCGTTGCCTCAACGTCCAACCCTTCTGCAGGGCTGCAGTCCGGCCACCCCAAGACCTTGCTGCAGGGTGCTTCGGATCCTGATCGTGAGTCGCGGGGTCCACTCCCCGCCCTTAGCCAGTGCCCAGGGGGCAACAGCGGCGATCGCAACCTCTAGTTTGAGTCAAGGTCCAGTTTGAATGACCGCTCTCAGCTGGTGAAGACATGACGACCCTGGACTCCAACAACAACACAGGTACTGAGATTTCTTTACTATCATCTTTTCCCTGTCACTGTCTCCCCACCTCCATCTACGCCTTATAAAAAGAGGAACTTTGTAAGGGACTGGGGTGTCCCTCGGCCCGGAGATTTGCTAACGTGCTGCGGTGCTTTAGTGTGGGATTTCCAGAGCGGCTTGTTCGGGCTGGAAATGCTCTCAGAAACGCCCCATCACCACCCCTCAGAGTCCCAAAGCTCCCTTGAGCCTCGAATCCCTGGGCAGGAGGAAATGGAGAGGAGGTACGGGTGGTGAAGCGAAGAATTTAGGGGGACTGGGAGCTTTGGAACAGTGCCCCGAAACGGCCCCATCTGTCCACTACCTGCAGCTGTAGTATGCCTGGCCTCAGAAAACGGACCCCCTCCCCTCTTGTCTTCCCCCTCCTCTAGTTCCTGCAGGCGCGAGGGAATCTGAGAAGAGTGGCGCGATGGGGTTCAGGGAAGGAGGGGCTGGGAGAATCGTTCGGATCTCACTGGGGAATCCTCAGTGACAGGAGGGAGCGACACTTGAGGAGTCCAGAGCGTGGTGCCCGGCCCGAGGGAGGGCACCTACAGGGCTCCGGCCGCCGGGAGGGCTCACATGGCTCTAGAGCCGGGCCCACGTGCTGCGTTTGTTTTCATTCAGCAGAAGCCGTGGCTGCCACCCCATTGGTCGTTGCCTCCCGGCCTCGTTACATAATGAGCTCCGCCCCCCCGGTCGCCCCGGCAACGCGTGTTCCCTTCTCTCCTCCCCTAGGTTGTCCTGGCCCTGCTATCGTTCGGGGTCCAGCCCACGACCTGGTGGCCGGGGAAGGGCGGGTAGGAGGCGGGGCGACTGCTCTCGATTGACGGGAAGCGAGGAGGGCGGGGCCTCGAGTTCCGGGGTTCCTCGTTGGGGAGCCACGTGCGAGAGGCACACGTGGAGCAGGGACGTGAGGCCGGCTGAGGGCCCAGCTCCCGCCCTGCCCCGCCCCGCCGAGATCTGGGTGAAGCTGGGCTGACTCACCGCCCCCGCCTGCCTCCTTTTCCGGTCCGCCTGCCCGGCCCCCTCCCCCATCACCAAAACAAAGTAACATGGAGCCATTCCTGACCTTTCATGGCCTTCTGTTTTACACTCCCTAAAGAGACCTCACCCCTAACCACCCTTCTCACTCCTTTCCACTTCACTCTTATTTGCACCTACTTCACCGTACTGCATTTAGACTCAGCTTCCCCACATTACAAATTCCTGTTCCCCAAGCTTCTCTCTCCTTAGTTCTGCGAGCATTGTCTTACCCCCATCTCCACCAGACAAGCTGCAGTTTGCCTACTAAGGGCTCCCCAAAGCAACTGCACCCCACAATCATAGCTGAAATGATACTGTCCTTTTTTTCTCACAGAAAGGAAAACTGAGACCCAAAGAGGGGAGTTGATGTCCTCTAGGTCACAAAATAAGTTGGTAGTGATGGGTCTAGACCTAGACCTAGACTCTTGAGTATGCTCCTCACTTCCACGTTGGAAGCCTCTGCATGAAGGTCTCACTCCTTTTTGGGGGATGGGTGAACTAGGTCAACTTCATTTACTGCCAACTAATGATTCCATCCCCCACCTCAGCCCTGAAACCGGGGGAGCTGATCTGTTGTGCAACTATTTTCCAAGGAGCTGGGTTCACCCTGACCAACCTTGAGCTATTTTAGGGCCGCCCTGCCCAGTTCAGTGTGTGTCAGTGGGTGAGCAAGACATGTGCCTCTGCAGACACAGTGGCATGGCATGTGTTAGGTCACATGTGTCCTGGGATCCTCCCTTCTCCCACCCCGCCCATGGCAGACCAATCTAGGTGCTTGCCGGAGGTGTGGCAGGCAGGTCACCTTTTTCTCCTGCTAATACCACGGGAGCACAGCCACCTCATTGGCAATGTAACCAGAGGGTCAAAGTCCCTGAATGGCCAGAGAGCCAAGGTCATTGTTACCAGGCTGAGATCTGAAGGGGGAATTTTAGAGCCCCAGGCTGGACAGTTTGTACTTCCACCTCCTGCAACTCGCACCTCGAAGTCCTTTTTGGACACAGGGATAGACTCCACTGTGGCTCACTCTCTTAAGAGGCCAGGGGAACCAGGCTGGGCAGATTCCTTCCCTTCATTTCCTTCAGAGAATATATGTCCCCAACTGGGGGGAATGTGACTGTCTTACTTTTGTAAACCCTCCATTCTCTTTACTGTTGGCTACCTATCTCTCCATGGTCCATGGTCTCATTCCTGGAATGGTCTTAGTGTTAAAATCAGCAGCTGGGTTTTTGTTTTTGGAGGACTGGGCACTTTGAATGGTGCTCAGCTGCCCATCCCATCCCCAGATCTTCAACTGACAACTAAGTCATTAGCTGCAGTCGATATTCCCAAGGAAGGCAACTAAGGAAGGGGGGCACATATGCGAGATGCCACAGGGGTCATGCCTCATACTGAAAGCAGAAGCTGAAGGTGGCCTGCAAAGGGTCGTAGGTGTTGCTTGGCCATGCCATGTCTACTGTGTGTTGGGGAATTGCTTATTAACTCCAAGATTAGGGGCTCCACATGGTGAACTGAGTGGCCAGCAATGTTTTGGGCAGACAGGTGGGGATGAGCACAGTGGCACCCTAGGTCCGGAGACATGGCGGCTGACACCCCCTTTCCTTTTGTTCTCTCTCCAGGTGGCGTCATCACCTACATTGGCTCCAGTGGCTCCTCCCCAAGCCGCACCAGCCCTGAATCCCTCTATAGTGACAACTCCAATGGCAGCTTCCAGTCCCTGACCCAAGGCTGTCCCACCTACTTCCCACCATCCCCCACTGGCTCCCTCACCCAAGACCCGGCTCGCTCCTTTGGGAGCATTCCACCCAGCCTGAGTGATGACGGCTCCCCTTCTTCCTCATCTTCCTCGTCGTCATCCTCCTCCTCCTTCTATAATGGGAGCCCCCCTGGGAGTCTACAAGTGGCCATGGAGGACAGCAGCCGAGTGTCCCCCAGCAAGAGCACCAGCAACATCACCAGTGAGTACCTTTCCAGCTGATTCGGGGGAAGGGAAGCAGGCCAGGGCCAGATTGGGAATGGGTTTTTACGTGACACCAGTCTTGCCAGGACCTATTCTGGCTTCAGGGATTTCTCCTAGAGTGGCACCAGCCCCTCTTCAGCCCAGTTTTGTCACTCCAGTGCCCCTCAACACTGGAGTTCCTCCTTAGCTTTTCCCTCCCTGGATCTCCGGCCCAGAAAGCCTCCACACCTGTGGCCACTCAGCCTGGCCTCTCCTGCTCACCTGCTGCCCGTCTCTTCCACAGAGCTGAATGGCATGGTGTTACTGTGTAAAGTGTGTGGGGACGTTGCCTCGGGCTTCCACTACGGTGTGCACGCCTGCGAGGGCTGCAAGGTGAGGCGGACTGGGGGTAAGGGCAGGGGCAGGTGGCCCCCTCCCCCTGGACACAGAGGCCCAGCCATGATGGAGGTGGTCACTAACCACCCCTGCCCTCCAGGGCTTTTTCCGTCGGAGCATCCAGCAGAACATCCAGTACAAAAGGTGTCTGAAGAATGAGAATTGCTCCATCGTCCGCATCAATCGCAACCGCTGCCAGCAATGTCGCTTCAAGAAGTGTCTCTCTGTGGGCATGTCTCGAGACGGTGAGGCAGCATCCCCACATCCTCCCCCCTTCTTCCGCCCAAAGTTTCTGAATTAATCCTTCCCTTTAAAAAAGTCACAAATGGAGACACATCATACTGTGAATCACATGTGCCAGGGGATGTCCATCCTTCATTTGCTTGGGTCAACATATACTTCTATCCCATTGGTCCCTCGGGTCACCTCCTACCAGCAATCCCTCCTAGGGAAACCCCCTTGATGGGTGGGGACTTGCTGGTTTTAGTTTTGATGTGAAACCCCAAGCCTTCAGGGCCTTGCCCTTTCAGGAGGAAGGAAGGAAGAGAAGCACGTGAGCATGGTTGAGAACTTCCTGATGCTGTTCTCATCCTGTTGCAGCTGTGCGTTTTGGGCGCATCCCCAAACGAGAGAAGCAGCGGATGCTTGCTGAGATGCAGAGTGCCATGAACCTGGCCAACAACCAGTTGAGCAGCCAGTGCCCGCTGGAGACTTCACCCACCCAGCACCCCACCCCAGGCCCCATGGGCCCCTCGCCACCCCCTGCTCCGGTCCCCTCACCCCTGGTGGGCTTCTCCCAGTTTCCACAACAGCTGACGCCTCCCAGATCCCCAAGCCCTGAGCCCACAGTGGAGGATGTGATATCCCAGGTGGCCCGGGCCCATCGAGAGATCTTCACCTACGCCCATGACAAGCTGGGCAGCTCACCTGGCAACTTCAATGCCAACCATGCATCAGGTAGCCCTCCAGCCACCACCCCACATCGCTGGGAAAATCAGGGCTGCCCACCTGCCCCCAATGACAACAACACCTTGGCTGCCCAGCGTCATAACGAGGCCCTAAATGGTCTGCGCCAGGCTCCCTCCTCCTACCCTCCCACCTGGCCTCCTGGCCCTGCACACCACAGCTGCCACCAGTCCAACAGCAACGGGCACCGTCTATGCCCCACCCACGTGTATGCAGCCCCAGAAGGCAAGGCACCTGCCAACAGTCCCCGGCAGGGCAACTCAAAGAATGTTCTGCTGGTAAGGGCATGGGGGCGGGCGAGTGCGTTAAGAAGATTGGGGGGGCCTGGCAGAATGGACTTAGTGTAGGGCAGCTGGGGGTTCCTGGAGGCTGAGTGTGGGGATAGCATCTTCCCAGGAGAAAATGTCTTGCCTTGCAGTCTGGACTCTGCCTGGGAATCCCTAATCTCCACCTGGCACCTAATTGCTACTTTATCTGAAAGACCCATCCTTCAGGGCCACAGCCCCTAGCCCAGGCAGAATCTGGGGTCCAGCTCTGCTCGGGGCGTCCATCTGACCCAGCCTGGCTGACACTCCCCTCCTTCAATCTTTTCCTCCCCCAGGCATGTCCTATGAACATGTACCCGCATGGACGCAGTGGGCGAACGGTGCAGGAGATCTGGGAGGATTTCTCCATGAGCTTCACGCCCGCTGTGCGGGAGGTGGTAGAGTTTGCCAAACACATCCCGGGCTTCCGTGACCTTTCTCAGCATGACCAAGTCACCCTGCTTAAGGCTGGCACCTTTGAGGTGAGTGACCGTTTATGCTTCTGGTTTTTGTTTTTTTTGAGACAGAGTTTCGCTTGTCGCCCAGGCTGGAGTGCAATGGTGCGATCTCCACTCACTGCAACCTCCACCTCCTGGGTTCAAGCAATTCTCCTACCTCAGCCTTCCAAGTAGCTGGGATTACAGGTTCCCGCCACCACGCTTGGCTAATTTTTATATTTTTATTAGAGACAGGGTTTCGCCATGTTGGCCAGGCTGGTCTCAAACTCCTGACCCCAGGTGATCTGCCCGCCTTGGACTCCCAAAGTATTGGGATTACAGGCGTGAGCCATTGCACCCAGACGCTTCCTGCTTTTGACCTTGGGAAGGATCCAACAGAAAGCCCTGCTGTCTGGGGTGGGCAGGACCTCTGAAAGGTTTTGGAACCCAGTATCTTTGTCCTTATAGCCTGATTGGTGAAAGGGGCTGAGCGGCTCCTGCTGCTTCCTCTTGATGGCTGGGACTTCTGTCATCTCAGCTGGAATTTAATCACAACCCATTACACTGAAATAATGCCTTGGGTGCACTGCTGCCCCCATTCTAGACAAGAGCAGATTAACTTTGGTGAATGCCTTGCCCAAGGTCACAGGTAGTGACAAAGCTGACACTCAGATTCAGGCTTATTGGATCCCAAAGCCATCCTTCCACCTGGGCTCCCTCATTGGCCATTCAGAAACAACCCCCACTCTACTGAGAAATCGAAGGCAGCACCGCTAAACCCTCTGGCAAACTACAGGGGCGATTTGGTCAGTGCTCCTCCCACCACACCCAGGATGACTGTTCCCCTTCCCTCCTAGGTGCTGATGGTGCGCTTTGCTTCGTTGTTCAACGTGAAGGACCAGACAGTGATGTTCCTAAGCCGCACCACCTACAGCCTGCAGGAGCTTGGTGCCATGGGCATGGGAGACCTGCTCAGTGCCATGTTCGACTTCAGCGAGAAGCTCAACTCCCTGGCGCTTACCGAGGAGGAGCTGGGCCTCTTCACCGCGGTGGTGCTTGTCTCTGCAGGTAGGTCAGGCTCTCGCCTGACCCGGGGGAGGAGGCAGACGCAGTTCAATTCAACACACCTTTTATGGAGTACCTACTCTATGCCAGGCCCTGCACCGGGCACTGGGGATACAGACATGATTCAGACACAGTCTAGCTTGGGAAACAGACTCATGCCCGACTAATTATAAAACAGTGAGATAAGTGTCACAGTAGAAGCATGAACCAAGGAAGCACAGACAACTATTTCTGCCTGGGGGAGCTGGGGAAGGAGGTGACACTTGAGTTGGGGCCTCAAAGGACAAGTAAGATGTTGCCAGGCAGAGAAAGGGGGAAGGGCATCCCAGGCAGAGGGAACTACACAGCAAAAAGCAAGGGAGTCTGGCCATGTTTGGCCTGCTGAGGAAGGGAAGGTGGTCTTACGGGATGGGAGGTGACCAGCCCTGCTGAGCCCACGCTCCCAGCTTTCAGGCACCTCCTGCTCTTGGGGCAGAGGCCTGGGAGAAGGTATGGCACTCCTTCTCCTTCCCCATCGGCCTTCTGGGGGGCTTCAGGGAGAGGCTGCATTGCCTGCCAGGTCCTCGCAGACCTCCGGTTCCTCCTCAGAGGAGCTCGGGGAGTCCGCCTCACTGCTGTCGTCTTCCCCACAGACCGCTCGGGCATGGAGAATTCCGCTTCGGTGGAGCAGCTCCAGGAGACGCTGCTGCGGGCTCTTCGGGCTCTGGTGCTGAAGAACCGGCCCTTGGAGACTTCCCGCTTCACCAAGCTGCTGCTCAAGCTGCCGGACCTGCGGACCCTGAACAACATGCATTCCGAGAAGCTGCTGTCCTTCCGGGTGGACGCCCAGTGACCCGCCCGGCCGGCCTTCTGCCGCTGCCCCCTTGTACAGAATCGAACTCTGCACTTCTCTCTCCTTTACGAGACGAAAAGGAAAAGCAAACCAGAATCTTATTTATATTGTTATAAAATATTCCAAGATGAGCCTCTGGCCCCCTGAGCCTTCTTGTAAATACCTGCCTCCCTCCCCCATCACCGAACTTCCCCTCCTCCCCTATTTAAACCACTCTGTCTCCCCCACAACCCTCCCCTGGCCCTCTGATTTGTTCTGTTCCTGTCTCAAATCCAATAGTTCACAGCTGAGCTGGCTTCTGTGGTGTGTGCTCGTTTGGGGGGTGGGGTGGAAATACTGCCAAGGCTGGGGGGGGCCACCTCTCCATCTGGTCAGTTTGTGGGGTGGGTACTCTGCCAGCAGATGGGAGGATATAGGGAAACAGCACACAAGTCTAAGGGGGGTGCCCAAGGGGGTTATTTTCATCATATATTTATTACATAAATATATAGTAAAATAGACGAGCAACAATTACCATAAAAATATCTTTCTTTAAAATCCTGACCCAAAACACAACGGGGTGAAAAATCGCACATAACAGACATACTGATTGTCAACGTGGGGCAGGAGTAGGAGCCCCTCAAGTCACCCCTGCCGGTCCCACCCCTCCCTGGGGAAGAGACCTACCTCCTTCCCTGTTTCTGGCCACAACCCCCCTCCCCCCAGCCCAGCACCAGCTTCTCATACATTCAGTAGCGCCTCTGGGCAGTGTCCCCCTCCCCCCCGCCCAGGAGTTCCCAGGGCAGGAGTTACTGTCCTCCTTATGGACGGTCTCTCTCTCACAACGCCCTGCCCTCTCCCAGCCCTGCAGACCCGCCACCAGGAGAAGGGGTAGGGGCTCCTCCCCCACCCTCCCCAAGTCTGAGCAGGGAGGAGGCTGGATGAGGTATGTGTGTTATGAGTGATGGGAGGGGCAATACTGAGATGGAGAGGCGGGTGGTGGGGGCGGGGTAGTGGTCATGGCTCTGGCAACCCCTTGTCCTGGCCTGGCCCCCTCGTCCTATTCCCAGCAACCCGTCCTCCCACCGATACTGCACCTGCTGCTCCACCCTGCCTGCCCTAGTGCCCCGGGCCAATACTGGGGGAGGCATGCTGAGCACCCACATCAAGGCCATCCCCCTCATTAGCACCAATGGCCCCCAGGAGAGGGCCCTGTCCCCCACTTCCACAGCAGGGACTGGGACAGCTGCCGCTCTAGAGCAGGTGCGTGGCACTCCTGAGTCGCCCTGGCTCCTCCCCTACCATGTGTACTCACTCACACATTCACGCAGAGGAACGCACACATACACCCCACATCACCGAGGGGGAAGGGAGGGGTCCGGGGAGGATGGGATCACAGCTCATATGATTGGGGAGGGTGGGGGAGTCCCAAGTGCCTATAAGAGGCTAAGGCTCTTCAAGGCCTTTTCTCTGCCGTGTCCATGGCTGAGAATGGGGATGGAGGGGTTGGGGTGGGGATGGAGGGATGGGGAAGACAGCAGACAGGTCAGGAATTCCACTGGGCCCCCAGGCGTGGTAGGAAGGTACAAGAGGGCCTACCCATGGGACTGGAGTAATACAGGATTCAGTACTCCAGGAGAGAGAGAGAGGATAGAGACAAAGACAGCGCGGGCAGCCCGAGGCCCCAGCAGGGTGGGACAGGCACATGCACAGGTGACAGCGGGTGCTCCTCCAGGCCCTCCACCCCTGTTGGAACACCTGAACGATTGGGGAAGGACAGTGCCCTGACGGGCAGCATAGCATTGCCTTCCCATGTCCGTGTGTGCATGTCCGTGTGTGTGTGTGTGTGTGTGTGTGTGTGTGTGTGTGTGTAGGGGGCTGTGGCAGGCTGAGGGTCAGGGTGGGGTGGCAGGTTCCCCACTGCTTAAGACATTTTTGCCCCAATAGTGCAAAGCGCAGGAAGCCCTGGCACCCCTCCCCCCACCCCCTGCCCCAATCCCCATGGCTTCCGGGGGCATCTGTGTCCACCCATCCATCCCTGCCGACATGCAGCCCTGAGCCCAGCACCCTCTGGTCTGCTCTGTCCCACCCCACCTCCTGCTCCCATGGGAGGACCACCTCCTCTCTCCCTCTCTCCCCTGAGGAGTGGGCGGCAGCCACAGGGAGGGGGAGGAGGACAGCTCACCCAAGTGCAGACCAACAGAGCACCCTCACCAGGAGGGCGAGAGGGGCTCAAGCCAAAGTCCCTGAATTAGAGAAAAGAAGAGGGGAAGGGGTCCCGGGGCAGAGGGGCAGCTGGCCAAAAGAGCTTTAAAGAAAAAGGAGCACCGACCACCCCTCCCCTGGGGCCCCAACTAAGTGTCACTTATCTAAACACCCCCATTCTGGTACCTGCCCGCCCAGAGTTAGTGCAGTGAGTAGGAGCTGGGGAGGAGGGCAGAGGTTAGAGAGAGCCCAGAAGACAGATGGGAAACAGGGAAACAGAGTGCTAAAGGGGTGGAGGGTTCTGGGAGACGCTCACGCACAGCCCTCCTACCCCCGACCCAACCAATGCAGCAGCATCCGGTTTCTAGCTAATACTGCAGGATATAAGGAGGGTAGGAGTTGGAGCCACAGTTTTTTCCTGGGTGGGTGCCAAGGTGTGGAAGGAGGAGGTGGATGGGGAGAGGCCCCTAGGGCTGGGCACTTAAAGGGGAGCTGTGTGGGCAGCAGGGCAGGCTGGTGAGGGGCCAGCTGGCATCCAGCATGAGAGGTAGATGGAACTCAGCGGGCACGAGTGGCAGAAAGCAGAGGACATACTAGGGTTGGGGGGTGCCAAAGGGGCACAGAGGGCGGGGTATGGCAAGGGGGGTGGCCAGGACCCTGTTGTGTTAACTCACAGCTCTGATCGGCAGCCCTACCCTTGGGGCTCTGGTGTGGGGGCATTTCTCTCTGATGTGGGGGAAGAAGGGGCAGCTCGCAAAGTGCATGGGGTGGTAAAGGGGGGGTCCTCCCCTCTGGTCAGCCTCAGTTAATAACTTAATATCATCTCTCTCTATCGCTCGCTCTCTCTTTTTTGTATTTTTCTCTCTGTCTAGTTTTTCTTCATTTGTCTTCTCCCCTTGCTTGGTTTCCAAAGTGCAGTTAGAATGACTATAAATTTTAACCTCCAGAGGAGGAGCCAAGCCAAGCCGTTCTTTGCACCCAGGCATCTGGGGAAGTAGAGAGGCCCTCAGCCTGGAGGGGAGACCTAGGCCAAGGAACTGGGTGGGGGCTCTCTCTCATGTGTGTGTAGGGGGTGAGTTGAGGGCATCTTCCCCCAGCCCACATTCCTCCTTCCCCTACGGTCAAGGTGGCTTGTCCCTTCTCAATCCTCCCGCCCTTCCCCTACCTTCTGAGAGGATGGGGTCCTGGGAACTGCAGGACACAGCTCCCCCAGCCTCCCACACTGTCCTTTCCATAGCAAGTTCAGTTGTTTGCCCTGTCCCAGGGCTGGAGGTCTGAGGAGGGACCTGGGCAGTGCGGGTGTGTGTGTGGGAGCTGAATCTATCCAAGGACGAGAGGAAGGAGAGAAGGGGTGTGGGGGGGTCTCCCTCAGCCCCCAGCTCTGCCCCTTCTCTCCAGGCTCCTCCCCACCAGCTCCGCACACCCTCTGGCCGCCTGAGGCTTTAGACTTCCTGATCCTCAAAGACCTCGAGGAAGAGTGGGGGGAAGAGTTCGGTGGGGCACTCGACTTTCATGTGGAGGAAGCGGCTGGCGTGGCAGGCCCCGATCATGCGGAGGTCAGTCACCTTCATCAGCAGCTTGGGCCAGAAGTGCGGAATGTTGTGTTTGCGGTGGTTGACGTAGTGCTCGAACGCCAGCAGGTACGCCTCCTGACTCTTCTCGATCTTGTCCACACACAGCAGGCCCGAGCGGTCTGTGAGGGAAGAGGGGCGTGAGGGGCGAGGGGCTGGCCGAAGGCCTGGAGATGGGGAGGGTGAGGTGTGGGGACGTGGGAAGAAAGGACTAGAGGGGAGATAGAGGCAGAGAGGCTGGGGGAGGGGAGGGGAGAAGCTCCCCCTGAGAGACGTGGACAGGAGAAGCACAGGGAGAGGGAGGCAGCTGGGAAGTGGAGAGGGGCAGGGGGGTACTGGGGGGAGGGGGCAATGCAAGGAGGACAGAGGGACAGGCCGGGGGCTGGGGGAGAGAGAGGAGCCTTGGAGTGGGGAGGACTGAGGTTGGTGGTCAGAGAGGCGGGGTGCAGATGGGGTTAGGGAGGGGACTGAGGGGTAAGAGATGGGACTGGGAGACAGAGGAGGGATGAGGGGATGGAAGGTGGCTGAGAACAAAGTGGGGAGTGGGGAACAAAGGGGAATGTGAGTGACAGAGGGACAGGGCAGCGAGAAGGAAGGAGACAAAGACAGGAAAAGGCACAGAGCAGGGATGGGGAGGCAAGGGATGGGCCTGGGGAACGAGTGAGAAGTGTGTGACAGAGCAAGGAACAGGGGATAGGGGATGGCCCAGGTGACAGAGAGGTAGCCCAGAAGAAGATTCAGGAGGGAGTTGAGCAACAGGCCCAGGGTCCAGCCAATCTCTGGGACCCCTGGAAGCTTCTGAGCCCTCCCGACTAATCAGCAGGTACCTGTTGACATTAGCAGCACAGCCTGCAGCAGAGCCACTTCCGTGTCATCCAGGTTAAAGGCAGAGAGTGACTTGCCCAGTTCAAAGATGGCGTCGGAGACTACGCCCAGGCCGCCATTCTTGAGCTGCTCCCGCTTGACAGCCATCTCCCCACTCAGCGTCAGGGTGTCGCTCTCAGGGTCGTAGCGGACAGCCGCCCGCAGGGACATGATCTCCATGCAGCACCCCTTCAGGAGGATGATCTGGTCTTCGCAAGGCAGCTGTGGAGCGGCAGGGCCACAGGAGCACTCAGCATACCCCTCCCCGCGTCCTTGAGTCTCCCCTAGAGTGTCCTACGGGAGCCGTGAGGCCCGCAAGGCCCCCATGGACTCTGAACGGCTGACCTTGTATTGGGCCATGTGCATGCCCTATTCCATTTAAGCCTCACAGTTATGCCTGTGAGGCCCGGCGCAGTGGCTCACGACTATAATGCCAGCACTATGGGAGGCCAAGGCGGGTGGATCACTTGAGGTCAGGAGTTCGAGACCAGCCTGGCCAACATACATGGTGAAACCCATCTCTACTAAAAATACAAAATTAGTTGGGCGTGGTGGCACATGCCTGTAGTCCCAGCTACTCAGGAGGCTAAGGCAGGAGAATTGCTTGAACTCAGGAGGCGGAGGTTGCAGTGAGCCCAGATCGCGTCACTGCACTCCAGCCTGGGTGACAGAACGAAAATCTGTCTCAAAAAAGAAAAAAAAATTATGCCTGTGAGTTAGCACCCATCATTATCCCCAGCCCACTCCAGATGGGAACACTGAGGCACAGGGGATGGAGGTAACTTACCCCAGGTCACATGGCTAGTAGGGCAGCCTGTCTCCAGCACTAGTGCTCTGGAAAATGAGAACTTTCAGGCTGCCTGGAGTTGGGTGGCCGCATAGACTTGAAGGATGAGGGGCTGTGGAGGGGAGCACTTGGAGCCGGCTGATTTCTTAGAGCAGCCAGACCTTGGCGTGTGTCTGTATGCTGTGTGTGTGTGCCTGTGTGTTTGTGTGTGTGTCTGTATGTATCTATGTGTGTGTCTGCTAGGTGTGTGTGTGTGTGTGTGCCTGTGTGCTGGGTGTGTCTGTGTGTGTGTGTCTGTGTGCTAGGTGTGTGTCTATGTATCTGTGTGTCTGTGTGCTAGGTGTATATGTCTGTGTGTGTGTGTGTGTCTGTATCTGTGTGTGTGTGTCTATGTATCTGTGTGGCTGTGTGCTAGGTGTGTGTGTGTGTGTGCCTGTGTGCTGGGTGTGTGTCTGTGTGTGTGTGTGTGTCTGTGTGCTGGGTGTATATGTCTGTGTGTGTTTCTATGTATCTGTGTGTGTGTTTGTGTACTAGGTGTGTGTGTGTCTGTGTGCTGGGTGTATGTGTGTGTGTATGTGTGTCTGTGTACGTATCTGTATGCTAGGTGTGTGTGTGTGTCCGTGTATGTGTCTGCATGTGTGCCTGTGTGCTGGGTGTATGTGTATGCATGTGTGTGTGTGTGTCTGTGTATGTTATCTGTGTATGTTGACCTACAGGAATTGCTCCTTGTCCAGAGAACCTCAGATGAGCCTGTACTGGGTGACCGGGGGAGCAGGTTTCCCTCCAGCACAGCATCACATCTCTCCCCACTTCTGCCACTCACCTCGGAGAACATGGGCAGTTTTTTGGCAAAGTCCACCACACGGGTGATGGCCGGGGTGATGATCTTGGTAAACTCGCTGAAGGCTTCCAGGTCCACCTTGTCTCCGTCCGGCATGGAGACAATGGGTGACTGGCCAATGTCATCGGGCTAGAGAGAAAGACGGGGGTCAGCTGGGGCCGCAGACCCCTTTCAGCCTCTCACTGAGGCTCCCTGCCCACCAGGGGGAGCTCCAAGGCAGCTTGGGGAAGAGGGGCCGCCCGTGCCTGAGTCCCAGGCCCAAAGCTTTTCCTTCATCTTGAGCAGAGAATAGACCAGAACCAGAGCTCCAAGTCAGCTAATAATAACAACGGTAGTAACAGTAGTAGCAGCTATAATGACTGAATACTTAATATATGATCAGGCATCAGGCTACATGTTTTACATGTCTTATTTCATCCTGACCATAATCCTAAAAGGAATAATTATAATAATCACCATTTCACAGATGTGGAAACTGAGGCATGGGGCAGCTAAATAATAAGGTTAAAGTCATATGACCAGCAAGTGGTAGGACCAGGGTTTGAACTTGGGCAGTCTGACTCGTGACTGTTACACATCTGCTTGGAATCAGAGCCCGTGCCCTTAACAGTGTGCACTGTGCCACCCCCCGGCATGCTCCACCATGAACCAGGTGCTGGTTTTCTGCCTTCCTTCACCACGTATAGCCAACTGTCCATCTCCTCCCAAACTGATCATATTTTTTGAGAGAGGGTCTTGCTCTGTTGCCTGGGCTGGAGTGCAGCGGTGTAATCATGGCTTACTGCAGCCTCGACCTCCCAGGCTTAGGGGATCCTCCTGCCTCAGCCTCCCGAGTAGCTGGGACCACAGGCACACACCCCCATGCCCAGCTAATTTTAAAATTATTCGTAGAGAGGCCGGGAGCAGTAGCTCACACCTGTAATCCCAGCACTTTGGGAGGCCAAGGCAGGCAGATCACCTGAGGTTGCGAGTTCAGACAAGCCTGACCAACATGGAGAAACACCGTCTCTACTAAAAATACAAAATTAGCCGGGCGTGGTGGCGCACGCCTGTAATCCCAGCTATTTGGGAAGCTGAGGCAGGAGAATCGCTTGAAGCCGGGAGGTAGAGGTTGCGGTGAGCCAAGACTGTGCCACTGCACTCCAGCCTGGACAACAAGAGCGAAACTCCAACTCAAAAAAAAAAAAAAATTATTCATAGAGGGTGGGCATGGTGGCTCACATCTTGTAATCACAGCACTTTGGGAGGCCGAGGCGGGTGGATCACTTGAGGTCAGGAGTTCGAGACCAGCCTGGTCAACATGGTGAAACCCTGTCTCTACTAAAAACACAAAAATTAGCCAGGCATGGTGGCCAGTGCCTGTAATCCCAACTACTCGGGAGACGGAGGCGGGAGAATCGCTTGAACCCAGGAGGCGGAGGTTGCGGTGAGCCGAGATCGTGCCACTGCACTCTAGCCTGGGTGAGAGTGAGACTCCGTATCAAAAAAAAAAAAAATTATTCATAGAGGTGGGATCTCTGTATGTTACCCAGACTGGTCTCAAACTCCTGGGCTCAAGCGATCCTCCCACCTTGGTCTCACAAATTGCTGGGATTACAGGCATGAGCCACTGCACCTGGTCCCAAACTCATCATTTACTTAGCAACTAGCTTGACCAGGGCCTAACATAATGCCTGGCACCCAGCAGGTGCTCAAAAATACTGTGACATAACTGTATCCTTACCCTCTCCTCCCAGTCACTAAGGGCAGGAAAAAGAAGAAAGGTCGCTCCCGCTCCCTGGAAATTCGATGAGGAAGGCAAGGCCCTGTCCTCATTGAGCTCCCAGTTGGATGGAGTAGACAGTCCAGACAGCAAGGACACAAACACAAGTGTATAAAATCTGGACAGCAAAAGTGTGAAGAGTATGTATTTTGGGTTGGATTACACTAAGAAGACTTCCTGGAGGAGGCAAGACTCCGAGCTCACTCTCTTCTCCCTGCCACCTGGCTACTGCTCTCCCCATGCCCCCTTTCTCCTTACCAGGAATTTCCGCCTCTGTTTCCAATGGCTGCCCTGGGCATTGGTGCTGCGATGGGCCTCTGTGGCAATGTGGATCAGATCCCACTCTTCAGGAGTGGGCTCTGGTCGCTGCTGCAGTGATCGGATCATCTCCTCCTTCCGCCGCCGCTCCCGGTTCTGCTCAATCAGCTTACGCTTGGCCACCCGCTTCGAGTCATCTAGAACCACTGTGAACAGAGAGGCACAAGGTCTAACGCATGGCACCCTCCATCCCCTTTCCATAATGCTCCCGGAAACTACTCTTCCTAGAGTACAGGTTGGAGAAACCGAGGGCCATGGAGGCTAAATGACTTCCCAAATCACCTAGCAGTTGGGCAGCACAACCCGGATCATGATTAATCCCCGGGACCATGTCAACAACAGTTTGGGCTGATCCAGATGAATATCATGTTCTGGTCTAACGGATTATGGTGACGGTGGTTACTCGAATATCCTGCCACCCAATCCCCAGCCAATGGAAGATGCCCTGTCTCATCTAGAAGTGGGGTGCCTTCGCTGGGAGTCAAGAACAGTGTGCTAGAGTGGGTGCCCAGGAGCTCTTTCTACCAAACGACTCCCTCTCTAAGGCCCTCGAGTGTTGTAAGGCAGGTAGGCATTGGGGCCCACACAGGGATCCTGTTTCCTTTTGCGCAGGAAGGAGGACAGCAAGGACCAAGACACTGAACATTCTGACCTAGACTGGATTGCCACTCTGCCCTGTGGGCTCTGAGGGTACCCTGGAAGGAAGCTGCCCTCCCAGAACTCATCCCCACCCCAGGCCACCTGGCTCTATTCCCTCCACCTGGGCCCCTTACAGTCCATGGCCATGCCCACGGCGATGCACTTCTTGAAGCGGCACAGCTGGCACTGATTGCGGGTGATCTTGTCAATGACACAGCAGCTGTCATATTTGCAGGAATAGGTGGGATGGAGGTTCTTCTGGATTGTGCGGCGAAAGAAGCCCTGGGGTGGGGGAGATGGAGCAGGCTGTGATCATGACATGGCTTCCCCTTCCTGAACCAACCATGCAGTTTACTAGGGGTCAGGGGTGGAGAGCAAGGAAGGCAAGATCAGTGAGGGGACCTGGCATCCTCCTGACACCATGAGCCCAAGATTACTAGGCTCAAGGACCTGAGAAATATATGCCCTCAGCCCCCAGGCTGCTGAGGGGTTGGGGGTGTCTGGGTAGTGTTTGTGGCAGAGGCAGGAATGATGTCTAGAGCAGGCAGCTTTGAACCTGGGATAATGTGAGGCCTTAAGGAATAGCAGCTTTGGAAATCCAAGTCGCCGGGCGCGGTGGCGCACGCATGTAATCCCAACACTTTGGGAGGCCGAGGTGGGCAGATCAACTGAGGTCGGGAGTTCGAGACCAGCCTGACCAACATGAAGAAACCCTGTCTCTACTAAAAATAGAAAATTAGCCGGGCATGAGGTTGGGTGCAGTGGCTCATGCCTATAATCCCAGAACTTTGGGAGGCCAAGGCGGATGAATCATGAGGTCAGGAGTTCAAGATCACCCTGGCCAACATGGTGAAACCCTGTCTCTACTAAAAGTATAAAAATTGGGCGTAGGCCGGGCGCGGTGGCTTATGCCTGTAATCCCAGCACTTTGGGAGGCTGAGGCAGGCGGATCACAAGGTCAGGAGATCGAGACCATCCTGGCTAACACGGTGAAACCCTGTCTCTACTAAAAATACAAAAAAAATAGCCGGGCATGGTGGTGGGCGCTGTAGTCCCAGCTACTCGGGAGGCTGAGGCAGGAGAATGGCGTGAACCCAGGAGGTGGAGCTTGCCACGAGCCAAGATCGCGCCACTGCACTCCAGGCTGGGTGACAGAGCAAGACTCCGTATAAAAAAAAAAAAAATTACCCGGGCGTGGTGGTGGGCGCCTGTAATCCCAGCTACTCAGGAGGCTGAGGCAGAGAATTGCTTGAACCCAGGACACAGAGGTTGCAGTGAGCCAAGATCGCGCCACTGCATTCCAGCCTGGGTGACAGAATGAGACTCCATCTCAAAAAAAAAAAAAAAAAAAAAAAAAAGCATGCGATTCTATAGTGTAGCAGTTATCACATCTGCTTTACATGCAGAAGGTCCTAGGTTTGAGCCGCGGTGGAACCACGGCGGGGTCCACCCCTTGGCCGGGCGCGGTGGCTCATGCCTGTAATCCCAGCACTTTGGGAGGCCCAGGCGGGCAGACTGCCTGAAGTCAGGAGTTCAAGACCAGCCTGGCCAACATGGTGAAACCCCATCTCTACTAAAAATATAAAAATTAGCTGGGCCTGCCCCTGTAATCCCAGCTACTCGGGAGGCTGAGGCAGGAGAATCGCTTGAACCCAGGAGGTGGAGCTCGCATTGCACTCCAGCCTGGGTGACAAGAGTGAGACTTCATCTCAAAAAAGAAAAAAAAAAGAAAAAATTAGCCGGGAATGGTGGCACATGCCTGTAATCCCAGCTACTTGGGAGGCTGAGGCAGAAGAATTGCTTGAACCCAGGAAGCAGAGGTTGCGGTGAGCCAAGATTGTGCCATTGCACTCTAGTCTGGGCAACAAGAGCAAAACTCTGTCTCAAAAAAAAAAAAAAAAAAAAAAAAGGAAATCCAAGTAAAACCTCATTTTCCATTTTGCTAAATGACTTTAAAAACAACACTGACCCAAAAACCATTCTCATATATGTTGCCTGTTGTCCATGCAGGTGGAATTCATAAAACAGGGGAACCAAAAAAGTCAAGGAAAGGGACTGAGTATGAACTCTAGTAGGGGAAGAGAAAAATTTCAATTCTCTACATTGGGATTCACCTTTATTTTATTTTTTTAATTTAATTTTTTTTTTCTTTTTGAGATGAAGTTTCACTCTGTCACCCAGGCTGGAGTGCAGTGGTGTGATCTCAGCTTACTGCAACCTCCACCTCCCAGGTACAAGCAATTCTCCTGCCTCAGCCTCCCGAGTAGCTGGGACTACAGGTGCCCACCATTACGCCCGGCTAATTTTTGTATTTTTATAGAGATGGGGTTTCACCATGTTGGCCAGGCTGGTCTCGAACTCCTGACCTCAGGTGATCTGCCCACCTCGGCCTCCCAAAGTGCTGGGATTACAGGCGTGAGCCACCGCACCCAGCCTCGCCTTTATTTTAAAGGAAACACCTCAAAACTCAAGATGATTGCAATAATATGAAGAATTAGTATTTTTTCATGTTTACAATGTGTCAGTCACTTAGTAAACATAAGCCTTGCTGGCCAGGTGCAATGACTCACACCTGTAATCCCAGCACTCTGGGAGGCTGAGGCAGGCAGATCACTTGAGGCCAGGAGTTCAAGATCAAGACCAGCCTGTCCAACATAGCAAAACCCCATCTCTACTAAAAATACACAAATTGGCCAGGGGTTGTGGCGTGCACCTATAATCCCAGCTACTCTGGAGGCTGAGGTGGGAGGATTGCTTAGGATTGCTTGAGACCAGGAGGTCAAGGCTGCAGTGAGCTATGATCGCACCACTGCACTCCAACCTGGGTGACAGAGACCCCATTACAAACAAAAACAAAAACCCAAAAGATAAGCCTTGTCTTTCATGGAACATCACAGTGAACCCTCCAGACAACCCTATGAGGTAGGAACTGTTACTGCCTCCACTTTGCAGACAAGGAAACTGAAGCTTGGTGAGATGAAGCAATTTGCCCAAAGTCATGTGGCCGGTGGGCAGCAGAGTCAGAACTGGGCCTCAGGTATGGGACACCAACGTCTGAGCTCTCAGATTCCAGGGGCATTAAAATCACCAAAGGCAGCCGAGTGCGGTGGCTCACGCCTGTAATCCCAGCTCTTTGGGAGGCTGAGGTGGGTGGATCACGAGGTCAGGAGTTCAAGACCAACGTGGCCAACATCGTGAAACCTTGTCTCTACTAAAAATACAAAAAATTAGCCAGGTGAGGTGGCAGGCACCTGTAATCCCAGCTACTCAGGAGGCTGAGGCAGGACAAGTGCTTGAACCTGGGAGGCAGAGGTTGCAGTGAGCCAAGATCGCGCCACTGCACTCCAGCCTGGGTGACAGAGTGAGACTCCGTCTTGAAAAAAAAAAAAAAAAAAAAAAGTCACCAAAGGCACCTACCAAAGATACAGATTCCTGGGCCTCACTCCAGAACTACAAAATAAAACTATCCAAGGGTGGGGCCAAGGCATCTCTGTCTTTTCAGGGTGCTTCCCTGGGACTCAGATGTCCGTGAGAGTAAAAGATCCTTTCTCTATGCTACACTGTTTGTATTGCTTCCAGAAGGATTGTATTGCTTCTGCTAGGGAACTCTAAATCCCTCATGGTCTTGGTTTGGTTGACATCAAGAAAGAGAGAGAAACTTCAAGCCTTAAACTTTTTTTCCGTTTTTTTTTTTTGTTTGTTTTTTGTTTTTAAGACAGGGTCTTGTTCTGTCGCCCAGGCTGGAGTGCAATGGCTTAATCACAGCTCACAGCAGCTTCGACCTCCCAGCCTCAAGTGATCGTCCTACCTCAGCTGCCTGAGTAGCTGGGACCACAGGTGTGTGTGCACCACCATGCCTGGCTACTTTAAAAATTTTTTTGTATGGACAGGGTCTCACTATGTTGCCCAGGCTGTTCTTAAACTCCTGGGCTCAAGCAATCCTCCCACCTTGGCCTCCTAAAGTGTTTGGATTACAGGCGTGAGCTACTATACCTGGCCTTTAACATATAAATCATTCTGTTTCTTTTTTTTTTTATTTTGAGACAGAGTATCACTCTGTCGCTCTGTCACCCAGGCTGGAGTACACTGACTTAATCTCCACTCTCACTGTAACCTCCATCTCCCAAGTTCAAGAGATTCTCCTGCCTCAGCCTCCCAAGTAGGTGGGATTACAGGCGTACATCACTACACCTGGCCAATTTTGGTATTTTTAGTAGAGACAGGCTTTTACCATGTTGGCCAGGATGGTCTCAAATTCCTGACCTTACTCATTCGTTCATTTGCTCATTCATAATCCCTCCTCTGTCACTCACAAGAAAATTGCCTAACTTCTCTGAGTCTCAGTTTCTTCATCTATAAAATGGGGATAATCATTTTATCTACCTTATAGCACTGTTGGGAGAATTAAATGAGACAATTCACTTGAAGTGTTTAAAACAGTGCCACCGGGTGTGGTAACCTCAGGTGATCTGCCTGCCTTGGACTCCCAAAGTGCTGGGATTTAAATAATTCTGTTTCTTGGAAGGCCTTGCATTTTTAGGAGGTGATCCTGGAAAGGCTATCCAGGCTGAAATGATCAAAGTGAAATCTAATTAGGCCTCTTAAGCACTTTGGGATGCAGAGGCAGGCAGATCACCTGAGGTCAGGAGTTCGAGACCAGCCTGGCTAACATGGTGAAACCCTATCTCTACTAAAAATACAAAAATTAGCCAGGCTTGGTGGCAGGTGTCTGTAATCCCAGCTACCAATGCTGAAGCAGGGAGAATTGCTTGAACCCGAGAGGTGGAGGTTGCAGTGAGCCAAGATTGCACCACTGCACTCCAGGCTGGGCAACAGAGCGAGACTCCATCTCAAAAAAAACAAAACAAAACAATTAGGCCTCCCAAAATCTATGACCTTGTCATCCCCTCTGCCTGGAAGAACCTGCTGTCCTCTTCTCCTCTGTGCTCCCAGCTCCCACTACCCCCCCAGTACTGGCTCTCGCTCTTTCAGGTGCATGGGAAACACTCCGGGATTCTGTTAAAAGGAAGATTCCTGGGCTCCACAAAAGGGCTCTGAGTGAGCAGGGTTAAGATGAAGCCTGGGCAGGCTGGGCGCAGTGGCTCACACCTGTAACCCCAGCACTTTGGGAGGCCAAGGCGGGCGGATCACGAGGTCAAGAGATCAAGACCATCCTGGTCAACATGGTGAAACCCTGTCTCTATTAAAAATATAAAAGTTAGCTGGGCGTGGTGGCAGGTGCCTGTAGTCCCAGCCACTCAGGAGGCTGAAGCAGGAGAATCGCTTGAACCCGGGAGGCGAAGGTTGCAGTGAGCCGAGATCACACCATTGCACTCCAACCTGGGCAACAGAGCGAGATGCCATCTCAAAAAAAAAAAAAAAAAAAAAAGATGAAGGCTGGGAATCTGCATTTTAACTAGTAGGACAGGTGGTCCATGAACCACATTTTGAATAACACTGATGTTTGTTTCAAGTTGTGTCTCTCTCTCTGACAGGCTGTGAGCAGCTTGAAGGCGAGGTACGTACTACACTCTCACACCTAAGAATACACTGAATGAATGGGTGATGGCTGGCATTTATCAAATGCTTCTTATGCACATGGCACTATTTTTTATTTTATTTTATTATTTTACTTTGAGACAGAATCTTGCTCTGTCACCCAGGCCGGAGTGCAGTGGCGCCACCACCGTTCAATGCAGCCCTGACCTTCTGGGTTCAAGCAGTCTCCCACCTCAGCCTCCTGAGTAGCTGGGACCACAGGCATGTGGCACCACACCCAGCTAATTTCTTTAATTTTGTAGAGACAGTGTCTCACTGTGTTAGCTAGGCTGGTCTCAAACTCCTGGGATCAAGGGATGCTCCCGCCTTGGCCTCCCTCCCAAAGGGCTGGGATTTTAGGCATGAGCCACAGCACCCAATGGCACTGTTTTAAACACTTCAAGTGAACTATCTCCCAACATATTTAATTCTCCCAACAATGCTATAAGGTAGAGAGAATGATTATCCTCATTTTATAGATGAAGAAACTGAAACTAAGGCTCGAAGAAGTTAGGCAATTTTCCTGTGAGTGGCAGAGGAGGAGTTATGAATGAGTAAATGAATGAATAAGAGAAGAGAAGAGAAAGTAACCAGGCAGGTATGCCTGTAATCCCAGCACTTCAGGAGGCTGAGACGGGTGGTCACCTGAGGTCAGGAGTTCGAGACCAGCCTGGCCACATAGTGAAACCCCGTCTCTACTAAAAATACAAAAAAACTAGCTGGGTGTGGAGGTGCATACCTGTAATCCCAGCTACTCAGGAGGCCGAGGTAGGGGAATCACTTGAACCTGAAGGCGGAGGTTGCAGTGAGCCATGATCGCGCCACTGCACTCCAGCCTGGGGGACAAGAGTGAGACTCCGTCTCAAAGAAAAAAAAAAAAAGTGATGACCTAACAGGCGGGCTTTAGGTGACATAGGGAGTAATATGGGGGCTCAGGTGGCAGGGGAGGGGCAGGAGGTAGCTTCCATACCTTGCAGCCCTCACAAGTGATACAGCGGTAGTGATAACCAGTTGCCTTGTCCCCACACACGACACACTGCTCGTCTTTGTCCAGGTAACTAGGGATATACCCTGGGAGGAAGGAAAGGATGGAGGAAGGCAGGCATGGCTTGGAGTCCCAGCAGAGAGGCTCTCACACTTTTCCCCATCCCTCAACTTTTTGTTTCTGACCCCTCTCCTAGCCCAGCCTCCCTGGTAGAATCCTAGAGAGACACGAGGTGAACCTGTCCATCTCTGCCCTAAGAGTATGAAGAATCTCAGTTCTTCTGACTGCCCATTCAGGGCTTTCTTCTTGATCTATCTACAAGGCAGAGGATGGTGGAGAGGGAAAAATAAACGTCAGCTGCTCACTGGGGATAATACAGCCCCTCAGTCCTTCAGCTCAGGCCCTGATTCTGGTAGGGCCTCAGATGAGGGTATTAGGGGAAGAGGGAAGAGGCCGTCCTGACCTAATCCACCCTCAAAAGCTGGGCACATCCCACATTACCTTTCTCACCCCCAGACAAGTCCATCCCAAGCCCTCTAGGAGGCTCCCCCCAGGGAACACATGAATTACTGTTCCACATCCAGGTCCAGAGGAGCCCTGGCTGGGTTTGGTGGGGTTGGGGACGTGGAGAAGGGGCACGCACAGCCAGCCTCACCTGACATGCTGGTTTTCAGGGAACATTGGCCGTTCTTTCTTTTTCGCTTTCCATCTGGTGACCTGGCACTGGATGGAGGCAAAGTGGGCAGAATCACAGAGCAGTCTTCGAGTAGCCCCTTTCTCATCCGAGAGGCTTATGCAATCCCCCAAGGCCTGATTCTTTCCATTTTGTGTCCTCATTCTACCTCCCACCCCCCAGGGTCAGCTGACAATGCTTAAAAGGGTCCAGTTATCTGGAAGTTGCAGGGGAGAGAGATAAGGGGCTTGGCTGTGGCACAAGCATATTCTAGAGCCCCAACACACACACATTCACCCGCCAGAAGACCTGAAGCACCCATAATCTGCAGGACATCCTCATCTTTCAGTACATGACGAATACGCTGGAAGAATTCTCAGGATATGCTTAAAGCTATGTAGCCTTTAGAACACACACATACATATGCAACATAACACCGGCACAGATGAATAACCATGCAACCTTCACTATAAACCCATGGATGGTGAGTATGCACCAGGGCCAACATACCTGTGAAATTTTCAGGGCATTCTTAAATGTGCTATACAACCTCTAGGATATGCCCATGTGTTACACAACACTCTGCACAGGCACCTCATAAAACCACCCTCATCCCTCCAGTGTGCACGTGTTGCTTGAGCTCCAGGTCATACACACATGCTAAATAACCCACAGCAATAGAAAACACTACACCCTCTGCACAGCCTCCATTTAACAGAGCAGCAAACTGAGACCCTGCTTGTGCCTGGTGACACCATGAGCTAGAGTCAGAGCCGGGACTGAGCCCCTCTGTGCAGCGTATTATTAGCAACCCTCAGCCACTGCACATATATGTTGCCAGGCTCTCCACATACATGTTGCATAACCTCGGTGCACACAGGTTACATAAGCCCTCTACATGCATGCAAGGATTGTATAACCTCCCGCACCCACCCTGCGTGTGGCATGTTGCAGGCCCCTTCCTCCTGGAGCCGGATGCAGCTCCCAACACACTGACACAGTGACCTTGGCCAGGGTCACAGTCACAGACAACCCTATGCTCCACGCCCCGTGGGGATTACTCCGGTCTACTTCCTATGAGGCTGAAAGGTCAGGTCTCCCTCACGCCTCCCAGAGGGTTGGGTGCAGGGGAACTCAGCCCACCTAGGCCCCAGTTGAGCTAGCGGCTTCAGCAGTTACCACCAGACTCACAGCCTCTGAGTGTAGTCCTAGAGATAGCCACAAGGTGGCGCATAGACATGGGGGAGGGGAAGGTGATGGGGGAGGGGTTGCAGTCTTAGGAGACTGGGAACTGGCATTCCTGCCTTTCTCCAAACATTAAGCACAGACTCTTCCAGACCCACAGAAGCCTAAGCTGGGAGACACAGGGGCTGCAAGTGACAGCCACACAGCGACAGGCCAGATCGTCCTCAGAGTCCTTCCTGGGGTGAGGCTTTGGGGGAGGGGAGCTACCCCATGCCCTGCCCAGCTGTGAGTTCCATCTACTTCCTCTACCCTCCAGGGACCCAGTTGTGGGCCTTAGGGCTTTGCCTGGCCAGGCCTCTGGCTTCCTGGCTCGGGATCTGATCTCCTAGGCAACAGTCAGCCACACTGCTCCCCGGAGCACCCCCACCCCCACCCTCTCCCTGGCCATAGGCACAGGCTGTACCCAGCTCCCAGGGCACCGTGCCAACTGGGACAAAGCTCTGTGCCACTTGGAGCTGATAGAAAAGACAGAGACCCTCTGGGCTCCTCAAGGGCAATGCAGATCACAGGTAACCATCCCTTGGTGTATGTGCAGGGCTGACACCTCACCCATGTGGAAGCAAAACCATCATGGTTGGCGTGCACTTTCTGGGAGGAGCCCCATCGCAGTGCCCGCCCTTGACCATGAACAAGGAAGAGCTTGTGGGGCTCCCAATAGATTCCGAATATAAGCTTGGGCTATGACCAATAGTTACTGGTGCATGTGCCCTGAAATGTATTACGTGAACCGCAGCTTGTGGACAACACACTTGTGGTCAGATAGTAAATGGGCTGGTAGGGAGAGGAAGAAAATGGCAAGGCTGTTTGGATCCCACATGCTCAAGGTAAGGGCAGCAATGGTGGAAGGGACGTTGGGGGCATCTGAGACTGCCCAGCAATGTCTAGGGAAGAGCCCCTTATGTGCTCCCTGTAATTGCTCTGTATCGCTCCCCGCTTCAAAATGAGCATCTCTCAATCCAAGTGCCTGTCACATCTGAACATGACTTCATCTGCCAGACAAAGGTAGGCAGAAGGCTTGCTGGCCTCACGTCCATCCCACAGAGGTGCTTAAAGGCGGTGCCTAAAGGAGAGCTCAGCCAGGTGCCCATGCCTGCTGCTTAGGAGTTGGCATGACCTAGTTGCTGAACCCATTACCTGTTCTCCTCTGGGTCTGACCCACACTCCACCTTGCTTGGCTTCTGTTCCATTCACTTCAATTCCATCCAGGATGCCCTCCAGCACGCCAAGAGACTGGGGTGGGCACACTGGCCCCCCCGGCACACCCACAGGCCACCCACCCCCTGCCACCCAGGCCCTAGGGCACAGCACCCATGATACCCGCCTCAGCACTTGGCCTTTCACACCATGCCCTGCGCCCCAAGGGGGGCGGGCGGTGGGAGGGGCCAGGGAGTGGCAGGTGGGAGGGCTGGGGGCAAGCTGGGTTTGTGGGTCCCGGGCTGTGTGCTGGGGGAGTAGCTTCGGAGTCTTGTCCTGTCCAGAGATCCCTGTGGAGAGAAGAGAGAGGCAGGGGTAAGAAGGTGTCACGGTAGGAAGGTGGGTAGGATCCCTTTGGTGGCAACATTTGGGGCTTTGGGATCCCATAACAAGACAGCAGGGGGCAGGAAGGGCAGGCATAGAGAGGGGACCAGGATGATCCCTTAGATAACAGGTACAGCAGGCGAGATTGGAGATCCACCTCCTAAGCCCCAGACATGGGAAGGAATGGAGGGAGAGAATGAGATCATTCATGTACTAAGTAATATGTCTCAGTCTTCATATTCAGACAAATGCCTGGCCCTTAATGAGCAACTATTAAACACTAGCTATTGTTACCACCCCTCTAGAAAAGCTTTCCTGAAACTCATCTGTATTATAGGGGCAAGAGGGGACCAGAGACAAGCAGTTTTCAGCATAGGCAGGGAGGGTATCTGTGAAGGAAGGATGGGACATAGAGCGGCACGCAGTGAGCATGAATGCCCATCTTTGTGCCTTAATAGAGAGAGATGTTGAAAGCTGTAGGGAACTGACCTCCCATGCTGCCAGCCAAGTTATGATCCCCAACTCTGGCCCCTCAGGGACTCCAGAGCTTCCCACGCAAGGTCTCGAATCCCACTTCCCAGGCAGAGGACCAGACTTCTCAGTTGGTTTAGCTGAGCTGCTATCGACCAGGATGGCAAGGGGGAAAGGAAAGGAAACTAACACATATTAACTGGAGAGAGAATCTGTACCCTCCAAAGAGGGCACGAGAACTTCACAGATGAGGAAACTGAGTCTCAGAAAGCTTGGTCATTCACTCAAGTTCACACAACTAGTAAGCAGGTGGCTGTGGGATAAGCCTCACAGCCTGGCCCTAATGCTAGCCTTGTTCTGCTACCTGGAGTCCAGGGCAGTGCCAAGCCGGGCCCACCATTCCTACGGCATTGCACCTCTGACCCTGGGCTGCAGACCTGTGGCTTACTGTCTGTGTGCACACAGGCAGGTGTGGCGGGTAGGAGGGGGACAAAGGGTACAGCTCCCCAACATACGACCTCAACCTCTGTCACGTGGCTGCTGCATAGGAGACCTCACCCCTAGGCCCCCTGGCCCCACCCCCAGGAGCTGATAAGCAGCCAGGGTGGGAAGAGAGAGGGAGATAAGTCAGGGGATTGGGCAGGGCCAGCAGCAGAACGGGGCCTCTGCACCCAGGCAAGCTGGTAGTGTGGAGAGCATGGGCATTGCACAGAAAAGTGGCCCGTTCTACCTCTGATACCCACCCCAGACCAGGACTGGGCACTGGGGGCTGGACAGGAGACTGGGGTGGGGGGGCATGAGCAGGGAGCCTTAGCCCAGGGAGCCATCAAGAAAGTAGGTCAAGTTTTTCTTGGCTTGTGGAGAAATTCCTGTTATAAATTTATAATGGCGTAGCCAGCCCTAAGGGGTGGAGGTTGGGGAGGAGAAGGAGTGGGTGGGGAAGCCCAGGGGCTGGGCACTGGGGCCTAATGCTCTCAGCCAGACAGTGAGGGGCAGGGGGCGAGGGCCGCTACGGGGGTTGGGCTGGACAATAGAGGACGATCTTCTGACTCCACGTCCAGCGAGGCTGCCTGCATGTCTGTCTGTCTGTCTGTGTCTGAATGTCTCTCTCTCCGGGTCTGGGTGTCTCCGTCTGCCCCCCAGGCTGTGCCTCGGTGCTTGGCACACCCTGGCTGTGGTGCTGCCCCCGCCTGTCTCCTGCCCGCCTGGCACACTGCCACCACTTGTTTACAGAAGCTGGAAAAATCCACTCGCCAGCCGGAGGCCCAAGCGCCCCCAGGGAGGGGAGGAGGCAAGCACAGGAGTGGGCATGCTGAGAGAGGGGCAGCCCCGGGGAGCAGGTCCTGGGGGCAGCCGAGGAGGACCAGTGTGTGCAGGAATGAGCACTGGCTGCTGTGGGCCGGGCCAGGCGGGGAACACCAGTGGCAGCCACATGGCATGGGCAGCTCCTGCCCCAGGCCAGGGCTCCTGAGGGTCCCCTCCCCCAGGCCCCTGCCACTTACCAGTTGCTACATTGCAGACCTGGAGCAGTGCCAACCTAAGCCACCATGTTTATTTCCCCATCCCTCTCTCCTGCCCAGCCTTAACTCCAAATGTGTCTGGGTACTGCCAAGGGCCTGCACGTGCCCACTGGGGGGAGGGGCAGACTCGCTCTCTGCCCCACCCCTCTTTTGAACTGAATGGTGCCCTGGTGCTGGGCAGTGCAGCCCAGCTACAGTCAGCCCCTGGTAGTGGGCAGAGGAGCAAGGTGCTGCCCTTGCTGCCTAGGGCACCCTCACTGGGTACCCAGAAAGAGGCTGGAACCCCTGGGGACTCCTTGGCATCTCTCCAGGGACACACTTGGGCCTTTGGGGTGATACAGAGGCGAGGCAGAGGGCCCAGCATGTGGGGAGACACATACCACATGAGCCTGTGTTAGCCACGGACAGAAAAAGGTCAGCGGGTAAGGGGCATGGGGCAGGGGTACCCACCCTGAAGGGCAGCCTCTCACCCCTCCTCCAGAGTCCAGCTTAACTCCCCAAACTCCTTCCTGGTACCTCCTCTGCAGAGGCGAGGGAGGCCCTGCCCCAAGGAGGCCGAGGGGGCGGAGCTATGGGGTTCTGTGCCCAGGCTGGACAGCAGGACAGCAAGACCCACCTGTCGGCTGGCCTGGCCACCCACTCCCTCCTTGTGAGATAAGAGCTGCTGGGAGGCAGTGTAGGCAAAGTGCCCGTGGAGGGGGAAGCATTTCATTAAGCTTAAGTACTTCTGCCATGGGGGGACAGGGACACGGGGCCAATGCGGCATCCACGGGCGCCCCGCCAGGTTCCCACTGCCGAGCCGTCCCACTCTGCAGTCCTGTATATCTGAGGACACCCCCAAAGGACTCCTGGGGCTGCCAGAGGGGAGTTTCTGTCCCCAGGATCTAACCCCCAATACTACCCGCATTAACCCTCCTGCGTATCTGCTCTGGGCTTTGGCCCCACCTTTCTGGGGCCCCTGAACTTTGTCCTTAGTGCTCTGAAGAAAGCCCAGCCCTCCTTGCCAGCCACAGGGACACGTACATGCGGGGCGGCTGAGAAAAGGGTGGAAAGATGGGAGGAGGGGTAAAAAGGCTGGTGGGGGAAAGAGGGAAGAAGGGAGGAGGGGGAAGAACAAAGAAATGGGACAGGGCTGGGGTAGAGCTAGGGGTGACAAGGCAGTAGAGGGAGAGGAAGAAAGGGGAGCCAGAGATGGGGGATGGGGAGAAGGGGTGAGGTAGAAAGGAGGACAGATAAAGGGAGGAGAGACACATGAAGGAGGGGAGACAAAGAGAGAAAGGTAACAAAGAAAGATGGGTGGGGGGCTTCGTACCCTGTCTAAGTCCCACCCCATGCAGGCTGGGGGGAGGGGGGCGTAGGAATGGTTTCCACGGTGACAGCTGGTTCTTGGTGGCCTGGCATGTGGGCTATTAATAGTTCTGTGGGTAGGTTCACACCTCCCTCTCCCCTTCCCCTCTGCCTGCTGCTAGGGTGGGGGGAGATCCCTCCCCCACCACCCACTCCTGATCACCCAGCCTCCCACCATGGGAGCCAGGAAGGGCGATGCTGAGGGGCCGGGGCGGCCACCGTGGCCCAGACACATAAATGGGCATGCATGGGCACAGGCGTCTATGGGCAGCACTGCCCCCCATGCCAACACGGGCACCACAGGCAGCCACCCACACCAAGGGCCCCTGGGAGTCTGTGGTGGTGGCAGTGCTGCAGCAGCGACATGTGCCCCCATGCTGAGGGGCAGAGGCCTCTCTAGGACCGGGACTCCCTGTCCTTTCCCATACCCCCTGTTCTATTCTCAGGTATGGATTGAGCAGGGCTGCCCCACCCAACTCTCTGTTATCCTAGTGCCAGGAAGGAGAGGAGGAGTGAAGGCGGGAAGGAAGGTACTATTTGGCAGGTGTGATGTGGCAGAGGAGTACACACAGACTCAGGGCCCCAGCCTGGCAGGCATGGGGGAGACGGGAGGAGGGGAGGCGGCACCCCTTGGTGAGCTCTCACTGGGCCCCCAGGAGACAGGTTCTGGAGCTGGGGGGCAGTGACTCATCACCTAGCCACTGTGGGACCTTAGAGGCTAGAGAATGGGAGATGGGGTGGGGATCCTCATAAGGGGGAGATTGGTTACTTAAACAAAGGATCCTCCCCACCCCGCCCCAAAAGAATATAACAGGAAACCCCCCCTGCAGGTCAGAGACAGAAAGACATAAACAGCAGCCTTGACTTGGGCCAGATGCCCAGTATTAACATCAAAGACTGCTTCCCACTCGGCTCCCCCATAGCCTCACCCACCTGCTGCTCTCCTCTCCCTCCTCCTGCCCGGGCCAGCTCCAGCCAGGCATCAAGGTGGGTGCCCAGGTCTGGAGGTCTCCTCCCAGGTCACATCCATCCCCCATGACCACTGGTGGGTGGTCATGCCCACACCCATGCTGGAGAACTCAGCCCCTCCTTATCAGCCCACAGAACTTCACGCCCCCCCTGCCCAATTCCCCTCAGGAATGGAGGCAGGAGATCCAAGTAGCCAAGAAAGCAGAAGCAGGAGCACCCCCAAGCTGGGCACGGCACATTCTCCCCACCCTCCCCCAGCAGCCAGCGGGTAATTGGAGCTGGGAGCTGGGGCAGCTGAATGCTGGAGGCATGAATGTCACGGGGCCAAGGCACTTGCTGCAGATGGCACCATGGGCACAAGGCTTGGGGTCCTCCCTCCTCACTCCCTCATCTAAGGCAGTAGAAGAAGTTGCCTGCAAGCCCTGAAGAGCATGGCCTAGGAGGGGAGGGAATGGTGGAGGGGGAAAGAAAGGGAGGGATGTTCTCCCAGGCACCCCAGAGGCTGGAGCTAGCCCCTAACCAAGCAGAACTGGCAGAGGCAGAGAGAGAGAGACAGAGACAGAGACAGAGAGACAGGGACAGAAAGGGAGGAGGGAGGGAATAGGAAGGAGGGAGGAAGGGGGAGGGAAGAGAGAAAGATTGAGAGTGTGTGTGTGAGAGAGAGAGAGGGAGGGAGAGAAGGAGGGAGAGACAGAGAGGGGGAGGGGGAGAGAGAGAGGGAGAGGGAAGAGGAAGGGAGGGAGGGAGAGAGAGAGGGAGGGAGAGAGGGAGGGAGAGAGCGCGCGCGTGAATGCAGCTGAGTCTCCGGCACACACACGGACACGTGCAGACACACACACTCACCCCGCATGCGCAGAGCCACAGGGCTCTGGGTACCGTTCCAGGAGATATTCAGAGCCCTCCCCAGCCCACACATGCACAAAAACACTCTCACATGGATGCGTGCACAACACACCCACTCACTGATGTGTACAAAAATGCCGAAAGACACCAAAGCCTCGGTTCCCCTGTTTCCCCACCCCCATGCCTGGTAAAAGAGAAAAAGAAACAGGCAGCTGGGGCTCTGGGAGCCAAGAGCCGATCTCTTCTTTAGAAGAGGAAAAGAGGAGGAGGAGGAGGTGGGCCAGGGGCTTGGTCCAATCATTCTGCTCTTGGCCACTGCTGAGGGGCATGGCTGAGGCTTTGGTATCAACCTTTAATGCCCACCCCCAAAACAGCGAAGCAAGGATAGTATTTCCTGGGCACCAGTAACACCCATCTTGCTTCCCTTGTCTACCCAGCAAACTTCTGACCCTCCCTCTGGACCACCTCACGCAATGGCATACCGGAGGGAGGTCCCTATGACCCCAGCTTTGGCCTGCCAAGTGACACCAAGGTGGAACCACATGTGCCCCCACCACACACCAGCCCCAGATACTTCAGTGAGAGACTGAGAACTGTCTCTGGTTCCAGGCAGCATGTGTATGCCCCACCCTGGCATGTGCCAGGCCCTGGGAAAAAAGGAGAATCCACAGGCATTGCTCACCATGCCAGGATGCAACATGGATTGAACACAGGGGTCATCCCACCTTGTGTTATTTGCCCTCAACCTGAGTGAGACAGGAACCATTGTCTCTAGATAATGAAAACCCAGGCCCAAAGTCATACGACTAGTGAATGTCAACAGCCAGGCCTCCCAACTCCCAGCCAGTGATCTTCCCACCACGGTCATGCTTGCCTCCCTCCCCAAGAGACACAACAGTTCTCCAAAGTCCCCTAGACACCTTTGCAGCCATGAGAACTAGAGTTGGGTTTTTTGTTTTGTTTTCTGTCTGTTTTGAGAGGATGTGTGTGTGGGGGGTCTCACTCTGTTGTTCAGGCTAGAGTGCAGTGGCACAATCACAGCTCACCGCAGCCTCGACCTTCCAGGCTTAAGCGATCCTCCGGCCTCAGCCTCCCAAGTAGCTGGTAACACAGGCATGCGCCACCACACCTGGCTAACTTTTTAAAGTTGTTTTTAGAGATGGGGTCTCACTATGTTGACCAGGCTGATCATGAACTACTGGCCTCAAGTGATCCTCCCGCCTTGGCCTCCCAAAATATTGAGATTACAGGCATGAGCCACTGTGCCCAGCCGAGAACTAGAGTTGAGATTGGTTCCCACTCCAAAGGCTTCCCGTCACCCCTACAGGGTATCCTCCCATTGTCCTTCCTTCACCTTGAGGGGCAGGGCTAAATAAAAGGGGTTTGGAGAGGGGATCCTGATCACCAGACTCACAAAGGCAAAGAGGCAACCCAGGACAGATGCTGGATCTCAAAGTGCTGTGCCCACCACACTGGTCATTACTCAGTGCTTCAGTTTCTCTCTGCCACCACCTTTCACACTAAGTACCACTCCATGGAGGGCAGGGGAATCTGGTGCCTATCAGCCAGAGCTGGGTCCTGGTTGACCAATGCTGGGCTCCCAGGAGGGAGGAAGGGCACTGCCTCCTCTTTGAGCCCACACATAAGAGAGGGGACGGCTTTCCTTGTTCTCTCTCTCCCACCCCCAGAGCTCAGACCCTGAACAGAGATGCAGTGATGCCCAAAGATTTATGCAGGTGCCCCTAGCTGGTGGGGTGTGTCCCAGGCTGAGGGGCCAAGGGCTCCTTGTAAGCTGAAGGGCGAGGGTCAAAGGAGGGTGGGGCAGAGGGGCCTGCCTTGGGCTCTTTCCCATACACTCATTCCAGGCTGCAAAAATTTGTCTGGGAGGAAAAGATTACATGACGGTGAGAAGGCTGGAAATTGGAGACCCACTGCCCCAGGCCCCAGTCTCACTGATGTCTAGGAGACCCAATTCTCCACGAAGCTTCTCTAAGAAATCTGGGAGACCCCAGGCCCACAGCTTCCTTCACCCATCACAACCGCTCACATATACAGTTTGTTATGAACTAGGCACTTTTAAAAACATTTTTCCTCAAAAAAGCTAAATGAGGTAGATATGATCATCCCCAATTTACAGATGAGGCAACGGGGAAGTTAAATCGCTTGCTCAAAGTCACACATCCAGCAAGTGACAGAGCTGGGATTCAGACCTAGGCAGTCCAGGTCAATCATGGCCGTCATGATCATCACCATCATCTCTGTTCTTAGCTGTGATGGTATATCACCTGCTTGATAGATAATGCCTTGTTCTTTTTTGTTTTTCTTTTTTTTTTTTTTTTTTTTTGAGACGGAGTCTCGCTCTGTCACCCAGTCTGTAGTGCAGTGGTACAATCTCAGCTCACTGCAACCTCCACCTCCTGGGTTCAAGCGATTCTCCTGCCTCAGCCTCCTGAGTAGCTGGGATTACAGGACCCCGCCACCACACCCAGCTAAGTTTTGTATTTTTAGTAGAGATGGGGTTTCACCATCTTGGTCAGACTGGTCTTGAACTCCTGACCTCAGGTGATCTGCCTGCCTCCGCCTCCCAGTGTGCTAGGATTACGGGTGTGAGCCACTGTGCCCGGCCCAATGCCTTGTTCTTTCATCCAGCTATGTGTTCCCTGAGACCAAGCCTCAGTCTTTCCCCTCTGTAGCTGCCCTGTGGGTTCTCTGCCAAGTGCCTCCACCTCCAAATAGTCCAAGGCTAGAGGGGAGCATAGCGAGAAGTGCTTGGTGCCCCCGGGCTCGATGTCTCCTGCCTGAGTTCCCCCTCCTCAAATTCCCTCTCCAGAAGAGGTACCCCTTCTAGGCTGGAACCTGCACTCACGGGTGGGAGGGCCTCGCTTAGTACATACTTAGTCTAGGCAGCTGTGCCCTCAGAACCAGGCCCTGAGGCTGGGCAAAAAGGACACAGCTGTTGGGCATCTCTGAGGTGGGCCTCAGCTGCCAGGGGTGTGGAGAAAGGCCATTGTGAGCCCTGCAGTGGACCCAACTCAGCAGGGTCCTGCCAGCTCCCGCCACTGCCCATGGGGGCGGTTCTTTTCCAGCTTGGGCCAGTGTGGGGGGAGCCTCTTCATGGCTTGTTTAAGAGCTGCTAGCTGGCTGCAGCCTGCACCCTGAGGGTGCCCACAGAACTGGTGTCTCCAGACATGCAGGCCCGAGGGGTCAGCATGGGCAGTGGCTGACCCCCCCCCCCTTCCCCCATTCCCAGCCCCTAAAACTTGCTGGCCACAGCTGCGGCACTAAGGAAGTGCAGGAAGTCCTGAGCAGCCAGCTGAGCCCCCCGCCCCCCACCCCAACCTCAAGCTGACCCCAGAGGCTGCGCAGGGGGGGCAGAGGGGCGGAGCTTGGGTATTAACAACTGGAAAAGTATGAAGAACATTGCTGCCAGTCCCCAGCTCTGAGACAAGGACAGGGGTAGATCGGGGGTAGCAACAGGGTGAGAGAGAGTTACAGACTGGCAGAGAAACAAGGAGAGAGAGAGGGAGAATCAGACACTGCAAGACAGAGCAACAGAGAGACAGAGTTAGAGAGAAATTCCAAGTCAAAAGTACATATCACTCACACAGACACTCGCCAGCCGATGGCCTCTTAAGGAAAGCTTCCAAGTTTGGACAGGAGGGTACAGGTGGGAAAAAGGGCCAGACTCAAGGTGGGGCGCAGGAACTCAGCTGGAAGTGACTGACTGTTCCCAGGAAAGACCCAGGCAAATGACTCAGAGCAGGGGCAGTTAGACACCCCTGAGCTTTTAGGGTAGGGAGGAGAGCAGCTCTCCCCTTCCCCAACAGTCAAGAGAATCCTAGCTTCTAGAAGTCACTGGACACTGCTTTGAGCCCATGACTCGGCCCTCTGGAACCCCCCTGAACCCACTGTCTTTGCTCTTGTTTCTCTGTCCCTCTAAAAGAAAGAAAGAAAAAAAAAACAGCCCATTCCCGCACAGTGGCTGAGCCTAGAGGAAAAAGGGGAGGAGGAAGCTGAAGGGGAAAAATTTGTGATTGTGTGCATCTAAGTGTGTGCTCGGCTGCACAGGCTGCAGTTGTGTGTATCTGGGGTTGTGTGGACACGACTGTTGGTGTGGACCTGCAACTGTGGGGACCTGGGCCTTGTGAACTCATTCTGCACCTGAGTTCAGGGGACCATGTGCAAATGAGTGCACCTGTGTCTGCAGGTTCCACAGTCAATCAACTAACAAGTATTTACAGAGCAGCCCTTGTGCTAGGCTCTGCGTGGGATCCAGAGCTCTTTAAGTGATTCTCCCAGGTCTCCAAGAGCTCACTGTCTAGTAGGGTGGTATCTCAAGCGATAGAGACCAAGAACATGTCATTGGGAATGCATGCTTTACACCATTACGCAGGAACACTTTTTCATACAGCCAAATTTAATATTCTTGGGAGCAAGGGTTTTGTTGCCTACAGAACCTCAGAGCTCCACAGTAAAGAGTCCAGGAAAATACTTGTTGCTAAGTTGTGTATACATGTGTTGGTGTGTAACTGTGTTTGCATCTGACTGAGTGACAGCGACTGTCACGGCAAGCAATGATGTCTGTGTGACTGGGCTCATGCGAGCACGTGTGTGCCTGTGAGTGACAGGGTCTTTTGTAATTGTGCTGCTGTGTGCAATTGCTCTGTGTGCATGCATGCATGTGACAGTGACTTTTTATGTGTGGGTGACAGCAACTCCTCCTTGCCCCAGTGTGTGACAGCATCTACGTGTGACCCTGTGCGTGGGTATGTGCATGGATCGGTCCCCATGCTCTTGGTCTCCCATGGGTATATCCCACCCCTCAGAGCTCCACGGTGCAGCAGCAGCCTGTCTCTTCCCTTGTCCCCATGTGGGTGTGTCCAGTAGCTCCTGTCCTTGAGTCTGCCTGGGTGTCCCTGGATGTGCATGTGGCTGTCTGTGTGGACATATCTCTGTGTCTGCGTGTCACTTTTGCTTCCCCCCTCATTTTGGACAACAGCCCCCTTCATCCCCTCCCCCTCCTGGAGCCAAAGCCAGCACTGAGGGGCAGGCTCCCACCTCACTGGCTTTCCTTCTGTGTCCCCCACCCCCACCCCTGGAACGGTGGTTCTTTCAATTGCCCCTGTCATCCCCCCAGGCCTTTCTTTCACGCTGGACAAGGGAGGGCCCCAGATGGAGAAGGGGCACCAGAGACACGTTGCAAGGGGAGGGAAACAAGGTGGGGTACACACACACAGGTCCATTTCTCCCTCTCCTCCCCAGCCAGCAACTCTCCTAATCATCTAGGCACCACCAAGTACACCCCTTCCACACACACATTCCCCCCCAACAACCGCGTTTTTGCAATTAGCAGTGTTGCAACCAGACAGCCATGCTCAACCGGGAGGCGGGTGAGGCGGGGGAACTTCCCTCTCCCCGGACCCGTGCAAGCCCACCCGCGCCACCGCACTCATACTGCCCTCCGCAGCTGGAGGCAGCTTTGCAAAGGCCACTCGGGCCTCAGAGGCTAGGGGTGGGGGCTGGGGGGGCAGGCCTCCGGCGCACCGTAAACAAACCGCGGCGCGGCGGGCGGGGGAGCTCCGGCGGCCGGCAACGGGGCCCGGCCCGGGAATGCGCAGCAGACTGGCCGGACAGAGGCCGGGCGGGCCCTCCAGGGGGAGGCTCGGACGCCATCTCCGCCTGCGAACCCCGGGGCCCAGCGACCTCCTAGCAACACCTCCCTTCCCCAGGGCGTCAGTTGCAAGCTCCCGGGCTCGTGACAGGGTCACTGGGGCGCCAGGAAAGGCTGAGGCTGGCAGCAGGCACCCCCTGGGCGCCCCTAGCCCGCCTGGGAGCTGGCCACGGAGCCCCGCGGCTTTGCATAATCAATCGCAAGGCATTTGCATATTAATGCCCCCTCGCTCCCTCCTCCTTACCTCGGCGTGGCGCGCCGGACCGGGCTGGGCAGCGACGCGGGGGTCTCAGCGCCCCGTGCTGGGGGCGTCCATGGGGGGCCGGTGGGGCCCGGGCCGCCCGCCTCCTGCGCCCGGGTGTGAGTGCGAGTGAGCGCGGGGGGGGCGGGGGGCGAGTGTGGCGGCCCCGCGGCTCCTCCGGCAGAGGCGGCGGCCGCTCTGGCTCCTCCCTCCCCCGCCCCGCTCCGGCTGGGGCTCGGGCTCGGCGCGCCCGGCCGGCTCGCGGCTGCTCCCTGCAGGCCGCCTCGCCGCCGCCCGCCCCCGCCCCCCGCCCCCTGCCGCGCCCCGGGACCCCCGCCAGAGGTCCGGCCGCCCCTCGGCCGCCTCTGCCCCGCCCCGCTCGGACTCGCCCTCCCCAGCCCGGGCGGCTCCCGCAGGAGTGGGTACTTGGTGACATATTTTGGAAAAGATGTCATTAAAAAATAGCCTTTGCTTGCCGGGAGAATTGGGGGGTTTTCGGGTGTGCACCGTGAGGGTGGAGGAGGAAGTATCGACGAGCAGCCTGCACCTTATACATCGGGGAGAAAGTCTAAACACCAAACGCTTGCAGGTGTAGTTTGTTTGGGAGTTCGGGTCCCTTCTCCGCCGGTAACTCACTGTGTGACCTTGACAAATCGCCACTGCTGTCGGGGGCAGAGCTTCCTCAAGCTTCAGCTGCGAGGGCTGGGCAGGTGACCCCTGATGTCCTTTTAACTTCAATCATCTTACGTTTTTCATCCTTGTGGGGGTTCATTCCCTGTTACCTCCCTCCCCTCTCATTTCTAACATCAATACCGATCCACTGCCTCCCTTTTCCAACGTCACCCTTCTCCATATAGGCTCTTTCTATTCTCTGTCACCAGCCATTTCCCCCAACAATCTGCTCCCTCTCCTGAGCTCGGGGAGGGGACAAGATCTGCCATACCCCCTCAATTCCTAGCTCCCGGGTGGTGGTATTTCCCCCCATGTTTGCTCCCACAAAAATCCAAATGGTACCAGAGTCAATCTAAGGAAGACGGTGGGCTGCATACAAATGGACCCCCTAACCCAACCCAAAGGAGAGGTCTCCACCATGCCAGCCCCACCCCCAGCACACACATACACACACCACACACCTGCATTCATGGACATAAAACCAACCCAGTGACGCCAGAGCACCTTTCATCTCAGGATCTCCTAGCGCCAGGCCGAGCCCTAATTACCCCAGCACCCCCCTGGCCCCGCCGGTTCCCCTGCTGTCATTAGCCCAGTTTTACCAGCGGGGGCCACAGCCTTCCCACGGCTCTCAGGGTGGGGCCCTGGCTACATAGTCTGCTCTTGGGGAGGGGTGTGTGTGTGAGTGTGTGTGTGTGTAAGTGTGTGTGTGTTAGGGGGAGCTGCTCGGCTAATCGCCCAGTTTATACTGGGCAGAGTCACTTGGCGAGTGTGGGATTCTGAGCCACAGCTTACCCAAGTTGGGCTGCCCTTGCTCATGTCTTAGTCTCAGCCACCTGCATCCTCAGTGCTGTTGGAACCACTTCTTTCACAGGGGGTACTGGAGTTCGTAATGCTTGGCGGAGGGGAGGGTACCTCTCTTGGGGTCCCTGGAACCATGGAGATGAGAAGAGCAGCTGGGATGAAACCTATGGCGTGCAGAGTGCAGTGGTGGTGTTGAGGGCATGCCATGGGTGAAGGGAGCCTGTGGTGTGCAGTGGCAGCTGTAATGGGGAATTGAGGCTGCAGCGTACGGAGCCTCCATGCAGTAAGCGAACCTGTGTTCAGTCTGGGCTCACAGGAGACAAGCAACAGCTGCAGTGTGGGGCAGGAGGCTGCAGTGTGCAGAGTCAGTGCAGTGAGTGGAATGAGGTGCACTGAGGGTGGCTGTCTGCCAGTCGATGCCACCTCCTCGGTGATCAGGTTTGGCCGGAACCCTGGGGAGCAAGGCTGCAGTATGTAGTGCTCAGGGTCTGTACTCTACCCTGTATGGAACTAGTCCCTTGGGATTGGGCTGCTCAAGGAGCTGGGAGGGAATCCCAATGCATGAGATACATTTATACTCTGCATCACAAAGGCAGAACTAGGAGGCAGTGGGGAGGGCCAGCGGTAATCTGGATCAGG